>NC_000002.12:222489618-223114618 GCF_000001405.40 Homo sapiens
TCCTACAGGGCAGTCAAAAGGGTGTGTCTTTAACACTGAAAGGATTAAATTATTAAAACTCTGTGGGCGGTGTGCGGTGACTTACACCTGTAATCTCAGCACTTTGGGAGGCCGAGGCAGGTGGATCACCTGAGGTCAGGAGTTCAAGACCAGCCTGACCAACATGGAGAAACCCCATCTCTACTAAAAATACAAAATTAGCCAGGCATCGTGGCGCATGCCTGTAATCCCAGCTACTCGGGAGGCTGAGGCAGGAGAATCACTTGAACCCAGGAGATGGAGGTTGCAGTGAGCCGAGATCATGCCATTGCACTCCAGCCTGGGCAACAAAAGCAAAACTCTGTCTCAAAAATAAATAAATAAAATAAAAAATAAAACTCTGTGAAAGCCTGAGTTGCAGAAAACCAGGTGCCTGTCTTTGTTTAAAACATTTCAGCTACCTAAAAGGATGTGTTTAAGGATGTGCTCATCTGTGTCTAGCCCTTGTGGATGTTAATTTTGAGTAAGTTTCTATATTCATGAGAAACATATTTTTATAAATTTTTATGTAGAAGATACAAAACCACCTAGAACCTTTTTAGTATGTCACCTTTAAGATTAAAATATAAAGAGTCATGCATGGGATGGACCCTGGTTCAGGAAATATACTTGGTAAGTGGAACAGGGGTTTTCTGGGTGAGATCATCCTAAAAGCTAAGGGGAACAGGCACTCAAATCAAAACCCAGGCAATGACAAATACTCTTATGGGGTCACTTGGACATTTACCAGCCTTTGCAATCTAAAATTCCAAGATTATGTACATTTATTGTTTTGTTTGAGTTCTTTTTGAGACAGGGTCTTGCTCTGTTGCCTAGGCTAGAGTGCAGTGGTGCAATCACAGGTCACTGCAAGCTAGACTTCCTAGACTTACTAGACTTAAGTGATCCTCCAACCTCAGTCTACCAAGTATCTGGGACCACAGGTACAAGCCAACACACCTGGCTAATTTTTTTTTTTTTTTTTTTTTGTAAAGGCAAGGTCTCACTATGTTACCCAGGCTGGTCTCTAACTCCTGGGCTCAAGAGATCCTTTCATCTTGGCCTCTCACAGTCCTGGGATTACAGGCATGAGCCACTTTACCCAGCAGTTATGTGCATTTGAACACTAGAGGTTGATATGAGTGAGAAGACAGGCATGAGCCTTAGTAATCCTTTTAAAAGCATCTCATAAAACAGCTTCTGAATCTTGTATTCTTATAGATTCATCAGGCCTAGGTTTCCACTTGCAGTTTTTTGGTTCGTCTTGTAACCCTGAACATAATTCATTAGTTATCTATAGCAACACTTTCTTCCTAAACTGTGTCTTGGTGTGCCACTAAATCTGTAAAACATGTAAAAGAAGATTTTATTGTGCTTGCCCAGTAGGATGATGTGATTGTACTCCAGTAATAATTGTCTCATGCCAGCTTTTCACCCCTAGGAACCATGAGTCAGTTATTATTTCTAAAAATAATCTTTAAGATGGCATAGCACTTCCAAATATATATTTTTTTTTGAAACAGAGTCTTGATCTGTCACCCAGGCTGGAGTGCAGTGCTGTGATCATAGCTCACTGCAGCCTCAAACTCCTGAACTCAAGAAATCCCCCTGCCTCAGCTTCCTGAGCAGCTGGGACTACAGATAGCTACCACCATGCCTGGCTAAGTTTTTAATTTTTTTGTAGAGACAGGGTCTGTTTTCACACTGCTGTAAAGATACTACCTGAGGCTGGGTGATTTATAAACAACGGAGGTTTAATTGACCCACAGCTCTGCATGGCTGGGGAGGCAAAATTCACAATCATGGAGGAAGGGGAAGCAGGCACATCTTACATGGCAGCAGGCAAGAGAGAGTGAGCAAGAGTAGAGGAAACTGCATTATAAAACCATCAGATCTCATGAGAACTCACTATCACGAGAACAGCATGCGGGGAAACCTCCCCCATGATCCAATCACCTCCCACCTGGTCCTTCCCTCAACAGGTGCAGATTATGGGGTTACCATTTGAGATAAGAGTTGAGTAGGGACACAGAGCCAAACCATATTATTCTGCCCCTGGCCCTTCCCAAATCTCACATCCTCATATTTCAACACACAATCTTGCCTTCCCAACAGTCCCCCAAAGTCTTAACTCATTTCAGTATTAATCAAAAAATCCACAGTCCAAAGTCTCATCTGAGACAAGGCAAGTCCCTTCCACCTATCAACCAGTAAAATCAAAAACAAGTCAGTTCCTTCCAAGATACAATGGGGGTACAGGCATTGGGTAAATACATTCATTCCAAATGGGAGAAATTGGCCAAAACAAAGGGGCTACAGACCCCGTGCATGTCTAAAATCCAGCAGGGCAATCATTAAATCTTAAAAGCTTCAAAATGATCTCCTTTGACTCCATGTCTCACATTCGTAAGAGTGCGCTCCCACAGCCTTGGGCAGCTCCTTCGTATGCTGGCATTGAGTGCCTGCAGCTTTTTCAGACACATGGTGCAAGCTGTCAATGGATCTACCATTCTGGGGCCTGGAGGACAGTAGCCCTCTTCTCCTAAACTCACTAGGCAGTGCCCCAGTGGGGACTCTGTGTAAAGGCTCCAACCCCACATTTCCTTTCCCCACTGCCCTAACAGAGGTTCTCCATGAGGCCTCCACCCCTGCAGCAAATTTCTGCCTAGACATCCAGGCAGTCCCATACATCCTCTAAAATCTAGATGGGTGTTCCCAAACCTCAGTTCTTGACTTCTGTGTGCCCACAGGCCCAACACCATGTGGAAGCCACCAAGGCTTGGGGCTTGCACCCTGTGAAGCAATGGCCTGAACTATACCTTGGCCCCTTTTAGCCACAGCTGGAGCTGAATCAGCGGGGACACAGGGCACCAAATCCTGAGGCTGCATAGAACAGGGAGGCCCTGGGTCCTGCCCACTAAACCGCTTTTTCCTCCTAGGCCTCTGGGCCTGTGATGGGTGGCCCAGATCTCTGACATGCTCTGGAGACGTTTTCCCTGTTGTCTTAGCAATTAGAATTTGGCTCCTTGTTACTTATGCAAATTTCTGCAGCCAGCTTGAATTTTTCCCCAGAAAATGGGTTTTCCTTTCCTATGGCATTGTCAGGCTGCAAATTTTCCAAACTTTTATGCTCTGCTTCCCTTTTAAACATAAGTTCCAATTTCAGATAATCTCTCTCATGTTCAAAGTTCCACAGATCTCTTGGGTAGGGGCAAAATGCCAGCAGTCTCTTTGTTTAAAGCATAGCTAGAGTGACCTTTGCTCCAGTTACCAGGATGTTCCTCATCTCCATAAGAACCACCTCAGCCTGAACTTCATTGTCCATATTACTATCAGCATTCTGGTCAAAACCATTTAACAACTCTCTAGGAAGTTCCAAATTTTCCTTCATCTGCCTGTTGTCTTCTGAGCCCTCCAAACTGTTCCAACCTTTGCCCATTACCCAGTTCCAAAGTCACTTCCACATTTCCAAGTATCTTTATAGCAGTGCCCCACTACTTTGGTACCAATTTACTGTATTAGTCGATTTTCACACTGCTATGAAGATACTATCCAAGACTGGGTAATTTATAAACAAAGGAGGTTCAATTGACCCACACAGTTCTGCATGGCTGGGAAGGCCCCAGGAAACTCACAATTATGGTGGGAAAGGAAGAGGCACATCTTACAAGGTGGCAGGTGAGAGAGAGGAAGCAAGAGCAGGGAAAACTGCCTTATAAAACTATTGGATCTCATGAGAACTCACTCACTATCACGAGAACAGCATGGGGGAAACTGCCCCCATGATCAAATTACTTCCCACCTGGGCCCTCCTTCCACATGTGTGGATTACAGGAATTACCATCCAAGATGAGATTTGAGTGAGGACAAAGGAGTCAAACCATATCACAAGTCTCACTTTGTTGCCAAGGCTGGTCTCTCACTCCTAGACTACAGCAGTCCTCCCGCCTTGGCCTCCCAAAGTACTGAGATTATAGCCATGAGCCACTGCACTCAGCCTAAATGTATTCTTAACTAAGTCTAACATTAATTTTGTAAAGCATTAATATCTACATTTACGTATGATGAAACTGAAGGTGAGACATTAATAACATCAGAGCTCATTCTCAAGCCAGCCCTCTTTTTACTTCATCGTACTGTTAGGCCTAAAATTAATGATCTCTTTGGAGTGTTACATAAGATTTATAGGAGGCTATTGGTTTGGCCCAACAGACCAAACCAAAATGGAGTCACTCATGCTAAAGTTCCACATCACCAAATCAAGACTAATCTGTTCATTTGACCTTCTGAGAGAGAATAGCCATAAAGGCCAATTTCAGTGGGCAAGCTAATTAATTTCCCTCTGTTTTAATCTTTATAAAAGAACAACCTGATGTCAACTCATCAGTCATTTTTCTATTATTCTATTTCCCTATTCCCACCTTTCAAGGAAAGTAACTTCAAAACCACCAAACTGCTTTTTGTTCTCTGTTTTGGCTTTCCTCAGCCCTTCCCTGTCTGTAAAACCAGCCTCCTCTGCTGAACCCATTGGAACACTCCTTCTATTTTATGGAATGAAGTGTTGCCCAATTCTAGAATCGCAAATGAAGCCAATTAAGATTTTCAAAGGATCCCAGCTGCACTGAGCACTGGGAAGAAAAAAGATTTTTTAAAAAAATCCTTAAGCTAAATTTGTTGTAATTTCGTCTTTTGACAGGAGGAAATGAAGAGTTTTGGAAAGGGCCCAAAAAGCTGGACTGTAGGCGGTAGAGATAGAGAGAATGTTCACGAATGAGCAAATATACTCCTTATGAAATTTCAGAGAAATGGGTAATGAGACTGACTAGTCAGGGAAATGCTGGGAGGAGGCAGCGGTGGTCTCCCAGGTCACCTTGCCAGCCCACGGCTGCCCAACTTGCACTTGTGTCTTCACTGAATAGCTATGTGTTCACATGAGACATGCCGAGGGCGCCAGCTTGGCCCTGCGTGTGCAGTTCCATGACAGTCACCAAGTGGTCCACAGTCACATACGTATCCAAAATCTTGGCGTGAGGCTTTCTCTAAGGGGAGCTAACCAAGAGCATAAATTAACCTCCAAAACAATTGTATAACTAGTCACTGTAAGATATATGGGGCCAATGAGAGCAGGATTTAAACATTTGCCAAAGACTGTACCTCTCTTTTTTCCCCCCTCTTCATTTTAAAAAGAAGTTTGTCTTTTTCTCTGTGCTAGAAGTCATGGCCTTGCCTAGCATTAGTCTCTCAGAAAGTTTCTGGAGACTTTTCTTTAACTTTCCCTTAAAATATAAGAGTTGCTGAGGCAGGAGAATTGATTGAACCCGGGAGGTGGAGGTAGCAGTGAGCCAAGATCGCGCCACTGCACTCCAGCCTGGGTGACAGAGTGAGACTCTGTCTCAAACAAAAACAAAAACAAAAACAAAAACAAAAGTTGCTGGTGGTTTGAAAACCTGAAGGAGTTTGCTAATGTCAGAGCTTACTTTAAATTATTTGCACCTAGCCAGGCATGGTGGCTCATGCCTGTAATCCCAGCACCTTGGGAGGCTGAGGTGGGAGGATTGCTTGAGGCCAGGAGTTTGAGACCAGCCTGGGCAACAAAGTGAGTCCATATCTCAACAAAACATTAAAAAATTAGTCAGGTGTGGTGGCATGTGCCTGTGGGCCCTGCTACTCGGGAGACTGAGGTGGGAGGATTACCTGAGCTCAGGAGGTTGAGGCTGCAGTGAGCCATATTCATGCCACTGTACTCCAGCCTGGAAAACAGAGCAAGGCCCTGTCTCAAAAAAATAAAAATTAAAAAAAAATCTATCTGCACCGAAGTCCTTTTATATTCAAATTTTCTCCTGCAAATGAAAAACTGTTAGAGAATATCCTCAAGATCTCTTGGCTTAAAAATGAGAGGAAGAAAAATGGCCTTGTTGAATTTTACTTGAGCTCTCTATGCTGCTAGAAAACAGAAACCATGAAGATAATCCTCCCACTCTTTTTTGTGTTCCAAGAAAGGATTTACTACAAGGAACCCCCACCTTCTCCCTGTGGCTCAGATAAGACCCACAGATGCCTCCCTTGTTTATTAGTGACAAGGCCAGACACAGACTCTCCAAATTCCCATTCTTTGGCTCATAAATGATTAGCTGAACTCTGTACCCCCTGGTCAGTCTGTACAAAATACCTGCCACCTTGACTTGACCAAACTCTAATTAAGTTTCTCTCCATCTATAGACCCCTGAACTTTGACCCACCCTTACCACACAGAATAGGCTGACGTCAGGGTACACATGGTTTTAGTATCCTGACCCACCTTCACCTTCCATTTCACTTCCCCACATCCAGTTCTCCTGAGCCTTGTTCATTCTTCCCTAAGTAATAGAAATGCCCGTTCCTCCTTTACATTCAAGACACTTGCAGACCTCTTGGTCTCCGTGTCACATAGTGCCCCGACTCCCTTCGTGCAAGAATCCTTTCGAATGGCATCTCTCCTTACCTAAATCCAGATTTGCTTTTTATTTGACAAAGATAATAAATAAATAAAGCACAGAGTTCCACCCTACAGTACTTGTGCCTGCCTGTGGAGATGTCTGTTAACACACGACAACATGAAACACAGATGTAAAACAGTTCCCGTCCATGAGGTCTTCACTTCTCAGTTTGAGACGCTTTCCAAAGTAGTAAGCAGAGTCTTATTCTCCAGGGAGCCAGGGTTGTTGCATTTATTCATTTAATAAAGACTTACCTTGTATGGACCCTGGAAATTTTGTATTCTGAACATTTCTGGAAACATTCCCTCCATTCAGGCCTGCGTCATCTTTATTTTGCACTATTGCAGTAGATGTTCTCATCAGTCTCCCTCGAGCTAGTCTTATACCTTCAAATCCATCCTCCCCACAGCATTTAGTGATCTATCTCAAATGCAGATGTGAACTTTTAAAAACATGTAATGTCTAAGCACCTTAAAATTACCTACAAGGTCTCTCACAGTCAGACTTCTGCCTCAATCTCCACCTCTAGCCCTTTCCCCTGTCTGTTCTTATCTCTGGTGAGACCCCCCCGCCATGCCCTACATATCCAGTAGGTACATATTCTACTTTGTGCTCCTTTTCTGGTGTTCCTCTGCCTTTCATGCTCTCACCATTCCTGCTAAGTCTCAGTGCAGTCATCATCTCTAGAAAAGCCACTCTGCCTCCTGTGTCTGCATTCCCTCCCAGTTGGTTTCTTATTGCTTCTTGAACCTGGCATCTGGCAGCAATTCAATAAATAAATATTGGGTAACATAAATAAAGGCTATTTCTACAAAAGTGATTTAAGAGATGTCCCCTACAGAAGCACCCATGTAAAGAGGTCATTGCAGTTCAGGATGATAAAGATATATGGAGAACATCTATAAAGTACTACAGTAGCATCCTAGAGGTTCTTTTTAAAATGGAATGGTTTCCATCTTAATGGAATGGCTCCCCATTAGCCCTGATGGAAAGTTGGGAAACAAATTTGGCCAAGGTTATCTCAAGGTGTTTGCAGGATGAAAATAGAAATTCTACACATTCCTGAACTGCTCAGGAGTCTTTAAACCAGAAACCAACTTTATTTGCTTTTTGAAAAGAGTGTCAGATCTCTTTCTTCTTTTTTTTTTTTTTTTTTTTTAGACGGAGTCTTGCTCTGTCGCCCAGGCTGGAGTGCAATGGTGCAATCTCGGCTCACTGCAACCTCCGCCTCCCAGGTTCAGGTGATTCTCCTGCCTCTGCCTCCCCGGGTCTCCTGGGACTATGTCACCACAGCCAGCTAATTTTTGTATTTTTAGTAGAGATAGCGTTTCACCATGTTGGCCAGGCTGGTCCCAAACTCCTGACTTCAAGTGATCCACCTGCCTTGGCCTCCCAAAGCACTGGGATTACAGGCACGAGCCACCGCACCTAGCAGATCTCTTTCTTAACCTTGTAATTGGTGAGCAACAACCTTTAAATGTATTTAGTCATTTGTTCATTCATTTAACAAACACTTGGCAAGGGCCTACTATGTGCTAAGTGGTACAGATTATGCCATTGGTACATTATTATGTCAAGTGGTACAGATTAAGCAATGTACAAGACAGACTCCATCCTGCTCTGGGGTTCACATGCAGGCAAAACAGACAATAACAAGTAATCAATACAGGAATTAAATATTGTACAACTACTGTTTAGGATGTGATGAGGGAAGAGCAGAAACCTACTTTAGAGAAGGTGGTTGGAGAGGGGCACTTTGTACCAGTTTCCTTTAACTTAAGTCTTGACGGATGAGGAGCCAGCCTCATGAGGCCCCTGGGGGAGAGAGTCCCAGGCCAAGAAGATCTCAAAGCAGGAGAAAACTTATCCTGTGGAGGAGTAAGAGAAGCCAATATGACCCAGCAGTGGTAGAAATGACTTTCTTCTAGAAGCTTCCAGGAGACCACAGGCTCCTGAGTTACTTCACACAGGACCCCTTCTCAGTCTCCTTTTGTGATTGCAGAGAGTGTAGCCCCTTTGGGAGACCTGAGTTCAGTGTTGCCTCAACCATCAACTCACCCTGAGATCATGGATTGTTACTTCACTGATTAAGACTTGGGTTCTCTCATATATAATAAGCAGAGGTTGGATGAGGTGCCCTCAACTCTGTATACTATGATGCTATTAACATTAATTACTATGATCACTTCAGCAGCACATATACTAAAAGTTGGAATGATACAGAGAAGATTAACAGGGCCCCTCAGCAAGGATGACATGTCAATTCATGGAGCATTCCATTTTTTTAATGGCAGCCAATATATCTGGGACATTTGAAGAAGCCAACATGGTCTCCCGGCCCAAAGAAAACATTAATTACTAAAGGATCACTGAATCTCAACAGGCATCATTCATTCATTCATTCATTCATTCAAAACAAATGTTGTATTCCGAACATTTAAAGAAATGAATGAATGAATGAATGAATTTTTTTTTCAAAAAAAAAATTTTTGAGCAGTTAAGCTGCCAGATACTGTTCCAGACTCTGGGCCACACAAAGGCAGAGCATCCACTCAGAGTGAAGATGAGGCTGATAAAATAAAAATATATAGTCTAAATGCAGGCAGGGTATAAAGTTGTGTGAAGAAAAACAGAAATAGGATATGAGGAGAGAGTGATGAGAGGCATGCCGTGTTAAGTGAGGTGGTCAGAGAAGGCCTTTCAGAGGAGGTGTTTGTGTACAGGACTGACTTTACTTATAATTTACTTATAACTCCTATTTAAATTGTTTATGGTGAGTTTAGAATGTTTGAAATGTACCATCATCCTTTCTGGTTGATTTCTGTGTTCATATGGAAACCAGTATTTCTCAGAAGTCTAAATTCTCCAGCAAGCAAGACTTCTGAGAAGACAGCTAAATTTTAAAAAGTACAAAGCCATCTTTGAATTGGTCTTTTCATCTTTAAAACAAAACATGTCCTCTAATTCAAATCTGGTAAGACATTTCATCAAACACGGATTCTGTAAAGACTTCCATTGTCAGCATTGCTGAACCTCAGCCTTACAGTGGAAAGTGGACATTACACAGAGTAGGGATGTGCCTGTTTGCCCCGAAGGCAGATTCTGACAGGCTCCAGCCAAGACTTTCTCATTAAAAAGGGTCATGGGGAGGTTATGTGAAGGTTTGAGAGGTGTTGATGGTGTGATCAACCACCCCTCCTAATGGAGCAGAGTTAATCACTCACTGGCCAAGTGGAAAATCAATGGCTCCCTGCTTTCTCTCCTACACTTTGCCCGTGCTCGGCCAGCCTGCTCCCCTGCTCCCTGCAGTGAACTGGCATCAGGCAGAGGACTCCAGGATTCTTCTCCCCTCCTACTCAAAGACTGGCTGTTTAGAAGGAGAGTCATCTAACCCCAGGGCATGAGAGCATGTTCTTTCTACCTGGGAGAAACCTTATAATGAAGCCTTATTGCCAAAGAGGAGGAGGAAGCAGAAAAGAGGACGTGTTGGGGGAAACACAAGTTGGGGCATTGGGGGAAACACAAGTTGGGGCATTGGGGGAAAGACAGTCTTTCTGAGGAAAGACATCTTGCAACCAAAATGCAAAGGAAACAATGTCCATAGATGATGGGCTGGAAGCTTTTCCAATTCAGTGTCATGTGAGTTTTTAGAACCTTTTCATTAAGGAGATGGTGAGTTGCCTGTTTGTGGTTGAGCTCTAAATGTAAATGTCTTCATGTTTACCCTAAATAAGGCCTTCCATGGAACTGACTAGACCAGAGGTCCCCAGGCAGAAGGGCCCAAAGAGTCAGGTTGCCAGTGTTCTGGACTGGAACTTACAACGTTAAGTTCTCACCTTGGGCCTGACTAGAAGTACAGCTGAACCCTTTGGTTGGCAGAAGGGTGTTACCAGCAGGAAGAATTATGCATTAAGGCCAAAAGAATTGTTCTTTCAGTGAGTCTGGCTGAGTGGTGTTCATCCCAGAGGTATGACAGCCACCACCTGTGCTTCCAGGCTTGGATACTCTGTCACATAAGGAAGAAGGTTGAGAAATTTCCTAGGAGAGAGGTTAAATCTTAAAGTTGGAACCAGTATTATGATACAGTGAGATGTGAGACTGTGGTTCTCAGTGGTAGTGATGGTGCACCACTGGGATGGAGGGGTGAGTGGGGGCTGGAAGCACGGAGGGAAGCAGTTCAGTCATGACGGTCTTGATTCTGACTTCCAGCTGGATGTCTCGTTTTCAGTTTTGAAGGAGAAGCAATAACCAGAAAAAAGGGAGGGAGCAATGAGGAGTAAGTGGGGGTATTGTTACAAACACAGCCAGTTTGAGGGTGTTTAAGAAGATAGTGCACTCATTCTCTAGACTTTGGACTTAGTTTGCCACACATTGTTGGAAGCCACCCTGCTGACGGTCACCGTGTTGGCAGTTGTTTGGAAAGAGTATGAAATTGGCTTTTCCAGTGTGGATAGCAATAGCCTGTGATATCAAACTGAGAATGGAAACATATGTTGTGTGAAAAAATGGAAGAGTCCATTTGGCTGTTCCCCCAGATTAGCAGATACACATCCAGGGCACCCTCACTGAAAACTGGCATTGTCTGCTTTAAGTGAATTTTCTTCCCTGCATCCTGTGATTATGGCTCCCATAACTTTGTTAGCCTTCATATTGAGTTTTTATGCTCGTGCATTTCCTCAGCTCTCCATTTCCTTCCAAGCATCTTAACTGGTAATTCAGTTTGCTCATGGACTGCTTCGTAGCAAAGCATTTCACCATGAAATGGTGCTTCCCCCTACGTGTGTGCAGTTGTTCTAGCGTGAGGAAATAGAACCAGCAATATCAGCCTTTGGAGACAAAGAACTCAGACCTGAGGGTTTGGAGACAATCATCTGCTGTTCTTACCACCATTTGGTTCAATGTTAATTTACCTGCCACTGTAAGTAAAGTGGGGAGATTTGGTCTTTTTTAAAGAGAACCAAATTCAGACAAACAGAAAGCCTGTGACCCGTGGGCTTTCTCAACCAAAGACCCTTAGAACAAGTGCACAAGTGTGTTAGGGCTTGAGCAGGAGTCACTTGAGCCTGCCTCATAAATCCAGGTTTCCTTCCTGCAGTCCAGCTAACTGTTCATGGGACAGGAGCTCAGTGACTGTCATTCTGAACCTGGACAGATGAGGTTGCTGCTGCCTGGCTTCTTGGAGTCTTTAATCTCTCCAGAAATAAATCTTACTTATTTTTTTTTGAGTGATCACCACTTAGATCTTTTCTGAATTCTATTAAGAACAAAAACCTGTGACAGACCCACTGAGGTGACTTCTAGCTCTAACAGCTCACTACATAGGGAGGTTCTCAAACCTCAAAAGCTGTCTTTTTACAGGAGCTTAACATGAAATGACCCAACTCTGACCAAATGTGTAAGGAGAGTGGGCAGTTGCCTGAAAAATTAGGTGTTCGATGTTAATGATGTTGAGCCTAAAATCAGACTCTTGGTCAGCAAAATGGCAGACCTGACCTCACCTCATCAGGAGACTTCCTCATAAACAGACACTGCCATAGAAGGACAGGTGAGTGAGGTGCGTTCACATTTTCTCTTGTCTCAGGGTAAGTCAAGAATAGATACTCTCTGAGGCTAGATCTCTACCCCAAGATATACTGAGACTGAATCTCACTTTAATATCTATGCTTTTTTCAACTAAACTTTTTCCCCACAAATTGTGAGACATATTAGAAAAATCCAAATAGTCTACAGAGTTGTTTTTGTTTTGTTAAGGGTTGGGGTTTTTTATGATGGTGGCAGTTGGAGAAGACAGGTAAAAACATTTGTTTTTATGATTATCATTTTTAAGACAAATGCTTTCTCAATCTTTATGGTGAAACACAAGTTTACCTGGGTACCACTAGAATGACCAGAGTTTTAAGAAAAGTCTGGACAGATATTCCTTATGCCACCCTCACAAATTTTCCCATTTGTTAGGCACACTCATAGAATACAAGTGATAGAACTGATTTTGTAAAATATGTGTGAAGTAAGGAAATTGGCCTAGGTAAGTTGGGAAATTTTCCCAGTTAAACTTTTTGAAACCACCAGGAATCAGGATATATACATTACAATGTCTTGAGAAAATTACGTAAGTTTATAATTTAGATTTAAACCATATCCCCTTCTTGTTACATCTATGGAGAGAAAAATAAGAGTGACTTTCTGGAGTAATTTGAAAATAGCCAGGATCCTTTGAAGGTAAAGACTATTGCTGTCCTTGAATTATTGCCAGGCATACTCCATACAAATTGAGTATCCCTTATTCAAAATGTTTGGGACCAGAAGTGTTTTGGTTTTCAAATTTTTTTGGATTTCAGATTTTTTCAGATTTCAGGATATTTGCATTTAGCATTCCTAATCTGAAAATCTAAAATGTGAAGAACTCCCATGAGTATTTCCTTTAAATGTCATGTCAACATTCAAAAGATGTTGGAGTTTGGATTACAGATTTTCAGATTAGGGATGCTCAACCTATATTTCTTTATAATATGCGCTGTAGATAGGCTGCTGTTCACAATGTTGATTTCTAACATCTAAATGGCTCCTGTGCAGGTACACATATAAGTGATGGTTTGGATAAAGGCAGCAGCTGCTTATTATCAATACACCATGCTGAGAAGCTCTAGCTTGCTGTTGCTAAAGCCAACAGTGCTGGGGGAAATGGCAGCTCATCCTGGATGCTAACATCAGGAATGGTTTATATTGGAAATGGCACCATTCCTGAGAGAACATTTACACCGTGTACGAAATTCTACCCTTTAACACTGCCTCAATTAGAGAGTTGCATTGCCTTTTAAAAATGTGAATAGGAAGAAATAAGAACTTGAAGTATTCTAGGTCTTCGTTTTAGGCTGGTTGTTAAGTAATGTATAACTGGTTTATTTCTAATTGAAGAAAAGTTACCCATTCTGAGGACATCACCTAGACTATCCTTTTACTCTAATCACCTGCTGTTGAACATTGAGCTTTGGGAGGCCTAAGGAAATACTGAAACTGTATGTTCCTGACAAAAAGATCTCTATTTAGATTATGTAGCCCATTCAGGAAAAACAACCAAATAATAGAACCAAAAAGGGTGAA
The DNA here is from genome assembly GCF_000001405.40 of Homo sapiens. NCBI lineage: Eukaryota > Metazoa > Chordata > Mammalia > Primates > Hominidae > Homo > Homo sapiens. Next base: position 222,503,214 of record NC_000002.12, read on the forward strand.
AACCAAGAGCGTTGTTGCTAAGGACGAGGGATGATCAGAAAGTCCTTCGGTTGTAGCTAAAACTATATGTTAAAATGACGATGAATTTAAATTTTATTAAATATGTTATGAAATATTTCAAACATATTAAGGCTAAAATAAAGGGAAGAGAGCATGGTGAATTCTTGTTTTAAAGTGTTAAGAGCGTAGATTTATTTGTATAGGTTCACTTTCTTTCAGTATTCAAATCCACCTTCAAGGGACATGTGAGACCCACTTGTAGGGCTGTTCCCATGGCGAAATGACAAAGATCTCAAGTCCCTGGTAATAATTGCTTTGAATCAATGTATAAATTACAGGCCATCATGCTTTTTTTTCAGTATAGTGTGTAGGATTATAATGCCAGTGATTATAATGTCTATTTCATGTGTCTCCATGTGTTTTATTTTCTTAACTGCACCCGCATTGTACACAGTGGAAATTTTCTTGATGGCAGCAATGGTATTCAACAAGGGAAGACTCTCAGGTCCTTCCTTCTTCATGGGTCTTGGATGGGACCTGTATAGAGAGAAAGGAAGGTTCTCAATGTGTTGGGGTGGAATTGGGGCAAGAATTCCTCAGTGACCGAGGGCCTCACTCTCCCTCTCATACTTTTGCTGGGGTGAGTGCTCCAGGACTCTTACACCTCAGAGGTCACACAGACCATAAGATAGATCCCCCCAGTCAATTCCTATGGCCAGATTTATGGTCATACCAAAAAAACAGCTTGATTAAGTGATCATTGAGAGCAATACCCTCCCCAGATCAAAAATGGGATAGTGGTTGTCACAAAGGCAACCAACTGGTCCTGAATGTAGCCCGGGATGCTCTTCCAGGGGCCCTTGATGCTTGCTTCATTGCCTCCTTGATGTCATTATATTTGGCACCTTTCTCCAGATGGCAAATCTCATTCTCAACACACTTTCCACACCAGCGGTGGGGACTTGGAAAGCCAAATCAGTGAACTCTCCGTTCAACTCAGGGGTTGTCTTGCACACAGTTTTGGCAGGGCCAGGGATTGAGAGATAATGACCACTGACATGACACTACAGCTTGCTGGAGGAGTAATCATGATCTGTGGGGAGCAGTGATGGCGTGGACTGTGGTCTGAGATTCCTCCACGTTAGCACAGTCATCATCGATGACTTCTGCCAGGAGAGTCAAGCACTTGGTATGCAGGTGACATTGCTGACAATTTCGAAGGAGTTGTCATCTTCACAGTTCTCTCCCATTCTGAGCACAGCAGCATTGGCGCAGGTGATAGGAATAATAACCCTTTGCTTCCACCTTTCAAGTGATTGCTAGCCTTGTCTAAGACGGTAAAGAGTGCGGTGGGCTCTATGATGTATTCAACATCATGTTACCCCATTTGATGTTGGGGGGATCTTGAACTTGGAAAATGAAGGTAGGATTTCAATTGACTGCACTTACTGTTCTCAGCCTTGATGATGCCGTTGAACTTGCCATGGGTAGAATCATTTCTGGACACGTAGTCCCTATTGCTGAGGTCAAGGAAGGAGTCACTGATGGCCACAGTATCCACTTTGGAAGCAGCCTGGTAACTAGGCACCCAATATAGACAAGCCCATTTAATCCAGCTTTTACAGTCATGACAAGGTGAGGAGGCTGGCACTGCAAAAAAGGTGAGGCTTCTATTTAGTGGAGAGGAACTGAGAGAGCTGCATGGGTTTTAAATACGAAAATGAAAGCAATACATTTTAGGCCAAGTCCAGGAAGCAAGCAAGGTTGGATAGCAAGGCTTACAAGTTGTTCAAAGCCATTTGGTTCCTGAATTTCAGATAGCAAGTAACATGAGTTTTGATAGCAAAGAATTTATACAAAAGTTTATCTAAATACATTCAGCTTCAGATTCCAGAGAGCAAAAATTTGGATAGTGAGAGATATTCATATTTACTGCTTGCTTACAGGCACCCACACATGCATGCATTCTCTCAGTCATTCATTTAGGACCTCGGCTTATTGCAAGAGCTGGGAGATGAAACAACCATCATCTAAACTAGAGATAATCGTATGAAGGTGAGTGGATATATGTAACTGCATAATTGTAAAAGAACAACTATGATTCCCAAAGTGCCCAGTATGTGAGATGAGCTTGTTTTGGTTTAGTTTAAATATGTACATCTTGGATGGAATATACAGTTGATCTTTAAACAACATGGGTTAAATCAAGTGGGTCCACTTATACATGAATTTTTAAAAATAAATATATTGAAAACTTTTCTGTAAATTTGCAACAATTTGGAAAAACTCACAGATGAAAGATGTAGCCTAGAAATATTGGAAAAGTTAATAAAAAGGTATGTCATGAATGCATAAAACATATGTCAATACTATGTATGTTATTATTTACTACCATAAAATATACATGAATCTATTATGAAAAGTTAAAATAAAAATTAGGCCGGGCCTGGTGGCTCACACCTGTAATCCCAGCACTTTGGTAGGCTGAGGAGGGTAGATTGCTTGAGCTCAGAAGTTCAAGACCAGCCTAGGAAACGTGGCAAAACCCCATCTCTACAAAAAAATACAAAAATTATCTGGGTTTGGCAGCAGGTACCTGTAGTCCCAGCTACTTGGGGGGCTGAGGAAGGAGAATCATCTGAGCCCTGGAGGTCGAGGCTGCAGTGAACTGTGATTGTACCACTGCACTCTAGCCTGGGCTGCTGAGTGAAACTCTGTCTCAAAAAAAAAAAAAAAAAAAAGTAGTTAAAATTTACTAAAACTTATGCACATGAACACATCAAACTATATATGACGCCAGTCACAGTTTAGGGAAATTAAACACATGTAAAGATGCAGTATTAAATTATAATGGCATAAATTAATTGTACTGCATGCTGCACCTACTGTAATAATTTCATAGCTACCTCTTGTTATTGTAGTGAGCACAAGTGTTCTGATTATCCACTTAAAACACTGCATAACGCTAATCACCTCCACGTGAACAGTTGTCTCTCCAGGAAATTACATCACAGTAAAAAGTGATCTCTTAAAGTTCTGATGTATTTTTCATCATGTTTAGTGCAACACTGTAAACTTTGAATAACACTGTGGGACCCATTCAAAGTGCACTAGTGATGCTGGAAGTGCTGCCAAGAAGCAGAAAAAAGCTATGCAATTACAAGAAAAGCTATGAAATTACTTGATATGTACCGTAGGTTGAAGTCTGCCTCTGTGATTGCCGCCATTTCATACAGATGATTCATCTTGTAAACAGTTGATGCGCTGATAAACACAACACAGTACTGGAAATGTATTTTCTCTTTTTTATGATTTCTTAATAACTTTTTTAGCTTAGCTTACTTTATTGCAAGAATACAGTATATAATACATATAACAAACAAAATATGTGTTCATCAGTCGTTTATGTTGTTGGTAAGGCTTCCAGTCAACAGAATGCTATTAGTAGTTAAGTTTTGGAGAAGTCAAAAGTTATGCATGGATTTCAACTGCACAGGGCACTGGTACTCACAACCCTCAAGTTGCACAAAGGTCAGTTGTATATTACAAAACATAACTAACGATCAGATCATTATCTCACAAGTGTTTCACTAAAAGGAAGTAAGCCAATTTAAAGACCAGTGTTAAAGAAATAATAACATGGCTTAGAACTTAAAGTATAATAAATATATATATATTAAAAAAAAGAAATAATCACATGGGTGGACCATGAGTGTGGCAGAATCTGGAAGGTGGTTTGTGACTGTGTTTGAAAAAGACTTGGGCAGAGTGATCTGGGAGCACAGAGAAAACCTCCAACCCCAGCTTGGTAGGAGACCCACAGAAAGTGTCCCAGTGTAGGTCCACTCATATTCCACTTAAACTATTCTGACTCCATCTTGAAAATTTTAAAGAACTAGTCATTAATAAAGAGGAATGATAATGCTTGGTGATTTAGTGAAGATGATTGGTATAGAATTCAGCTGTTAGCGCAAATGGCTTGGTTTGATTTTCCTGAGTTTGTTAGAGTTTTAACCTATGAAAAAGTCCTGGTGCAGGTTTTACTGTTTTGGATGCAAGCAGAAGAAGAAAGAGTCTTTGGTTAGTAATCAATCGGTCAAAACTGAAGAGGGACTTCTCTCCAGATTGGATATTCTGAGACTATCTTTAAGATTTGTGGTATCACATTTAGAGACAGGAATCGTTCATGGTTTTAATCAGATGAGAAAGTTGGACCTGGCATGTGACTAACATGTATTGCATTGTTGCCATCAGGGGTTTGTAAAGCTAAAGGTTTTGATCTTTTAATATTATTTCTTAGTCTTTTCATGGTCAGTAGGACTGACAATTAAAATTTATAGCAATGTGAGGGAGGAATCTAGTAGAAAAGGGTTTTCTTAGCAATGCTTCTGTTGCTATCAGAAGTAAATTTTTGTTATTTGTTTTTGCATGAAAAATTGAAACATCACACAAGGTCTGTTTGCAAAGCATGTCTCCTGCCCACTCCAGATCTCAGTTCTAATCCCCTTGTGAATCTACCATGCAGTTTCCCATGTACCTATATGCGCTGGTATGTAAATACCTTTTCAAAATATAAATGGAAGGAAAATATACTCTTCAGCCTCTTGCTTTCTCATTTAACAGTATATCTCATAATTTTTTAACAGTTACATAATTTATTTAACCGTGTCCTGTCATGAACATTTAGCTTTGCTCTCAGATTTTGACCGTGGTTGACTGACTGTTCATTTGTTTGAAGGAGGGTGAGCTTATGCATGATTTTCATGTTTGAGTGTGCTCTACATTTCCTAGGACTGAAGACACTCGTTCCCTCAGTGGGAGTCATTTGGATGTGATGTCCATCTAATGGCAAGTAAAGGACACTGATCCTAGCTTTCTGCACTATTCATTGGTGGGATGGTAGGGATAAGCAATTTTCTCATCAGATGTGATATCGTAATCTCTCAGCCCCAAGGACACTCAGCGTCCTCTATTGAGCTCCGGATGGATCTAAAGAATTAAGATAATAGAGTTTGGGTTTTTAAAGCATAGATAACTATTCTCATGTATTATACATATGCCCTCAATTCACTTAGATTCGGTAGTGAGTTTGTGAGATGCTAGACGGCGTGGTGTGGTGAAACAATGATAAAATTTGGAATCAGAAAACCAAATTCAAGTCCAGCTTCTCTACACTGGCATCATTATTGTTGACAAGATACTCACCTTGTCTATGCATCAATTTCCTTATCTGTAAAATAAGGATGATGTGGACATTGAAATAGATAATGTCTGTGAAAGTATACACTAAAAACAATCATTGCACAAATGTCAGTTATTATTTAACCCAACTCCTTTCTTATAATGAAAGGGAGGCTCAAGAGGTGGAAAGTGGCTTTCCTAGGCATATACATACATCTGTGATTTAACAATCTTTGTACCTTTAGTGTTTGTCTTCAAAAATTTCAAAAGCAGAGCTGAGCTTTAAAAAGAGGGAACATTGGAAAGAATGAGAAAATGTTGTAACTTAATTTTTCTCATCTACTCTTTGTGCTTTAGTTATTTCATCTCTATTTTTACAAAACTTGAAATATATAAATGTCAGTTTGCTGATTATCTTCTATGATTTATGGTGCTTGCTTTGTTTTGGTGGTTTAGACATGAGTAGCACTGTACTAGTTTGAAATTAAAATTGCTTCTCCCAGCGTTACACACACACACATCACATCCAGCAAAAAAAGCAAAAAAGCTCTGAATTTAAAAAATAAAAATAATGCCAGAAGTATGAGTGGCTATTCACCAGTTGGAAATAGCTTTTCACACTGGATGGTAAACAGTAGCCTTTAGAGTGTTTCCAAATAACCATCACCAAGAATTGCTTTTAATTCACTCCCAGACGCTAAATAGGAGACCACAGAGCACTTTGTATTCCAAGGAGAAAAAAAAAAGACTGAACATTGAATAGACAAAAACACAATCTAGTGCAGTCAATCTCTTTTTTGTAAGACTGTTGATTTGAGAAGCTTCCATGATGACCCAACATAAAGAAGAGGTGAATGTTTGGGGTGATGGGTGTCCCAGTTGTCCTGGTTTGATCATTACACATTGTATGCATGTGTCAGAATATCACATGTCCCCCCAAAAGATGTATAACTATTATGTATTAACAAAAAAAAATCAGTATAATTGTTATGACATATAATGATATACTAATTTTGATAAGAGCAATATTTTAGGCATTAATAAATATAATGTAGCTTTTAAAGAAAGCCTCCAAAGCTAAAAGTTGTTCTGAAAATGAATCCTGTGTACTTATGGTTGTGAGTAGTGGATTTTCAGCAGCTCTCTGGTATGTACTCACTTCAGTGCCCTGTGGACGGGCAGAATTGAACAGGATTTTTGAAGAAAAGACTATTAATAGTTCTAATAGTTTGCTTCTTCTTCTATTCTGAAATCAATATGTGAAGGCATTGCAATAACATTTTGGAACAAGAGACTTCAAGAACACATAGAAAAGGTACACCAGGACTTATCTTGATGTCTCATTTCTCTTTCTTTTTAAAATTGAGATATAATCCACATATGATAATAGTCAACCTTTTAAAGTATACAATTCAGCATATTCACAGAGTTGTGTAACCATCACCACTATCTCACTTCAGAACATTTTTACCCCCTGAAAAGGAACCCCAATATCCATTAGCACACACTACCGTAGGCAGTGGGGCTAATTTACTTTCTATCTCTATGGATTTGCCTCTTCTGAACATTTCATGTAAATGGAATCATACAATGTGTGTCCTTCGTGTTTGACTTCTGATTTCACTCAGCATTACTGTGTTCACCAGTACTTTCTTTCTTTCTATGGCCAAATAATATTCCATTGTAAATATATAGCACAGTTTGTTTATCTGCCTATCAGTCGATGGACATTTGGGTTGTTTAAACTTTTTGGAAACTGAGAAGAATGAGGCTACCAAATGCTAACAACATTTACATACAAGTTCCAGTGAGGACACATGCTTTCCATTCTCTTAGGGATACACCTAGGAGTGGAATGGATGAGTGTCTGGTGTCTGTTTATCCAAGTCATCTTACTGGTAAGCTGAGAAAAAAAGGGAATGAGATGCATTTGGATAAATTAAGAAACAGGATAGGTACGTACTGGTAGAGAGGCTGTGGTCTTTGGGTTACAGCTCATTGTTCTCTTGCCTCCAACAGTCAATGACATAACCAGTTCCTGACTTTTTGGAAACAAACCCGTAGATAGACTGTAAATCCCAGCAGTTTGCAGTGTTTCTACCCCATGAGACATGAGGAATAATCATATGCTCCTGTTAGTTAACAGCACATCACTTTTGCTATTTCTCCATGGTGGAGGGGGCTATGAGTGTAGCCAAGGGAAGGAAAAAAGATATTGGGATCTTTCAATTTTTTTTAATATGGTGGGTGTAATTTGAAAAGAGCCTCTTGGTGCTCCGTTCATCCTGCAGAGGACTTAGGTTTTATTATGATCATATGGAGCCTTTGCTCTTTTCAGATGAGGGTATTTTGCGGGGATGAAGACAAACAGGGGCAGCTCCGTAGTGTATACAAAAATGTAAACAAAAGTGTAAAACAGTTCATCATGTCCTGTTTTCCTTCAGGGAATGGAAGATGTTAACAGAGAGAAAAGTTTGAAGGCAGACATTCAGAAGAAGCTAGGAGGAGAAGCGTCTTATATTAATGTGGGCCAAAAATGGAAGTGTGGCTTGGCTTTTTAAAATCCTGTGGCTGGTTTACTAGTAATAATGTTATTTCAAAATATTTTGTTTTCAAAATTATTTAGGTGTTATTTATGCTAGTGTAAAGAATAAAGTCTGGCTAATTGGAAATGTGTTAGACATGGTACACACTGTCATTTTTTACTGTAATAACCAGAAAGGGCCACTACACTAAGAGAAAAAGTGCCGTTTTCTCTGCCGTCCCCATATGAGCCCAGCCATCCAGAACAGAGCCCATGCTGGAAGCTTTTCCACACTGTAAGGACAAGTTTCATATTGACCGCATTGGTTCCCTGGAAAACCTTTTGTCTGCCTGGGGTGAATGGTCGACTATCCAGAGAACCAGATTTTCTTTCTATCTATATATTACATTTATCCTGCATTCAGAGCAGAAGAAGAAAATAGGCTAATTCCCCTTCGTGAAAACCTACGGGACCTCCATGCCATCCTTCAATACCATGTGGGGGCCCCTAGCCAGTTTACTAAGGTGTTAATGGTCTGTAATTACTTCCCGTGTTGCCTCCTTATGGGTTTTTGCTTTCATGCACAGGACTTTAGGGCCTCAACCCAAAGAAGTATGATGGATGATGGAACTTAATTGGGTCCTTTTTGGAAAGTGGCCTCTTCAACAATACAGAGAAAAGCCCTCCACTTAGGGCAAGCCACACGTTGAGTTAATCGTTATACTCTTTAACTGATAATTAAATGAAGAAATAGTTCTCTGCTGCCACAGTAATTTTTATTCTTTTGAGACAGGGTCTTGGTCTGTCACCCAGGCTTGAGTGCATCATGGCTCACTGCGGTCTTGACCTCCGAGGCTCAGGTGATCCTCCCACCACAGCCTCCTGAGTAGCTGGGACTACAGGTGTTCCCCACCACACCCGGAAAGTTTTTGTATTTTTTTGTAGAGACAGGGTTTCACCATGTTGCCCAGGCTGGTCTCAAACTCCTGGGTCAAGTGATCCACCTTCCTTGGCCTCCCAAAGTGCTGGGATTACAGGTATGAGCCACCATGCCTGGCCCGCCACAGTGGCTTTTTAAAATAAACTTTTATTTATTTATTTATTTATTTATTTTGAGACAGAGTCTTGCTCTGTCGCCCAGGCTGGAGTGCAGTGGTGTGATCTTGGCTCACTGCAAGCTCCTCCTCCCGGGTTCACGCCATTCTGCCTCAGCCTCCCAAGTAGCTGGAACTACAGGCGCCCGCCACCACGCCCAGCTAATTTTTTGTATTTTTGGTAGAGATGGGGTTTCACCGTGTTAGCCAGGATGGTCTCAATCTCCTGACCTCGTGATCCGCCTGCCTCGGCCTCCCAAAGTACTGGGATTACAGGCGTGAACCACCATGCCTGTTCTAAACTTTTATTTTTTTTAGAGAAGTTTTAGGTTCACAGCAAAGTTGAGTGGAAAGTATAGAGTTCTCATATACCTTCTCCCCACGCCACATACACACAACCTCCCCCACTACCAAAATTCCCCGCCACAGTGATACATTTGGTACAATCCATGGCCCTACATTGACATATCATTATTTCTCAAAGTCTATAGTGTACATTAGGGTTCATTCTTGGTGCTGTATGTTTATGGGTTTTGACAAATGTAGAATGACGTGTCTATCCTTATAGTGTCATACAGAATAGTTTCACTATCTAAAATTTCTCTGTGCTCTGCCTGTTCACCCCTCCCTCTCCTCAGTCCCTGGAAGCCACTGATCTTTTTTACTGTCTTCATGGTTTTGCCTTTTCTAGAATGTCATATAGTTGGAATCATACAGTACGTTCCCTTTGCAGACAGGCTTCTTTCACTTACTGATATATATTTAGGCTCCTCCATATCTTGTCATGGCTCGATGGCTCATTTTTTAGTGCTGAGTAATATTCCATTGTCTACATGAACCACAGTTTATTTATTCATTTACCTACTGAAGGACATCTTGGTTGCTTCCAAGTTTTGACAATTAAAAATAAAGCTGCTATAAGCATCCTTGCACAGGTTTTTTGTGGAGGTAAGTTTTCAGTTAACTTGGATGAACACCAAAGAGTGTGACATCTGAGTCATATGGTAAGAGTATGTTTAGTGTTATAAGAAACTGCCATACCATCTTCCAAAGTGGCTGTACCATTTTGCATTCCTATAAGCAATGAATGAGAGTTCCTATTGTTCCACATCCTTGTCAGCATTTGGTATTATCAGTGTTTTGGACTTAGCCATTCTAATAGGTGTGTAGTTGTATTTCATTGTTGTTTTAAGTTGGAATTCCCTAATGTCATGTGATGTTGAACATTTATAGTAATGTTTTTAAATCTTAGACAAAGCTATTCAATTCTGCCAGACCCAGTACTTCTTTTTTCTTAAAGCATGATGATTCCATTTTATTGGACAAATAACATGCAAAGGAGCTAAGCAGACTTTTTGCTAATGTTTCATTTTTTATGCTGTGCGGGAAAAATGATCTCGTCTATCTTATTCTCAGTGGTATTCCCCCAAACCAGCACAGTACCTGGTCCATATGATTCACTCACTAAATATTTACTGTGGTTGGTTAAGTAGTGGCCTCCAAAAAGATATCCCCACATTCGAATCCCTAGAATCTGTGAACATTGCTGTTTTGGGAAAAATGGTCCTTGTAGATGTAATTAAGTTTAGGATGTTGAGATGGTAAGATCATCCTGGATTATCTGGTTAGACCAATCCAATGACAAGTTCCATTATAAGAAAAAAGCAGAGGGAGAGATGAGACAGGCAGAAGAAGAGATAGAAGAGGAGGAAGCAATGTGACCGCAGAGGTGGAGATCAGAGTGATGTGGCCACAGGTCAAAGAGTACCTACAGCTACCAGAAACTGGAAGAGGCAAAGAAAGGACCCTCCCCTAAAACTTCCAGAATGAGTGTGGCCTGGCAGACCCCTTGATTTCAGACTTGTGGCTTCTAAGCCCTACATATCCACTAGTCAATTTTCCATCTCTATGGAGTTGCTTATTCTGGACATTCTATATAAATGGAATCATACAATGTGTGATCTTTTGTGTCTGGCTCACTAAATTTAAAATAATAGCACCTCCTGTTATATTCTAAATATATTGTAATATTCCTTTTACTTTCTTAAAATTCATAGATAATATGACTTACTTACACATACAATTTTTTAAATAATGTGCTTTATAATAAAAATAACTTTTAAAATAAGTATATGTTGTAACATGTCTACACTAGGCTATTTATTTCATAGGATAGTAGGAGCCTTGAACCTGCTTTACTATTTATGAAGCAGTATCACTATGAATGTGCCAATGATGGTAGCTGGGACACAGATATGCAGTGTTGAAGTCTCAAATACAATAATCAGCATTTCCCTTGATGATAACCTGATTTCTCCAAATGATGAACAATTCTTTTTTTAAAAAATGTTTAATTTTAAAATAAAATAGAGATGGAGTCTCACTATGTAGCCTAGGCTGGTCTCAAATTCCTGTCCTCAAGTGATCCTCCTGCCTCTGCCTCCCACAGTGCTGGGATTACAGGCATGAGCCACTCACTACACCTGGCTAGTTCTTGATAAAGTTCCAAATAAACCAAAGTTCATTTTTCTCTCAGTCTACACAGTAGTTATGGCCTTGGAAACTTCAGTGTACGTTCATAACCTGCAAGAAAATATTTAGTGTTTACTTGTAAAAGAGAGTTAGGCTCTCAACTCAGAGGATTACAGATGGATTTTTCATCTACATGAATGTCTGGCAGAACACTTAAGAGTCATGTTAGACACAAAAACTGGTTTTCATAGAGTGGCACTGTCCTGTGCATTGAAAGGCATGTTGCATCCCTGGCCTCCTCCCTCTAAATGCCAATAGTGACTGCAATCACTGCACTGACCAGAATGTCCCCCAGGAGAGCATCCATCCCTGCTGAGGACCAGGGGCTGAGCCCTTCTCAACTTCAAAACCACTTCCACATGCCTGATCACCTCTGAGTCCATATTCCATCCATTTCTTTCTCCTCTCTTCCATATGTAATTTCTCCCTGTTGTTATTCTTTGTACATTCATCAACCCATTCAGCATTCTTTCATTAAAAAAAAAAAAAAGAAACCACATTCTTCAAATCTCTCTTCTGCCCTACTGCTGACTTACATCATACTGCATCTGTTACCTGGATTTTGCAATATTATCTTAACTGATGTCCTTCCTTCAAGTCTTGATGTCCTCATCCCCACTCTACTCTTGGTATCAAAGGGTGCCATCAGACATGCAGATCAGGTCAGGCCAGGCCTCTGCCCAGGATCTCCCAGTAGGCTAAAGATCCATTCTACAACATGGTGCCTCATCACCAGGTCCTCCCCAAACATCTGCTTCTCACATTTCAGAAAAATATTGAACCACTTTTTTTTTCTTTTTCTGGGATGGAGTCTCGCTCTGTCACCCAGGCTGGAGCGCAGTGGCATGATCTTGGCTCATTGCAACCTCCGCCTCCCGGGTTCAAGCGATTCTGCTGCCTCAGCCTCCTGAGTAGCTGGGACTACAGGCACCCACCACCACACCCAGCTAATTTTTGTATTTTTAGTAGAGACGGGGTTTCACCATATTGGTCAGGCTGGTCTCAAACTACCGACCTCAGATGATCCACCTGCCTTGGCCTCCCAAAGTGCTGGGATTACAGGCGTGAGCCACCGTGCCCAGCCTGAACATATTTAACAGCTTTATCAAGGTATAATTCACGTACTATACAATTCACCCATTTAAAGCATGTAATTCAATAATTTTTAGTGTAGTCACAGAGTTCACACATGTTTAAAATATACAAGTTGAGGGTTGAGCGTGGTGGCTCATGCCTATATTCCCAGCACTTTGGGAGGCCAAGGCAGGCGGATCACCTGAGGTCAGGAGTTCAAGGCCAGCCTGGCCAGCCTGGCCAACATGGTGAAACCCCATCTCTACTAAAAATACAAAAAGTATCCAGGTGTGGTAGCGCGTGACTGTAGTCCCAGCTATTTGGGAGGCTGAGGCATAAGAATTGCTTGAACCTGGGAGGCGGAGGTTGCAGTGAGCCAAGATTATGCCACTGCACTCTAGCCCAGGCAACAGAGCGAGACTCAGTCTCAAAAAAATAAAAATATATACAAGTTCACACATTTTAACATAGGTACCTATCCCTGAAATCATTACCACAATCAAGATGATATTTATCACCCCCTAAAGTTTTCTTATGCCCATTTGTAATTTCTTTTCCCCTCCCTAGCAACCACTTACTTGCTTTCTGTCATTATAAAGTAGTTTACATTTCCAAGAATTTTACGTAAACAAATCATGTAGTATGTACTGTTTACTTTGTCATTTGTCTTGGTCTGGCTTCTCTTCATTCAGCATAATTATTTTGAGATTCATCCACGTTGTAAGCATATGTCAATAGTTTATTCATTTTTGTTGCTGAGTAGTATTCAGTTGTGTGATTATACCACAATTTGTGTACTTACCTGTTAATGGTAAATTGGGTTGTTTCCAGTTTGGGGCTATTATAAAAAAGAGCTGTTATGAACATTCATATATGAGTATTTGGTCATATTGCTTTTGTTTCTCCTGGGCAAATACCTAAGAGTGGGATGGCTGGATCATATGATAAGTATATGTTAAGAAACTTATATATGTTAAGAAACTTATCATATAAGTATACAGGTAGACTTTTTAAGAAACTACCAAACTATTTTCCAAAGTGGTGGTACCATTTTTGTTTCCTCCAGAGGCATATGAGAGGTTCAGGTGCTCCACGTCCTCACCAACACTTGATGTGTCAGTCTTGTGAATTTTGGGGAACACACTTAGACCATAGCAGTAGGTCCCCAATAAATATTTGTTTAATAAAAATATAAATACTGACTATTATAGTAATTTATATTGGTCACTTTCTACGTGCCAGGTACTATACTAAGTGTTTTGCATACATTTTCTCATTTAATTCTCCTAACAAATCTAGGAGATGAGCACTATTTTATTTTCATTTAGGAAATGAGAAACTTAGCCCTTCTAGTGGATGTGTAGCAGTGTGCCTCACAGTTTAAACTCTAGTGGTCCTAACCTCCTAGGAGCTCCCACTACCTATTATCCAGCATCACTTCCCCAAGCCTTTCCTCTGGCTGTTCTTGCAACCTGGATGCTTCTTTACCCATCCCTTAGTTAAACCATCTTCCTTTTGATACAGACAGAAGACAGGGAAATACTGGGTAGAAGAGGGTGGTCCCCTGGCAAAGGCCCCACCCTCCAGCCTGGAAACCCACTGCCCTAAATAGGAACAGGCATTCCTGTTTTCTCACCCCCCTATCCTGTACCCATATAAACCCCAAATCCCAGACTCCACAGGCAGAAAAACAGAAGAGCAGAAGAGCAGCAGAATGGCACAGCAGAGAAGGGGAGGAGAGGAAGAACATCTGAACATCGAGAGGAGTTCCGCTGGGGACAGTCGGAGAGGAGATCGGCTGCTGGATAACCAAACTCCAGGGGAAGATCATTTTCCCACCACATCCCCCTTCCAACTCCCCATCCATTCCACAGAGAGCCACCTTCACCACTCAATAAAACCCCTGTATTCACCATCCTTCAAGGCCCTGTGACCTGATCCTTCCTGGACACTGGACAAGAACCCAGGTGCCAAGATGGCACTGAGCTGGTTAACACTTAAGCTGTCTGTGATGGCAGAGCTAAAAGAGCACTGTAGCATGCCCACTGGGGCTTTGAGAGTTGCAGACACACATCCCTAGACTCCTAACGTGGGGCCAGAGCCCCAAAAGCATTTGCCCAGGCTCCCTGCACCCTGCCCGTCTGTGTGCTTCCCCTCCTATAAGGGGTTTGAGCAGCAGCTGCAGCCAAACAGACGAGCCACACCCCTGTTGCACGTCCTGTGAAGGGGGTCAGGGAACTCTCCTATTTCACTTTAACCAGCCCCAGGTTCTCTGGCCATCCAGGTTGAACCAGAGTTTTCTGTATATGTACACATACTCATAGAATTCTGTGGATTGTTTTTCAAAGCCTTTTCACATTATCCTCTGAAATCTTCTTATTGTGTCACCATTTTCCCTACTCAAGGATGGGGACCTAATACAAGGCTTGGCTCATCATAGCATCATTGTCACAAATGGCAATGCCAGAAACAGGATACAACCTTCTGAGAGTGATACTTTTCCTCTGCAACTTGAAAAATGTAGCTCTATTTTCTCCTGTTTAAAGAGAGCTGTGATCACAGTCATTGTTATTTGAAAATTATTAATGAGACATAATATGCAGCCGTAGTATTTTTAAATAAAATGAATGATTTTCCTAATTCCACAAAACATTCTTCAAACATAGAAGGTGAAATATAAATGAAGACAAAGGAACTCATGAACCTCAAAGAAATTTAACTTTATCTGAAGGAGAGTCACCCAATCATTATTTTTATGATTCTAAGGTTTCCTGTTTCTGATGATTTTAAGTATTTTTTTACCCTTATCCTCTCTGTTAGGATGTGAGGATTTTAAGTATTTTTGAGGGAACTAGCATTAGTAGTTATGCCTGTGATATTTTGTTTATGTTGGTGAGTGAGGAAGAAGTAGGACTGAGAAGTATATTTCAAGCAGCTTCTGAGAAATTCCCAGTAGTCGGTAATACCTGCCAGTTTTTCAACTCCCCAGATAATGGTCAGTTAGTTGTGGTTTTTACAGGTTCACAGGAGGGAGGCAGAAACATAAAAAGAGTGAGCTGATTTCCAGGAGAGTAGTTCCTGGTGGTTAAGTGGATGGTAAAGAAGTTAAGTTTCAAAGTCTGATTCGAAATTGCAGCTATGGAATTCAGAGTAATTGTCGCTGAGGCTTTATAGCCTGTGGATTTGGCCTGCTGTGCACAGGGAGTGGTTCTTGGTTTTTAGCCCAGAGCAAAGTGGCAGTGAAGCACAAACACATATGCAACACCTTCTCAGGGGGTTACTGGGTTTGCTGGAATTATGCACGGAATTAACCGGCAACTCAAGGAGTTGAAAGAAAGCACAAGAATGTGGGAACTCCTACAGCAATCCAGCTGACTAATCAAAATTATTTTGAAATAGTTCTTCATAGTGGGCCAGCTGACTAACCAAAATTATTTTGAAATAGTTCTTCATAGCGGGTTTTGTTCCAAGCAAGGTAATGCCATCCATCACGAGCTAAATAAAACCCTGGTAAGGTCAACACAGTCCTGGTAAGATATGTTTTGTGATTAAAGCCCACAACAAAGTGATTTGTACAAGAGGACTATATAGTGCGGTGCTTCTTAAATTCCCCTGTGCACATGAATCACCTGGCAATCTTGTGAAAATAGAGATTCTAATTTAGTAGGTCTAAGGAGAATCCTGAGATGACTACATGTTAAAGCAGCTCCTGGGTGAGGCTGGTACAGCCAGTTCTCAGACAATGCTTTAAGTTGCAAAGGCAGGTACTTAAGTAAATATGTTGCTCTTGCATATTAGATTATGAAGTTGTCCTGTAAATTTCTTTGACAAAGTAAGTTAGTCTATTGTTAATAATCCTATTCACTCCTTCACAAAGTAAACAAGTCTGTTGTTAATAATCCTATTCACTTTTAGAGGGTATGGACATCCAATTCTTTTTTAAAAAAATCAACTTTCATTTTAGATATGGGGGATATATGCGCAGGTTTGTCCCAGAGGTATAGTGCACCCAGGTAGTGAGCATAATAAACAATAGTTTTTCAACCTACTCCCTCCCCGTCTAGTGGTCCACAGTGTCTGTTGTTCCCGTGTTTATGTCCTTGTGCGCTCAATGTTTAGCTCATAGTTATAAGTGAGAACATGTGGTATTTGGTTTTCTGTTCCTGAATTAATTTGCTTAGTATTTTGTCCTCCAGCTCCATCCATGTTGTTGCAAGAACATGATTTTGTTCTTTTTTATGGCTGTGTAGTATTCCATAGTGTACCTGTACCACATTTTCTTTATCCAGTCCACTATTGATGGGCACCTAGGTGGATTCCATGTCTTTGCTATTGTGAATACTGCTGCAATGAACAGATGAGCATATGTGTCTTTTTGGTAGAATGATCTATTTTCCTTTGGGTATATACTCAGTAATGGGATTACTGGGTGGAACAGTAGCTCTGATTTTAAGTTCTTTGAGAAATCTCCAAACTGCTTTCCACAGTGACTGAACTAATTTACATTCCCACCAGCAGTGTATAAGCATTTCCTTTTCCCCACAGCCTCACCAGCATCTTTTGTTTTTTGACTTTTTAATAATAGCGATTCTGACTGGTGTGAGGTGATATCTCATTGTGGTTTTTGACTTGTATTTCTCTGATGATTTGTGATGCTGAGCATTTTTTCATATCTTTTTTCAGTAGATATGAACGCTGGTATGTCTTCTTTTGAGAACATGTTCATGTACATCAAATTCTGATTTCTATCTTCTGCTTTGAAAAAAAGGAGGGAGAATATGTCTTCGTTAATGACCTCATGGAAAAATCATTTTTAAAAACTCCATATTAGGCCAGGCATGGCAGCTCACGTCTGTAATCCCAGCACTTTGGGAGGCCGAGGCCGGCAGATCTTCTGAGGTCAGGAGTTCAAGACCAGCTTGACCAACATGGTGAAACCCTGTCTCTACAAAAATATAAAAATCAGCCAGGTGTGGTGGCAGATGTCTGTAATCCCAGCTAGTCAGGAGTCTGACGCAAGAGAATTGCTTGAACCTGGGAGGCAGAGGTTGCAGTGTGCCGGGTGCAGTGTGCATTCCAGCCTGGGTGACAGAGTGAGACTCTGAAAAAAAAAAAAAAAAAAAAAAACCCTCCATATCGAGCCCTTTTTTTTTGAGACAGGGTCTTGCTCTGTTGCCCAGGCTGCAGTGCAGTGGCTCCAATCTGGACTTTGCTCACTGCAGCCTTGACTTCCTGGGCTCAAGCAATCCTCCCACCTCAGCCTCTCAAGTAGCTGGTACCACAGGCATACACCATCACACCTGACAAATTTTAAAATTTTTTGTAGAGACAGGGTCTCACCATCTTTCCCAGGCTTGCCTTGAATTCCTGGGCTCAAGCCGTCCTCCCGCCTTGGCCTCCCAAAGTGTTGGGATTATAGGCATTAGCCACTGCACCCAACCTGAGTCTTTATTTAAAGACTGAAAATACCCATGCCATTTATTTGACTGATGCTCCTGATTACTAAAGAAGTTACAGTAAATGCAGTATGTTGCCTTCATACAACAGTGGCATTCAAAAAGTATCTTACTAGCTGTTCGAGTAAGAACAGTCACTTTTGTGGTTAAAATTTGAAAACAAGTGCTGCCTGGTTTGAGTATTAGGTTATCTTTAGTGCAGGACCATCCTGGTTTGGAGGTAGCATCGTGTGGTAGTTTAAGCACAGACTTTGAAGTCAGACTTTCTAGATTCGAATCCCAGTTCTGCCACTTGCTGACTGTGTGCCTGTGGATGAGTGTGCAATGGTTTACTCATCTGTAAAATTGGTCTGCATTCTCCAGGTGTTACTAGATTGAGTAAAAATCTGCAAAGCTCCTAGAACAGTGTCCAACACATATATAAGCTACGTGTTTGTTAAATACAAGATTAAAATAAATAATATATGCATTAATGTCATATCTTAGTTGCTCAGTGGTCCTATGGAATCCAGAAAGTCTGTTTTCTTTTTACCAACTAAAATATCCTACAAGACTTTGCCAACAAGTAGCTGGTCAGAGAGAAAGGAGCCTTCAATCAACAACCTGAGAACCCCAAAATATATCCATGACATTTGGAAATGCATTCATTTTCCTTATTTGATTAGACTTACCTCAGTCCTTTGGTTTTGCAGTTGGTGATGTATATTGGCCAAGTGGCCAAGGATGTCTTGAAGTGGCCCCGTCCCTCCTCCCCTCCAGTTGTAAAACTGGAAAAGAGACTGATCGCTGAATATGGAATGCCATCCACCCACGCCATGGCGGCCACTGCCATTGCCTTCACCCTCCTTATCTCTACTATGGACAGATACCAGGTAAGGTGGCCTGGTTCTTCTTCCTACCCACCTACTGAGGCAGCAAATAGAGGCTGCACTTCTGAATTTTCTCTTAAAGCTGCTTTGAGGGACCTTAAGGTTTATGAAATAAAGATTAAGAGAAACTGAAACCTATTAAACAGATGACAATTGCATCATAAATAAAGTGACTATATAATTTAGCATTTAAATCAGGTTATGCCTGTGTGTGAACATCAGCACCATATTAATAATGACACCAGGACAACTAGCATAATATGGGCCATCCCAGGAGACCAGCATGTATTATCACCCTGGGCTGCCTGATGAGACAGTGCTTGAATTAGTGCTCTCATCCTCTGTTTGCAAGAGGAGTTTATGTCCTAGTAAATGATTCTCCAGGGCTGAGATGATTCCACCAAATCCCTCTGCCAGACTCCCCAGGGCCTGGGGCCGCAAAGAGTCTGTGCCTCAAATTAGCCTCTAAGGATGTCTCTGCCCTGGTTAAGGCTCAGCCACTAGAAATGATGGCTCAAAGTTTTCTAGAACAGTCTAAATGGCAGAGGATTAATAAATGTTGAAAATAGAAGAATTTTACTTAATATCTGCTTAAATGCCAATTATAGTAAGACTTAAACAGTTATATTATTACAGCAATGGAAGTTATTTTTCTCCTATTTGAGACCTATGGATCTAATCTTATGTTTAATTTTATAAGTGTTATCTTTTACCCATTGGATGTTTTATTTGTTTGTTTATTTGTTTGTTTGATTTTAAGACAGGGTCTCTGTTGCTGGGGCTGGAGTGCAGTGGCGCCATCACCACCCACTGTAGTCTTGACCTTCTGGGCTCAAGCGATCCTTCCATCTCATCTTCACAAGTAGCTGAGACCACAGCTATGCACCACTACGCCCAGATAATTAAAAAAAATTTTTTTTCTAGTGAAGGGGTCTTGCTGTGTTGCCCAGGCTGGTCTTGAACTCCTGGCCTCAAGCAATCTGCCTGCCTGGGCCTCCCAAAGCACTGGGATTACAGGCATGAGCCACTGCACCCAGCCCCACTGGAAGTTTTAGATTCCATTAAATCTAGCAGTCTTGTAGATAAATAGCAGTATTGTTTAGCCCTGTCCCTTTACCCCAGAAGCCCAGGGATGTTCCATATTCCAGGTTATGCAGAAGCAGGAAGTCAAGCCTCATGTAGCTGGAAAGACCAGGACTAGTGTGGGGTCCCACCTCTACCACTGTAGCCTTCTACCTGGTCATCTGGGTTTAGACCTCTGTTACATAAGAAAGGGACAGTTACAAGGAATATATTTGACTAGATATCATCTTTTGTCATAAGTTACTTAAACTTCATGCCGGGGTCAAACAATGTCTGAGCTCCTGGCACTGTCTGAATTAACTTAGTGCAGGCTGCTGAGCCATGTTGTACCCAATGTCAGCTGCCCTAGAAGGACGTAGTGGGCCAAGCACCAGCTCCCATTGGGTTGATCTTGGTGCCCAGAGAAGTCTGTGAATATGCTAATGTACCTTAAGAGAAAAGCAGCAAGTGGAGGCTCGCAGCAGGAAAACCACCACCATCACCACGGACACATCCATTGCAGAGCCACCCAGTCCTCCTTAAAAAATTCTCCTCAACTTACATGATGTAGCAGTTTTCATAAGGTTGGAGTCATGTTGTGAATTTCTTTCCTATTTGATTTTTAATAGTGAATGTATTTAGCTAGCTGTTTGCTCATAAACAGCTCTAAATATTGGTTTATTTATATATTATATTTATTGGTTTATTTATATACATATTTATTTTTATATATTATATATTGGTTTATGTGTGTTGAGTACCCCAAAAACTATTGAAATAAAATTTTAAAAATGTGTGTTGAGGCTGCTGCCCACACTCTAATTTCCAAATATATTAACTCATTAATTCTGAACACTTTTAAATTAAAATCTGAGACTTAGTTAATGATAAACCTTAAGAACAGACATGACAACCAGCTGTTATGGTACTCATGTGTTACAAGGGGAAGAACACACTGGGCTTGGACTCAGAAGGCATGGCCTTCAGTTCTGACTCTCACTTACCAGCTGTGTGACCTCAGGCAGATCATTTCACCTCTCTGAACCCCAAGCTCCTGTTGTGAGGGTCAAATGGGAGCATTGAGGGGAAAGTGCCTTTATGATAAAGTTTATTAATAACGTCATTTATTATCATGGTTAAGAGCTTCCTCATTTGTAAAATGGGGCTAATAACAGAGCCTACTTCATAGGGCTATGTGAAGACTAAAGGAGATAGTATAAAGTGCTTTGCCTAATACAGACAGTGCCCTATTGTCTTTGATCTTCTTACTACAGTATACCACAGACACTAGTGCTTGAAGCAGGTGGATTTATGCCTATGTCTAGCTTATAAGCAGAGTATCTGTGTGTTCCTTATATGATTCAGCATTAGCCAGATTCCTCTAGCCACTAGTATTACTCAGCAGCAAATGTTGAGAGTCAGTAGAATCTGCACAAGTGCTTTTGATATCTGGACGCAAATATGCCGATTCTGACTTTAGGCCCATTGCCCCTCCTTCTACGGAGGAGGAGAAGTTGCTTGTTGGGATTTTCAGATTATAGCCCTGGCTATCTATCTACCTTGCTTCTTGGTCAAATTGTTTGTTTCTTATCGTTCTAATTTAAGAATAGGTAGAAATCAAAGTTATTCATTTCACTAAAACTGCCAGCACTGTAGTTGTGGTCATGAGTCTTAAAGCCAAGTCCTACTACGTCTCACGTGCATGCTTATATGTTGTGAAACTTCCTCCCAGAACTGTGTACCTGGGTATCTTCCCCTTCTCTTTCTTCTGTCTCCCCGTTTAAAAAAAAGTTTTAAGTTAATCAGATTGCTGGTCTGGGGAATGCAAGATTTGGACTAGCAATTCTTGCATTAATGAATCCTATTCCCACCTATGACATCAAATCATGTATGTCTGAGTGTGATCTAATTCCCTTGTTTTTTCTCCTTCCCCCACAGTATCCATTTGTGTTGGGACTGGTGATGGCCGTGGTGTTTTCCACCTTGGTGTGTCTCAGCAGGCTCTACACTGGGATGCATACGGTCCTGGTAAGGCTTTGTGGTCAGGTCTTGTGGTGATTGTTTGAATGATATTGTGGTCAGTGTGTCAATATGTTTCTCATACTACTTATTTATAAAATTATTTGCATATGTAATTATATTTCTCATCATGCCAATGCATTAAGTAATTATTATGTTCGGGTGCATGTATGATAATAGTAATGAAACATTAAGGTAATATCAATGAGGCTGAGCTACACTGAACCCTCAAGATTTTGAAAATGGGCTAGAACAGCGTTGGAGACTCCGGTCATTTATATTCACATCAGTTTACTGACGATGCAGCAAGCAGTTCAGAAAAAGCCCCCAGGCTCATAGGCACGAGTGAGTAGATGCAGTTCCCCACTTAGGTCCTCACAGAGAGGGGCCTGAAATCAGGGGTCTCCAGTGCCCTTGCAAGGTAAGGGTCCCACCAGGTCAGAGGAGCCCGGTATCACGGCTTTGCTTCCTTCCATACTGTTTTAGGCTGGAGGCAGTGGTGGGAACAGAGTCCCATCTGCATGTAAAGGTCCATCCACCCTTTTACCATATTAGAAATATTTTCCAGGGCCGCCATGATTGGCACAGTTAAAATTCCTTGAGAATTCAGTTTCCCAATGTGTCCACGGCTGCCTTGAAGTTCCAGAGCATAAGGCTGGCCATGGTCGACCACAGGGGCGCTATTTATCATCGTAATAGGTACAAGAAAGATTTCTTTAAAAAGAAATGGGCCCTTGCTCATTGTGTGTTTATCTCAATTCTGAAGCTCAAAAGTTAAGTTAGCAAAAAAACCTGGGAGGGAAAGGCCTACACCCCACACGGGCCTTCTTGCTTCTCTCCCTGGTCCCTTGTGTGGGTTTTTTATGGGAAATGTGGGAGAGAGGGGGCAGAAGGGCAGAAGCTGCAGAGCGAACAGATTGGGGAGATCATTTGTCAAAATGAACAGAGGCCGAAGTAACTCAGAGAAGGGGGTTTATGGCTTCCCAAGGGTCTATCAGAGAGCAACATTACGCTTTCCTCTTAAAATGCAAAGGAAGGTGCTGATAGCAATTGACTCGAGGCCAGGCCTCAGAAGAGGCAGGCAAGTCTCCAAGTTAAAGAGTGCTAAAAATCTCAGGAATCAAGATAAATCATTTGAATGCAGTTTTTTAAAAAATCAAAATTCATGCTACAAAACCCCATGATGAGCTAGATAGTCAAATTTTAAGTGAAGACAAGATTTGACCCTGTATTTGCATGCTGTGCCTCAGCTGCTTCACCTCAGCCTGGCCCTGACCTGGGTGCTGCCTGGGTGAAGGCGGGCCTCAGATCTTGGAAATAAGAAAGGAGCAATGAAGGGCCAGTCCTGTAATTTTACCTCCCAAGGCACGTCCTTGCTGTCCCCATCCCACGTCACACCACACTGGTGGCTCCTGAGATGGAGGGAAGGAGGGGAGGAGGGCGTTCTCTATTTGCTACACTGCCACTTCGTGTTACAAAGAGGTTCTCTCCAAATATGTTCATAGACTTCAATATGGAATGAAGAACTCTTGGGTTCTCTGGCATCTCTTTTTATCTGGGGCTACTGTTTAATTTCTGTAGGCTTTAATAAAATATGATCTTGGTAATGATAGACTGGATAAAGAAAATGTAGTACATATACATCATGGAATACTATGCAGCCATGAAAAGGAATGAGATCATGTCCTTTGACATGGATGAAGCTGGAAGCCATCATCCTCAGCAAACTAACACGGGAACAGAAAACCTAACACCACATGTTCTCACTCATAAATGGGAGTTGAACAGTGAAAACACATGGACACAGGGAGGGGAACAACACACACCATGGCCTGTTGGGAGGTTGGGGGTGAGGGGAGGAACTTAGAGGATGGTCAATAGGTGCAGCAAACCACCATGGCACACGTATACCTGTGTAACAAACCTGCATGTTCTGCACATGTATCTCGGAACTTAAAGTAAAATTTAAAAAAGAATGATCTCGAGAACTCGGGTTAAAGTTAAAATGAAAGTAAGCACGAGCATGTAGAGCTACAGAGATGAGTAAAGAGTACACAAAACCCACCTCAATAGAAACACAGCTACAGCTTTTTCTTTTTAAAGTGAGTTGTGGGGACAGTAAGCAGATATTTAGGGGAAGATAGATTAGGCCTGTCATCCAGATGCAAGGAATATTATATGCTTTTTTTAGACATAATGCAGTTGCACACTTAGTAGACAACAGAATAGTGTAAACATTTTTATATGCACTGAGAAACAAAAAAAAAATTGTGTGACTTGCTTGATTGTGATATTGACTTGATGGTGATGGTTTGGAACTGAACCCGCTGTGACTCTGAGTTAGGCCTGGATGTCACACTATGTTCATCCATTCATCTGTCAGTGAACACTTGGGCTCACCTTTAGGCTACTGTGAATAAGGCTTCTCTGAACATGGGGTTTCAAATATCTTCAGAGAGATTTTTTTAGAAGCTTCCCATGGGGTTTGAATATGCAGCTATGGTTGAGAGCCATTATAAAAGACATTCCCTAGAGATTGTGAGGGGCCCAGGGAAGGGGCACCGCCCCCTTTTGGGAGCATTTGTCCCAGAAGAAGCTGGAGCAAGAGGCCACAGCAACCATTGTCCCCAACCCCATCTGTTCTGTCAGGACCCAGGGCTTCTTTCATGCTCATAATTTTATTTCATAAAGATCTTAGACCCTGACTCAGGCTTAGGCCCAGGTACCAGTCAGGCTACAGGACCAGAGAATGGCCTAGGGTGCAATGATGAGTAATTTTTAGTAGAAGGGAACAGTTGGTTTTAATAGTAGGATAAGGTAGAATTATGGATTAGTTGCCTTTATTCAGCAGCAACTTAATCAGCTCCTACAGGCCCCTGGACTTGGAATGAGATCTGGGAGCTCTTGTGGTAAAGAAACCTATGCCACCCCTCAGGTGTCCAAGTCTACTGAAGGAGACAGATGTCTACACTGCTGATTACCTGACATGATGATATAGTTAGGATGGAATAACTGGATTGAGCCAACTATGATAGCGTGCCCCTTCCCTGGGCCCCTCACAATCTCTAGGGAATGTCTTTTATAATGGTTCTCAACCATAGCTGCATATTCAAACCCCATGGGAAGCTTCTAAAAAAATCTCTCTGAAGATATTTGAAACCCCATGTTCAGAGAAGCCTTACTCACAGTAGCCTAAAGGTGAGCCCAAGTGTTCACTGACAGATGAATGGATGAACATAGTGTGACATCCAGGCCTAACTCAGAATCACAGCGGGTTCAGTTCCAAACCATCACCATCAAGTCAATATCACAATCAAGCAAGTCACACAATTTTTTTTTTGTTTCTCAGTGCATATAAAAATGTTTACACTATTCTGTTGTCTAGTAAGTGTGCAATTACATTATGTCTAAAAAAAAGCAATGTACATATAATATCTTAATTTAGAAATAATTTACTGCTAAAAAATGCTAACAATGATCTGGGCCTTCTGTGAGTCATAATGTTTTTGCTGGTGGAGGGTCTGGCTCAGTGTTGATGGCTGCTGACTGCGTAGGGTGGTCATTGCTGAAGGGTGGAGGGGCTGTGGCAAGTTTTGTTTTTGTTTTTGTTTTTGAGACATCTCAGTCTGTCACCTGGGCTGGAGTGCAGTGGTGAGATCTTGGCTCACTGCAATGTCTGCCTTCTAGATTCAAGCAATTCTCATACCTCGGCCTCCCGAGTAGCTGGGACTACAGGCATGCACCACCACATCTGGCTAATTTTTGTATTTTTATTAGAGACAGTGTCTCACTATGTTGCCCAGGCTTGTCTCAAATTCTTGGGCTCAAGCAATCATACCACCTCAGCCTCCCAAAGTGCTGGGATTACAGGCATGAGCCAGCGTGTCCTGTTTCTTAAAATAGACAACAATGAAGTTTGCCGCATCAATTGACTCTTCCTTTTAGGAAAGATTTCTTTGTAGAATGCCAATGCTGTTTTTTTCCTTATTTTTCTCCCCTTTACATATGCCAAATCATGTGATGATATTTGATAACCTTTTACCTGGAGGAGAACTTTCAAAATTAGAGTTAATTCTCTCAAACCCTGCAATTGCTTTATCCACTACGTTTATGTAATATTCTGTCCTTTCTTGTCATTTTAACAATGTTCACAGCATCTTCACCTGGAGTAGATTCCATCTGAAAAGATTACTTTCTTTGTTTATCCATAAAAAGCAACTCTTCATCCATTCAAGTTTTATCATGAGATTGCAGCAATTCAGTCACATCTTCAGGCTCCACATCTAATTCTAGTTCTCTTGCTATTTTATTTATTTTTTTAATTTTTTGAGACAGAGTCTCACTCTGTCACCCAGGCTGGAGTGCAATGGCGTGATGTCTACTCACTGCAACCTCCGTCTCCCGGGTTCAAGCCATTGTTCTGCCTCAGCCTCCCAAGTAGCTGGGACTACAGGCATGCGCTGCCACACCCAGCTAATTTTTGTATTTTTAGTAGAGGCGGGGTTTCACCATGTTGGCCAGGCTGGTCTTGAACCCCTGACATGAAGTGATCCGTCCACCTTGGTCTCCCAAAGTGCTGGGATTACAGGCATGAGCCACTGCACCCAGCCTCTTGCTATTTTAATCATATCTGCCGTTACTTCCTCCATTGAAGTCGTAACCCCCTCAAAGTTATCCATAAGGGCTGGAATCAATATCTCCCAAACTCCTGTTAATGTTGATAGCTTGACCTCCTCCCATGAACATGAATCACAAATGTTCTTAATGGCATCTAGAATGGTGAATCCTCTCCGGAAGATTTTCAATTTACTTTGTCCAGATCTATCAGAGGAATCACTATCTATGGTAGCTATAGCCTTACAAAATGTGTTTCTTAAAAAGTAAGACTTGAAAGTAGCAATGACTCCTTGATCCCTGGGCTGTGGAATGGATGGTGTGTTTAGCAGGCCTGAAAACAACATAAATCTTGTACATCTTGTACATCTCCATCTTAGGTGACCAGGTGTATTGTCCATGAGCAATAATATTTTGAAAGGAATATTTTGCTCTGAGCAGTAGGTCAAAACAATGGGCTTAAAATATTCAGTAAATTATGCTGCAAACAGACGTGCTGTCACCCAGACTTTGTTATTTCATTTCTAGAGCACAGGCAGAGTAGATTTAGCATAATTCTTAAGGGCCCTAGAATTTTCAGAATGGTAAATGGCCATTGGTTCACCTTAAAGTTACCAGCTGCATTAGCCCCTAACAAGAGCATTAGCCTGTCCTTTGAAGTGTTGAAGCCAGACATTGACTTCTGTCTAGCTGTGAAAGTCCTAGATGGCATCTTCTTCCAATGTAAGGCTGTTTTATCTACATTAAAACGCTGTTGTGTAACGTAGCCACCTTCATCAATGACCTTAGCTAGATTTTCTGGATAACTAGCTATAGCTTCTCTATCAGAACTTGCTGCTTTACCTTGCACATTTATGTTTTGAACACGGCTTCTTTCCTTAAACCTCATGAACCAAATTCTGCTAGTGTCAGACTTTTTTTCTGCAGCTTCCTCACCTCTCAATCATCATAGAGCTAAAGAGAGTTAGGGTTTTGCTCTGGATTAGACTTTGGCTTAAGGGAATGTTGTGACTGGTTTGATCTTCTAACCAGGCCACTCAAACTTTCTCTATAATAAGGCTGTTTAATTTTCTTATAATTCATGTATTCATTGGAGTAGCACTTTTAATTGCCTTCAAGAACTTTTCCATTCCATTCTCAATATGGCTGTTTGGTACAAGAGGCTTAGCTTTTGGCCTATCTCAGTTTTTGAAATGCCTTCCTCACTAAGGTTAATCATTTCTAGCTTTTGATTTTAAGTAAGAGATGACAGCCAGGTGCAGTGGCTCACCTGGAATCCCAGTGCTTTGAGAGTCTGAGGAGAGAGGTTTGCTCGAGCCCAGGAGTTGGAGGCTGTAGTGAGGTATGCTTGTACAACTGCACTCCAGCCTGGGTGACAGAATGAGATCCAGCCTCCAAAATAAATAAATAAAGTGAGAGACATGTGACTCTTCTTTCACTTGAACACTGAGAGGCTATTAGGGTTATTAATGGGCCTAATTTCATATTGTTGTGTCTCAGAGCATAGGGAGGTGAGAAGAAAGCAAGAGAACACAGAGACATAAAATGAGCTCAGACTGTTGGGAAAGTGGCACCGATAGACTTGCTGGATACAGTATTACCACAAAACTTCAATTTGTAAAAAACACAGTATCTGCAAAGTGCAATCAAGGGAAGCAGAGTAAAATGAGGTGTGCCTGTCCACATACGATGGAGTATTAGCCTTAAAAGGGTGGGGAATTCTGACACCTGCTACAACATGGATGAGCCTTGAAGACATTATGTTAAGTGAGACAAGCCAGTCAGAAAAGGAAATCTTATATGATTCCACTTACATCAGGTACCTAGAGTAATCAAATTCATAGAGACCAAAATTAGAATGGTAGTTGCCAGCAGCTGTCAGGGAGACAGGGAGGAATGAGAAGTTCTTATTTATTGTGTATAGAGTTTCAGTTTTGTAAGATGAAAGACATTTTGGAATTGGATGATCATGGTAGTTACACAACAATATAAATCCTGTTAATACCGCTGGATATTTTAAAATAGTTAAGGTGGTGAATTTTATGTTATGTGTGTGTGTATACATATTAATAGATATATGGAGGTGGGTCCTGAGCTTTGGTATTTTTTTAAGCTCCCCCGTTGATTTTAATGTGCAACCGGGGTTGAGAGTCATTGATTGGACTAATGATCTGTCTTCCATGCTAGATATGTGCATGCCCCTGAACAAAACTGGGTTGGAAGGTGGAGACAGATACTCTGTAGACACCCAGCATCCACATGAACCACTCTGATTGCACACAGCTTTGATGCTCAGGGCGTGTGAGTACATCATTCAGGTGGCTGCCTGCTTGATACAAATGGCTCTCTCTAGGCTAGGCACGGTGGCTCATGACTGTAATCTCAGCACTTTGGGAGGCCGAGGCAGGTGGATCACCTGAGGTCAGGAGTTCGAGACCAGCCTGACCAACATGGAGAAACCCCATCTCTACTAAAAATACAAAAAATTAGCCAGGTGTGCTGGCACATGCCTGTAATCCCAGCTACTTGGGAGGCTGAGGCAGGAGAATCACTTGAACCTGGGAGGCGGAGTTTGCAGTGAGCCGAGATCGCGCCATTGCACTTGAGCCTGGGCAACAAGAGTGAAACTCTGTCTCAAAAAAGAAAAAAAAGAAAAGAAAAAAGAAAATGAAAGAAAAGAAAAAAATGGCTCTCTCTGCATAAGCAGGAGAGCAATTCAAGGAGAGAAATAATTTGCTTATCCCGCCTCTTAGGAAGTCACTCCTTGTCAGATGTGGTTTGGTGCCCCTGTCAAGGCTTTGCTGACGGGCTCCAGCTAGTCTCCTGGGCAGGCCCAACTGAAGCATGGGGAGGCATTAAACCCGCATGGCTGTGTCATCATCCTCACCAAACCAGATCTGGCCCCACCCCAGGGAAGGCGTCCCTGCCTACCAAGACACCCAAGCAAGAAACATGGGCAACACCCCAGCTCCTCCCTTCCCACACCTCCATCAGTCAGGTAGTCACCAAGCTGAATCCGTTCTGGCTCTTAAATATGTCTCACAGCTGCTCTTACACCACTGCTTGGAAATTATTTCCAAATCTGATTATGCTATTCCATGCATGGAGAAGTTTCTCTATCTCTTGCTGGACGTGAATGATGACACAGCCCCATTTGTGAGCAGCAGCCATTTGGGAATGTTTGGGGAATTGGCCTTTGAGAGAAATCAGTACTGTCCATGCCAAAGTATGGAAATAAAACACAGGGGCCCCAATGACATCACTGAGTGACTTTACCACCCCTGGGGCCACCGTACCTCTGGGCTCACCATTCAAGGTAAAACAGAGTTCCTTATTGCTGAAGCCAGTTTTTACTGAGGTCTTACATTTTTTCATGGTGAAAGGCATTCTATGTGAAGTGATAATTTATGAAAACAGTTTTTTGGTGTATAATTTCATGTTCTCTTAGTTTGAAGAATAAACCAATTGCATCCAGCTGAAGGAAAAGACAGAGAGAAAGAGGGAAAGGAGGGAAGATAGAATGTCTTGGAAGGACTGGGGTAGCTTGTGGAGCTCAGGAAGCTGTCAAAAAAACAAGCCTCAGGAGGGACCAGAAGAGGGGTGGCTCTGAGGAGTGTCATCACCTTCCCTTTGGAGTGCCACCATTCATGTATCCCAGCTCCCGACAACTCCTCCCTCAGATCAAAACTCTAACATATGGAGGTGAGACTTCGGCTGGACCCAGCACTACCCTTGGACCAGTGACCCTTGGCAGGGGGACAGGTCGCAGAGCAGAAATGCAACCTGGGAGCCACTCCTGTAGGATGTGAAGGCAGTGTCCTGAGAACAGGGACTGGAAAGAGCCCAGTAAGTTCACCACAATTGAATATGCCCAAAATCAAGTGGTTACCAGATGCGTTAGTCAGGACTCCTTGAATGAGAATAACAGACATCAACTCAAACTAGTTTAAGCTTACAGGGAAATGTATTGATGTTTATAACCATAGTATAAGGAGGTCAGAGGTGCAGCTGGCATTGGGAGAGTGGGACCCCAGGCCTTGACCTTCATCAGAAGCTTCCCTCACCACTCTTACCCAAGCTTATCTCTGCATGGTGGATTCATACTCTCGGTCTGCCATCCTCCCTGAGATTGGAGTTCTGGGCTTCATTTATTTTTTTTTTTTTTCTATTTCGCTCCTTAAAGGACTTCAGGGAGGAGAGTTTCAGGGAAGATCTCACATTGGCTGCACCTGGATAATAAGTCCGTGGCTGCATCAAATGCTATCCCAGGGGTGCTGAGAACTGTGATGGAACCAGCCAGGTCTGGAGCCAACCCGTGCGAGCAGTGGCTCTGATTGGCAGCAAAGGTTAGGGTTGGGATTGGCATACAGGAGGCTCAGTTCTCTAAAATAAAGTGCCTCCTGGCATCAGAAGCAGGGCAGACAAAGTCCCATGATATGCTCTCTGCATCTATAGCATGGCATTTTTCCTACTCTTTCAAAGTCTCAAAATGTGGACCTAATATTGTGTTTGTGGAGGAAGGAGGGCTAGAGCAAACCAAGAAGGCTCATCATACTATATTTATGATGCCCTGACTATTCAACTTACACAAAACGGATTTTAAGCCCTTTGACTAATGAAACAACCATCCCAAATATATTAAAACTAGCCAGAATTTTTGTTGTTAGCGAATGTGTGAAATATGAACAAACAGTGAATACTTGTTCCATTATTTTGCACCTGACCTAGCTGAAATGCTGCTTTATTTTATTGTCCCTAAATTGTTTGATCTCTGGATAATTACACAGATACTGTTTTATTTGCTTATTCATTTATTTTTTTTTCCTCCCAACTTTTGTTTTAGTTTTGGTTGGAGTCAGAGAATGTTGAAAAGGTTTCTCAAATACTAAATTATCTGCAGACCATACAAAACTGTGTTCTGGCTTTGGACTAGAGCATTTTTGTTGTATTTTTTCATGTTGTTTAAAAAAACTTACTTCAAAATGCCTTACTTAACATGGGAAAAAAAGCCGATGGCAATATAAATTACACCCTACCAAGCCTTACTTTCTGTTACACCCTGTTGGATGAGTTACTGAGATAAAATGGGAATTTAGTTATGTTTCTGAGCATCAGTCACTATGTTAGTATGTCACTGTTTTCTCTTTACCCTAGAGAGACATATTTTTACCCTTTTGTAAAAATAGGGAATTATTTCTAGTTTCAAAAGTAATGAATACTCATGGTAAAACATTCACTCCCTCTTGGTTTTAATTTTTTTAAAAGACAAAATAAATCACTATTATTTAACCACCAAAGGAGAAGTTCAGATACCCATTGTTGGGATTAGGCCTTAGCATATTTTCCAGCAAGAACTTTCATATGTATTACTAACAACAAACACAGGCAAATTAATTTGTGTACCTTCTTTCCCAACGCTGTTCAAAAAGCCACAGTGGGGGCGCAGTGGCTCAAGCCTTTGGGCACAGTGGCTCACACCTGTAATCCCAGCACTTTGGGAGGCAAAGGCGGGCAGATCACCTGAGGTCAGGAGTTCAAGACTCAGCCTGGCCAACATGGTGAAACCCCATCTCTACTAAAAATACAAAAATTAGCCAGGCATGATGGCAGGTGCCTATAATCCCAGCTACTCAGGAAGCTGAGGCAGGAGAATTGCTTGAACCTGGGAGGCGGAGGTTACAGTGAGCCAAGATCATGCCATTGTACTCCAGCCTGGGTGACAGAGCGAGACTCTGTCTCAAAAAAAAAAAAAAAGCCACAGTGGGGGCACTGTTTTCATCTCTTTTACAAGTGGAGGATGAATCCGCTGCTGGAAGGGCTGGAAGTCTAGGATGGGAGCTGGACGAGCCTTGAGTGCAGACCACAGGAGATGGACAAAGACAGAAGTTGGTCAAGCACCAGAGTGATGCAGAGGTCAGAGGCCCCTGCGTGGCAGAGAGCCACAGTCGAAAGGGCTGGAGCAGGCACTGGGTCCATCTGCCTCAGACCAGAAGCCACTCGCATCCTTTCTGCCGCAGTGGAGAAACCAGTTGGCCTCTGACATTCTGCAGCCTGGCACCTCGGAGGCTGCTTCAGCATGGTGTGTGGTCAGACCTGGAGGAGCCTACAATTAACTGACAATTAGCCTGACTGGGAGGGGAAGTGGGGACCTCCCTGAGGCTAGTGGCCAGGCAGCCAAATGGGCTAAGACTCTGGCTTCAGATGTGGTCCATTGGGAAGTGGCTGGTTTCTCAAAAGACTCAGAAGTGCCAATTAAATTCCAGCATGCTGAGCAGGGAGCTCGATAAAGGCTTAAAGTCTGGGTGGTACTGAGAATGCATCCACTTTTCCCAAATAAATAAAAAGCAGCCACATTTAGGGACAGCATGGATTTGAGATCTGACACTACTGCGTGTTGTATTTGTGTTTCTAGGTGAGTTCCAGTTTCGATTTAAGACTAAGGGGTTGATGAAATCTTCCATAGGAGCCAGGCTCCGTTTGCTTCTTTCTTTTATTAGGTGCTTGCCTTTTGGATTATATAGTGTGTTACAGGTAGTTTCATTGAAGGGTGAAGTTTTTCCATAGCTTATAATTGTATGCCTCTCTTAATGCAAAAAGCACTGTCTTCCAAATTTGTGAAGTCACCTTCTGTAAAACGAATCTGACCTTCCCATTTATTTGCATCACTTTTTAATTAAAATGATATGAATAGGTAATATACTCTATTTTAGCTGAAAGGCCAAGGAAGGATGTTTACATCATTGTTTTAAAAAATTGTTTCAGCTGGGCACAGTGGCACACGCCTGTAATCCCAGCACTTTGGGAGGCCAAGCAGGTGGATCACCTGAGGTCAGGAGTTCGAGACCAGCCTGACCAACGTGGTAAAACCCTGTCTCTACTAAAAATGCAAAAATTAGCCAGGCATGGTAGCAGGCACCTGTAGTCCCAGCTACTCGGGAGGATGAGGCATGAGAATCGCTTGAACCCAGGAGGCAGAAGTTGCAGTGAGCTGAGATCGCGCCACTGCACTCCTGCCTGGGGGATAGAGCAAGACTCTGTCTCCAAAAAAAATAAAAAAATAAAATAAAATAGAATAAAAAATTGTTTCTTTGGCCCCTTGGGAAAATATAAATGCAAATTTCTGCCAGCAAGATCATTGTTATGATGTTTAGGAAAATATTGGCATGTGCTTGCACTTTATTTTTATTTGTAAGCCTCTGAGTTATTGTTAGTCTGTTCCAATAGTGGAATAAAAAGAAAGAGAAATGAAATGATTTACTATAATTCCTTAGCTAACCACTGAAACCTAATAAAGCCTTATTTCTAAATCAAATCATAAGAAAAATGTCAACCTAGTTCAATAAAGAATTCACCTTCTTCAAAAGGCAAATGAACTCCTTAGAAAAGAAGAATCCGAAGTATTTAATGACAGCACAGCAGCTCAAAGCCATGAAGAGGCAGAAACAAATCCAATGTGTCAGGGGCAAACTGTGTGCCTCAGCCAGGAAGCCTCCTGTATTCTTCATGCTGTTTCCAAAACCATTTGGAAAAATTAGGAAATATGAGTGAATAGTTATATAAATGTACAATAGAAAAAGCCCTTTCTAGGCATGATATCAAATGAATAATCCACAAAAGAAAAGATTAGAAGAGTTGACTACATACATTTTTAAAGAAATCTCTGCCTATAAAAAAATTGAAAGTCATCTTGAAAACCATAAATGTAATAGGTGATAGACAAAGGGTAAATACAATGAATCAATGAGCAAAAGCCCAGCATTCCAGTGGACAAGAACAGATAATTTCTAAAAGAAGAAATAAAAATGTCCAATAAATCTAAGGAAACAATTCCACATGTATGTATAGAGATATGAAGGAATAAAATAAATACAAATAAAAGTGAGATACCATTTTTACATTCTTGCCTGTGAGATTGGTTTTAAAAAAAGAATAACAGTCAAGGTTGATGAGGGGCTATGAGTAAAGGAACATTCTCATTAAGGGACATTTAAATGCAATATGTATCAAAAGTAGTAAAATGTGTGATGCATACCTCTTGACCCAGGAACTTTTTCTGAGAACTTGTCCTAAAGAATAATGGAACAAATACATACAGACACTTAAATGAAGTTGCAGTGTTATTTAAAATAGTACAACATTGGAAATGATCTAACGTACAACAGTAAGGATTTATCCAATGAAATGAATGGTATTATCAAGATATGGGAAGATATTCAGCTATCTAATATTATGTAATTTTTATTGATGTAGCAGCTTTATTCCTAATCTCTAAAACCTGGAAACAACCTGATGTCCTTCAACTGGTAAAAGGATAAACAAACTATGGTACATCCATTCAATGGTTACTACTCAGCAGTAACAAAGACTGAACTGTTGCATGCAACATGTTGATGGTTCCCCTATGAATTATTCTAAATGGAAGAAGCCAACTCAAACAGCTAAATACTGTTTAATTTCTGTGACCTCTGGGAAAGGCAAAGGCATAGTGATGGAGAGACCAGTGGTTGCTGGGAATTGGGGTGGTAGGAGGGCTTGGTCCTTCCTCCTACATGAAGGAGTTTTGGGGGGAATTATGCAACTGATTGCTGTGGTTTTGACCTGACTCTGAGCATTTGTTGAAACTCATTGAATTGTAAACAAAAAAGAGTAACTTTTAGTGTATATAAATTTAAAAATTAAATTGTACTCCTGCATATGAGAGAAAGGGAGAGGAAGAGAGACAGAGAGAGATTTCTTGTAGAGAAATAAAAAATAAACTCTAAAGAGACTCTAAAAATTTTGTTACATAGAAATCTGTTATATCACTGAGTGAAAAAAAGCAAGGTGATCCTCTCTGTTGCATTTTATACAGTGTTCTATAAAACAGCAGTCCCGGGAGATTCTCTGATGAGGAAAAAAGGGATTCCTGAAGCAGTTTGTGCCAAGTCCTCTGCCCTTCCTCAATTCAATTGTATATGAAGCTTCCTTGTTTTAATTTATAAAGAAAAGAGGCTTAATTGCCTCACAGTTCTGCAGGAAGCATAGTGGCTTCTGCTTCTGGGGAGGCCTCAGGAAACTTACAGTCATAGTGGAAGGGGAAGGGAAAGCAGGCGCATCTTACATGGCCAGAGCAGGAGCAAGAAAGAGAGTGGGGAGGTGCCACACACTTTTAAATGACCAGATCTCGTGAGAACTCTTATCACTAGAACAGCACCAAGGGGATGGTGCTAAACCATTCATGAAGGATCCGCCCCCATGATCCAGTCACCTCCCACCAGGTCCCACCTCCAATATTGGGGATTACAATTCAACATGAGATTTGGGCAGAAACACAGATCCAAATCATAGCATTCTGCCCTTGGCCCCTCCCAAATCTCATGTCCTTCTCACATTTCAAAATATAATCATGACTGTCCAACAGTCCCCCAAAGTCTTAACTTATTCCAGCATTAACTCACAAGTTCAGAGTCCCAAGTCCCATCTAAGACAAGGCAAGTCCCTTCCGTCTAGGAGCCTGTAAAATCAAAAACAAGTTAGTTACTTCCAAGAAACGATGGGATTGGGTAAATACTTCCATTCAAAAAGGGAGAAATTGACCAAAAGAAAGGGGCCGCAGTCTGGCCCCATGTGAGTCCAAAACCCATCAGGGCAGCCATTAAATCTTGAAGCTCCAAAATAATTATAAAGGTTCTTAAATATTTTCAAATCAAAGAAACTGGTTTAGCATTGTTAAATGCTGTATGTTAGAGGAGAAAATAGAATCTATTCTAGGTATTTAAGCAAAATGGAATTTTATACAGGGAATGTGGTGCTTACAAAGTATTGGAGGAGCTTGGGGAGCACAGAGATCATTGCTATACTCAGTGTCCGGCACCACTACCAGATCTCCGTCTTCCACCTCCCACTTCTCAGTGCTCACCAATCAGATGGCCAGACACTAGGCTGAACTCAGCCACTGTAGCTGCCTTGGTTGCCTCTAGAAAACTGACAGCAGTGACTAGACACTGGAATCCTTAGTCCTGCTGTTGGAGCTCACGTTTCTGAGGCTTTGCCAGATCACAGAAACAGCAGGAGGAAGATGGCTTCAACCTCCATGCCACCTTCTAGATTCTGCAAGAAGGCATCAAACTGGTAGAACCTAATTTCCAAGGGAGCCATTTTTATCTTTCCAACATCTTCAGTTCAGGTGGGAGGTAGAAATGGATACCTAACAGGGTGCCAGTTGATCACATCCATTGCGCTTTGGGATCCCTTTTTCCGGTGTCATCTAGTTACTTCTCAGCTTACTATGGGAAACCATGCTTAGGATAATTTCCTAGGAGTGGGCTTCCTAGGAAAAATGACAATTTACCAACAGAAAAGACAAGAATGTGAATTTCCTGATGTTTGTTTATTTTAATGTTAAACACAAATATTTCTAGTTCAGTAGATAAAATGACATTTAAGAGATTTTCATTCCAAAGTCTCTTCGGTCATATAGGATGAGTATACCTTATCTGAAATGCTTGAAACTAGGAGTGTTTTGGATTTGGGGTTTTTTCAGATTTTTGAATATTTGAAAGTACCAACTGACATATCTTGTGGATGGAACCCAAGCCTAAACATGAAATTCATTTATGTTTCATATACACCTTGTACACATAACCTAAAGGTAATTTTATGCAGTATTTTTAATCACATATGCAACTCATCACATGAGGTCAGGTGTAGAATTTTTTCATGTGATGTCATGTCAGTATTCAAAAAGTGTTGGATTTTGGGCATTTCAAATTTTGAATTTTCAGATTTGGGATGCTGAACCTGTACTGCATAAATATCAGTGTATTAACAATCAGAGAAAGCTATTGCATAAGCATATGGTTGGTTATATTCATGTCTGTTCATCACAGTAGGTTGTGAGTCCTTTGAAGGTAAGAATCTTATTCTATTCGCCTTTGTATACATTCTCCCCCAGCACACAGTTCCCAGCAGAACACCTGGGAACGGTGCGCAGTAAATGTCAAGTGGATTGCAATGGATATTATCTGTCATCTGTCAATAAATCTATTTTTTCTCCCTTATTTATCTGCACTTTATTGAGTCAGATTTGACAAGATTCATCCATTAGTCTGAATATTGGATTTAACATGGGAGCCCAGGCCAGATCATACATTATACATTTATTATTTTTTCAGCATAATTTTGTTTAGCTTATAAACTGTTTTTTTTTTTTTTTTTTTGGAGACAGAGTCTTGCTGTGTCGCCCAGGCTGGAGTAGTGGCATGATCTCAGCTCACTGCAGCCTCCACCTCCCAGGTTCCAGTGATTCTCCTGCCTCAGCCTCCCAAGTAGCTGGGACTACAGGCATCCACCACCATGCCCGGCTAATTTTTTGTATTTTTAGTAGAGACGATGTTTCACTATGTTGGCCAGGCTGGTCTCGAACTCCTGACCTCGTGATCCACCCGCCTCAGCCTTCCAAAGTGCTGGGATTACAGGCGTGAGCCACCACGTCCGGCCAGCTTATAAACTTTGACTTGTAAAAAATGTAATAGAGTGTCTTGGAACAGCAAATATCATCCAAGCATGGATGCCCACTTTCGTGTTTCTAAAACTCTAAGTTAACTGTGGCAAGTGTGGAGTTGTGTAAGAAACGACCATGGAGCAGTGTGTCAGCAGCATGAGGCTTTGGGGCTGTTTGAGGCACCAGTTCTTAGGACAGAGGGAAGACTGCTTGCAAGAGTATCTCAAGACATGCTGTTTTATGCTTTGCACACTTCATTTAATAAATGGAAGGACAGCATAGCCAGGGAAGGAGAAGAAAGTTCTACAGTTCCTAATGGAATTGAAAATTTCATAGAGGCCTGGTACCTAGGTCTTTATCTGGATATAGGTGTGTAAGTAGTGCCTAGAGATTAAGAAGAGACTTTTAGAGGCTTACTTGTATAGGACAAGAAATGTGCATCCCCACTTTTTTGGTTCAAAATAAGAAAACTATTTTATTTATTTATTTATTTATTTATTTATTTATTTTTGAGATGGAGTCTCACTCTGTCACCCAGGCTGGAGTGCGGTGGCGCTATCTCAGTTCACTACAACCTCTGCCTCCTGGGTGCAAGTGATTCTCGTGCCTCAGCCTCCCGAGTAGCTAGGATTACAGGCATGTACCACCATGCCCAGCTAATTTTTGTATTTTTAGTAGAGAAGGTTGGCCAGGCTGGTCTTGAACTCCTGACCTCAAGTGATCCACCCACCCCGGCCTCCCAAAGTGCTGGGATTACAGGTGTGAGCCACTGTGCCTGGGTAAGAAAAACAATTTAAAACTTTATAAATTTTTATTAACCTGTGGTGTGCATAGAGAAAAGTAAACAAATTGTAAATGTGCAGCTCGGTTAATTTCCAATAAAGTAAACACGCACCTCAGTAACCATCACCCATGTTAGGAAATACAGCATTATCAGTACCTCAGAAGTTCTCTCATACCTTCTACTGTGCATCTCCCCAAAGGTACCCGCTCCCCAAATCTCTGACACCATAGATTAGTTGGATTTCATATAAATGTAATCACACAGTATGCTTTGTTCTGTATCGGGTTTCTTTTACTCCCTGTTCTATTTGTGAAATTCACCATGTTGCTGTATGTAGCTCTCATTCATTAATTTTTGTTGTTGTTTAGCATCTAACTCATGACCATATACCACACTTTATCCCTTCTGCTATTGATGCATATTTGGACTGGTTCCATTTTGAGGCTACTATAAATGACACTACCCCAAACTTTCTTTTATGTGCCTTTTAGAGCAAATATGTACATTTTCCTCTTGAGTATGAACGCAGAAGTAAAATTACTGGGTCCTGAGGCATGCATATGTTCAGCTTTAGTATGTTCCATTGTTTTCCAAAGAATTTTAACAATTTCATTCTCACCAATAGTGACTAAGATTTCCAGTTCTCCACATCCTTATTTGCACTTGTGAATATCACTCTTATTTTCGCCATTCTTGTGAGTACATCTTCGTATCTCATGTGGTTTCAATTTCTCCTAATAATGACATTTAGCTTCATTTTGTATGTTCATTGGCCATTTAGATACCCTCCTTTGTGGGGTGACGATTTGTCTTTTACCTATTTTTTTTATTGGATTGCTTAACTTTCACTTACTGATTTATTGGTGAGTTGTTGATCAGATACATGTATTCCAAACTTCTTTTTCTTTTCCTTTTTTTTTTTTTTCTTGAGACAAGGTCTCATTCTGTCATGCAGGCTCACTGCAGCCTTGACCTCCCTGCTTCAAGCAATCCTCCCACCTCAGGGTCCTGAGTAGCTGGGACCGCAGTCGTGTGCCACCATGCCCAGCTAATTTGTATTATTACTCATAGAGATGAGGTCTCGCTATGTCACCTAAGCTGGAGCTTTTCCTACTCTGTAGCTTGCTTTTTCACCCTATTGGCATCTTGTGGTGAACAGAAGTTCTTCATTTTAATGTAGTCCAGTTCATCAATATTTACCTTATGGTTACAACTTTTGTGTCTTGTGTAAGATATTTTTTGACTACTAAAAGGTCATAAAGATATTCTGTTATTATATTTGTGAGGTTTTATTGTTTTTCTTATTTAGATCTATAATCTACATTGAATTGATCTGTGATTCCTTTTTGTTCTACATGAATACCCAATTTACTCAGCACCATTTATTGAAAGGGTTACCCGTTATCCTTTAACAGAAACATCAACTTTGTCATAAGTCAAGTGACTTTATGCATACAGTCGTTCCCTGTTATCCTCAGGGTATGCATTCCAAGACCCTCAAAGGATGTCTGAAACTGCAGGTAGTACCAAACCCTATATATACTATGTTTATTCCTATACATATGCACCTCTGATAAAGCTTAATTTATAAATTAGGGACAGTAAGAGATTAACAACAACAACCAATAATAACATAGAACAATCATAACGATATGCTGTCATAAAAGTTATGTGAATGTGGTCTCTCTCTCAGAATAGCTTATTGTACTGTATTCACCTATTTTTGGACTACAGTTGATCATGGGTAACTGAAACCACAGAAGACAAAATCATGGACTGTACTCAGTACTCTTCCCATTAGTCTATTTGTCTATCCTCATGCCAGTGCCACTGTCATTATTTACTGCAGTTTTGTTATAAGTATTGGTATCAGATAGTGACAGCCCCTAACTTTGTTCTTCAAAATTATCTTCACTATTCTTGTATTCTCATATAAATTTTCGAATCGGCTTTTCATTTTCTCCAATGCTGGACTTTTTCTTGGGATTAAATTGAATCTATAGATTAATTTGAGAGATCTGGTATCTTTTGTAATATTGACTATTCCAATATATGGGCATGGCACATCCCTCTATTTAGGTCTTTAGTTTATCTTATTAATGTTGTTTTCTGTATAGAGGTCTTGCCTATCATATATTAGATGTATCTCTAAGCATTTGATCTGCTAAGTGCCATTCTAAGTGCTTTACATATATTAACTACCTCATAGGGTAGTTAGCAGAAAACTAAGGAGGCACTATTATTATCCCATTTCTACAGATGAGACATAGAGAAGTTAAGTAACCTGACCAAGGTCGTGTAGCTGTTAAAAGGCTGAACTGAGATTTTAAGTTAAGCAGGCTGACTACAGAATGCATGCTTTGAATTACTGTTCTGTACTATGCCTCCAACATGTTCACGAATGCATTTAATTGCAAACAATGAAAATATGTTTAATATCCATCAATCAGATCTTGTTAAATAAAGTCATAGAGTGGAATATTATACAGGCCTTAAAATATAGTTTTCCCTTGGTATAGGTGGGAGACTGGTTCCACAACTCTCCATGGTTATGAAAATCCACAGATGTTCAATTCCCTTATATAAAAT
This sequence comes from Homo sapiens, assembly GCF_000001405.40. Taxonomy (NCBI): domain Eukaryota; kingdom Metazoa; phylum Chordata; class Mammalia; order Primates; family Hominidae; genus Homo; species Homo sapiens. Next base: position 222,544,494 of record NC_000002.12, read on the forward strand.
ATCATAGTATTTGCATATAATCAATGCCTATCCTCCTATACATTTTAAATCATCTCTAGATTATTTACAGTTTCTAATATGTAAATTCTGTGTAAATAGTTGTTATGCTTTATCATTTAGGGAATCATGACAAGAAAAAAAGTCTGTACATGTTCAGTGCAGATACAACCATCCATTTTTCTTTCAAATATTTTTGATCCAAGATTGGTTGAATCCAGATGCAGAACCCATGGATATGGAGGGCCAACTATAATATAGCTCTGTTATTCTGGAAAGGTGCCTGTGACATATTATTAATCTTTTTAAAAAAGAAAGTTACAGAACAGCTTGTACAGTGTGGTGCCAGTGTTACAAAATTGTGAGCGTGTATGGGGTGTTAGTTATGGACAAGGGGCTCTGAAATGCACTTTTAATAGTGGGCCTGACTTGTTATTATAAAATAATAAAGCTATTTTTATTTAATGGACAGAGAGTATTCTTATTCTCCTCCTATCTAAGTATATTTCTCAGTAAGTAATAGCTAATGAAAAATAAAAGCACAATAGCTATTGAATGACTGAACAAGTAATTTTTTGAGCTCTATTATTATTTACATGAGGATTTCCTAGAAGAGAGGAAAGATTTTAGACTTTACTGCAATGAAAAATAGCTCTACTTTTTCCACTGGTACTTGCATTTATTATGATTTCTTTCTTCGCTCCGTGTCTTTTTTTCTTTTTTAAAAACAGAACAACGCTTAATGTAAACTTTGGCAATCAAACAAGTACATGGGTTTCAAAGAGCTTATGGCTTTTTTTTTTTTTTTTGAGACAGGGTTTCACTCTGTTGCCCAGGCTGGAGTGCAGTGGCACAATCTTGGCTCACTGCAACCTCCTTCTCCCAGGTTCAAGTGATTCTCCTGCCTCAGGCTCCTGAGTAGCTGGGATTACAGACATGTGCCACCACGCCTGGCTAATTTTTGTATTTTTAGTAGAGACAGGGTTTCACCATGTTGGCCAGGATGGTCTTGAACTCCTGACCTTAATTGATCTGCCCACCTCTGCCTCCCAAAGTGCTGGGATTACAGGCGTGAGCCACCACACCTGGCCTTCAAAGAGCTTATGTCTTTTGTCTGTTATTGTTTAGGAATCAGTTTTAAAACTCTCAAACTATTGATTTGCAAGATTTCTCTTAATCATTGCAACCCTACCTCCCAAATACAATTGAAAAAGGGAACCATGTTCTCAAAAGAATTAATATCTATCCTTCCCTTCTCTGTGGTGGCTGTTTCAAAATGAGAAATTCCACCTTAAAGAGTTCAGAATTGAGCCGGGCCAAGTAGCCTGTCAAGAGAAATAGCAGATTCCAGCCCATCACAAAAGGGCAAATGGATTGTTTATCCATCACAGCCATAAAACTGCCTGAGAACTGGTCTGTTACCAAAATATATCCTGTTGGTGAATTGATGCACGCTGATTGGATACAGCGACTGTAGAAGAGCAAAGTAGCTGGCTTGCAGCTATGCTCTGAAAATTAGCTAAAGGTCTGGAACTTCATTTCAATTTCAAAACACTGCTAAGGTCTGTGTTTACGTATGCCTGTGGGAATGGTCCTTAAAACATGCTCACTTGGGAAAGGAAATAAACATGTCATGTATCATATGTTTAAATTCACACAGGGTTTCCAGTAAGTGCTATGATTTATTTGATTTTTTTAAAGCCCTGACACCTGCATAAAATTAATTCATGTGCATAGGCCTGTGGCATAGTTGGATTTCCACACCATAATCCTGAGCACTCACCGCATTTCTGAAAGCAAAGGGTCACCCAACCACCACAATCTTGTACCTCATTACATCTTGGATGTCACTTCCCCATTGTAATAACATTAAATGGCTTAACCTTCTGCTCTCTTGAAACATACTTAATAACAAGGATGTCACAATCTCTGTAAGTGAGATTGTCCAGCCTCATCAAAAAGAGAACATGGCCATATTTGACTTCACTGGAACAATCTGCAAAAAACTAACATTTTAAAAATCTCCAGTAATCTCTAGTTCCTAGTATGTAGAAGGGATATAAAGTATTTCCCCAGGGAGTTTTGCTTTTGCACAGGAGCCAGGACTCAACAGCTCAAGCAACATTTCCCAAGGTCAGTGACAAAGGGCTGGGATAGATTTACTTTCCTCTGCATGAGAGCACCCATGTCTCCAGGTCTACAAAGAATTTCCAGATTTTTCTCTTGTGCCTATTTGCGCTTATGTATTACTATATTGGAATATCACTCTAGGACTTTCAAAGACGACAAAAGCACTAATATAATTCAGACGTTTTTATTCTTTTACACATGTTGCAAAAAAAAAAAAAAAAAAGAACATGCCAGAAGCTCTGATGTGTCCCCTTTAGCATGAAGAGCTCACATTGGCCTCTGTGATTTAGTGAGGTGAATCCTCTGACCAGGAACCTCAGTGTCACCTGGGAGTTTGTCAGAAATGCGGACTCTCAGACCCCTCCCAGACCTACTGAATTAGAACCTGCATTTTAACAAACTTCCCAGGAGACCTGAATGCAATATACAGTTTGAAAAGCACTGAAACAGTGTAGATGCACATCCCAGCAAATATGGTGACAATACCAATTAAATGTCAACCTGCATGGGCCTGCTTAACAATTATATAGCGTCCAACGTAACTCTTTTCTGTTCTCTTATTGCTCAGAGGCCCCTCTGCCCACCCAGATTTGAGCAAAATCGCTTGAATGTTTGACAGTGTCTTTGTGTCTTCTAGCAGATTGCCCTTCCCTAGGCTTGTCATTCTCGCAAGCTGCTTAGCAGTTGTCAAAGATGATGTTATAACCTGCCTGGAGGCTTGTTTGATCTAATGTCACAATCCTATTGACCTGCCAAATCCTGTGATCCATTATAATTAGAACGGTTCATATTTATGTGAATTATGGGTGGGGAAATTTTGTCTGTTTCATGAAGACCTCTGTTTGGACTTGTTAGATTCTGTGAAGTCAAGACAAGCAAGTGATTATATCCTAAATCATGCTTCATATGAAATAAAGTTTAGAAATATATGGTATACTCAAATACTTTTCCAGTTAATATTGATATTATACAAAGTATGCAAATTATACTATACTATTATACTATTATATTATCACATCGAGAAACATAATACCTGCCTTACTTACCTTTTAGCAAACCAGCACCATTTAAAGAGAACATACAAAGGAAAGCAAAATTAAAATTATAATTGTTTTTACATGCAATATCCATATTCAGTCATCTAACATAATTTTCCTTATAAATATTTAGTCATATAAATAAACACTGAAATAATTATCTACTTGCTAGGGTATAATTTTTAAATGGTAAAATCATAACTCCCTTCCAAATATAAAATGAATATGTGTGAAAGATTTTATTAAATTCATTAATTAATGAAAGTACCAGTAAGATTTAATGAAGGAACTAGTAAGTATGTATAGACAATCTAATAAAGAAATATTACATTGAGATTTCTGGGTTATATACAAAACTAGTTATGTGTCCTACAGGGTTATTACCATCCTACAGGGCAACAAACTGTAACCTTTGTAGGTTTCATTTCCACCAAATTGAAATTATTTGCATTTCAACCAGATAAAAATCTACCAGCTAACCTGTCATTTCACTAAGTCTGAGATCATTAATCAATAGTAAACAATAAGTTGAACAAAGTACTTTCCCTTTTATAATCCTGGGGTGGCCTTTGCCCCCATATGACATGGAAATCAGGTTTTACCTTCTGTCTATGTTTTGTATAATTTTTCTTAACACACTTATAGAAAACCATCTTCTGTTAAAAATGTCAATTTCAACTGCAGGTTTAAATATGCTCACTTTCCAAGTGGACATTTATTCTAAAATTACAGAAGGTGCAAATTGACATACTTTTTTCTACCTCATGTAGTTACTCCTGAGCCTCAGTCAGTTTTCAGTCTTTTTCAAAGTCTTCTCTTTCCACACCTAGTGATTTTTAGTTCTAGACTTGTAACAATGCTGGGATATCTAAGGTGGCTCAGAGGACGGTCATGACATGGAAAAGACATGCTTTCGGTGACAGAGTGCCCACTCAAAGACCCATTCGTATCAGGCGATTCTACTGCTTTTGCTCATACCATGTGACAGGTAAATCAGCCTCCTGCTTTTGACTGATCCCTATGGACATTGATGTGCTTTCAATAGGAAATTAATATTTTTGAACTTATGCATTCACTCTTCTCCCCTATACATATGCTAATTACATGTAGGTTTCTCTCCGTAATCATTTATATTCATATTCATGAATAATGTTGCCTCCTCCTTGTGATTTGGCTGCTATTGAATCTCATCTGCATTATTCTCAGCAACTGATTTCATTTTGAGCTAGCATAGAAAAGAATAAATATTCTGAGTCTGTTAACTAGGAAACATTGACTGATCTATGACTAAAAGTTATTTTCTAGAGTAACTGCAGTGTTTTGGTTTGTTTCAGTTTGTTTTAATGTCAGTGTCTGCTTGCCTACAAAGCATTCGCAGCATCTGCAAAGAAGTGGGTCTTGGCTTTTACTCTGCTCCTGGCTTCAGCTTACTCTGTGAAGGCAGCCAAGGGCAGAGAAGTCCCTTCACATTCTCAGCAGGGGACCTGGCAGAGGGGAAGATGCCAGAATCATAGAGTTCTCAGCATAAATAGTTTCAAGATCTGAATGCATTCTTTCCTAACAATTGACTGAATGGGTTTGTTCTCTCCCTTTCTTTCTCACTAGCGCTAACCTTGTGTTGTGTTGGCCTGTTCAATAGCATTCTTCAGGGAAGATGTTTGGAGATAGAATGGAAATTTGTCGCAGTAAACTGCATATGGGAATGTGATGTAGGGTCAGAATTAATAAATGCTGGGAGTTTTCAGGTTTAGGGTCTGCTGTTGAGATACCCAGTGATGTTCACTAAAAAAAGGAGTGTTTCTGTTTGGCTAAGAATGAAAACACTCTATTTTATGTGTTTATATAAGCATTTACTTTTAAAATTTGTTCTGATGCTTAGGGTAGCTCTATTAGCATTCTTTTCTACACACTGGAGCTTGTCTGCCTCTATTATTGTTTCCTGTAATGAGAATATAATAAAGCTCAAGCTTTTACCTAAATATCAAGTTTTATAACTGAAAATGAAAATAGATTAAAAAATCAAAGCGATTTAGAACTTTCTGCATTTGAACGTTGGAAAATGTTAGTTTTGTGTAATGATTCCTTTTTTTTTCCAAATAATTTAAAAGGATACATATAAACCTTGGATGGCAAACTGAATTAAAGGTTGACTGTATTTCAAACAATGCAATCCATAGGGTAAGGCTGGAAACACATCTTGTATGCTTTTTCTTTTCTTTTCTTTTCTTTTTTTTTTTTTTGAGACAGTCTCACTCTGTCACCCGGGCTGAATACAGTGGCACAATCTCAGCTCATTGCAACCTCCACCTCCCGGGTTCAAGCAATTCCCCTGCCTCAGCCTCCTGAGTAGCTGGAACTACAGGCACGCGCCACCACGTCTGGTTAATTTTTTTGTATTTTTTGGTAGAGACAGGGTTTCACCATATTGGCCAGACTGGTCCTGAACTCGTGACCTCGTGATCCACCCGCCTCGGCCTCCCAAAGTGCTGGGATTACAGGCATGAGCCACCGCACCCAGCCTGTATGCCTTTATTTTAAAAGTTACTTGGATCATGGAGGAATGGTATATTGCTTATCATATAGATTCTTAGGGATATTTCTTTTTTTGGCATGATGTGAAAATTATAAACAATCATTTCTAGTTTAGTCTGTTTTGAAACACTTTGATTTTCACATTCTGATTTTTTTCCTCCTTGATTTCATTTTATTATAATAAAAATAACAGGTATTGACTAGAAAATTTGGAAGATCCTGGAGTATAGAGAAGATAATAGTCATCTGTAATGTCACAACACAGAGAATAAATTACTCTTAACATTTTTATTTCCTTCTGACATTTTATCCATGCTTACAAGTATATATTTATATAAAATTAGGATCATACTTTCTGTAAAGCTTGTATTCTGTTTAAAACATCTCACTTATGGTTACCTTGAAACCATAGAAAATGAGGTTGCAGAAATTTGTCTTTTCACATGGAAAATGTTCCTGCTATATTATTAAATAAGGCAGCGTGGTTTTTATCTCATTTTTGGTGTAAGCAGCATAATATGCTTGATTTATTGTTCTAGAGTCTTTCTTATTATGATGTATGTTCCATACTTTCTGCATTTTTGCTTGTTTCTGATGTTTCTGTAATGGAGCATGTGTTACTTTTTGGACTTAAATGGCATGAGCTGAAATAACCCAACAAGAACCAAACAGGAATCATCCCTGTATGTAAACTTCATGAGCAGCCTTATTATCGTCTCTGGTTATTTTCTTAGAATCAATTCCTAGGAGTGGAATCACTGGGTCTAGGTGTTTGAATATGCTGTATATTTTGTATACTTTGTAGTCTAGTTATACTTCTCTATGGGAAGGAGTTTTACATTTGTTCTTTGCAAAGTAAAGAATACTTATTCTCACCATTTTTGCTCTCATGTCTTTCCCTTATCATGCCTTTTGCACCATTCTCTTTACCTGTCTTCCATATATTTCTTATGTTCCCTATCAACCATCTGCACTCTTTCCTCTCTTCTCCCTATCCCTCAAATCCACCCGTTCAGGACAGTTATCCCTATTTTTTCCCCTCTGTTACACAGTCATCTGCCCTATAGCTTGTCCTTGCTGTCCTGTAGAACCGTGAACCGTTTTCCCTCTGGCCTCACATACTGTGCCAAGCACTATGCAGCTCCAAAGAAGTAACCTCCTAACTTTGAATATGCAAAAAAATAAAAATAAAAAGAACAGATCCAGTTCAGAGACAGATATTTTGTGAGCTTTCATAGTTTCTGTGAATTTAATAGCTTAAAAAAAAACTAACATAAAAAGTTGTTTTCAAATTTTCAAGTATTTACTGTCTTTATTTTTAGAAACTGTTTGGAATAATTTTATTATAAGAAATTTAGAGACTTATATTAGAAAGCTCATTAGCTAGAGTCCAAGTATTTTCCTTACAAAAATACCTACATGTCTTTATTACAATATCACCTTTATGGCTGAAAATCTCACCGACAGCCATATTAACTAAAATTACTTTTGCCTCAAATGCTGGGGCTATGAACCAAAATAGTCTAGTCTCCTGATGCACTGAAGATGAACAGAATTCATTTATAAAAAATATTTCAACCAGATGTCTGAGAATTTGGTTACAAATCAGCAATTACAAAGGAAGACAAAGGAAAGGAAGACAGATTTTTATTTATATATTGAAACAATGGGTACTAAGTATTATAGATAATTGGGATAAGGGAAAGGCATTCCATTCTTATGCCTTTGGATCCTCATAATTTACCTCCCACTTTTGAGTGACAGCATAAAATGTTTGGTTTTCCATTCCTGAGTTACTTCACTTAGAATACTAGTCTCCAATCTCATCCAGGTTGCTGTGAGTGCCATTAATTAATTTCTTTTTATGGCTGAGTAGTATTCCATTGTATATATGCCACAGTTTCTTTATCCACTAGTTGACTGATGGGCATTTGGGTTGGTTCCACATTTTTGCAATTGTGAATTGTGCTGCTATAGACATGAGTGTGTAAATATCTTTTTCGTATAATGACTTCTTTTCCTCTGGGTGGATACCCAGTAGTGGGATTGCTGGATCAAATGGTAGTTCTACTTTTAGTTCTTTAAGGAATCTCCACACTGTTTTCCATAGTGGTTGTACTAGTTTACATTCCCACCAGCAGTGTAGAAGTGTTTCCTGTTCACCGAATCCAAGCCAACATGTATTATTTTTTAATTTTTTTATTATGGCCATTGTTGCATGAGTAAGGTGGTATTGCATTATGGTTTTGAATGACACAAAGGACTCTGGGGACTTGAGGAAAGGATGAGAGGGGGGCGAGAGATAAAAGACTACAAATTGGGTGCAGTGTCTACTGCTCAGGTGATAGGTACACCAAAATCTCACAAATCATCACTAGAGAATTACTCAAGCCGGGTTTAGTGGCTCATGCCTGTAATCCCAGCACTTTGGGAGGCCGAGGTGGGCGGATCACCTGAGGTTGGGAGTTTGAGACCAGCCTTACCAACATGGAGAAACCCTGTCTCTACTAAAAATACAAAATTAGCTGGGCATGGTGGTGCATGCCTGAAATCCCAGCTACTCAGGAGGCTGAGGCAGGAGAATCACTTGAACCCGGGAGGCAGAGGTTGTGGTGAGCTAAGATCACACCATTGCACTCCAGCCTGAGCAACAAGAGCGAAACTCCATCTCAAACAAACAAACAAAGAATTTACTCATGTAACCAACCACCACCTGTTCCCCAATAACCTATGGAAATAAAACATTAAAAAAGGACAAAAAAAGAGAAATGCATTCCAGTGTCCCAATTCCTGTAACTCAATGTCTGCTACGTGTTAGGCACTAGGCTAGGAGCTTTGTGGAATAATGCAAAGACCCTGACCTTGCTGATCAGACCCTATAATCAACTTAGAAGAAAGGCAGGCAACACACAGCAATAGCAAAAGGCAATGCAAGAAAGGGCTTTTGGAGTCACATTCAGCAAGTGCCTTCACATTCAGTTCAGGGAGAAAGCGAGAGAAAGGTTGGTTCCAACTGTGTTAATACATGAAGATATTTTGGAAAGGAAGTAGCTTTTAAATTTAGCCTTAGAAGCACCAATAAGATCTTGATGGAAGCGATTAAAGTGTGCTGTACATAAAACAAATGCAAAACTTTGACCCTAAAATTGTATTAGGCATATTTGGGAAAAGCAAATAGACGTATGTGAGTGGGGCAGAAAGTTCAAATGGGAAAGTGAGAGAAAACCTGGAAGATAGGTTAATGAAACCCATGTCATAGAAGACTTTGTAAACCTCTATGCTAGTATTTCCGAGTTTTCTATTTAGACTCACGACATCAGAATTAGACTCCTGGGCCACGCTTCTGATCAGAATCATAGGGCAGTACCCTGAATCTGCATTTTAACCATCTTCCTAGGAGATTCCAATGCACACTAAAATTTGAGAACGTTTCCCATTCAAATAACCATCAGGGCAGTGTGGCCTAGAGGTATGAGGAAGAAAGGATTCGTCCTTTTGGACGTCCCTCTGCCAGGGAAGTCTCAAAGCAGCATTCTTTAGCTCTGTGCATTCATTATACATTTAGGTAAAATGACTGTTTTTATCTTCCAGGCTTCGTTAGGGCTCAGACTTGAGTCCAGTGGAGCTGCCTGGGAGGTGATCTGAGTGGCAGAATCTTCTGTCCCCCACAAGAGAGGAGAGGCTTGTTTGCAGTGTGAAGCTCATTGCACCTGGCTCTCCTCCTCCACTCAGAATTCTTATGCCTTTAAAAACACACAAACAGAATGCCCTCAGAGCTTCAGGGGTGAGATTTTATCACACCAACCTGTGTAGAGGACACAGTGAGGGTCCTGATCCCACTCGTGTGGAAGTTGAAAGGCAGATACTGTTTGGAAGAGGAGAGACTGAATTTTATCTTACTTTTTAAAAAGAGGTACTATATTCACATGACACAAAATTCAAAAGGTACACAGGGCATCCTGTGAAAAGTCTCCTTCCTGATTGTACCCAGCCATCCAAGTAGCACCTCTGTGTATTCAAGTTAAAGAGTATCTCTGTATCTGCCCAGCTTTTAAAAATGGAAATGGTAATATACTGTATGCACTGTTCTGCACCTTGCTTTTTAAAATTTCTTGTCAGAGCTTCCTTGTTCTTTGTGCAGTGGCATAGTATTCCACTGCGTGGCTATATCATAGTTCAATTTCATGAGTCCTCTATAGGTGGAACTTGGGTTATTTCCACTGTGATGCTATTACAAACAATACTACAACAGATAGCTTGTAAATATGTCCTTTTAAACGTGAGCAGTTATATCTCTAAGGTCAAGTCCCAGAATGAGATTGTTGGGCTGGAGGATAAATAAATGTGTAATTTTTAAAGCTATTGACAGGCTCCTCCCCATAAATGTTATACCATTTTGCATTCATATGATTAATGAAAAAGAGTCCCAGTTCACCCCTACAGTTTCATTAACAGAACGTTAAACCTCCGCATCTCTGTCAGCAGGGACAGGCGAGGAGTTGATTCTCTGCACGGTTTGTGTGGGAAGGTGGAGAAGGGAGCAACTATACTGGGAACCTCGCCAGGGGTCCAGAGCCTGCTTTGCAGACAGCAGCGGGCATTCAGTGGCAACAAAAGAGAGCACCAGCTTTTTAGTTTTTCTTTACGTGTCTGAAATATATTTTGAAATTTTAATTTAAAAATTAGCAGTAAAATTGACTTTGTTTGGCATAAAGTTCCATGAATGTTAATACATGTATTGATCTGAGTGACCCCCGCCACGATAAAGAACAGTTGCATCATCCTCAAGCCTCCCTCCTCCCATCCCTTCGGAGTCACAACATCCCCCCCACCCTGAAACCCCTAGGCAACTGCTAATCAATTCTCCATCACTATGGTTTTATCTTTTCAAGAATGTTATCTAAATAGAACCATACAGTATGTATCCCTTGGAGCTTGACTTCTTCAGTTCAGCATAATTTCCTGGAGGTTTCATCCAAGCTGTTGCATGCATCAGTAGTGTGTTGCTTTTTACTGCTGAGAAGTATCACAGTTTATTTACCCATTCACCCATTCAGGGGCATTGGGGTTGTTTCCAGTTTGGGCTGATTATTAATAAAACTGCTATAAGCATGCATGTACCATTATTTGTGGGAACATAAGTTTTAATTTCTCCCTAGCATAATTTTCATATTATAAGTAAGCTTAGGGATATTTTCATATATTTAAAAGACATTTGTATTTCCTTTTCTGTTAGCTGCTCATTTCTTTTATCCGTTTTTTTTTTTTTTTTTTTTTGGTGGTTGTTGATTTTTATTTTAGAAAGATTGGTTTAAGGGAGCTGACAGGACATCCAGATGGAAATGTTTAGCATTCAATCAAAAAATGCAGGCCTCAATTTTGAGAGAGAGGCTCAAAGATGTGGATTTGAGAGGCACACTGATAGGGAATGGAGAGTTGAAGCCAGGGAGCGATGTAAACTCGAGAGAAACACACAAGGCTCAAAGACAGAATCTGCAAATGCCCATGTTTAGGATGCAGAAAGAGGAGGATGTAAAGGAAGAAACCAAGAGACTTCTTAGAGGTCACAGAAGAACCAGGCTATTTCAGGGTAACATTAATAAAAGCTGAATTTTAAAGGTCTGATAAGTAAAGGGTTTAAATCCCAGAGCACAATGTCAAGAGAAAGAGAGAACATCTTTCTCCAAGAATTCCAAATAACAGTCCTGCAGTTCATTCTGATTGTTGTAGCAAGGTCACATGATTACCCCTGCGCTATTCACTATGAAAGGAATTCAGTGCGTTGATTGGCCTACCTAGGTCATGTGCTTCAACTCCATAATTTCCCAGAACCTCATGGATCCCCAAGGGGAAATATGGGGCTGTTGGAAGACTTAGATGCTGAAGAAACAGCCAATGAATGTCCAGTGAGTGGCCTTTGAGAGTGGCGTATCATCTGAGTGCAGGAGCTTAGAAGCAGCTGCACATTAAGTTGAGAGACTGGAGGCAACATGTGTAGAAAACCCAAAGAGTTTGGCTCAATTTTGGTAACCAAGAAGCCTATATGAAGGATTTTTCTCCCCAAAATTAAGGCAATATCAGTGCATATTCATACACCCAAGAAAAGAAACCACAGGGAGGGAGGCTGCAGAGATGGTGAAGCGTGAGGGGATGGTGGAGGGGAACTGAAGTGCGTACTGGTAAAGCCCTGGAGCCAGGTGCAGGCGGTCAGGACACTCAACTCTTCCTCTGAAAGGCAGTCTCCCCCCAACCCCGGCTCCGTCCACTCTCACTCCCCCGCATCCACTCTCACTTCCCCCACACCCTCATTCCTCCCCTGACCACCCTCACTCCTCCCTCCCTCACTCCTTGCCTACCACCCTCACTCCTCCCCCATCCACCCTCACTCCTTGCCCATCCACTCTCACTCCTCCCCCATCCCCCCTCACTCCTCCCCATCCCCCTCACTCCTCCCCCACCCACCCTCACTCCTCCCCCTCCACCTTCACTCTTCCCCCCACTCCTCCCCCATCCACCCTCACTCCTCCCCCATCCACCCTCACTCCTCCCCATCCACCCTCACTCCTCCCCATTCACCCTCACTCCTCCCCATCCACCCTCACTCCTTCCCCATCCACCCTCACTCCTCCCCATCCACCCTCACTCCTCCCCATCCACCCTCACTCCTTCCCCATCCACCCTCACTCCTCCCCATCCACCCTCACTCCTCCCCATCCACTCTTACTCCTTCCCTATCCACCCTTAGTCCTCCCCCATCCACCCTGACTTCTCCCTGCCCCCATCCACCCTCCCCACTGCAGTCAGACAATCTTTTTAAAGTGAAAACCCAGTCATGTTGCTACCCAGTGAGAGCTACTTCAGGGCCTCAGGCTGCTCCCAGGACGTAGTACTCATGGCGTGGGTTGGACTTTAGGGCCCTGTGTGAAGTGGCTCCTGCCTGTGTTCACTCTCTCTCTCCAGCCCCCAGGGACCATCAAGATCCCTCACTGGCCTCTTTCCCTCTGAAATAATGGTAACTGCCTGTCTCTTTACCAGACCGTGAGGTCCAGGACAGGTGGGGATGGTGTATGTTTGGTTCACGTGGATCCTCTAGCACTGTGTTTGGCAAACAGTAGGCACTCATACTTGACCACTGTATGAAGGATGGATGGATGCCCACTAATCTGTGAAACTTGCTGTTGCCTTAGTGATTATTTCTAAGATCTAATTCTCACCCATTGTTTATCCAAATCAGATGTCATTGTATTAGACACTAAGCAAGAAAAATAAATAATGAAGTTATTAGAAAAAGCAAGACCAAGTCTTAGAATTCTATTATACATATAGGAAAAAAAGAATATATGGAAACATGCAAACTTAGAGAAAGTGCTTAACTCTAGGTATTGAAACTAAGAATCGATTAATTATATTGTGCAAAGAGAAGACTAAGGAAAGAGGGAAATGTGGGACATCAAGGAGTTAAAGATATTTTAAGCAGGGAAGGAAGGAGGCGATGGAATAAAGCAAGCCACTGTTCTAAAGAATGGGATTAATTAAATAAAGCATGGTACAACTGCTCAATGAAATTGTATGCACGCTGTTTGAAATCCTGTCTCTGAAGGTGGGGTAGTAGTGTCAAGGCTGACGCAGAAGAACTTTGGTGCTACCACATCCAAATGTCTCCTCAAACCACCCCAAAGGAACATGTCCTCTACATAACACTGATGTGCTTGCTGTGTATATTTGGCTCCCCCAGAAGCGAGCTTCCTCCTTTAGCCAGCCTGCAGCCCAACCCCCAGGTGGATGAAAGGATGGTGACACCTCGGTGAAGACGGTGACAGTATTTGTGATATAAGTGTCGAAATACTAGATTTATATAAGTTTGAAGGACAATGAGATTACAGTTATTCATTAAGAAAACAAATACAGAATTTATTCCAAAAGGTAAAAAAGGTGAAAGAAGATACGTAACATGAGTAGTATGGTTGTTGGAAGCATTTTTTCGTATTTTCACTTCAAAGTTTTAGAACTTTACACTTTCTTTGAACATGTACTGTAAAATAAAACAATGCAAAAATTGTGTTTTAAATATCAAATTAGCCATACTTGATTCAAATTATACCTGTATACAAGGAAACACTCATTGGTTCACACTGTTCTTTTCTCTCCTTCCCAAAGGATGTGCTGGGTGGCGTCCTGATCACCGCACTCCTCATCGTCCTCACCTACCCTGCCTGGACCTTCATCGACTGCCTGGACTCGGCCAGCCCCCTCTTCCCCGTGTGTGTCATAGTTGTGCCATTCTTCCTGTGTTACAATTACCCTGTTTCTGATTACTACAGCCCAACCCGGGCGGACACCACCACCATTCTGGCTGCCGGGGCTGGAGTGACCATAGGATTCTGGATCAACCATTTCTTCCAGCTTGTATCCAAGCCCGCTGAATCTCTCCCTGTTATTCAGAACATCCCACCACTCACCACCTACATGTTAGTTTTGGGTCTGACCAAATTTGCAGTGGGAATTGTGTTGATCCTCTTGGTTCGTCAGCTTGTACAAAATCTCTCACTGCAAGTATTATACTCATGGTTCAAGGTGGTCACCAGGAACAAGGAGGCCAGGCGGAGACTGGAGATTGAAGTGCCTTACAAGTTTGTTACCTACACATCTGTTGGCATCTGCGCTACAACCTTTGTGCCGATGCTTCACAGGTTTCTGGGATTACCCTGAGTCTCAAACAGTTGGAAACTAGCCCACTGGACATGAAAGCCAAGACATAGGAAAGTTATTGGTAGGCAAATCTTGACAACTTATTTTTCTTTAACAACAACAAAAAGTCATACGGCTGTCTTGCTACTACCAGATAAATGATGCTGCTGTGTGAAAGGAAGAACTGTCTCATAGCGGTCATTGGTCGTCCGTGGTGGTTGGTTGTGCTACAGTTGAACCCAGGCTAAAGACCATAATCCGGATCTTTAAAGGCACACACCGCGCCCCCCCCCCCCCCGCCCGGCCCCTGCTCCTCTCGCTGTTGCACGGGCTTTGGATCTAGTCATGGGCTGGCAGGAATTGTGGCCTGGCTTAGGAATAGCTATGAGCCCCACTGGGTTCTGGAGAGCCAGTAGAGATGGGGTGATCTGGGAGGCTGGAGGTAGAGCCTTTCTTTTCCGTTACAACCTTGCCTAGCATGGAGTTATTTCTAAAATGGGAACTTTGGTCTAGGAGAAGGGGTGGCACCATATGAAACGGCATTCCTTGGACAGGGTGACTTCCTTATCGTTTATTTGGTGATTTTTTGTTTTGTTTTGTTTGAGACAGGATCTTGCTCTGTTTCCCAGGCTGTATTACAGTGGCACAATCTCAGCTCACTGCAAACTCTGCCTCCCGGGCTCAAGCAATCCTCCTGCCTGAGCCAACTGAGTAGCTGGGACTGTAAGCATAGACCACCATGTGCCCAGCTAATTTTTGTAGAGACAGGGTTTCTCCATGTTGCCCAGGTACGTCTGAAACTCCTGGGCTTAAGTGATCCACCCACCTCAGCCTCCCAAAGTGCTGGGATTATAGGCATGAGCCACTGTGCCCGGCCTCCTCCTTGTTATGATCAAATTAGACTGTGCCTGGTTGGGTGGTAAGATCACTCTGAAAGAAAGCTCACTGTGAAGAGATGAAAGGTGGAGGCAGAGCTGTGAGGTCATGGGGAAAAGCCTGCTTTCCTTATAAGTCCTGCTGTTCATGTTGGAATAAGGATCTGCTCTTCCTTGTTTCCATGCATTTTGCAGGATTCCAGGTACCATTACCACACTCTTCTGACCCATGAAACCAACTGGCTGCTCACACATCACCAAACAGGTTGGGGGTTAGCCTTCAGCACAGGTGGATACATCTGGGATTCACTGAGATTCCTGCCCTCTCCTGCTTCCTAGTGGTTTGGGACAGGCCCTCTGCCCATCGTCAGCAGTTTTTTGCTTTCATACAAACCTGGAAGGCACTGGCATCTGCCTAGGAAAGTGGATCTGTGAAGAACAGATGAACTCAATCCTTTCTGGAGTCTGACAAAGAAGGGATAGGCTTCCTTGACATTGCCTGTCCTGACAAGGCCTCCCTGACATTACTCCTCCAATTTCACAGTTACCTTCTGTAAATCTATTTTCTCATCTACTGAATAGAATCAGGCGCCCTTTTTGTCTTCCCACCTCTTATCTCTTGGCAATTTTAAGGGGAATTAATGCAAGAACAACTTTAGTGTCTCTTGGGAAAACAAGCCAACCAAATACAAAACCCATTAAGCCTACTAGGGTGAGTCCTCTTAACATGGGAAGGCGATGATTATGCAAACACCGGAGTTCCCTCCTCTTCAGTTCCTAAGAATAAAGAACAGGTATCAAGAACTTTCTTTAAAGTTAGTGTAACTATAGTTAACAAAGTATCCATTGAAGTTTAGTGCCTGTAGGACTGAGCCAGTGCTTTATCAACCCAACACATCATCACCATGTGCATACTCTAGAAAAAAAAATAGCTTCCTTAAAAGTTACAGAGGCTCTTAACGTGTTAAAACCGAAAAATCACATTTTTCTTGATTTCAAATATGTTCTACGGCCTTACTGTTGGGATGATATTTAGTATGTAACTTAGCATTCCAATTTCTCAAGAATTTTTAGGCCGGGTGCGGTGGCTCATGCCTGTAATCCCAGCACTTTGGGAGGCCGAGGTGGGCGGACCACGAGGTCAGGAGATCGAGACCATCCTGGCTAACACGGTACCCCGTCTCTACTGAAAATACAAAAAAATTAGCCGGACGTGGTGGAGGGCGCCTGTAGTCCCAGCTACTCAGGAGGCTGAGGCAGGAGAATGGCGTGAACCCGGTGAGCGGAGCTTGCAGTGAGCCGAGATTGCGCCACTGCACTCCAGCCTGGGCGACAGAGCGAGACTCTCTCAAAAAAAAAAAAAAAGAATTTTTAGCAAAACATCCTGTTTTTACTTAAAATTCTTCTCATATTTATTATAGTTAGAAGGCAAAGATCAAGATGACCTGCCGTTTGACTGCTTTTACATCAAACTCTGCCCAGTATTTGCAGCACAACTCAGGGGAAGGGCCTTAGCTTACAGGTACTCCCAGCCTTCATCTGCCCCTGCAGAGCAGTGGCTGTCAGCCGGATGCGGCACTTTTCTGTATTTTCATCCACACAGCTGCCCAGCCAGAGTTCGCAACACTGGATATTTACACCAAATAATTGTGGTTGACTTGTCTGAAGCCAGCTGACAAAAGGATCAGCTTTTCCCACTTGTATTTTTTAAAAAGAGGGATTGTGATCATTGTCACAGAGTGGGTGCTGGCCTCTCATATATATGATATATATATATCATTTTATATATATATATATATCATATACATAATTTTTACTGCTGTCTCTAGTTTTAAGTCCCAACAATAGGAAGGCCGATCAGCTATATTGATATATTTAAGGCTGTACTTAACTAATTTGGGCTGAGGATGAATATATCAGCCACAGCACATTAAAGAATGAGCCAAGGATTTGTCATGGTTGGTCACTTTTTAAAGTATTTGATTACTGCAACTGGAGAATGAAAAGTGTATATTGGTGACGCCAACCTCAGTTTCTGAGCACTCCTGCTCTGTGGTGAGAATCAGACAAAAATTCATCGGGGTGAAAAAGGCATTACCTGATTCACACCCTTGTCTTGCTAGCCCTCTTCCATTCATTTCTCACACAGCACTTTGCTCTGTTAAATCCTCTCTCTGTCTCAGACCATTGCTTGCCCCTTCAAAGGGTATGGTTCAGGCTCCTTTCAAGACATTTGGAGTTTCTCTCTGGGGAAAGAGAGCCCCCTACTGGTTTGGCTTCAGTCTAGGTCCACCATCCCTCTCGATCTGGCATCTTGGAGATTAATTTAAAAGGCAAGCTCACCACAATGTAAGCCTATGGTCTGGCCAACCTTGCTTTTGGGAACTGTGACACCAAAGCCCCCAGGACTATCTGCCTCTCCAGGAGCCAGATAGAATGACATGCCTTTTTCCTAATTGTCCACATTCCACCCCCAACCCACTGCCACTGTGGGCCAAGCCATCCATCTTGCAATCTTCATCTAAAACAGCTCTCATTTCATGCCAGTTTTGCTCAAACCTGCACCGTCACAAGATATTCAGAAGATGAAAACGTAGAAGACACCCCTGAATTAAAAACACTTACATAGCAGTGGCTGGAATTACTCCAAAACGTGCCCAGTGATCGCACTGTAACATGGGATTTTCTCACCCAAATAGGCAACTCATGCTTCCTGAGTGTAATCAAAGCATGTGGTGTTTTGGGGCCATATGCACCAGGTTTCTATTTTAGAAACCTTCAGCTGTCTTGCTTATGTACTGTATGTAAATTTATTCTTTTTAAAAATCACTTTTATTTGATTTTGACTTATTAAATGCTTTAAAAGCCAGTGTTCTGTTTCCTTGCATTTTTTTCTTAACGTAGATCTTTTTCTCTGAATTCATTGGACCTGAGTTGAAAAGGGGACAAAAATAAGAGGCAGGCTACATAATTCTCTGTTCTTGTCATAATCCAATCATGTGCAAATGTTGGAGAGCCTTGGAGGACCCACAGGTGTGGTAACAAGAAAGAAGTGGCATGTTGGCATCCTTAAATCCCCTCCTCTACTCCATGATACTAAAGAACCTCCTTTTACTTTATATGGAGTTAAATGTCACTATGTTTTGAAAGGTAAATGTTGTAAGTTTTGCTAGTTAAGGTAAGTAAAAGGTTTTTAGAGATGCGTTCTCTATCTGCTGAACCAAATAAACATAACCGTCATTCAAATTCACAGTGTATCACTGCAATGATGTGGTCTGCCTTTAAGCATCCCAAATTTGCTATTTGAGATGGTACATACAGTTGACACTGCCCCTTATTTGCAAGGGCAGACCTAGGACTCTATTTGTACTTTGAGCAGGACATATGAGATGTAAAGCTCCAACCTATCCTGTGCAGTTTTCGCAGGACAGAGAAGACACAGGGGCAGAGAATTACAATTCAGGAGCCAAATGGTTAAGGCTGTAGGGAAGAGAAAACAACGACATGGGAACTGGGAGGAGGGGTAGACTGCATGAGCGAGGTTTAGAGAACAGATGGGGTTTGCACAGGGAATGTGACGGGAAGTAGGTAGGAGATGGTACTCCATGGCTAGAGAACAGCGTGTCTGAGGCACTTCCCAAACACCTCCAGCTCTTACAAGAAAAAAAACCAGACCACGTTGGTGATCGTAAGAATAACAGTGGTGGTGGTGGTGGTGAAATAAAGGATGAGCATAGGGCTGTGACACCGCAAAATCAAACCACACGAACAAGAAGTGTGAGAAGGCCCTCCCAGAGGGGGTGACGTCCAGAGGTGACTTCACAGACTCCTTTCATCACTCCTCATTCAAATACAGTTGCCCCTTGAACAACTCGGAGCTCAGGGGTGCCAACCTCCTATGCAGTAAAAATGCATATAACTTATGACTCCCCCAAAACTTAACTACTAATAGTCTGCTGTCAATGGGAAGCCTTTCTGATAGCACAATCAGTAGATTACCACATATCTTATGTTATAGGCATTATATATTGTATTCTTACAATAAAGTAAACTGGAGAAAAGAAAATGTTAAGAAAATTGTAAGGAAAATACATTTACCCTTCATTAAGTGGAAGGGGATCATCGCAAAAGTCTTCATCCTCATCTTCATGTTGAGGAGGCTGAGGAGGAGGAAGAGAGGGAAGAGGAGGGGTTGTTCTTACTGTGTCAGGGGTGGCAGAGGCAGGAGAAAATCCACATACCACTGAATGTGTACAGTTCAAACCCATCTTGTCCAAGGGTTAACTGTACTCACCAGTCAGCCCGAGCACCTTCCCCGTCTGCCATCTCTGCACGCACAGCGTCATTCCCATCCTTCTTGTTCCTCTCTTGGCAGACATGACCAACAGCTGGGACCTCCTTCTGTGTCCTTCATGCCCACTCCCTTCCCCCGTCTTCTCTTTGCTCAGTTCCCTGAACTAGTCATGTGAAACTTCATTTTCAAAATATTTTACCGTGATCCTGGCTCTTCAGAGAACTTCAAAATGCTTCAAAATGCTCCAAGTCTTTCTTTAATGATTGTGAATGAAGCCCTCATCCTCTAGTAAGAAGCTACCCAAGAGCCAAGTGGAATAGCAACATACACATATCTCATTTGAGACAAGAGATGTTTTTTCCTCGAAGCTGCTTGTGTTTTGATTTTTTTAAACTTGAATTTTAACTGCACGTATGGGTTTGCCATTAGAATTCCAGTTAAAATTTGGATTCTTCATTTCTGTGAACATAAGGCTTTAATGGGTGACTCTGTGCACACCATGCATCCATTGTTTTCTTAAAATGAGACACACCTGTAGTACAGACTTGGATATTTACAGAATGCACATTAAGAAGAATCAGAGTTAAATGTAGGCCATGAAGAGAATGCTAAATTCTTAAAACTGTAGCCACGTGAGACAGGGAGCTATACAAAGCCAAAAATAATTCTTCTTTTTCCAAGCCTGTCTATATGGCATGCAAAAAAACCAAGAAAAGTAAGGATGTAGCTAGGAGTTCCACTGTAATGCTTCTTTAACACACGCACTCAACACATCTGCTGGCCTTGCTCTCTGTATGGCAAGCCAGATTCTGCCCAATGCAGGTGTTCAAATGTCAATGCCTCTTTAATATACACAAAGATGGCCTCAGATCATTAGGGGTGAGCCAGGGTGAAAAGTGGGTCCTGCCTTAATGCCCATGCCTGCAAGAGTCTTATAATCTACCTGTATCCATGAGTGCAGATAGGAGTGAAGCCTCTTGGGCTTCCAGTCTGCAATGTCTCTGTCACGTGGAAACCTGATGGGTGCCACTGTGAGTGGGGCCAATTATGCACAGTGCACACTAAACACAGATCATTTTAGCCTTCCTAACTGGCCACTAATAAAAAGACGCTGAAGTATCCTGAAGATCAAAGAGAGATTTCCACCATGCCTCAATACAAACCCCAGTCCGGGCCTCTGCATGACAGGTGTTGTGCCTAGTGTTTTACACAAGTCATCTCACCTACATGATTTGCTTAAGGGGCACCTCTCTGTCTGGCTCTCTTGTCTCATCTGCCCCAACGTCACCCAAGTGCTCCTTGTTTAAATGTTCTGCCCAAGACACACAGCCAAAAAATCTCTAATCCCACCTATCTCCACTGGGGCTTTTTCTCTGACCTTTCCAGCACGAAATGTGACTGTTTATTCCGTGTGTCACAACTGGTTTCTTGTCAGCCCTAAGTAGTTGGTTATTGTAGGGACAGGCATATTTTATTCCTGACAAAAAGCTGTGCCATGTGGAAATCAGAACATTTCTTTTGCTATCAGGCTTGATATCAACCAGGCACACTTTCTCCACATCTTCACCTTCCCACCTAGAAGGCCAGATTTACTTCATGTCTGCAAGTCCTCTGATTCCAGCGGTGTATGCGGCAGCTCTCTTGCATAGCCTTGCCAGCGCTCCTAACGTGATGGATTCTTCCGAATGTTTTTTCTTTTCTTTTTTTCTTTTTTTGAGACAGGGTCTCACCGTGTCACCCAGGCTGGAGTACTGTGTGGTGCAATTCTGGCTCACATGGCAACTACAGGCGCACACCACGCCTAGCTAATTTTTGTATGTATGTATGTGTGTGTGTGTGTATATATATATATATATATATATTTTTTTTTATTTTTATTTTTTTTATTTTTTGTAAAGATGGGTTTTGCCATGTTGCCCAGGCTCGTCACTAACTCCTGGGCTTTGGTGATCTGCCTACCTCAGCCTCCCAAAGTGCTGGGATTACAGGCATGAGCCACCACACTGAGGCTTCAAATGTTTTCTCCTGGAGATTCATGCCTTTCCTGCCTTTCTTCAATAGAAACAAGGAAGGCCAAACCTTACAGACGAAGAATGAAAAGCTTGAGTGTGAACCTTGAGTATATTCTTAGCACACTCCATTAGTCACTTCAGAAGAAAAAAAAACCTACAGGGTTTGGTCAGACATAATTCAATTAGACCCTTTGCTGGAGATACTTACTCAACCCACAGTCTAGCTACAATATTCACTCATCCTTTCTGCCTACTAGAAAGCCAAAGCAGAGAATACCTGAACATGAAGTAGACATCGCGGAGACTCAAACCGCTTTGCTTCTGCGTTGCCCTTCTTGCTGCCTGGCCCATTTGTCAAGCACAGTCATTTGACAGCTCTTCTTTTATCTAAGCAGGTCATGTTCCCTACATGGACTCTGGTCAGGGCAAAACACTAGGCACAGCACCTGTCAAGCGGAGGCCCGGACTGGGGTTTGTATTGAGGCATGGTGGAAATCTCTCTTTGATCTTCAGGATACTTCAGTGTCTTTTTATTAGTGGCTAATTAGGAAGGCTAAAATGATCTGTGTTTAGTGTGCACTGTGCATAATTGGCCCCCCTCACAGTGGCACCCATCAGGTTTCCATGTGACAGAGATGCTGCAGACTGGAAGCCTAGGAGGCTTCACTCCTATCTGCGCTCATGGATACAGGTAGATTAGGGAACTGCTACAGACTGTCCCAGAGGTGTACTGCTGCCTTGAATTTTATCATGCATGCCACTCTCTACTTTTTGAATGCAAGTTTTCAATAATGTGTTTTAGTTTGCTGGGACTGTCACAACAAAAGACTATAGGCTGGGTGGCTTCAATAAAAGAATTTTATTTCTCACAGTTCTGGAGGCTAGAATTTCAAGATCAAGGTGCCAGCAAAATAGGTTTCATTCTGATCCCTCTCCTAGCTTGCTGGTGGCCACCATGTTGCTGTGTGGTCATATCACCTCTTCTGTATGTGTGCGCCAGGTAGGCAGAGAAACAGAGCAAGCTCTCTGGTGTTTCTTCTTATCAGGCCACTGAGCCTTTCATGAGGGCCTCCCTCTCATGACCTCATCTAGCTCTAATCACCTGCCAAAGGCCTCATCTCCAAAGACCATCACACTGGAGGTCAGAGGGTCAACATGAATTTGTGGGGATACATTCAGTCCATAATAATATACATAAAGTTATTCAAGGCCCTAATAACATAATAAGCCAGAACTTGGATATCAGATGGGTCAAAGGCTTTCAATGCTTAGGAGGCATATTCTGCTTAAGGCAATGGTGTCCCTTGAAGGCTATCTGTTTGCTTTTGGATAAAATGGACAGAAGGGCCAAAGTAAATACTCAAGTATTAGGGTTAGTGATGTTATATAAAACACCAAGCACAAATAGATTAAGATTGAGAAGCAAGATTGTGAGTAATGTTCTCTCTTACCAAGCTGATGAGCCCATCATTGCTGAGAGCAGGGGCAGTGGTTAGGCTGGCTGGTTTGTAGTAGATTACTCCTGTTTAAAATGTGAGAACAGTCATTCAACATGTTTTAAATTCAAAACACATCCTTTGACCTAGCGACTTCTACATCTAAGATGTAAGGTACTGGAATAATATATAGTTCAAGTACAAACGTCACATCAAAGAAATATCTAATGAACTCTATGCATCTCTGAATGTGTCTGTCAAATGTGGATATTTATACAGTCTTGCACCCATTAGGACTGGTTTTCCTTGGGGTCCTAAGCCAGTGCTATTTAGCAGGATAGGGGGTTCATTGGAGCAGTGTTTATAATTGCAAACAGTTGGAAACAACTGAATGTCCACCAACAAGGGAATAATTGAACAATTACGGACATCTGTACAATAGAATATTACCTCATTTAAAAGAATGAGATAGGTCTATAGGCACTGACCTGAAAAAATGGGGCATATTAAGTGAAATGTCATGAGATATATGTAAAATAAAAAACAAAACTTGTTGCAAACCAGTAAGTAGAGCATGACCCCCAAAAATGTGAGCAGGTGTGTGTGGCTGACTGTACAAATCAAGGAAAATGTCCAAACTAAGGAACAATACAGGCTAAATTGTTAACAGCAGTTAGTTACTTCAGGGAATCAGGAGGAAGAAAGGTAGATTAACTCAGTAAGGCCACAGTTTGCAGAGTTTTTTTAAAGTATTGGACTTAACAATTTTTAACTTTTTGTCTCCCATTATTTTTATATTTTTAAAAAGTGTAGAAAGTCCCATTATTTACTTTCGCATAAATAAGTAAATAATGCAAATCAGTGAGTGGTCTGTGGACTCCAAGTCACTCTTTTATAGTGTCTCAAACTCATTTATTGGCTATGTGACTTCTGAGTAAGTTATTGATCTCTCTGAAACTCAACTGTTTTCACCCTACACATCAGGGAGAATTCCTACTCTCATACCGTTATTAAACCAAAAAAATTAAAATGTGAAAAAAGATCAATTCAAAAATAATTTAAAAACAGAAGAGCAGGCTGGGCGCCTGTAATCCCAGCACTTTGGGAGGCAGAGGTGGACAGATCGCCTGAGGTCAGAAGTTCGAGACCAGCCTAGCTAACGTGGTGAAACCCCGTCTCTACTAAAAATACAAAAATTATCCAGGCATGGTGGCACACACCTGTAGTCCCAGCTACTCGGGAAGCTGAGGCAGGAGAATTGCTTGAACCCAGGAGGTGGAGGTTGCAGTGAGCCAAGATTGTGCCATTGCACTCCAGCCTGGGTGACAGAGCGAGACTCCGTCTAAAAAAACAAAAAACAAACAAAACTAGAAGAGCACTGCAGGACTGTGAGGCTGTAGTGGTAGAATTTAAGTTTTTTCTAAGCTAGAACAAAAATCAATTCCATTTAATTTTCACTTTAATACTAGAGCTCCCAGTTTTTACTAAGAAGGTGTGCATCTTCTGTAATAAAGGCTTTTGGCAGTACTCACAGACTGCCCTGGCTCCAGTTCAAATGCTTCACCAGGGACAAGTGTAAGATGATCTGGCTGCAGAGCCTCGACTCATGAGCTGGATTCGCTTCTTCCAATGCAGCCGACACTGTTTTTCTGCCTACCATTTCCTGCTTCCGAGGGCAGAAACATCTACATGATGCATGGAGTTGATCTTTCCCCTTTCATGCTGGGATATACAATTAGGCATTAGTGGGTTTTTCATTACAAGTAATTTTGGCCACCCCCAAAAATATCCAGGTGGGTAGCTGCTGACAGAACAAATGGTTCCACCTACTTCAACAAGGGCTATCATATGATGATCCATAAGCCATGATTTTAACTAGAGCGAACCTGAAACTAAGGGAGAATATATCATTAATAGCTGTGGACCAGTGAGCCACCTTGAGCACAACTGCCAATTCTACAGTTCAGGCTATTTCTCTAGGCATTTATCAACTGGTGTTATGTAGTTAAAATCAGTAAAATACTACATGTTACATTACATTCTTTTTCTCCCAGCTTTACAAAGGTATAACCTACACCTGAAGTACACCTACCACCTCAATTAAGATAAAATTTCCATCACCCCAAAAAGTTTTCTCTTAACCCACTGCAGTCAGTTCTCTTTCCTGAGGTCCTGCCGACCACCTGCTTTTGACTTTTTTAGACTCTCAGGTAAATAGAATTAAATAGAGTCTTTTGTGTCTCTTGCTTTCACTTAGCATACTGTTTTGAAATTCATTCATGTTGTTTTGAGGATCAGTAGTTCATTCCTTCTTATTGCTGAGAAGTATTTCATAGTATGGATATACTGCAATTTGTAACTACTATAAGTAACACTGTGAACACTTGCATAAAAATCTTTGGCCATATGGGTAAACCTAGGAATAGAATGGCTAGATGGTAGGTGTATGTTTCAAGAGACTGCCAAGCTGTTTTCTAAAGTCACAATGTAACATTTTACATTGTGACTCACCAGCAGTGCATGAAAGTTCCACTTGCTCCAGTCTCAGCAGTATTTGATTTATGAATCTTAAATTTTAGCCATTTTAATGGGTATGCAGTTTGTCATTGTGAATTTTAGTTGCATTTCCCTGATGACTAACGATGTTGAGGATCTTTTCAAGTGCTCATTCATATGTCATCTTTTGGGAAATGTTTGCTCAACTCTTGCACATTTTTAAAAAACAGTTGTTTTATTTTTACTATTAAGTTTTATTATTAAGTTTTAAGAAATCTTTATGCATGCTGGATACAAGTCCTTTTGGCATGCATTATTTTTAGAGGGCATATTTCATTTTTAAAATGTTGTAAGGATCTGCTTATAACAGAGCTGTGAAGGGTCAGCTGGAAGTGTGTGTGTTCACAAATCTTACAGAGTTAGACACTGCTGCCCCAATTCAAGGTTGTAATATGGTCAGGTTTTCTCCTAGTAGTAGACTCAGCAAAAGATCCATAAACATAATTCTTATTTCACTATCTTTGTTAGCTACTTCTTCTTTTTTTTTTTTGTAGACAGAATCTCACTCTGTCACCCAGGCTGGAGGGCAGTGGCACAATCTGGGATCACTGCAACGTCCACCTCCTGGTTCAAGAGATTTTCCTGACTCAGCCTCCCAGGTAGCTGGGACTGCAGGCCCACACCACCATGCCTGGCTAATTTTTATATTTTTAGTGGAGATGGCATTTCACCATGTTGGTCAGGCTGATCTCGAACTATTGGCCTCAAGTGATCTGCCCACCTCAGCCTCCCAAAGTGCTAGGATTACAGGCATGAGCCACAGCGCACCCAGCCTTTGTTAGCTATTTCTACTGGGACTTTAAAGTATTATATTTTATCATATTTCTTATTACTTCAATAGTACCTGGGAACTTGTCTCAAACATGAGACCCAGCTTTTTTCCAGAGATGGTACCTACTGGAGAATTCTAGATTGAAGTAAGAAAGGAAATTAGGATATAAAACAAGGAGGATTGGCTGAAGCTTAGCTTCAGAAAAAGAGAGGTCTAATATCTCCCTGGGACAATAGAGAAACTAGTAGCTCAATTAAGTATTTAAAACCATGATTTTATAACTGACTGATTACAGTAACATGTATGGCCTATGGCAAAAATAAGCTTCTCATTGTTTCCTAATGTTCATACTGCATTGATATCAATACTTGTCCATTTTAACTCTTACAGCAGAACAGATCTTTGTTGCATGTACTCTATCTTAGAGTATCACAGATAGAGTAAAAAATACCTATGCACCCTCACATATTTTGAATCCTTGTATTACAGATTTTTCTTTCACTTTAAACTGACCTCAGAAGCTATAATTGTTGGACCATAATTGATTCTTAAACGTTTTCTAAAAATATTGTTATTTTAGTGTTTCTCAATGATGAATACATGTCAAATGTAGAAAATCAAAGCTAAACCCCTCAGTTATCTCGAACTCATGCAACATGAATTCTCATCGATTATCTTGTTTTATCAATAAGGAAAGAAATGGGATCTTGTTATGCAGGAGTAATCCGTTCCAATGTGATGTTCTGATGTCTGAGGAGCACGTCTGCCTTTCAGAACAGATCCTGCACTCTGCTAGTGCATTTCTCCAGCACTCCACGGGGCTTTTACCCAACAATGCAGCTTCACACACAGACACCACACTGGTATATGGCACAAGCTGGCCTAATATGCAGGGAAAGGATGGTCTCTACCCACACAGCCAGACAGTGCTTTCTACTTTATTAAACATCAAAGCCCAAATAGATGTTCCCTGTGGAGGAGGACTTAAGGACACTAGGGGAGGAGAAAGGGACACCTGGGAAGAGAATCACACCACAGAGACCAATCTTCACAAAAAGGGTCCAACATTGATTTCTAGGGAGGAGCAGGGCATGGTCAGCTCAAATTTGGTGATAACGTCAGGATGAAGGACCCCAAGCTTCCCGACGCTTTGACCCCTGGCAAAGATCTCTGCACATCGCCCGGGGAAGAAAGCAGGCCCTGAAAAAGAGAAAGTAAGAGAAAAATCAATGTTTCTTCTGGCAAAACATCAATAGACATTTAACACTAAAAGCCCACTAGTCTACTTTAAAAATAACTATTCTTTAAATCACTGGCTATGAAAAGAGAACGCTTCCTCATACTTTCTAGTATTTAAAAGAAGGATTTGCTATCAAGAAACTCTTGCAAGGAAAAAATCCGGGGCAAATATGAAAATAAGGGCCCTGTATTTTTGGTAACAGGGACCCGAGCAGGAAGGATGAAATCATGGAGGCTGCTGAAGGTCCACAGTCAGAAGTCCTAGGGGAACTCTGCCTGCACTTGGAACTGGTCCTAAAAAGGCCAAAAGGAAAAAAATGAAACATAAAACTGATGAACTTAATGGGAAGAACCTGTTTTCAAACAGGTTTTTCCATAGCAACGCTCACTGGATAAGACATCGACACTGAATTCATTTGCTCTGTACAACTCTTCCTCACTCTTTCTCACCTTATTACATAAAGAAACTGGAGCCGCCGTGTCATAGGCCGGCTACTGGGGGAACCACACCTCTGATGACAGGCCATGCTACCAGAAGGCAACCCACATTCCCATCTGAAAAGAGCTTTCTAAGCAGTTCTGAAGCATCTACTGTAAAACCACAGCAAAGGCCAGCCTAACACAAGTCTGGGTTGATGCCTCATTTACTTCAAGACAGGCAGAAAGTTCTCTTTATCTGGGTGCCAATGCACTGATACAGCTTACCAAGGCAGTAACAGTTCTTGAGATTTACAGAGCTAAAAATGAACATATGGGCCCACTCCATATTCATGAAATTACCAGTGCCACAGTAAATTATCAGTGTTCTGTACTCTTCTGAAGTTTACAAATATGCTGACTCACTGCTCTCACCACCAACTTGAAAAGGGATCAGGCCTGCAGCTCCTGACAGATTCAACAGAAACATTTACTGGCATAAACTATAAACACCCATGCAGAGCTGGGCCACAGTGTCCAGCCTGCCACTTCAGAGTGAGTGCATTATTGATGAAAGAGTAAACTGCTGAGTCTCTACTAATGGTTCCAAGGTCAGCATGCTTAGGAAATACAGAATCAGGTTGGAGGGGAGGGGAACCGGCTACTGTCAAGTTAGTACCACAGAGACAAAGGACAATTACATATATTTCTTGACCAGCAGAGAAGGATCTTTGTTTATATTTCTGGGGAAAGAGCTGGAAAATATTCTAAATTGTCATTCTTAAGTAAACCCAAAGCAACAGAGGTGAAATATTAAGGTGGCCTCTTTTTCACATCTCTCCAAACTAAACAATTCTGCCTCACTGTCTTTTAAAGCAAGAATTTCAGTGACTGCATTTAACTATCTGGCTCTGCACACTAATCCACACTTGGGGTGAGGGATAGGGAGGGAAACCAAATAAAACAATGCAGAAACCAAACCCAACTAATATTATAGAGCCTTAGTTTCATATTAATATGAATATTCACATTCATATGAATATTACTAAATCTGATAAAGATGGCACATTTTAATTCTATCAAAATAAATGTCTAACTTAAAAGACAAAACTCTCCTCCCCTCGACTCCCCAAAGGAGAAGAAAAATCTTCAAATGACATGTAAGTGAAGATTATATAAGGTGTTGATGGTAAGCAATATAATCAAGAACTGCAGAACTGGAAGGACTGCTGGGAATTATTTATCCCAGCACCCCAGCACCCCTATACAGAGCTAGACTTGAATACAACCACACTACCTGAAAAAAGACACCAGCTTGCTGTGGTTTTTATGAACTTTTATCTTATTAATAGATTCAACGGGTACGTGTTCAAGTTTGTTACCTGGGTATATTGTGTGATGCTGATGTTTGACACCAGTCTATTTTTAAGGGACACTCAGAAAGGCAATGTTCAGGATCTTCCCTGATAACTTTACTGTGTTTAAGAATCCTCATTGTACCAAAATCCATCCTTTCATCTATCTTCAATTCCAATTTGATTGGTTTCATTTTTACAAGCATAAAACCAAACTATTTTGGAATCTAAGCCAGATGTGCTAGTTCTAACAATGTTAGCAAAATAAAGCCTAAGAGATAAGAGCTTAGAATTTTTACTTCATAAAACAACTTTTCGAATCAGCACTTTTTTTTTTAGCAAAATTCAGTTATATTCTTCTTCAGTTGCCAGATCTACCTCTCTCCAGAAGTTGGGATCAAACTTTGCTTTAGCTCATTAATCAGTTAGGTACTTGATCAGACAAAAAATATTTGTGTCACTAAGTATAATTTTCCCTCTTTCCAAAGAAAAGCAAAAAAGAACTAAAATTCATACTATGCTTTATTTAAAACATATCCAAGCATATGAGTATTCTACATAACATAAATATCAAAAGCTCTCACCTGTCACCTGGACACATAGACCCATCCAGGCCACTGCAGCATCTCAAACTGCTCTGGGGTCAGAAGGCCTTCACAGCGGTCCAATGGAGCTGACAGCACATACAGGAGCCTGCTGCCCTCTTGTCCAATACTAATCATCCTCCCCTACCAACTCACACGTAAAAAGGAAGCATGCTGCCCTATCATCCAATACAAATTATCCTTCCCTACCAACCCACATGTAAAAATGAAGCCCAGTCATAAGATTCCTGTATAAACTCGACTTTGCTGAAACTGCACACTTTATATCTGACCTTGTGAAAAATGAAAAAATGGCAAGTTAAAATTGTCATCACAGGTTAAACACTTCTTGTGATTTTCTTATCGACTCCTCTTTTCAGCAAGGTTAAGGTTCTGTCCTCCTCATACACAAATTAAGTGGTACGCACATAAAAGCTCCTTCAAGTTGTCTATTGGTACAACAGAGAGAACCTAAAAAATGTGCCACTTGACAGATATTACATGTAAACTAGAAATACTGAAGGAAAATATAACGTTACTAAAACAGAAGTATTTCTTAGTGCTTTTGAAAACCTTTAAGGTTCAAACCAAACTTTGCAGGCAGAAGGGAATTGCTTCAAAGGATAGAAGAGAGAATAACTACTTCACTAAGAAAACAAGGGAGATATAGCTGACCTGGGCAACCATTAGGCCCTAGAGTTCAAAGATGAGAGCATCTCTCTCCACTGTTGGCAGAAAGGGGGTAGTTGAGCACAATAACTCCGGTAGATTAATGTGATCATAGTGCTCTAGCTAGGACTAATGTGCCGTAAAGCAGAGTATTTCCAGAAATAAAAACAGTCACATCGAAATGGAACAAAATATGAGTCTAGGCTTGTGAAAAATCAGACCTGGGTGGTAGCCAAAGGCTAACCTTATAGCATCAACAAACAAAAACATATTTTTAGAGAAAGAGCAGCATGCTGTGTCTAGAAACATAAAGTTGCCATTTCAAAGAAAATGACATTGCTTTGTGAAATGGGAATTCTAAAATTCAAATTCTATAAAGTACATTAGTTTTCTCTTACTGATGTTTCAAGATGTGTAGTATTACAATTTTCAATCTAAGCCCAAAATGCTCCCCAGCAAAAAGCCTCCGAGCCCGCTTTTCTACCTACTTCCTTATACTGGTTAAACTCTCAGCTTTGCTGCTATCACAGTAAACGGCTTCCAACATAAAACAGATGTGGGGGAAATAGTGTTCTCTGTTGAAATACATGTGAAAGTCTGGACAAAAGAAACATCAGGTAAGCACAAAAAAGAATTCAATTTCCAAAACTTAGTGGGGTGTTAGTAAGTCCCTTAATTAAAGCCTTTGTAGCATCTCCTAGAGGTCTGTAATTGTCTCTGTGCTCAGACGGCAGGACCACTCTGAGGACCTTGGGGGTAATTCCTGGGCCTGTAATCCAGCACAGCACCCAGGCTTTAGCACATTTTCTGGCTAATTGACCATCAAAGAGTTTGTAAGCTCCCTCTCTTGCTCATTGCTAAACACTTTTCACAGTTTCTTTTTGCCTCATCTTTTTTTTTTTTTTTAAAGAGAAATATTATAGGCCCAAAGTTTGGATAAGCTTTACACGTAGAGTCATTCCTATAATTTTAGGGAGCATCAGAAGTAGAAGCTTAAGGAGGTAACTGAGCAGACCCCCTAATCTGAAAACATCAGAAGGTGTTATCAAGCACCTTCTTAATCAGGGTCTTAATTCCTGATCTTCATCCCCCTGCCACTGGCTATATTCGACTCAATCATTTGGTATTTTATTTAGCCCATCTGTAAAAAGTCATCTACTCATACAATTTTATTTTTCCTTTTTTTTTTACATTACTAATACATGATGTGAGGCTCGAACCCACATATTGTACTGCTTGCAATCTGATACTTAACCACCCAAAATTTCTGCAATAAAGAGATAAGAACAAAATATAAAGGGGGGGGCAGGGAACACTGGAAAAGGAATGTCCTTATGTCACATATGTCATAGCAAACAACAGAAACTATCATCATGAGTTTTAACTATACATAAGTCTCCAACTTCAGGGATGAACTAAAAAAATACAAAATTATATAGATATTGTAAGCCACTGGGCCAACTGAATGTACTGTAAATATGTTCTAAGTGAGTAATTATGTACTATGGAGTGAAGGGAGGAATAATCATTTCACAGGCTGATTCGGGGGCTGGCATCTACCCAAGCCCTTCTCCTCCCAGAAAAGGGGAATAAAACATCTCCAGTGTTCCATACTGGGGTGAAATTGACAGGGTGGGTGACAAGGCAAAGTGTGGAATGAGACTGGAACCATAATTTC
Organism: Homo sapiens; assembly: GCF_000001405.40. NCBI lineage: Eukaryota > Metazoa > Chordata > Mammalia > Primates > Hominidae > Homo > Homo sapiens. The sequence goes on from NC_000002.12 coordinate 222,576,765, forward strand.
CTACAGAGGAGGAACTTCCTCCTGGTTTCCCACTAGTTTTCTGAGAATGCAGTAACAGGAATTGTAGGACTCTGCTGCCAGCTCATCAACATCACCTTCCTTTTCTAAACAATGTTGATTTAAAGGAAGAGACAGCATATAGAGGCTATAAAATGAAACACACACTTATCCCACGTGAGCATGGTGTCATTCTTAAAGGTGGCTGTTCTCGAAGTTTTAGAACCAGCAGTTTTTTGAGGGCACCGATGGACTACAACAAGGGGAGAGAACTCAAGGGGGAAAACGGTACAATGTAGGTAAGACATTAGAGCTTATAAAAGGAAAGAAAAAGGTTTAGGAATATGAGGAGGAAAAAAATCATTATTGAGATATAAAACACACAAACATTTTTTCAGATCCTAGTACACTCAGTTGGGAGAAAATGTCTCTGCAAAGACCATTTAATTTGTAAGTGGAGACTGAATAATTTCCAACTGGTAATATAAAACACCTATTTTCCCCTGATGTATACAATTCTTCACCTTGCATTTGAAGTGAAATATTTATGGTACCTAAAGTCTGTAAAGAGAGGGGACCTAATCCCTTGAGTTTAATGACCATCTTTCATCCCTTTCTGAAGATCAAAAGAAAGAAAACCCCCTCACACAACTTTACAGTGCTAATCCCAACACACCTGCAGACACCATTAACTCTTAAAGTGAAGGCAACTGGATGTGAGGGAACTGGTACCTACTTAACCCCACAGCATGGAACTCAGGGAGCCCATGACGCAGCAACATTCCATCAACACAGGGCAGGGTATACTATTACAAATCCGGACAGGATCCTGTAGGACCTTATGCTTCAAAAGAAATCAGCAAAACCCACACTACCTAGTCCTCTAAGTGATGGAGCAATGTCTTCAATAAACAACCATCTTTTAACAATTACCACAATCTCCTTGTGACTAAATATTTAGAATCGTAACTCCAAAATTTCCCAGTCTTAATTTGTGTAGAGAAATTTATCATTTATCATTTATTCCTGTGATTTTTACTTTTTAACATTTCTTATGAAACATTTAGTTAATTAGGGCAAATACGAAATGATTAAATAGAAAATGCTCGGGAAACGTTGAGATCTATTTTAAAGTCTAATCTTAACTATGTGTCTCTCATGCACACATGCACACTCATATTTTAAAACCTAAAGGAGGTCAGGAATGTTGGAAGAGCTTCAAGATGACCCAGCTAATTGTAACTTTAAATCACTCTCAAACTGTGTAAAACCAAAGGATTTTTACCTCTAGGTTAAAAAGTACCCTCACTGTCAGTCTGTTTTGAAAACTTCTGTTCTTAAATAATGCCATCATCCTATATTTGTCTGACACCCATATCATTTTCCCCCAAAATTTTCACATTTCTTCAATATGTATAGAATATATTTAGAATAACAACTTCAAAAATAAAAGAAATCACTCTGCCTTCTTGGGCCAACAAATGGTTCTTTACCCAGTCTTTCACCTGACAAAAATCTTTAAGGGGATTATTTCTCAAACCAAAAGGAATAATTTATTACTTCCTCCACAAGTACAGTGAAATAATTAAAAAGAGACTGTGGTAGGGCTAATTAAGGAAAGAATGGAAATGTCGACTATATGAGATTGTATCCAAATTTCACAATTAGTTAACTTATTCAATTGAGACCTTTAGCTAACTTAGTGCAAACATAACTTTAAACATGTAATTTTGATAGCTGTTTTAGTTTCAGAGTAAGATTTCAGGTGACAAGTAGGGCATGTAAAAGAAAAAGGAGGCCGGGCACGGTGGCTCACGCCTGTAATCCCAGCACTTTGGGGGCCAACGCGGGAAGATCACGAGGTCAGGAGATCGAGACCATCCTGGCCAACATGGTGAAACCCCATCTCTACTAAAAATACAAAAAAATTAGCTGGGGCCGGGCACAGTAGCTCATGCCTGTAATCCCAGCACTTTGGGAGGCCAAGGCAGGTGGATCATGAGGTCAGGAGATCGAGACCATCCTGGCTAACATGGTGAAACCCCATCTCTACTAAAAAATACAAAAAAAATTAGCCAGGCGTGACGGTGGGCGCCTGTAGTCCCAGCTACTCAGGAGGCTAAGACAAGAGAATTGCTTGAACTCGGGAGGGGGAGGTTGCAGTAAGCTGAGATCTCACCACTGCACTCCAGCCTGGGTGATAGAGTGAGACTCCATCTCAAAAACAAAGAAAAGAAAAATGAAAGAATAATGAAATTGCAAAAACATGGCACCTCGCCTTCTATTCACTCATTCCCAGTGCAGCCCTGGCCAAGCCCTTTGTGGGACAGACAAGTTACAGATGGGAAAAAGTGAAGCACAAGGAGATTAGGAGGCTTGCCCTAGGCAAGCAATAGTAGAGGCTGGAGAGTAAGCAAAAGGTGAATAAGGGCCGTGGAATCAGCTCTTCTGTGTGTGGCCCACAGGCACATAAGGCCTAAAGCAGAATGTTTTTAAGCTTTTGGTCAAGCTGTCCATTTCGTGTTTACAAACTTCTTCTGGTTTACAATTAAATAAACAAACAAAACTTAAGAGAAAATAAGAAAGACTGACAGTTCATCATCTTCCACCTTAGGACATACCCAAGTAGGGTCTGTAATATTAATACAGCACAATACTGACAAAACCTAGAGCCTTCCATGGAAAACAGAACTATTTATTTTTTAAATCCCATATAACACAGGTACTTGTATGAATAAATTTCAGATTCTTGAAACAAAGCTGGAATTATTTCAGCAGACAAGTACCACAGGGACACCATCTACAAAGGCAAAGAAAAAGAGCTGAAATGTTAGAACTTGTGGCAGAAACTCCTTCTGAATTTAAACTCCTGCAAACTCTTAAAACTAGAAATGACCTTGGAAGCAATCCTGTCCATTTCCTTCACTTAATATATGAAAAAAATAGATACTAGACAGGTTAAGAAAACAGGTAGGAGCAGAATTGAGATCAGAACTCAGGTTTTCCTGAAACCCAGTCTGTAGCTCATCCAACGTTGCTTTTCTGAAGACAGATAGACCTAAGATCTACTCCAAGTTTACTCTGAGGAGATTTACACATTCCAAAATGCTTTCACAAATTCTTGCAACTGCCTCCCCTGACAACTCTAGGGTGTTGATGGGACAGATATCGTCATTGCCATTTTACAGATGAAGAAACTGGCGTGAAGGAATTAAGTCTTTAATAACATGGATTAGTGACAGAACGACTTGCCACAACACTCAGTGTTAAATGGACTCTATCACAGTTGATTAGCATGCATCCTAAGGTTTTACAAACAACATATTCATTACATATAAGTAAATATTATATACATGAATATTATACATAATAAATATTATATATAATGAATTAATGTCTATTCCATCTTGGGAACTGCTTTTTCAAGTGAGTTTGTATTCACGTGTCTAAAGACATTTTAATCACATTCCACTATATTTATATGTCATAGCTTGTCAACTTATTCTTTAAGTATTTAATCCTGAAGTTGTTTCCTATTATTCATTAGTATAAATAAGGCTTCTGTAAGCATAGAGTCTTTCTTGGATTACTTCCCTTTTCTAAAAGTAGTACTAAAGGTGAGGCATAGTGGTTGTACACCTGCAATCCTAGTGCTTTGGGAGGCTGAGGCAGGAAGGTGGCTTGAGACCAGGTGTTCAAAACTAGCCTGGGCAACATAGTGAGACAACATCTCAAAAAAAAAAAAATAGTGCTACATAGGTAAAAAGAAAATGAATCATTGTATAGCTCCTTATATAGCAAAATGTTAAACAATGCACTTCTAGTAGTGGTACTAGCAACAAACCACAAATAGATTATATTGATCTCATCTTGTACAACACCAATAAAAAACTTTCTCCTGCATAACACAACTACTGCCTTTAAAAAAAAATTCCACTGGTAGGAAAAAAAAATGCCCCAAATCAACCTAGGAAAATAATTCCAAGAGGAAACCTTTTTTCAGAGAATGCAATTCACAAACTAAGGGACTTTAGGGATTATGAGAGTGACTAGAAACCTTTATCTCCTGAAAGGTGAGCGACAAAATATAGTGACTCGGAAGGGGGAAAATGAGGGTTCTGGTTCTTGGAAGGGGAGAAGTAGAGGAAAGTACAACTATAACACAAAAAACCCTACAAGACAGGAAGGGCCAGGGGGTCTTGAGACATTTTACTTGGCCTCATAAGACCCTCAGCAAGAAGATCACATTCCTGACCCACAGCCCACATGAGCCAACAGGTGCTCAGATGTATTTCCAAGGTTGCCCAAGTCACCCAAATGAATGACAGCATTCATTTCTCAAAAAGCCCAAGGTTAGGCCACAGCTATTCAACCCCAGTGTAAAACAAAATAATTGGTCAAAGTAAAAACCACAACTGAGACTTCAGTAAAGTTAACGGGCCTCCTGTCATTTTTATGAAGGTATTGGGAATACTTTAAATGAATGTCAATCTGTTGGATTTCTGCAATGATGTAATATATATATAGAAGAGTAATTTAAGCTAAAAAGCAGAAAGGAGTCTCTCAAAAAAGGAATAATATGGGAGAGAAGAAATGTGCTGACAGATGAATGAAACTGGAGAAGACAGATCTCTAATGGATGTTCTGTTATGTTTCTGCATCCCCACTGCCCCAAAAGTCCATAGTAAAAGAAACATTTCCAATTTTTAAACAAAGCAGACTATGGATTAACATATTTTTAAAAATCAGAGCAAGCATTTAGTTATTAAAGGTTTCTAGAATCTTGCTTGTTAGAAATAAATACAGGAAATGTCAAAAAAGTGGTTTTTCAACAATTTTCTAATTTCCTAGATAAACCATAATAGATATGCTATTAGCTTCTGAGCAGTTGGAGTCAAAAGACAGTTGACAAACTGAAAAAACAGCATATGTATATCACGAAGGGTTGACAGCCACACTACATAGAAGGTTCCTAAAACTAGAGAAGATTGACAAACCTAAAGAAATAAGGAAGAAGACAGGTGGATCACAGAAAAGGAAATAAAAATGTCCTTGTAAACATGTAAATATGTTACATTTGCTCACGGCAAGGGAAATTCAATTAAAACTACAGTGAGACACCATTTCCCATCTGAAAGACTGGCAAAGACAAGAAGTCTGGTGACCATGGCTGTGGAGAAATAAGTCCTCTCAAGTGTTGCTGCAGCGTTTGTACAACGTTGGAACTAGAAATCCTATGGAGGGGTGTTTGGCAGTGTCTAGTGAAAATATGAATTTATTTACTTTGTCCCAGTGATCCCATACTTCTAGGAATCTGTCCCAGAGATACAGTGGCATTACCAAATAACATATGCACAAGACTATTCTCTGTAACACAATCTGTAATAGCAAAAGATTGGAAACAACTCAATGTTAATCAACAGGAAATTAGTTGATTACACTGTGGAACTCCATAAAATGAAGTACCCCAGAGAAGTCAAAAGAAAGGAGGAAGATCTCTATATGCTGCTACAGAATCATCTCCAATGTAGGCTGTCAGGTAAAACAAAGAAAGGTACAGAACAGTGTGTAAAGTATCAGCCCCTCAGCTGAAAGAGTAGAAGAGAATATGAACACACACACACAGGTGTGTGCACACATACATCAGAAGGATAAACTGAAAACTAATAAAAATCATAACCTATAGAGGCAGGGAGGGAACGGTGTGGAAGCCAGAGTTCTCTCTACGTCCCTTATTTATAGCCTATATTCTAAGTACAAAAAGTAATAAGGATAAATTTTAAGCTGCTTTCAATAATCATATTGTTGATAATAGTATTTTTATTTTGAAACTATGATAGATAAATAGATAAACAGAATGAGCAAACAAGCAATAATGTAAATTCGGGCGCAGTGGCTCACGCCTGTAACCCCAGCACTTTGGGAGGCCGAGGAAGGCAGATCACTTGAGGTCAGGAGTCAAGACCAGCCTGGCCAACATGACGAAACCCCATCTCTACTAAAAATACAAAAAATTAGTCGGGTGTGGTGGCAGGCACCTGTAATCCCAGCTACTCGGGAGGCTGAGGCAGGAGAATTGCTTGAACTCAGGAGGCAGAGGTTGCAGTGAGCCGAGATCACGCCACTGCACTCCAGCCTGGCAGACAGAGCAAGACTATGTCTCCAAAAGAAAAAAAAAAAAAGAGCAATAATGTAAATTCACTAGGAACCAAGATTCTCACTAAAGAAAAAGAGATAAACTAACACAGGAACAGAAAACCAAACACTGCATGTTCTCACTCATAAGAGGGAGTTGAACAACAAGAACACATGGACACAGGGAGGGGAACATGTTAAAAGCAAACTGAAGCCAGCTTCAAGGGACTCCTGCTGGCCAAACTGGGGACAATTTGAGCATCAAAATAAATGACTGTAATGGATCTAAATACACTGACTAAAATCAGCAGCAATGAGTCCATACTGACATAACTAAGTATATAGGAAAACTGATTAGAAACAGTATATTTACATAATTTCAAAGCTCTTCCCCCACAAGACATTTATTAATTATAATGGAGAAAAGAATAACTTTACAGTACAGATGACTGGTAGCTACAACCTTAATTAAGTGATTACAGTGAACATTATCAGTTATTGGATAAATGAAAATTGCGTGCCACTTCATAGCATGCATTGGGAAGTTAGCATTACTTCTCTACCATTCCTCCAAAGATGCCTAACAGGAATTTAATTAGTGAAGAAACATCAGACAAACCAAAATTGAGGAACATGCTACAAAATAACTGGCCTGTAATCTTCAAGTGTCAAGGTCATGAAAGTGAAGAAAAGACTATTCTAGAAGTCACCAGGAGACTAATGAGACATGATGGCTGAAGAAAACAAGTGACTCTTTGCTATTGATATGGTTTGGCTGTGTCCCTACCCAAATCTCATCTTGAAATGTAGTTCCCATAATCCCCATGGGAGGGTCTGGGTGGGAGGTAATTGAGACATAGAGGCAGTTATCCCCATGCTGTTCTTGTGATATTAAGGGAGTTCTCACAAGATCTGATGGTTTTTTAAGAGGCATTTCCCCCTTTACTCACTCTCACCCCCTTTACTCACTTTCCTGCCGCCCTGTGATGAAATGCCTTTCACCATGATTTTAAGTTTCCTGAGGCCTCCCAAGCCATGCAGAACTGTGAGTCAATTAAACCTCTTTTCTTTATAAATTACTCAGTCTTGGATATTTCTTCATAGCAGCATGAGAACGGACTAATACAGCTATAAAGGACAATTGATAAAACTTGCATAGGGCCTGAGGGTTAAATGGTGGTTAACATAAACTTCAATGTTCATCTGATTTTGATGATTATTATTATGGTTATAGAGAATGATGTCCTTGTTTATAGGAAATATACACCAAAGTATTCAGGGGTAACACGATATCAGATTAGCTCTCAAACAGTTCAGAAAAAAAAAATTTTGCATACCACTTGCATTTTTAAAATAAATTTTGACTATTTCAAAATAAAAAATTAACAAAATGGGGACTTCAGTTATAGAAGTTGCTTAAAGGGAGTTTCCATCCAATTCCCCCCAAAAAAGTTTTAAAAATTATTGCCCTGAATTTGGGGTCCAAGATAACCGAATAGGAACAGCTCCAGTCTACAGCTCCCAGCGTGAGCAATGCAGAAGACAGGTGATTTCTGCATTTCCAACTGAGGTACCAGGTTCATCTCACTGGAACTTGCTGGAAACTAGGTGCAGCCCATGGAGTGTGAGCCAAAGCAGGGCAGGGCATCTCCTCACCCAGTAAGCACAAGGGGTCGGGGAATTCCCTTTCCTAGCCAAGGGATGCCGTGACAGACGGTACCTGGAAAATCAGGCCACTCCCACCCTAGTACTGCCCTTTTCCAACAGTCTTAGCAAACAGCACACCAGGAGATTATATCCCATGCCTGGCTCAGAGGGTCCCACGCCCACGGAGCCTCGCTCACTGCTAGCACAGCAGTCCCAGATCGAACTGCAAGGCTGCAGCAAGGCTGGGGGAGGGGCATCCGCCACTGCTGAGGCTTGAGTAGGTAAACAAAGCAGCTGGGAAGCTCAAACTGCGTGGAGCCCACCTCAGCTCAACAAGGCCTGCCTGCCTCTGTAGACTCCACATCTGGGGACAGGGCATAGCTGAACAAAAGGCAGCAGAAACTTCTGCAGACTTAAACTTCCCTGTCTGACAGCTTTGAAGAGAGTAGTGGTTCTCCCAGCACAGAGTTTGAGATCTGAGAACCGACAGACTGCCTCCTCAAGTGGGTCCCTGACCCCCGAGTAACCTAACTAGGAGATACCTCCCAGTAGGGGCCGACTGACACCTCATACAGCCGGGTGGCCCTCTGAGACAAAGCTTCCAGAGGAAGGATCAGGCAGCAACATTTGCCGTTCTACAATATTTGCTGTTCTGCAGCCTCCGCTGGTGATACCCAGGCAAACAGGGTCTGGAGTGGACCTCCAGCAAACTCCAACAGACCTGCAGCTGAGGGTCCTGAATGTTAGAAGGAAAACTAACGAACAGAAAGGAATAGCATCAACATCAACAAAAAGGACATCCACACCAAAACCTCATCTGTAGGTCACCATCATCAAAGACCAAAATTAGATAAAACCACAAAGATGGGGAGAAACCAGAGCAGAAAAGCTGAAAATTCTAAAAATCAGAGCACCTCTTCTCTTCCAAAGGAATGCAGCTCTTCGCCAGCAATGGAACAAGGCTGAACAGAGAATGACTTTGACAAGTTGACAGAAGTAGGCTTCAGAAGATCGGTAATAACAAACTTCTCTGAGCTAAAGGAGGATGCTCGAACACATCGCAAAGAAGCTAAAAACCTTGAAAAAAGATTAGAATGGCTAAGTAGAATAAACAGCATAGAGAAGACCTTAAATGACCTGATGGAGCTGAAAACCATGGCAAGAGAACTATGTGACGCATGCACAAGCTTCAGTAGCTGATTGGATCAAGGGGAAGAAAGGTGACTGAAGATCAAATGAATGAAATGAAGCCAGAAGAGAAGTTTAGAGAAAAAAGAGTAAAAAGAAATGAACAAAGCCTCCAAGAAATATGGGACTATGTGAAAAGACCAAATCTACGTTTGATTGGTGTACCTGAAAGTGACGGGGAGAATGGAACCAAGTTGGAAAACACTCTACAGGATATTATCCAGGAGAACTTCCCCAACCTAGCAAGGCAGGCCACCATTCAATTCAGGAAATACAGAGAACCCCACAAAGGTACTCCTCAAGAAGAGCAACTCCAAGACATATAATTGTCAGATTCACCAAGGGTGAAATGAAGGAAAAAAATGTTAAGGGCAGCCAGAAAGGTCCAGTTACCCACAAAGGGAACCCCATCAGACTAACAGCGGATCTCTCAGGAGAAACTCTACAAACCAGAAGAGAGTGGGGGCAAATATTCAACATTCTTAAAGAAAAGAATTTTCTACCCAGAATTTCATATCCAGCCAAACTAAGCTCCATAAGTGAAGGAGAAATAAAATCCTTTACAGACAAGCAAATGCTGAGAGATTTTGTCACCACCAGGCCTACCTTACAAGAGCTCCTGAAGGAAGCACTAAACATGGAAAGGAACAACCGGTACCAGCCACTGCAAAAACATACCAAATTGTAAAGACCATTGATGTTAGGAATAAACTGCATCAACTAATGAGCAAAATAACCAGCTGACATCATAATGACAGGATCAAATTCACACATAATAATATTAACCTTAAATGTAAACGGACTAAATGCCCCAATTAAAAGACACAGACTGGCAAATTGGATAGAATCAAGACCCATCAGTGTGCTGTATTCAGGAGACTCATCTCACATGCAGAGATACACACAGGCTCAAAATAAAGGGATGGAGGAAGATCTACCAAGCAAATGGAAAACAAAAAAAAGCAGGTTTTGCAATCCTAGTCTCTGATAAAACAGACTTTAAACCAAAAGATCAAAAGAGACAAAGAAGGCCATTATATAATGGTAAAGGGATCAATTCAACAAGAAGAGCTAACTATCCTAAATATATATGCACCCAATACAGGAGCACCCAGATTCATAAAGCAAGTCCTTAGAGACCTACAAAGAGACTTAGACTCCCACACAATAATAATGGGAGGCTTTAACAACCCACTGTCAACATTAGACAGATCAATGAGACAGAAAGTTAACAAGGATATCCAGGACTTGAACTCAGCTCTGCACCAAGTGGACCTAATAGACATCTGCAGAACTCTCCATCCCAAATCAACAGAATATACATTCTTCTCAGCACCACATCGCACTTATTCCAAAACTGACCACATAGTTGGAAGTAAAGCACTCCTCAGCAAATGTAAAAGAACAGAAATTATAGCAAACTGTCTCTCAGACCACAGTGTAATCAAATTAGAACTCAGTATTAAGAAACTTACTCAAAACCACACAACTACATGGAAACTGGACAACGTGCTCCTGAATGACTACTGGGTACCTAACGAAATGAAGTCATTAATAAAGATGTTCTTTGAAACCAATGAGAACAAAGACACAACATACCAGAATCTCTGGGACACATTTAAAGCAGTGTGTAGAGGGAAATTTATAGAACTGAATGCCCACAAGAGAAAGCAGGAAAGATCTAAAATCAACATCCTAACATCACAATTAAAAGAACTAGAGAAGCAAGAGCAAACACATTCAAAAGCTAGCAGAAGGCAAGAAATAACTAAGATCAGAGCAGAACTGAAGGAGCTAGAGACACAAAAAACCCTTCAAAAAATCAATGAATCCAGGAGCTGGTTTTTTGAAAAGATCAACAAAATTGATAGACCACTAGCAGACTAATAAAGAAGAAAAGAGAGAAGAATCAAATAGACGCACTAAAAAAATGATAAAGGGGATATCACCACCGATCCCACAGAAATACAAACTACCATCAGAGAATACTATAAATACCTCTATGAAAATAAACTAGAAAATCTAGAAGAAATGGATAAATTCCTTGACACATACACCCTCCCAAGACTAAACCAGGAAGAATTTGAATCCCTGAATAGATCCATAACAGGCTCTGAAATTGAGGCAATAATTAAGAGCCTACCAACCAAAAAAAGTCCAGGACCAGATGGATTCACAGCCAAATTCTATCAGAGGTACAAAGAGGTGCTGGTACCATTCCTGCTGAAACTATTCCAATCAATATAAAAAGAGGAAATCCTCCCTAACTCATTTTATGGGGCCAGCATCATCCTGATACCAAAGCCTGGCAGAGACACAACAAAAAAAAAGAGAATTTTAGACCAATATCCCTGATGAACATCGATGCAAAAATCCTCAATAAAATACTGGCAAAACGAATCCAGCAGCATATCAAAAAGCTTATCCACCATGATCAAGTTGGCTTCATCCCTGGGATGCAAGGCTGGTTCAACATATGCAAATCAATAAACGTAATCCAGCATATAAACAGAACCAAAGACAAAAACCACATGATTATCTCAATAGATGCAGAAAAGGCCTTTGACAAAATTTAACAGCGCTTCATGCTAAAAACTCTCAATAAACTAGGTATTGATGGAACATATCTCAAAATAATAAGAGCTATTTATGACAAACTCACAGCCAATATCATACTGAATAGGCAAAAACTGGAAGCATTCCCTTTGAAAACTGGCACAAGACAGGGATGCCCTCTCTCACCACTCCTATTCAACATAGTGTTGGAAGTTCTGGCCAGGGCAATTAGGCAGGAGAAAGAAATAAAGGGTATTCAATTAGGAAAACTGAAGTCAAATTGTCCCTGTTTGCAGATGACATGATTGTATATTTAGAAAACCCCATCGTCTCAGCCCAAAACCTCCTTAAGCTGATAAGCAACTTCAGCAAAGTCTCAGGATATAAAATCAATGTGCAAAAATCACAAGCATTCCTGTACACCATTAACAGACAAACGGAGAGCCAGATCGTGAGTGAACTCCCATTCACAATTGCTACAAAGAAAATAAAATACCTAGGAATCCAACTTACAAGGGATGTGAAAAACTTCTTCAAGGAGAACTACAAACCACTGTTCAAGGAAATAAAAGAGGACACAAACAAATGGAAGAATATTCCATGCTCATGGATAGGAAGAATCAATATCGTGAAAATGGCCATACTGCCCAAGGTAATTTATAGATTCAATGCCATCCCCATCAAGCTACCAATGACTTTCTTCACGGATTTGGAAAAAACTACTTTAAAGTTCATATGGCACCAAAAAAGAGCCTGCCTTGCCAAGACAATCCTAAGCAAAAAGAACAAAGCTAGAGGCATCATGCTACCTCAAACTTCAAACTATACTACAAGGCTACAGTAACCAAAACAGCATGGTACTGTTACCAAAACAGAGATATAGACCAATGGAACAGAACAGAGCCCTCAGAAATAATACCACACATCTACAACCATCTGATCTTTGACAAACCTGACAAAAACAAAAAATGGGGAAAGGATTCCCTATTTAACAAATGGCGCTGGGAAAACTGGCTAGCCATATGTAGAAAGCTGAAACTGGATCCCTTCCTTACACCTTATACAAAAATTAATTCAAGATGGATTAAAGACTTAAATGTTAGACCTAAAACCATAAAAATCCTAGAATAAAACCTAGGCAATACCATTCAGGACATAGGCATGGGCAAGGACTTCATGACTAAAACACCAAAAGCAATGGCAACAAAAGCCAAAATAGACAAATGGTATCTAATTAAACTAAAGAGCTTCTGCACAGCAAAAGAAACTACCATCAGAGTGAACAGGCAACCTACAGAATGGGAGAAAATTTTTGCAATCTACCCATCTGACAAAGGGCTAATATCCAGAATCTACAAAGAACTTAAACAAATTTACAAGAAAAAATCAAACAACCCCATCAAAAAGTAGGCGAAGGATATCAACATGTACTTCTCAAAAGAAGACATTTATGCAGCCAACAGACACATGAAAAAAATGCTCATCATCACTGGCCATCAGAGAAATGCAAATCAAAACCACAATGAGATACCATCTCACACCAGTTAGAATGGCAATCATTAAAAAGTCAGGAAACAACAGGTGCTGGAGAGGATGTGGAGAAATAGGAACACTTTCACCCTGTTAGTGGGACTGTAAACTAGTTCAACCATTGTGGAAGACAGTGTGGCGATTCCTGAGGGATCTAGAACTAGAAATACCATTTGACCCAGCAATCCCATTACTGGGTATATACCCAAAGGATTATAAATCATGCTGCTATAAAGACACATGCACACGTATGTTTATTGCGGCACTATTCACAATAGCAAAGACTTGGAACCAACCCAAATGTCCATCAATGATAGACTGGATTAAGAAAATGTGGCACATATACACCACGGAATACTATGCAGCCATAAAAAAGGACGAGTTCATGTCCTTTGTAGGGACATGGATGAAACTGGAAACCATCATTCTCAGCAAACTATTGCAAGGACAAAAAACCAAACACCGCATGTTCTCACTCATAGGTAGGAATTGTACAATGAGAACAGTTGGACACAGGAAGTGGAACATCACATACCGGGGCCTGTCATGGGGTGGGGGAAGGGGGAGGGAAAGCATTAGGAGAAATAACCTAATGTAAATGACAAGTTAATGGTTGCAGCACACCAACATGGCACATGTATACATATGTAACAAACCTGCACATTGTGCATATGTACCCTAGAACTTAACAGTATTAAAAAAAAAAAAAAGATATCCTACCCTTTTAGGCCAAAAAAAAAAAAAAAAAGACAATTGGGAAAGGGGGACATTGACTGGATACTTGGATACTTGTTGATATTCAGAAATTATTGTTAATTTTGTGTGATGATATTGCAGTTATGCTTTTTAAAAGAGGAGTTCCTGTATTGTAGAGATGCATCTTGTTGTATTTACAACTGGGAATAATGCAATGTCTTAGATTTGCTTCAAAATAATTTAGTAGTGTGGAAAGTGGGTGAGGGTACCAATGAAACAAAATTGACTCTGTACTGATCATTGTTGAAATTAGACAATGGGGACATCGGGACTTATTATGCTAGTCTCTTTATTTTTATGTATGTTTTTAATTTTTTATAATAACAAAGTTTAAAAAAATTATTGCCCTAGTCCTACACCTTGATAGAAAAGGAAATAACTAAATGTGAACACATCAATGGAGATGGGACTTTTGGAACATAGATAAACTCAATAAACTCATTTGCTTGGACACTGGACATATCTACTTAAAAAATAAAAGAATTAGCTGGGTGTGGTAGTGTGTACCTATAGTCCTGGCTACCTGGGGAGGCTGAGATGGGAGGATCACTTTTGCCTAGGAGTTGGAGGCTACAGCGAGCTATGATCATCAAGCCAGGGTGCTCCAGCCTTGGTAACAGAGTGAGACCCTGTCTCTTAAAAAAAAAAAAAAGGAAAGAAAGAAAAAGAAAGAAATACGAGCTGAACCATCAATGTTCTGGCAGACATTCCTTTTTAAGTCGGTGTTAATGAAAAATAATTACTCTTAATTTTCCAGTATCCAGAAATGTCAAAAACCTTCAAGCACCTAGAGTTCCTGTGCAACCGGAACTAGAGAACACCCAAAGCCTGAAATTTAATTGATTTATGAATAGCTAGACAGATATCAATCACTTTTCACACTCACAATGTACCACCTCTATGTGATATGATGAGTTGGTATTGCTACAATCTTAGTACTCATAATCACAGCACACAAAAGAAAAGCAAGTGAAAGTAAGGTAGAAAGAGAAGAATAAAAATGCCTAATCATCTTTGCTGTAGCATTCATAAACTTCTTCATTTTCTACAAGGGTGGGCTTCAAACTTTTGTAAGACAGGTAACCCTTTGTTCAAATCTTACTTGGAAGCATATATACAATTTTTTTTTAAGTGGCTTATCAGTGGGAGCCAAGAAGACATTTTAAAAGCCAGTCCTCTAAAACATATTTCCTGGGAGTGGCCAATGCCTTCATTAGCAAATGCAAATGCAAACTGGAAATAAATGCCAATGGTTACCAGTAATAACCTTAAAGGCAATAATTTAAAGTGTGTCCAGGAAAACACTTTACATGTAGATACAAGAATGAGCCATCTAAATGTGTTCAAAATAAAGGGTTATAGTGGGGACAGGCAATGAATGAGAATGAACAATTTCACTAAGAATTTTAAAATAACTTAGAAGTTAGCTTGAAACTTGATTCAGTTTAGAGCTGGATGGCATCTTAATACTGCCAAGGGGTTCCGGCAAGTAGGAATTAAAATATGATTTGTAAGTGAGGATTAGTTTCAGCTTTAAGAAAGAAACTCCCAAATGGCAATGGTTTAAACAAGATGGAAGTTTTATTTCTCTCTCTTGTTAAAGCCATAGTAAGTGCTCCAGGGGAAAAAGGCCTTTATTTTTTGTGGTCATGTGCTCAGGAGATCACTCCACATTACCATCCCTACCTAGGGATTTATTCAATGTGTTTTCCTTCTTTCCAGCCACCCATCCATCCATTCTCTTAATCCTTCTGGAGTAGAGCTGGAACTGGCCACTTAGAGCGTTGACAGTTTATCAGAATACATCATGTTCTAGGAATTCCCAGGACAGTGACTCTTAACCAATATGCTGCAGCACACAAATGTGCCAAAACCGAGTGCTGCCCCATTTTGGCCAATGCATAAAACTGCTGATACCTGAGGAAAGTAAATCTGTCTCACATGTATAAGATAAAAACTGAGTAATCAGAATCATCCTAAAAATCCTTTGAACTTTCAGGACCCGGGCCCTTGAAAGATCACAAGCTAAAAATGAACTTCTTTTATAATTCTTTGTATTTGGGCCACAACATCGTTTTCTATAGAATAGTGGAGGCCAAGATCTAGTATGGATGCAGAAGAGAAGAGAGGACCATGAGGTAAATGAAAATATCTTCCTCTTTTTTTGCCCAGTATATACAGCTGGATGTAAATACAGTAGTCTCCATTTATATGCAGTTTTTCACTTTCCGTGGTTAACTGAGGTCTGAAAATATTAAGTGGGAAATTAGGGAAATAAATCATTCCTAAGTTTTAACTTGTGCACTCTTCTGAGTAGCATGATGAAAAACTGAGTAGAGTTGTCCCTCTCTGACCTCCCCAGGACATGAATCTTCCTTTCGTCCGGTGTGTCCACAGTGTATACACTACCTGCCCGTTAGTCACTTAGTAGCTGTCTTGGTTAACAGACTAAAAACGTATCATATATATAGTGTTCAATACTATTTGCAGTTTCAAGCATCCATCGGGGGTCTTGGAATGTATACCCTGCAGATAAGAGGAGACTACTATAATTCCAAAGTATTCATTATGTTATAGCACGCATTTTCCACAGGGGCGGAACTGGTTCTTAGAGGAAAAGGGGCGGGGCAGGGGGGTATGAAAAAAATCTTCCATATTAAAATGGTTTGCATTGCTCCAAAGCTGAGCCCTACTTGACAAAAACCTTACTCCTCAGTATTTAATTCCTCTCATTGTGTTTTCTTGGGTATCCCACAAGCAACATTAATATGGAAGATACAGTAAATGTGTGCAAGAACACTGCTATAAAACTATGGCAGCAGATGGCTGTGATTGGAAGACTCTATCCATTGCTAGATCTCCAAGTCACATTGAATGGGAGGCCATTTGACTGCCTTGTGGCTGATCTTTAGAGCTTTTGTGTGTAGCTTAGGCTCTGATAATTAAACAAAAATAGTTTATATGTTACTATTTAATTCAAAAGGTTATTTAACACATCATTAGTTATGGTAAGTACTCAAAAGACTAGGCGTGGTGGCTCACACCTGAGGCCAAGGCAGGAAGATCACTTGAGGCCAGGAGTTCAAGATCAGCCTAAGCAACACAGAGAAACTGTCTCTAAAGAAAACAAAACAAAACAAAACAAAAATTAGCCAGGCATGGTGGTACGTGCCTGTAGTCCCGGCTACACTGATGGCTGAGGTGAGAGGATCACTTGAGCCTGGGAGGTCAAGTGGTGATGGCGCTACTGCACTCCAGTCTGGGTGACAGAGTGAGACCCTGTCTCAACAACAACAAAAAGTACTCAAAAGAAAAAAATGCTGACAATATCTATCAACTAGATAAAAGTTATTTTCTTATATCAAGGAAAAGTTAAAAGTTAATTCACTAAAAATTATTTTAGCTGGGCGTGGTGGCTCACACCTATAATCTCAACACTTCGGGAGGCCAAGGCAGGTGGATTGTTTGATACCGGGAGCTTAAGACCAGCCTGGGTGACAAGGCAAAAACCCGCCTCTACAAAAAAAAAAAAAAAAAAAAAAAAAAGAGCTGAGCATGGTGGCATGCCCTGTAGTCCCAGCTACTTGGGTAGCTGAAGCGGGAGAATCACAGTGAGCCATGATCATGCCACTACACTCTAGCCTGGGCAACACAGCAAGACCCTGTCTCAAAAAATAACAACTGTTTTACTTTTGCTAAAATAAGTTTTGAATGATTTTTATAATTTTTTATTACTATTACTATATGTATACATTGCTGATTGGCAAATATAATTTGATACACTACAGTTTATGTAAGTAAATAAATAACATTAAGAGTTACCCAGCAGATATAAAGTGAAATGTTAATCATTTTTAAATTTAACTTAAAAATTTTGCTTAGTTATTGATAACCCTGCATCGAAATTTTTAAAAGTAAGCTTTACACTTACTATTTTTATGTATACAGCACAGCTATACGTACAGTACATAATAATACATATATACAGTATATATATAGTGAATCTGTGGTATTAAAATTTCATGAAGGAGCAATTAAGGAAAAAGAAAATATCTAAAAAAGGCCCTTAGTGGAGAGATTAATTTTAAAAAGGTTAAGAAACACTATTACTACAATATCTATCAGAGGGAATACCAAGCTGACCAAGCCATTCATCTTGGGACTTTATTCCAATTTGCTACAAGTACTAAAGTATCACGAAAACATCAAAATACCTACCCCTCAAAAAGAGTTAAGTGAACATGAGTGGAGAGAACTTTGCCTTGTGCATACAAGAGAGTGAGGCAAGAGCAGTAAAAACAAGGCAGGGCTAAGTGACTCATGTGATGATTGCTGAAGCTTCTATAAAAACAGTGCCTGTGTTATACCACTATTCCAACTGTGTAGGAATCACTGCTTATTTGTTTAATATTGCTTTGTCTTTTAATTCCTTCAAAGAAGCTAAGAAAAATGATAGTATTTGAAAGCTTGCCTCAAACACAAAAAAGCAGACATCCAGAGGAATCAAAACTGTTTCCATACAGACTAACCAAAGGTCAGAAGCTTAAAAACTTCCAATTTTTTTCAACCTGTTGTCTTCACAATTTATTTGTTGATGGTAACTAAATGTGGGCATGCTAGAAAGATCTCCCTTTATTATAGTCCAGAATGTTTTGTATAAATCAAACCATAAATTGAACACTTTTACTTCAACAAGTTGTTCAATAGATATTTTTCTCATATATTTCCAAGCTCATGTTACACTAAAAACCAGTGTGATGACCAGGGAAACATCACAATTTCACCCATATTTTTTAGCATCTGAAATCTTTCACAGGTGTCCTGAAAGGGGAAAAAGGTCATGAACTCCAGGTCATTAGGTATTACTGTAGCAGAAGGTACTACCCACTGTGTATACAGATGGTACAGGATTAAATGTGCATATTACTTACAAGGTTATTTTTCATTTCACAAAATGTATTCTGAGCAGCATGAAAACTAGAATTGTCAAAACTAAAGTTCTAAACCTTTTGTCTCTCCAACAGGGATCTTGTCACAAGTTAAATTCAAGTTTTCTGTAGAACTGTAAATAATCAAAACTGAAATAGGTAACAAGCTAAAGGGGAAAAAAAATCACAGGCTCAAGTCAACGCAGCCAATCACACACAAAGCCCATACATTCTACAAGAAATAATTTTTGCCACTGATCTGCCCGGCAACCACATAACTGTTCCAAATACAAAAATGTGGAGAATTTTCCTTGCCCAGAAGTGGTTTTTGAAAAGGATAGATGCCTCTTAACATACATAATTAAGTTTGCAACAAACCACAAAAAATGAAGGGGAAGAAGCCTGAAAAAAAGAAAAAGCATATATATATATATATGCCATAATAATCTGATCCAAAGCCACTAAAATATTTGGAGTTGAACCCTTTTGAAACTCTTAAAATGCTCTGCAGTCTGCTAAAAAGTTAAAGGTTCTTCTTTTTTTCCCACTCAACATTGATCTTATTCTGTCATCAACTTGACATTCTATCTCAAGTTGTTAACTGCAAGGATGCTCAGCAAATAAGAAATATGTAAGACCAGGGGACCACGGCTTTTCACTCTAGCTACAACTACGGGCTTTCTGGGTGCTTTTGCAGATACTCCACATGCTGCAGAGGACTGCCCCCTGCATAACAAGCAAGGTTACGCTCCAATGTCAACAAAACTCCATAGGTTAATGCGAAGATCAATCAGATGAATTTCCAGATTTCTTATAACGCACGGAGCCAGGTTTCTCAAAGGTGAATCGAGTTCTGTTCCATTCATCCCTACCACCAAACAAAGCAGTACAAAAGAAAGCTTAGTAGTGTACATTAAAAGGACAGGAAGAAATAGGTATAAGTGCCGACGTAACTGACATATGCAGGAATCTCTGGAGAACAGACTTAGCTCAATTATAACTGCAAAGCCACTAGAGATTTTTAATTATTAAAAAGTAAGCCATATGCCAGAGTAATATCAGACAACTCAGTAATCAAGAATGGCAGGGAACAGTAGTTCTTAATCTGCTTCCACTCTACTTTTTAATACTCTGAAGACCTTTTCTTAGTTGAAAAAGCTGTATGTAAAATAACAATAAACTGGAGGAAATGATGCAGCTAAACATGCCCCAGTAACAAAATTCCTGTGTTTACTGATTTGCTTAGGAGTCTGAAAAACAATTTTGTTCCTTAGTTGTGGTATGTATGTGTGTACGTGTGTGTGTATTTTATATACACACACACAAACACATACATATATATTAGATGAAAAACTTAATACCAACTTTATTACTGACTTATTTTGACAAGCCACTTCTTTATACATTGTTTTCTTCAACCATAAACAAAAAAGGATAATCATACTTGCCATTAGATAATCAAAACAGAAATCCCTATGAGAAATGAGGAACCATTATTTGTAATGATACCAATTCTCTGTGGCTTGATGGTTCTTGCAGAAAGCACCCTGAGAAAAAAAGCACTCAGAGCTAGATGTGTGCCCAGGACTCCAAGAGACTAATGCGGCCAATGATGGTGATAGGGGGTGAAAGTAAATCTCCTGCCCTTTTCCAAAGAAAGCCCGTTAGATATACTGAAATACATACTGATTCAGGCTGCCCATGTGTAAAAAGCTTTTCATGTTCATAAATCTTGGACATTTCATACATGGAAAAACTTCAAAAGATTACAATGTTCTACTATGACAGCCAATGTAGATTCAAAAGGAACCACAAGTCTGAGTCTGTAAATATTCATGCTAAATCAAAAACCAAAATAACAACCTGGCCTAACAAAATTGAACATAAAGACCTACAACCACATCAGAAGTAGTGACAGTTTAGGAATGTGTATTTCCTAATTAAAAAAAAAAAATTCTAAACAAAAACAGCAGACATCTACATGTTAGGAAACTAGATACTAAGTATTATATTCTGTATGGGTGCTAAATTATATGGAATTCAAATTATAACATCATAAGTTTAGAATTAGAAAAACCTGACTTTTAAGCAGAAGATCAACACAAATTAGCTGTATCACAAAAAGTTCCAAGTGGCACTATCACAAAATTTTCCAAATGATGAATGCTGTGGCTTCTATCTTCTTAAGGTTTCTTAAATCAGTCCTTTCCTTGGATCCTATGAGCACGATCCAGGCCAAGTCCTCATTATCACTCCTCTACAATGTGCTAAAATCCCTTCCCACCATTCTCTTCACCTCTGCTCTCCATCCCACCCAACCTACATATTGCTGCTAAATTAATCCTTTTAAAGTACAGATCTAATATCACCTACCTGCTTTAAAAGAAGAAAAAAAAGAAGCTTTAATGCTTTTCTCCTAACTAGCTGCAGCCTTTCCCTAGCATTCAAGACTCCAAATATAGTTTCAAGCTCCTTCCTCACCCTATAGCCAAACCACACTACACTGTCTGCTGTGTTTCCAAACATACAGCCTGTGTTTCCTATCATTAGTTTGCCTTGCTTCCCCTGTCTCCACCTATTCTTCCAAAGGCCCATCTCACTTTGCAGAAACTCCCTATTGTTTTTCTGGATGCCCTGAAGAAGTTGCACTTTCTTCCTCTTCGGAAACATCAAGACAATCATTTTAACATCTTGGTTTGAGGGTCGGTATGTGGTGGTCTTTTCCCTGGCTGGTTGCTTGACAGCAGCACCTGTGTCCTACTTATCATTGTCTTTTCTGAAGTCTGCCTTATAACTAGGAACTCACACTCTTCTGATAAATAAATATCTAAGGAACTGATTGAAGCAGGAGAAGTCACAATATTAAGATACCAGTTTACAGAAATATTATCCATCTAAAGGTTACACAAAGCATCACATCCACCACAAGCTATGCTCTCATTTACCATTTCAGCTCTTTGCAACCTTTCAAGTATGAAAGAAATTGGACCTCACGTTCAGGACGCAATCTGCATCAAATTTTTATCTAGCTAAACTGTTTAAGAAATAAGATTTCTGAGAAGATTGTGCATGGAAGGAAAAGAAATGCTTCACATCAGCTTACAGGTTGCCATAAGCCTGGATGACCTGGTCTTAAAGCAAAATTCTAGGATGGTAAACTGGTGAATGAGTATATACAGGCACTAAAAAGGCAGACAACACTGGCAAGGATACTGGGAGGCAGAAGCTGTGGGGTCAACATGCATGACCCGGCTCCGGCTTCTTTAACTTGCCTAACCCCAGTTCCCTCACTCATAAAACCGGGCTCGTGGGCTGGATGAACTCCAAAATCCAGTTCTAACATCTAGAACTCCACAAGCATAACAATGTCTGCATTTTATTATTTCTCATGGAAAGTGGGTAAGAAACAACTTCCTGCTTATTTAATCTCTCATTTATTTAAAAAAAAAAAAAGAACCACACACATCTTCAATCTAAAAAAACCCATAGATTTCAGGGTTATTTTCAAAGGAGTCTCAAAATGAAAACAAAAACAAAAATTAAACAACCACCAACAAAAACAATCCCTGAGGACTAATAAATAAAAGAAAAAAACATATTACCCCACCAAATCTCATTACTAACTGTTAAATAACACTTTAAAAGTAAATGTTCTGTTAGAAATTTAAGATGCCAAATAGAGTTATAAAGCACAGTGAGGTAAACGGTAGGAATAAGTGGTGAAATATTTCTCTCAAGTTGTTTCTGGACCTTTCATCTAACAAAATAAATTTAGATTGAAGCTGCAGAAATATGAAAAGCAAAAATTTCAGAGTTCCTTGGATAATGAGAAACTATTAATAGAATATTAGGAGCACATATATACCATTTAGTTAGCCTAGCTTAAACTCTCCAACAAAGATTTTACTGTACTTGGGATTTTATACACGAGGATTCCCACCCTTGCTCTGCAAACTTTATGACTTGATTAACATGTGTGAAATCTTTCAGAATAACTTCTGAGGTTTTTGTTTTTGTTTTCTTTTTTCTTTTGTCTTAAAGCCATCAGACAGGCAGCTTTTGAGTGCAAACCATCACTTTAGGTCTTACCAGCTTCCAGTTAAAACTTCTGGGTTCACCATGTGCTGATGGCTTAAAGGTGCCAGTGATTTAGCCATTTTGATGGCTTAAAGGTGCCAGTAACTAGGGGTTACAGCTCAGTTGGAACGAAAGTATACTGTGCAGCACTTACGAGAGTTCTGAAAAGTGTTTTCTTAAAATGCTGGAGGGAAAGGGGATATTTTCTGGATAATATTGACAATTAATTGAAATAAAACTCTCCCTTTCTTTCTAAAATCCCAAATCAAAACTACCAACTTCATCAAAAACAAGGTGTAGCCTCTTCCTGACACTGTCACTAACTCTGGATTCGGCTCATCTGTCTTACCTTCTGATGCTTTGATCACATATCCCCCCTTGTCTTCACCAGGAGGCACATCGAGCAACTGCATAATTCTGTCCAGCAGCCCATGAATGATCTCAAACCCAGGATTCTTGTTGTAATAAACAGCACAGAGATGTCTGTAGTTTTTTGCACCTACATCTAGAAAAATAAAGGAACTGGTCACAACGCTGTATTAACCATTGCTTAAGAAACTGATTTACCCCAGTACAAACTTAGAAAAAGTCAACAAAAAAGAAAACCAAATATTAAACATTCAGAGAAGGATTCAACCTCACAAATGCAAAATAAGATAAAATAGTCTTTTTTCAGCTCATCAAATTCCCTAAGGTGTTTTATTTGGGGGAAAGAGTGAAAAACCCTCAATGCTGACCAGGGAAAATAAGGCTTCACTGAGGTATAAGTTGGTAAAATTCTTTGTAAACAATTTACCAATATATCAGAGCCTTAAAGCTTCATACTCTCTTATTCATAATATTAATACTACCCAAAGGAAATAATCCTAAATTCAAAAAGGCTTTATGTAGAAAGACATTTACTACAACATTATTTCCAATAGTAAAATTATAAACAACCTATATTAGGGATGGCTACATAAAGTACAGTGCAATCACTCATCAGGATACTAAGCGGCTATTAGAAAGCATCTTTATGATGGTTTATCATAACACAGCAACAGCAAATACTTATCATAGTAAATGAAAATTAAAAAGAGACCACAAGGTTCAAAAAGAGGCAAAACTAAATTACATTGTTTAAAGAACAAACATAGATTGGAAAACTATGAAGCAAGTAAGGTAATGACTATGACCAAAGTTAGGCTAACAATTACCCTAGGTTAAAATGAAGAATCTGTGATGGGGAGGGGTCATATAAGAAGCTTAGGATACTGGCAATGTTCCATTCTTAATGTGGCTGATGGTTACACTAGTGTGTACTTTGTAATATTTTAAAAACTACCTATGTTGAATACATTCTTCACAAAGCATAAAAAAAGCAGAATACTAAAGTTTATGAAGCTATGCTACCACATGGGTGAATCTTGAGGACATTATGCTAAATTAAATAAGCCACTCACAGTAAGACAAATACTGCATGATTCCATTTATATGAAGTATCTAAGTCATGAAACTCGGAGAAACAGAAAGTAGAAAGGTAGCTGCCAGGGGTTGGAGGGAAAGGGAATGGGGAATTGATATTGAATGAGTATAAAAGTTTAGCCATGCAAGATGAAAAGTTCTAGAGACCCACAACAACGTGCACATAGTTAACACTACTGTAACTGTGCACCTCTAAAAGTTTACTAAAAGGGTAGCTCTCATATGTTTTTTACCACAATAATAATAATTTTTTAAAGTATATGAAGAATAGGGCCAGGCAAAACAGCTCATGCCTGTAATCCCAGCGCTTTGGAAGGCCAAGGCAAGAGTTTGAGACCAACCTGGGCAACATAGCAATACCCCATCTCTACAATAATAATAATAATAATAATAAAAAGATGAAAAACAGAATCACAACTACATAAATATAGCCATAAGCCAAAAAACCCCATGAACAGAGAAAAAGACTGAAAAGAAATATACCTAAATGTTAACAGAGGTTATGTTTGGGCAAGGATAATTTTTTCCAACTTTTATTTACTTCCCAGTTTTTCCATGATTAGTATATATTATTCTACTTTGAAAACTAAAACAAACTTACAAACTCAATATTTCATTTTATTTCACTTTATTTTTTGAGATAGGGTCTCGCTCTGTTGCCCACCCTGGCGCAACCACAAATAATATAAAAGTGCACTGCAGCCTCAACTTCCTGGGCTCAAGCAATCCTCCCACCTTAGCCTCCAGGGTAGCTGGGACCATAGGCACACGCCACCACACTCAGCTAATTTTTTAATTTTTTGCAGAGACAAAGTCTCACTCTGTTGCCCAGGCTGGTCTCAAACTCTGGGCTCAAGTGATCCTCCTGCCTCAGCCTCCCAAAGTGCTGGAATTAAGGTGTGAGCCACTGTGCCCAGCTAAAGGCAATATTTTAAAAAAGAATTCCAACAGTCCAAATGAACACTGATAACAAACTGGTACATCCATACAGTAGGATACCACTCAGCAACAAAAAGGAACAAACTGTAGATAGACTTGACAACCTGGATGACTCTCAAAGGCATTACGCTGAAAGAAAGAAGGCTCTCAAAAGGCTACAGACAGTATGAGTCCATTTATATGACATTCTGGAAAAGGCCAAACTTATGGGAACAGAGAACAGATAGTAGTTGTCTGGGATTAGGTATGGGAAAAAAATGCAACTAAAATAAGGCGTTTTTAGGGTGATGGAACTTTTTGATCTTGTAGTGATAATTATAATCATCTAAACCTCTCTCAATTTACAAATCTAATGTGATCTTAAAAAAAATACCAATAGAATTGAAAAAAATTACATAAATGGATTCTAAAGTTCATATAAAAAAACAATAGTGATAGAGGGAGACTACTAGATATTAAAATTTATACATCTACAGCAATTAAAACAGAGTGGCAATAATTTGTGAGTAGTCATACAGATGAGTGGAACAGAACAGTTCAGAAACAGATCTAAATACTTACAAGAATTGAGAATATGATAAAGGTGGCTTTTCTTTTTTTTTTTATACCATATTATCCAGTAATTCTACTTCTTTTTTTTTTAATTTTATTATTATTATACTTTAAGTTTTAGGGTACATGTGCACAACGTGCAGGTTTGTTACATATGTATACGTGTGCCATGTTGGTGTGCTGCACCCATTAATGAGAGAAGTGATATCTTTATGATGCTGCGTATTTCTATGAAAGAACGTGGTGTATCTTCCCATTTGTTTGGGTCTTATTTCATCTCTCATTAGCACTTTAACATTTTCTACAAATAATATTTCTTGTGTTTATTCCTAAGTATGTTATCATTTATGTTTTGTGCTATTATAACATGGGTCTTTTCTTCCCTTAGAGCTTGAAATTAGACATATTGTATCTATAAAAGCTATTGATTTCTGAAAATTAATTTATTAAATTTTTATTTTGTAAAAAAAAAAATCATCTAAACCTGTAACAAAACTCATTTTTAAAAAGAAGTACCTAAGTATAGAGAGGAAGACTGAAAGTCAGCAGTCATCATTTAACTTTATAACACTTGTGGCCCTTCAATACATTCTGGAGACCGCTGCTCTAACACAAACATAGAACGAATGCTGGCCTCATTTTGCTTTCCAAATTAAAAAGAGAAAAAACAAACTAATATCTGAGGGAATAAACTGAAAACAGAAAGCTGCTTCATGTTAGCATACATTGAGCAAAACTTCTTCCACGGATTTACTCCCATAGGTAAAAGCTACTAGCAATAGTTGACATAAAATACAGAATGCCTTTTATCTTCTAGATATCCAAGTAAAACATGAATATTTTAAGACACTGTACTCTAATATTAAAATAATATAAAAGTAAGCACATAAATGGAGGAAAACGAAAACTAACATTAACTGTTAATCTGTGGTATCGATTATCTGGCACATGCTAGGTATTAACTATCTGTCAATTTATCTATAATCTTATTTAATTCTCAAGACAACCATGCAAAGTAAGTATTATTATTCCTATAAAACAGATGGAGAAACAAAGCTCAGAATGATTAAGTAACTTGGCCAAAGTCAAACTAATTGGCTGGAGCTAATACGATTAATTATATTATTATTAATATAATTAATATTATATTATATATTATTATATATATTAGATAATAATAATAAATATAATATTAATTATATATATTAATTAATTATATTGCTAATACGATTAATTATCTGGTCAAAACCAGGATTTGACCAGAATTAACTGACTGTAAAACCCATGCTCTTTCCACTATAGGGTACACCCAAAAACATTTAAATGAAAACAAACAATATAAGGGCAAGCTTATGTATGGCTATATATCCACTTAATATGGTCAAAGATGTGCATTGTTGAGGCCAGGCGCGGTGGCTCACGCCTGTAATCCCCGCACTTTGGGAGGCCAAGGCAGGCGGATCACAAGGTCAGGAGATCGAGACCATCCTGGCTAACATGGTGAAACTCCGTCTCTACTAAAAATACAAAAAAAATTGGCCAGGCATGGTGGCAGGCACCTGTAGTCCCAGCTACTCAGGAGGCTGAGGCAGGAGAATGGCGTGAACCCGGGAGGCAGAGTTTGCAGTGAACCGAGATCACGCCACTGCACTCCAGCCTGAGCAACAGAGCGAGACTCCGTCTTAAAAAAAAAAAAAAAAAGATATGCATTGTTGAAATGTTTTTTATATGATAAACAGATGTTTTATTTTCAAAAGTTTTTGTGAAACTTAAGAATTCCATTTAAGCAACTGAAATAAATTATTTTTAAGAGTCAGTGAAGTTTCTAGCCATGAAAGTATTGTTACTTATGGAAAGTATATTCTGAGTTGAACTTCGGACTGAACAGATACAAAGAAATAACTGCCCTTGCCATTTAACATTTCTCAGTACACACTATATTCAAGGCGCTCTATTCTAGATATTCTTTGATGATAGAGGTCAAAGCCAGTACAAGACATCTACAACCTAAACCGTCAGTAATTCTTCTTTGTTTCTTTGAGACAGGGTCTCACTCCAGTAGCCCAGGCTGGAGTGCAGCAGCATGATCTTGGCTCATTGCAGCCTTGACTTCCCAGGCTCAGGCGATCCTCCCAACTCAGCCTCCTGAGTAGCTGGGAGTACAAGCACACATCACCATGCCCACTGAATTTTTTTTTTTTTTTTTTTTTTGTATTTTCAGTAGAGACAGGGTTTTACCATGTTGCCCAGGCTGGTCTCGAACTCCTGGGCTCAGGCAATCTGCCTGCCTCAGCCTCCCAAAGTGCTAAGGCTACAGGCATGAGCCACCATGCCAGACCTCAATAATTATTTTCTGAGTAAATGCCTACAGCCTAAAAAGAAGATAAGCACACACAAATAGCTATTAAACAGGGCCAGGAGCAGACAGTGGGCCATATCTATGCCAGCTGAGATAAGCGAGGAGCATACCACTGTCACCTCCATCATTTCCATTTTTAAAGATAAAGAAATTTGGTATCTAAAAGCTATAAGTCGACATTAAAATCAGACAGGCACAAAACCTCACTAAACCAACCATATTCATAAACTAAATTGAAGAGCCTGATTCCACTGTAGGAATACAAACTTTCTCTCTCTCTCTCTCTCTCTCTCTCTCTCTCTGTGTCTCCCTTTCTTTCATTCTCTCCCTCTGAAGGGAAAAAAATGAAACGAAACAGAACTAAATTATCCCTTTCATACTACTGACTTGCTTCTGGGTATTTTTGCCATGTGGTACCCATTTGTTGGTGTGGATGTCACATGCTTCCACTTTAACACACAGGCACGTATTGAAACAACTTTGGAGTTCCATTTTTGCTGTGAGAGAAGAGCCCAACAGTAATACTACCATTAAGAGAGAGCTTAGCAACTAAACTGGAAGCTTTATTTTGGTAATCTTTGCCAAATTCCAAGTACTTTTTTCCTGATTTCTAAATTATGTAAAGCTTTTATATTTCTGATATGAGCAGCAATATCTGGATTAAAAATTTAGAATTTTAAAAAACAAATTAAGTAAACTTGTGATGAGAATAATAAAATCACAATTAAAAAATATAGAATGTAGGCCAGGCACAGTGGCTCAGGCCTGTAATCCCAGTACTTTAGAAGGCCGAGGCAGAAGGATCACTTGAGCCCAGGAGTTTCAGACCAGCCTGGGCAACAAAGTGAGACTCCATCTCTACAATAAATTATTTAAAAAAATGTAAAGATTAGCCAGGCACACTGGTGGTGTCATATGCCTGTAGTCCCAGCTCCTTGGGAGGCTGAAGTGGGAGGATCCCTTGAGCACAGGAGTTCGAGATTGCAGTGAGCTATGATCATGCCTGAGTGACAGAGTGAGACCCTGCCTCAAAACAAAAACAAAAACAAAAGAGAACTTAAAAAATTTATACTCTATTTCATTCAAGAAAGGTTTCAGGATGTTTATAGCATACACATACAATAATGAACTATATATTTTTAGATTTAATTTTGCAATATTTTTAAGAAAAGCCTGATTTCTAGGGCTTTGTATTAAGCCCACCGTAATAATTAGATTAACCTCATTATTTAGGCGCCCCCTCCCAACTCCACACTGATTGGCTGGCTTTTTACGTTTCCCAAGGGTTATTGCTCTCTCCGGACTTACTTCCTTATATCTTGCTAAGATACTCCCTCTACTGTAGCTGAACTGAATCAAAGGAGAAAATAACCACAAACTTATTTCCACCCATTCCTCCTTGAAATTGCTGGGTATAGTAACATTCCCATTTCCTAGTATGTTGCACTAAGAGACCATACTACATCATAGAAAGTCCACTGACTACACACCACAAAATAAGAACTATTTAAAAGTCATGCCAAAGCTGGGGTTTGTTGGAAATGCCTCAGTTCTTTTATAACTCAGTTAACAGACTGCTTGTGTCATGCCATCAAACAATTCTGCTTTTTAAATGGGCCTGGCAAGTATGTCAGCCTAAATTATCTATGTATTTCACAGACTTCAAAGTACTGCCTGGAGAGGGCTGATCTAAGCTGCGCAAAGGAGGGGCGGCTAGCTACAATTCTATAAGATGAAAGAACACGCCAAATGATTTTTTAACAGAAAAGAAAAAGGAGTGGTACATGATGTCCCCTTGTAAATGACTATTACATATAACTCAAATTTTTCAAATAGGCTCCTGTTTGGTATAGATCCTCTTCCACCAAAGTACCAATGATTAAAAACTAAGGTGTTTGGTTATGTTATCATACATGGCACAGACTGGAAAAGAGCAGAGTCTTCCAGAGAAACTTTCCACTCCTATTCTCACATTCACCTAAAAGCCCAAAGAAAGATGCTAGGAGAAAACCTATTGGGAGACCAAAACAGCTTCTAGAATAATCAGAGGCTGATGTGGAGCTTGAGGTTAATAGTCTGGCCAAATTCAGAAAATAAAACAAAGCAACTTGATTCTTCTATTCCATCCAACAAATTTATCTCACATTGGAACCCACAAGACTATAATTTATATTGCAAATTTTATACATCTCCTGAAGAATTTCAGTGCAGGCCTAAATGATTCACAAATGCAACAAGAATCTTGTGAAGACATAATGCCTCCAAAAATCATATCAAATGTGGGTAAACAGGAACCTTTCTCTTGGTAGGATGCTAAGTTTGTAAAAAATCCTTTTATGAAGAGAATTCAACAAATTATCACACATTTAGATGTTTACACCTATGGAATGATCAATTCTAGTTCTAAAAATACCTATTTGTATAAAGGTACAAGGACATTTCTTGCAACAGACATAGTTTAGCAAAAGTTTGGTAAAAATCTAAACATTCATAACAATCTAAGCAAATAAATTATAGTACATTGATATGATGGAAGATTATCCAGCCATTAAAAAGAAATGAAGTTGATAGAATGTGCTCAGAGGAGAAACAAGGTGCAGAACAAGACAGGTAAAGTATATCCCATTTGTATAAACATTAAAAAGTATTTATCCATTATCTATGGCTGTAAATAAAAGCATAACATATGCTTGTATGAGCACAGAAAAGGGCCGGCAACTAATTCTAAGAGTAGGACTAAGGAGAAGTTGGATATTAAAAAAAAAAAAATAAGAAAAGATTAGAATTGCTTTTAAATTAAAAATACATATTCATGAAAGGTCTTAAAACATCACAAATATATTTTCAATTTTTTTAAAAAGAAATAAAGCTTAAGAACAATTTTCCTTAAAATGCCCTCCTATATTATAGCACCAAAGTACAGAACTTCCTTTTTAAAATAGTGCTGAAAAGCCAAGAAACAAATATGAGGAAAAATCTATGACCTTCTCAACGCATGAAGGAAAAAGTACGTCCTTGTGGGTTGGCTTTTATTTAGTTAATGTAAACCTGGAATGGATTTTTTACCTATTAAAAAAAAAACACAATATTCAATGCATGACAGGACACATTATACTCACGTTAGCAGATCTTAACTATGTGGAACCAAATGTACTAAAATAACTTTCTATATTAAAAATGATGTATTTACACAGTTAAGATGCCATCATGTATGCAAATGTGTTACTTCAAAAATTGTTAATGTCGATGCTCCTTACACCCATATTTTTTGAATTAATAATTGGAAATTCTACATGCCAAAAATATGAAATGGTGAAATTAAATTAATCCAGACTGATGACATAAGCTCTCTTTGGAAAACCACATTCCACATGTGGACGCTAGATAATCCTCCATTATTTGAGGGCTCCAGAATTACTGGATAATTTCTCAGAACTGAAGTATTTCACAAGCCCACAATGAAAATGCTTTTATTGAGTTATTTTTAAGCATAGAGTTACACAAAAACCTTTAAAGATCTGACCGCTATATTTTCGTAACTTATAAGACAGATACACAAACACCAACATACATATATGATACAAACCAATAGCAAATTGAAAGAACAAACCAAATCATAAAAGAACAGTGAATTAGGTTTGTTCTGTGATGGCCTTGGTGGTCAAGGGAGGAGAAAGGAACAAGAATCTTAAACATATATTGTGACTAAAGTTTAAAAAAAAATTCTGTATTTCTACATCCAAACTAAGCAGGTAAGAAGAAGTAGATCATTCGCTCATTTAGAAAAGTTTCAGGGAAAATGTGAAATTTTAAAAACTATTTTGTCAGTGATTTGAGGGGTAGAGGAAATGTAGCTTGCACCAGGACTACAGCAATGCTTTAGAGAAAGTTAATAATGCTCTGAGCAAAAAGTGAAGGCTTAGCCTGCTTCATGAAGAAAGTGACACTAACTGGAGCCCTATGAACGGTCAAGAGGCTTTAACCTATCCTATTCCATCTATGTTTATTAAAATCCAACATTTTGTAAATGTAGTAGTTATAAACAAAATGCATGGCAATTTGATTTTCAGGGTTCTCCACAGATATATGTCAAATTGACAATTGGAGGATTGTATCTTACTAAATCTAAATCACCCTCTTACATTGCAAAGCCAAACCAATCTTTCTTTGGCTCTTGTTCCTTTTACACTTAAACTCACTCAACCCAGTGATATGTTTTCTCTTGCCATTTCAGAGAGATTCTATCTATATACATTGGCAGCTTCAGTGACCATAAAGGAATAAACTGCAATCACAGAAGTCAATCTGTGTTTAAGAAAAAGCCTGAATATTGGATTTTGCAAAATACAGTTGCTTTTCTGGGCATAAGGATTAAGAATTCACAATTAGGTCCTTTGTTCCCCAGAAGTCATTTTTCTTTTAAACTATTTTGTTTATAGTTTAGTTGTTCCTGACATTTAACAGAAAAAATTAAAATGTTAAGGATTTAAACCAATCACCAACCAATAGCTCACACAGCAGCCTGATATGGCAGCTTCAATGCTGCGTCTGCTGACTTCCTTGTTATCAACTGAAAAATTTACCCCACAGCAGAGTCTGCATTCAACTTCTCATTCCAAAAGCATATGCCACTCTGCCCAACAAAATGCATAAATCAGCTGAGTCCCTTGAGTCATGACTAATTTTTTAAAATGTTGCAGCAACTTCATATCTAGAGTCTCAATAAATGCAGTGGTTGGCTCAGCCTCAAAGAACCTGAATGTGTCTGATTTAGAGTGGAAGTCTTAATGCTCAAAAAGTGTGCCTGATGCAGTCTCTAAACTGGCAGCCTGACGGCCTCATACAACACGGATGGTCAGTCAAAAAAGTCTACATTAGAATAAGAAACTGTCCAACGAGGTCAAGCATGAAAATAGGGCTAGGAGTCTTTCATCTACTCTTACAGGAATACTGGTCACATAAAATGTGTGGGAGGCATATCGAAATCCAGTATGGATTCTATTTTCATTTTGGAAGACATGCTTGCCCACCCCAAATTGATACAAGGCTGGGAAGGTTGGGTTTTTCCTTAATATTAGAAAACAAGTTAATGGCAACTGTTGCTCCCTTCTGAGCTACCAAGGGGCAACTGGTACATTCTCTCAGCATTATCTGTAAGAATCTGCTCACAGGTTTGTCTCCCTTAAGACTGGCAACTCTTTCTCTGATATTCTAAAGCAGTCTCTAGCAATGAAAAAGAACTTAAAAATCTTTTCCACCAATGTGCTGTGCTGAATGAGACTGCCTTGCTCATTCTTGCCACTCTATCTCTACTCTTTTGAACCAGTAGTTTAGGTACTGCTCCCACCAATGAAAATCTGAGGAATTTTCACATCAACTGGAAAACTATGGTTTAGACTTTTTTCTTCAAAAAAGTTTCATTATTTAGAAGGAAATTGCTAATGTGAATCCAACAGAGAAAAATGGTTACTGGTTTGAGAAACAGTAAAAACATGTTAATTCACTCAAAAAAAGTAGGTGACGAATTACTCAAAAAACAACATTCCTGTTTCCATAAATAAATTCCCACATTCGTCTGTTTTAGTTTTCTTATTCTAAAAATAAAAAATAGAAAAAATAGAAAATAAAAATTAAAAAAAAAGCATAACAGAACCAATTAAGTCAAAAGTTAGGATAAGAATTGGCCCCAAGTGCCTCAGCAAGGTGACATTAGCCCTTTAATGGACAGCTAAGGCTTTCAAGTCATTCTAGTAAAAAATTCCCATAAACCAGGATGCTAAATTATCTGAGCTTAGGAATTGTAAATATCTTAACAACAAGACCAAACACCAACAGTTCTTATTACGTGGCTAGAACTTTTCAAACTGCAATTTCATTTAATCCTTATAACATATCAATGAAATAAGTGCTATCATTATTCCCACTGTACAGATGAGAAAGCTGAGCCACAGAGAGAATAAACAAATTGTCCGAATTTAAGCAGCTGGTAAAGGCAGAACCATGACTCAAAGCCAAGCACTCTGGCTGCAGAGTCTCTCTATGGAACTGTGGTGCTTTGCTGCCTCCCCTGTTGTCCTCTATGTACAGCAGATGACAAGTAGGGAATCCATATGTACATTTTTAGAATACTCCATCAGAGAAGCTCATTTTGTTATGAAACAAAATCCAGGCCTACCTAAACAGAAAACATACTCCAAATAAACTAAAGCAAACCTATGTTTTCAAGATGGTAGACTTACCAAGCACATTTACCTCCCTTCATTTCTCAAATCCCATTGATGATGGAAAACTTTTTAAAAAAAGAATAAAGAAGAATGGTACAAGACAACAGGCAAAAGTAATACCAGAAATGAATCAATGGAGAAAATAGAGTGGTGTAATTATAACAAAAGACAGATATAGAAGAGGTTTCCTACAGAAATAGAACTATCCTTCCCAACGAAACAAAGTACTGCAGAAACGCAAATCTAAAAGATATATGAACTGAGTTTCTGGGATAATCACCTAAGTAATTTGTTCTTTCTTTCTTTCCTTTCTTTCTTCTTTTTGGGGGGGCGGGGGGGCGCGTGGGGGAGACAGGGTCTTACTCTGTTGCCCAGGCTGGAGTGTAGTTAGTGTAAACATAGCTTACTGTAGACTCAACCTTCTGGGCTCAAAAGGTTCTCCCACCTTGGCCTCCCAAAGTGCTGGGATTACAGGCATGAACCAACACACCTGGCCACCTAGGTGATTTGTTAGAAGATGGCCTATAGCACTAGCACTTAAGAACAGCTCTCTCAATAGGAAGTCATCCTAAGCATAAGCCTTCGGGCCAGAAAGAGAAGCAGAGTACAGTCTACACCTGGGCCTTTCCAACAAACACAAATTAAAACAAAAATAGCAAAGGCACCACTACCCAGGACTAAAATACTGCCAAGTGCCCCATCCCTACAACAGCCCCAGCTTCCTCACCCGCACCCTCTGCCTGGTTGTGAGCATGCCCAGCCCCACAGAACCGTGCATGGCCCTCAGCGAGCCCTAGCAATTAGGGAAGAGGCCTACTGCTGAAACAGTATTACAAAACTTTTGAGGAAACCTAGTGTAATTAACCTAACCCTGATTTATAAATGTAACCATATATTTATAAACATGAACAGATCATCAAGGATCAAAACAATACAAAACCCAAAGAAATAAGATGAATGGAAACAACTCAAGGCTAACAGAAAAATTTGACAATGGAATTATATCAAATTCTCAGTTATCTCTACCAGTGGAGGATTTAAGGCACAAGAACACTCAAAACTATTTGCAGCTGGCACTAAACATGTTTTCTGATTTCTATTATAGTAAATTTACCACCTAAAGAAAATTCTACATAGTGATATTAAACACGAACTTTCATTCTCTAAGGATGTGTGACTGAGATCTGTACTATGGCTCCAGCTCCAAGTTCAATATTTTATGCAGCCCTGGGCAAATTACCACTTTCTGTCTTAATTTGCCAATCCATTAAATGGGACAATATTGGGGAACAGATGGAATCCAGCCTTGGCTGGAGAGTTTGCCATGGACAGTAGTAGCTCTGGTCATACCTCTATAATTCCTAAGATAGGTCGATTTACAGTCAATAGTTGTGACTACTTTGGAAAGTTAAGAATGATATGTTTATCCTCTTCTGGAGAAATTGAGAATAAGGTCTCTGCTTTTGTCAACTGATTCAAAAGAACACACTCTGAATTCTGCAGAGTCTAGAGTAAGCATCGCTGCATAAACACTGCTAGTAATTGATCTGTTAAATCCAGAAACCAAGGAAACACAGCAATTGAGTCACTTAAGGTATTGCTCACCAAGGGACCAATGCACATACAGCTTCGAACAGTCAGATTTGTATCAGAGACTGGAGATGTGGAGTTTGAACAAGACTGAATTCCTTGGCAATCAAGTGGAGGTACTTACTAAATATATACTCATTAAATAACCACCAACCACCACATTCCAAGTGTTGGACCAAGCAACCCACTGTACTAACAAGCCCAGGGCTTACTCAAAAGTAACAAAAACTGGTAAAACACATTCGCAGTCACTGGTACAATGGTAATGGTGGACAGTCACTGCTAAACTAGAATGACATGATATCAAGTATGTTAAGACAATATGCATATAAATCACGCCATATAAGAAAATGTTCCACAGTGCTTGTCAAGTTGAGGTTTTAACAGTAATCTTCTTAATTATTAAATTCTTTGTTGAAAAATGCTTTCCATTAAAAGAAATGAGAGACATAGCAACCAAATAGCTGGACCTTAAATTCTGATTCAAATAAATTAATCATGAAAATTAAATTTATAAAACAAAACTGAAGTGGTAGTGCTTATCTTTTAGAAATACATACTAAAGTAGTTGGGCGCCAGTGGCTCATGCCTGTAATCCCAGCACTTTGGGAGGCTGAGGCGGGTGGTCAGAAGTTCGAGTCCAGCCTGGCCAACATGGTGAAACACCGTCTCTACTAAAAACACAAAAATTAGCCGGGTGTGGTGGCACATGCCTTTAATCCCTGCTGCTTAGGAGGCTGAGGCACAAGTATCACTTGAACCCAGGAGGCAGAGGTTGCAGTGAGCTGATATCAGGCCACTGCACTCCAGCCTGGGTGAAGAGTGAAACTCTGCCTCCAGGAAAAAAATAAATAAATAAATACATACTAAAGTGTTTGCTGATGAAATGATACAATGTCTATGATTCATATTAAAATAATATGGGAAGTTGATAGTGGTATAGATGAAAGAAGCCTGTCCATGTGTTGGTAACTGTTGAAGGTGGGTGCTGGGTACATAGGGGCTAATTATACTATTTTTTCTGCTTTTATGTATAGTTAAGGTTTTCATAATGAAAAAAATGTTTTAAATACACAAATCAAATCAAAGGTGACTTATTCTTACCTGTATTAGAATCTTTTATTACAATGTCAGAGATTTCAAACAGTTTCAGTGGAAGGGGCATCTTACGATTTGCTGCTATGGTCTTCAGGAGGCCAGGAAGAAGGGTAGTGCGTGCCACCTACAGGAAAAGACATGAAATTGCACTGACCAAATAGGACCCAAACAAAGACACTTGGTTAAAGACAAAGACCATGGCAGAAAGACTATGGCTTCATAGGAAGACACTTCTGGAAAATGCATTGCCCTAAAATATCCAAGTCACTTTCAATTTTCAATTCCAGGACACTGAAATTGAACTGAAAAGAACTGAAAACATTCTGGCTTCCAAATTTACAAAATGAAAAATCATAAATTTGATTAAAAAATAAACGAGAAACAAATACAACCTAAATATGTTTGCTTATATCTAAGCCTTGGTTATTTTATTCATTATCATTCATTATTTTATTTTTTCTTTTTTTAGAGACACAGTCTCACTGTTTTGCACAGGATGGAGTGCAATGGGCACAATCATAGCTCACTGCAGCCTCAAATGCCTCAAATGGCTCTAGTGATCTCCTGCCTCAGCCTCCCAAGTAGCTGGAACTACAGGTACACACCACTGCACCCAGCTAATTGATTATCATTTTAAAAACTAAAGTTTGCTTTCAAGATTTCAAATGCATGTTTGCAAGTTTTCATATCCTGCCTCATTTCACAAAGTAATTGAAATAGACTACAAGAAATACAAATGTTTAAATAGATTAAATATAGGTCAGGCACAGTGGCTCATGCCTGTAATCCCAAAGCTTTGGGAAGCCGAGGTAGGAGGAACACTTGAGGCTAGTAGTTCAAGACCAGCACGGGCAACATAGCAAAACACCACCTCCACAGATTTAAAAATTAGCTAGGTATGGATACATGCCTTTAGTTTCAGCTACTCGGGAGGCTGAGGTGGAGAATTGCCTGAGCCCAGGAGTTCAAGGTTACAATAAGCTATAATCATACCACTGCTCTCCAGCCTAGGCAACAGAGAACCTGTCTCTAAACAAATAAATAAATAAAACCATAAATAAATTAAATATGAATTAATCAGAATTAGGACCAGGAAAAATGTAAATGCAATTAAAATATCACAATGAGGAAAACAGAATACAAATATGTAGGTGCTAAAAAATATATACAGCTGCTATGGGTAGGCTGTAACTACAGTTCTAAACTTTTTATTAACTAAAGCAAATGTGAAAGAAAGCATGTACAGTCATTTCATTCTTCCTATTCCTAAGAAATGCATACCCTGGTACATTAAAAAAAAGCAAAAATTTCCTGCTTTGTCTGTAAAACATATTTCTCCCTGTAAGCTATACGGAATATATTAGCTTCCAACACATGTTACCAGAAGAGTTTTATAAGCAGTGGTGTAACATTATTGTGAGAGTCTGGGCTCTGCATTCAGACCACAAGCACTATTATCTTTTCCCCAGACTACTGCATAACATTCTTAAGCTGGCTTCTGTGCTTCCATTCCTGCCAACCTGTGGCCTATTCTCCATACGGAGTGGTCCTTTAAGATGGAAATCAGACCATGCAACTCCCCTGGTCAAAAATCTGCAAGAGGTTTCCATTAAATTTTGAATAAAATCCATGGCCTACCTGGGGCCCTATGTGATGTGCCCTGACTCCCTCTCTACCCTCAACCCCTGCTGCTTCCGCAGGCTTACTGCACTCCAGCCACACTGGAGGCCACACTGGTCAGCAAGATTTCCATCCTGGGGCCTCCATGCTTACTCTGCTCCTACATTCTTCCTCTAGGTTCACATGTGGCTTCCTTCCTTCCTTCAAGTGTCTGCTCAAATGTTCTCTCCTACAGAGGTTTGCCCTGAACACCCAAGCTAAAACACAGACACTCTTAGATCCTGCACAAGTAACCATAAGACCCTAAATGGAATTGTTAGATTGTGTTTTGAATGAAAAAGAGAACGTCTTTCCCATCACACTCACTATACCAACAAGCTGCTACTCGCCTTCAACTTGGTGCTTCTTAAATATTATTCATTTTCCCCATTGGAGGGCAAGTGCCCAAACCATTCACAAAAACAAAACTACAATGTTAAAAGTTAAAAGGAAATTTAACTTATTGAAATATAATAAACAAACTACTGTTATAGAAAACTTTTCTTAATTTTATCAGTGTATTTTATAGATATGCCTTATTTGCATATTTAAAAACCTACAGAAATACAAAAAATTAAACCTGAATCTGATCAAGCTTCTATATCCAACTACCAATTTACTGGAAATTTAGGGGGCCATTGGAACATATTCAGCAAAATCCTAAATGTAAGAATTCTATAGGACAAATGACTCAGTTTCTTCAACAAACTGAAAGGAAAAGAAAGACGGAAGGATGAGAGGTGCAAGTTGTAGATTAACAGAGACATGAAAAGCATATAAATCAATGTCAATGTATGAACCACATTTGAATCCGAACTCAAACTGTTAAAAAAAAAAATTGATGGGAGGCCAAGATGGGCGGATCACGAGGTCAGGAGATTGAGACCATCCTGGCCAACACGGTGAAACCCCGTCTCTACTAAAAATACAAAAATTAGCTGGGCGCGGCAGCGCGTGCCTGTAGTCCCAGCTACTCGGGAGGCTGAGGCAGGAGAATTGCTTGAACCCAGAAGGCGGAAGTTGCAGTGAGCCAAGATTGCACCACTGCACTCCAGCCTGGCAACAGAGTGAGACTCCATCTCAAAAAAAAAAAAAAAAAAAAAATGACAATTGGGAAAACTAAAACAATGACTGGATATGTGAGGTGATTAAGGAATATTATTGTTAATTTGGAAGGGGTGTGGTAATATTCTGTAAGTTTGTTTATTGTCACTATAATAAAATTTTACATATTTTAGCCAAGTTACATTTTTATCTTGCCCATTCTCCAACATATTTACTATCAAAAAAGAGCCCAAAGTTAAGAATTATGCAGGAGAAGGAAAGGATTTAGACAAGAAACTGAGTTATAGGCCCATGAAGAACTTTACATTTAACTTAACCATAAATATAAACCTCTTAGCCAAATTAATGATGGTAGGACTCACCTGTTGGTAAAGCAAGGTAAAATATAGAATCTGTTAGGTCAAAAGACAGGCACTCTCTTTGATCTTTAAGGTACTTTATGCAGAAAGATTGATTCTTTTTTTTTTTTTTTTTTTTTTTTTTGAGACGGAGTCTCGCTCTGTCGCCCAGGTCGGACTGCGGACTGCAGTGGCGCAATCTCGGCTCACTGCAAGCTCCGCTTCCCGGGTTCACGCCATTCTCCTGCCTCAGCCTCCCGAGTAGCTGGGACTACAGGCGCCCGCCACCGCGCCCGGCTAATTTTTTGTATTTTTAGTAGAGACGGGGTTTCACCTTGTTAGCCAGGATGGTCTCGATCTCCTGACCTCATGATCCACCCGCCTCGGCCTCCCAAGAAAGATTGATTCTTAAGTGTGCTAAGCCACAGCTATTTATAGTGACATTTAATGCATTTCTGATTATTTTCCTTCCACTTATATAAAATAGAAAAGACAGGATGTAAATCCTGAAGAACATAACAGTTACCACATCTTAAGAAATCTATCAAGCTTCACTAGGGGAATACAAGGCGAAGAGAGAGGTGGGGAGCAAGAGCTGAAAAACTACCTATTGGGTACTATGCTCACTACTGGGTGACGGGTTCAGTCACACTCCAAACCTCAACATCATGCAATATACCTTTGTAATTAGACCCACGCATGTACTAACTGAATCTAAAATAAAAGTTGACAAAAGGCCAAGCGAGGTGGCTCACACTTGTCATCCCAGCACTCTGGGAGGCCATGGTGGGTGGATCACTTGAGGCCGGGAGTTCGAGACCAGCCTGTCCAACATGGTAAAACCCCATCTCTATTAAAGTACAAAAATTAGCAAGGTATGGTAGCACACACCTGTAATCCCAGCTACTCGGGAGGCTGGGGCACAAGAATCGCTTGAACCCAAGAGGCGGAGGTTGCAGTGAGCCAAGATCAGGACACTGCACTTCAGCCTGGGCAAGAGAGCGAAGCTCTGTCTCAAAAAATAAATAAAAATAAAATAAAGTTTTTTAAAAAAGTAATCAAGCTAGATAAGTAAAACTGGGAGAAAAAGGTACATTTCGAATAAGCAAAAATCCATTAAGATTTACTGAAAAATCATTCTATGCAAATGAATTTGAATACCTCTTATTAAAAGGAACACCATGGGCAAACTTTAAAAGCAATAGGAAACTAGACCTCAGAAAATAAAATATAACAACTCATTACTACAATCCTTCCAAAATTAGTATAAGGATTCTTCAAAGTTCTGACCCTAAGTATAGATAAAGAATTCATATACTTGATATATATTACCAATTAGTTCTTTAATTAGTCTAGCTCTAATCTACAACATTAGCAGGTGGTTCTATAGATAAACTTTAGAATTTTTAAATTTAGTTTTAAACACTTTTAGAACTTTTAGAATTCTTTTTAGAACTAACCCAGTCCCTTATTTTTGTAGAAGTAAAAACCAAAATCCAAAGAAACTATTTCAAATCAGAATTCAGATATTATTTATAATAGCATTAACCTTCTTTAAAATATAACCTTCCAGTTCTAAGATTCCCCTTGATTCTAGAAGAAGACATGATTTTCTCTAAAATCTAGGTTAAAAAACATACAGACTTGCATATGCAAGAGAAACAGCACAAGAGCTTATCAGTATAAAAGAGAACTATTTAAAGTTATTAATAAGCAAA
Source organism: Homo sapiens (assembly GCF_000001405.40). Classification (NCBI taxonomy): domain Eukaryota; kingdom Metazoa; phylum Chordata; class Mammalia; order Primates; family Hominidae; genus Homo; species Homo sapiens. The sequence continues at coordinate 222,618,585 of NC_000002.12, forward strand.
GATGTTATAATCTTAAAATGCCCTCCCTTTATAGTTAATATCCTAGTCTATAACACAAATCACTTAATACTCAATATTAAAGCAGTATCATTCTCATTTAAATATTCCTAACCTCTAAATGAAACTGCCAATAAACTTAGACAATTACAATAAAAGACATAAGCAGCACAGTCAAGAACTGATATAATGGGCAATTTCAAAGTGAATGACTTACGAAGGAACTGGGAACAGGTTTTGATTCATTTATTACAAATGAATGGAAAAGAGATGAAACCTGGCTAGGTGCTCATGCCTGTAATCCCAGCACTTTGGGAGGCTGAGGTCACTTTGCGGATCACTTGAGATCAGGAGTTCAGAACCAGCCTCGCCAACATGGTGAAACCCCGTCTCTACTAAAAATACAAAAAATTAGCCGGGCGTAGTGGCGGGCGCCTGTAGTCCCAGCTACTTGGGAGGCTGAGGCAGGAGAATGGCGTGAACCCGGGAGGCGGAGCTTGCAGTGAGCCGAGATCCCGCCACTGCACTCCAGCCTGGGCGACAGAGCGAGACTCTGTCTCAAAAAAAAAAAAAATTTAGCCAAGCATCGTGGCATGCACCTGTAATCCCAACTACTTGGGAGGCTGAGGCAGCAGAATCGCTTGAACCCAGGAGGCAGAGGTTGCAGTGAGCCGAGATCGTGCCACTGCACTCCAGCCTGAGCAACAGGGCAAGACTCTGTCCCAAAAAATAAAAATTAAAAAAAAAAAAAAAAAATGAAATCTGAAAATAGTATTAAAAAATCAATTATGAAATGGAAAGTTCAGACAAGAGAGATTGGGCCAGATAATACAAAGCAAGTAAGAACCCAGTATGAAGTTAATCAAGAAGATATTATTTTTAAAAGTGTAAAGAATTTTTGGCAGCAAAGCACGTAATAACCAACTATAAACTTACCCAAGAAGATATTATTAAAAAGCTCTAAGATTTCACCATCTCAGGTATAATAACTGAAGAGACTTTTCCTAACTCATGTACTACCTCTAGGTTTTTACATGAATTCTCACCTACTTAAAATTCTTACCTGAAATTCAGCTGTTTTAGGATTACTTATGTGGACTGCCTTTGTTGCAGAGATATCCACACCTAGTTTATCAGCAATATCTTCTTGGGAGCACTGTGAAGTACACACAAAACAGATTAATATGGAAAAGCAATTACTTAAGTTTAAAATAAAAAGTAATGCTGTAAGTCAACTTCTAAGAGCAATTTATATTCTCTACACATATCAGCAAGTTAAGAATAGGCCTGGTGTGAGCTGAAGTAAATGTAATAATAATAATAATAAAAAACAAACAAAAAAAGAATAAGCTAACAATAAATACACATCAATCTCAGGCCCATAGCAGATGGAATTTAACATTAATACTTCTTTCACAATGAGTCCTAGCCATCATACAGAGCTAAAGTAAATTTTTCACATGGAGATGGTATAAACTGTACTCGGGCCCTTCCTAAGCTAGTTTCCCATTTACCTTTCCAATCTAATCTCCCATGATGCCCTAGCCATTCCCTAAACCTTATGTTTCCCTACCTTACCTGAAATGTCCTCCCAGCCTCACCTGCTACCATTCCCTAAGGCTGACTTAAATGACCTCTCTTCCATAATATTCCTAATGACTCTAGTCAGAAACTTTCTCTCCCTCCTTGGTATTTCATGACTTTCCATTTTGACTACCATTATAACCCTTGCTAAATCCATACTGACTTGTGGCAGAACAGTAGGACTGACAACAGAATTCAAGTGACTGGAACTCTGCCCAGTGTTCTTTACTGTATCACTTAACTTCTGTGCACATGCCTGAAACTCATAACAAATAAACTGCTGAGTACCCACCAATCGAAGAGAAAGATGCTTGCCACCCTCAGAAACCAGCATTGTAGGCAGAAGTTATGAAATTAAAAACTCACTGACGATTAGATACATCAAGTCTAATAATAAATGATATAATGAGATAATGCAAGTATGGTGCCTGGCACAGAGTAAGCACTCAAAAAATACCAACAATGATGATAACTGACAAATCATTACTAAGGATAAATTATTATCATGTATATTAATGCTAGCTTTTTGAAAAAGCATTTAAAACGTAACACAAAAACTGATGTACCATCAGATTATTGTACTATTGTCCAATGTTAGGCAATATTGTTCATTATGCTGTTCTACAACTAGTTTTCAAAGGCTAGTTGGCCTGTATTTCACTTATTAAAACAAAATGATACACATCAACTGAAATGGTAAAAAGAATTCATTTCATGTCAATGTCAGTTCTAGTGATTCTTGCCATGCTTTCTTGAGAAAGATCCTGAAGCCACATCCAGCCATAGCAGAAAACAGCTCCCGGATCTGCTACAGCTGCTGAGATGGAGAATGGTGACATGCACACTGGGGATAAGCGTTTTCCCCACAGCATAAAGAAGTTTTACAGCAAGACTTAGGTATAATGTGACTGATTAATTATGAAATGCAACTGACATGAAGCAATCTATTCTCAAATGAAACTAGTCCTCTCTGTGTAAAAGAAAAACACTCTGCAGACACATGGCAACGCAGCTGTGTATCTGAGTGAACTTGTATTTTATCATGGCAATGGATAATAAGGGATAGTGACAAGAGGCAATTTAAATTAAGCTACCCTGAAGTGGCAGTAGTTAGTACACAGTAAGAAACTTTTTTTTGTTTGAGACAGAGTCTCACCCTGTCGCCCACACTGGAGTTCAGTGGTGCAATCTCGGCTTGCTGCAACCTCCACCACACCCGACTAATTTTTGTATTTTTAGTAGAGATGGGGTTTTGCCATGTTGGCCACACTGGTCTCGAACTTGTAGCCTCAAGTGATCCGCCCGCCTCGGCCTCCCAAAGTGCTGGGATTACAGGCATGAGCCACCATGCCTGCCAGGAACTTTTTTAATGTTAATATTTATGTGTTTATTTTAATGTGTTAGAAAAATACAACAAGTAAATGAACCTTATAGTTTTTACAGATATTATTCCTATAACAAGGCTGAAGTACATAAGCCAACTTAAAAGTGAGCCAATTTAAAAGAAAATATTACAACTACTATGCAGATATAGCAAAAATCAATATGATGAAGTGTGAATTATTTACACTTAGAAAGTCAGAGACTAGGCTTAAAAAAATGGCTGTTACTCTTGTGCAAAACTGGATTTAACAACATAGACCATCTTTGCTCAGCGATGCTTAGGCTTGCCTATAAACATCTTTATAAACATCTTTAATGTTGAAATTCCTACAGGAAAATTTAGTACAAATCTGAAACCCTCTAGGAGCTCACTCCTTTCTCTTCCCCCCAGTGATAAACATTGAATGTATTAAAGTGACTTTGGACAGCTAAACAGACTGTTTCTAACATCCCTGGTGTGACAGTTCAGTCACAGGCCTTGGATGCAGACAGGCATGGGCGGGAATCCCTGATCCACAGCCATGGCGTAGGACAAGTTACTTAAATTAACTGCTGTGAAAGACAGGAATGCCCACTTCACAGGAGTATACTGAGAAGAAATGGAATCATGTACACAAAGCCCTTGGCACAGGGTAAACATTCCCTGCAGAGCAGCCACTAGTCAAGACTCGGCCTCTGTGCTCCTTCGAAGACACATGAGGCTCTAAGGTCACAAAATCAAACTGGCAATGGATATTGTAATAAGTATAAAGTATAAGTATAAAAAGGATAAAGTAATAAGTAACTTTTTTCAAACTGGCACCACTAATATAAAAGGGCAGGGAAAAATGCATACCCAAGTTTTAACAGCAGTTGTTTCTGGGGAGGAAAAGAGGATTCGAAGTGGGGAAAAGAACTGTTATGGTTTAATCTACATGGTTAAAGTATGAGTCCTTTAAAATAAGATGTATTCCTGTGACACTCATATGTTTTAAAAAATAAAAATATATTTTTCAATGTTATTTTTGGTACTTCATTTTATATGAAATCCTGGATGCTCACAACTACAAATGTGTGTATATATATGTGCAAAGATGAATGACATGGCATTACAGACCTAGTGTACACGGTATGAGACCATGGAAAAGCACTGTTCTAGGAGGCTAAAGGTCAGGACCCTGCTCATGATATAATGAGATCATGCAGGTATGGTGGCCTGGAACACAGCAGTTCTCCTGCTGTCCGTGTAAAATGTGCTACGTACTTATCCTCTCTCAGCCTCAGGCTTCCTCATTGGTGCAGTGCCTGACATATAATAAATGCTCAACAAATGTTGAATGAATGACTCCTGAATCAGAAAAATCTTAATGCTTAATATTTATTAAGCAAACTAGAAGTAGAGTCCCTTAAATACTCTAAAATATTGAGAATTTCAGAGGTAGGGCTAAGTTGCAGGGGAGAAAAAGAAGAAGCTTCCTTTCCCCTCATAGATTAAACATACTTGAATGCTCAAGAACTACATTGCAGGCACCACAGAAATGCTCAGCAAGAGGGAAAAACGGAACTACAAATTGCATACACATTTTATTCTTTCAAATGGTCAATCTGGTGGGGGAGGGAAATTTCCTTCTGATTTTGTAATAAAAGTCATTTCCTGATTTAGGCCTTTTATGTCAGCTTTTCAACTCAAAGCAAATGTTTGTGAACATGTTCAAAGACAAAGAAATTAATTTAATGTGGAACAGTCCACAAGCCTTTACCCAGGACGGCATCTAGTGGGCACAGCCATAACCAAATTAAGACCAAATATTCTAACTTAATAAATTTGGTTATGAAATACATTGTGAACTCTCAACACTCACATGAAACTATAAAATACTTTGTCATCTCTCATTTGAGGTATTTTTTTCTAGGCCTTCATTTTCTTTTGTGGCTGTAAAAACAAAAGCTTCAACATTACTTTACCAGGAATTGTATAATCTCAAGTAACAAAGTTATTCTTCCAGAATCTGGAAGTTCTAACAGTCTAGATTTTATAAATTCTTATAAAGCATCATAGAATAAATAATTCAGAGAGTCTAAGTAAATAATCATCTGGGCAGAAAAAGCATGTAAGACATACCAGGGCAAAGGTAAGTGCTTCAGTGAAGCCAGCGGCTGCCATGTCATGTCGGAGAAGTTCAGTGAGCTTATTAAGAGGAAACTGAAAAAAAAAGCATCCACTTGATTTCACCGCAATTATTTCTTGTTTTTTAAAAGGGAGATTTATACAGAACATGCCATTAAAACTTTTTTAAATAAAAATGTTTAAAAGATTAAAAACCTTTTCACCCTTACTAACGTACTGCTAATGCCACTATTTCCCTATCAATATTACCTCCTCCCTCCCCACCGCTCTGCCACCCCTCTGCTCCTACACAGATGTACAAACCACCCCCACTTCCATCTCTCCCACACACAGCTTCTGCCTTCAGGCCCAAGTTGAGAAAATGAATCTCTGAGAGATTCAACAAGGGCTCCAAACTCAAAACTTGTCTTTCTTCAAAGAACTAGTCATCACAGGTTTTCAACTTACTCTAATCATTTGGGCATCTGTTTTGTATCCTCTCCACAGCAAATGCCTCTCATTGCAGAGCATGTCCAAATACTGCTTGATTCCTACGTTCTGTTTTCTCGAAGCCTTCCTGGCATTAAATAATCAGTTTCTAACAATAAGGAGTGTTTATTTAAGGGTGCAATCTTACTTGATTAGCTATGGTGTAAGTTTTCGGGAGAGTCATCTGAATGTTGTTATATCCATAAGCAATAGCTGCATCTTCTACAATATCACATGCATGGATAATGTCAGCTCTGGTTGGAGGGATTTCAATCTCAATCTGATTCCCATCACCTATGACTTCTGATTTTAAATACATCCTGGTCAGAAGTTTGGCAAGATTTTCTGGAGTTTCTCTGAAAAAGGAATGAACAAACCATAAACTTCATTGGATTATTTTTTTAATGTTTACATTGTGTTTCAACATATGCTACTAGCTGAAACAGTAACCTTTCTTTTTGAGTTCTATCAGAAACCAGATATCTTAACTGATGTTTTATCATTCCTTAACAGACTCTGAAGGATCGCAAAAAAAAAATTAGTCATACGTGTACTTTGTTCTTGAATTAAGTGAAGTTTTCAGAGCATACCTGATTCCAACTTTTTTGTTAATTAGGTCAGCTCTCACCATCTCCTTTCGGTAAGCTAATTCCTTAAATAGAAAGAGTTTAAAAAGTAAATCATTTCCCATCAGATACAGCTTTAGAGTCTTTTCCATTAGTCATTATTGCAGTTCTATTACGTTCCCAAGAAATTGTCATTAGAGCCACACATTGAGAATAAACTTGATGTTTCAAAAACAGTATTATGAGGGATAAATTTGCTATATTAGATTCATATATGAACATTCTACTTGCTAGACAGTTTGCACTGCCTGGAAATAATATAAAATGCCAAACAATTTTCCCTTTCAGATAGTCATTCCCCATTCCCCACAGTAAAACACTGTTGTGCTACATCATTCCAAAGACGTTTATAAATCCTGCTAAAGATTTTCAGTCTCGTCCTATGCAAGCAGATGGATATGACCAAGAAAGAGTAATTCCAATATCACAGTGTCCATCATACTAAGTCTAAGAGCATGATGAAGATATTCCTTTCTTACCATTTCCAGGTGGAGAAATGCAATGATGAATTTGGTACTCAGTCTCCTTCAAACAGTATATAACTCCACCGTATTAGTGAGGTGAGAACACACACACATAAATCCCAGGCTTTTCAACACCTTTGGAAATGTCCTTATGAATATTTCTTATCACTCATTCACTCTCAAAAGTATAACATGCCACTAGCAAAAAGGCCATAGATTTTAAAACCTGTTTTGATTCAAGTAAGGCAATGGTCTGGAACCTTGCTACTCAAAATGCGGTCCTCAGAGCAGAAGCACTAGCATCACCTGAGTGCTCGTGAGAAAGGCTGACTGCAGGTCTTGATAGCTAGTGGCAGTGACACCAGAGCTACTGAAGCCCAATCTGCACGTTTTCAAGATCCCCAGGTGATGAGAATGCACTGCAGGGTTTGGGAGGCACAAGGTGAAGATTGCAAAGTAATAATAACTTTTCTCAATAGTTACTATGACCTAAACAGTTATTATGAGCTGAACAGTACGAGATGCATTTTAAAGATAATCTTACTTAATCCTCACAACAGATGCTATTAGTATTCTCATTTGACAGGTAAGGAATTTGAATTTTAGCTGAATAACTAGTTCCAGGTCAGAATAGTAAACTGCCAAGTCCAAGTGCTGCTATATGCCCAGTGCTTATTATCTGATTATCAGATAATAAGCGTTTGGTATATGTATTTAATAAGTGAATGTATGCATACAAGAAGTAACAAATGGCTGGGCGTGGTGGCTCACGCCTGTAATCCCAACACTTTGGGAGGCCGAGGTGGGTGGATCACCTGAGGTCAGGAGTTCGAGACCAGCCTGGCCAATGTAGTGAAACCCCATCTCTACTAAAAATACAAAAAAGTTGGCTGGGCATGGTGGCACAAGCCTGTAATCCCAGCTACTCGGGAGGCTGAGGCAGGAGAATCGCTTGAACCCAGGAGGTGGAGGTTGCAGTGAGCTGATGCTACTGCACTCCAGCTTGGGTAACAGAGCGAGACTCCATCTCAAAAAAAAAAAAAAAAAAAAAAGAAGTAACTAATGAACAAATTAATGAATTAATAAATTAGGACAACCTAATTCCAAAGTACACACCATTAACCATTAGTCTGACTACTGACAACTTATCTCCCCTAGTTCTCTTATTTTAAAACTTTATTTTTTTCTATGAAATAACAAAACACAAGAAAAAAAATTTTCAGAGTTTGAGAAAATATGCTATTTCATGTGAGAAAGAATCAGTTTCCCCCAGAGGATCCTTCCCTAAGAAAAGCTGTTCTAATTTAAGTTTAGGAGGAAATAAATGAACAAATGCCAAAACACTCATGCAGTACTCCTTTTCAGAAAGCCCACCATTTCAAATTTACAAAAGGTCTCTATATTACAAATAAATGATTTTAAGGGTTTATCCATATGAGGAGAAGAGTGAACCAAATATTAAAATATATTTCTCCTTTTCTTCCCAAAAATATATAATCACTTTTATTAACACTTGACAAATCATCATATTGAAAAGAGGCTGGATGCGGTGGCTCACACCTGTAATCCCAGCATTTTGGGAGGCCAAAGCGGGCGGATCACAAGGTCAGGAGATCAAGACCATCTTCTCTAACATGGTGAAACCCCATCTCTACTAAAAATACAAAAAAAAATTAGCCGGGCGTGGTGACGGGCGCCTGTAGTCCCAGCTACTCGGGAGGCTAACGCAGGAGAATGGCGTGAACCCAGGAGGCAGAGCTTGCAGTGAGCCGAGATCGCGCCACTGCACTCCAGCCTTGGCGACAGAGGGAGACTCCATCTCAAAAAAGAAAAAAGAAGAAGAAGAAAAAGAAACTTTTCTCTGGCATTATTTTAAAACCATCTAAAAAGCTATGTCCAGCTAATCCCAATTGCTACTGTCATAAACTGCAAAAATGGCCACAAATTTCTCCCCTCTCTGTATCCATGGCCTTGCAATGTGACACTGCCAATCTTCCAATCAGGAGATGACATCTATTTCTCCACCTGTCAAATCTAGCCAAATGACTGGCTTTGGCCAACAGAATAATGTTTGAAAAATGCCTGGGCACTGGGCATGCTCTCTTGCTGCTAGGAACCCTGCAACCAACCCCAAGTCAAAAAGCCCAAGCTAGCCTGCTATATGATGAGGGACATGTGAGTTGTTGACCCCACTGCCAAGAAGCAGACGTGAGTGAGGCCATCCCAGATCATCCAGTTGCTAGCCAACCAGTCAACTGACTACATATGGGTAAGCCCAGCAGAGATTAGCCAAACTTGCTCAGACCAGGAAAACCACCCTATTGACCAAAAGAATCATGAGATAAATAAATGGTTGTTGTTTTAAGCCACTAAGTCTTGGGGGTAGTTTGTTAAATAACAAAAGCTAACTGACAATAGATATTTAATCCAAATCAACTTTTAAAAACTAATATTGCCTATATAATTTCAGTTATGCTTCATACAGTTATGTTTCTTTTGAAGTATAATTAACACTCTAGAATAAAATATGATGCTAAATGTTAATGTCTTCCGGAATGGGGAGGTTTTGATCTTAGCAGGTTTCATCTACTGTAAAAGCTATTTAAATAGCAGAAACTATTTCAGGCTGTGATTTACTTCATAAATGGCAAGGGAATAGTGAAAGATTCAAAGGGGAAGGAAAAGCTCATCAAAGAATGCTCTCACTGAATGAGAACCACGAAGTGACTGTGATACTGTTATGTTTTAGAACAGTCATCTTTATGTCAAGTCCCTTGGGGACAAAACCACCCAAGAATAATACTGGTTTAGATTTTTTACCAAGATCTTACGCTTGAAAATAACTATGTGGTTACTACTAAATTAGTCTTAATAATACATTTGAAATTATTTATTAGTTACAGTGATGCCTTCAGCAACTGTTAATTCAAGCGTGAACAGACTATGTTCGGAGGGCTGAGTAATCTTAAAAGGAGTGAGACTATAAATTACTTATTTAATAAGTTCTATTGTTCTACAGCACTGTAGGATGCTACAAAATAATTAACGACAATTTATTGTATATTTTCAAATATAGAGGAGCAGACTACGAATGTTCCCAACACAACAAAATAATAAATGTCTGATATGATGGATATGCCAACTACCATGATTTGATCATTACATATTATATACATGTATAGAAACATCACACTGTACCCCATAAATATGTACAATTATTATGTGCCAATTAAAGAATAAAAACATTTTTTAAAAAACTACTCAGTTAACTAGTTAATAGAATAAATCATAGGAATTATGACCACACAATGTTGTTGTATAATGTTGTGTTTACAGCTGCTGTCAAACTGTCTGAATTTAGATCCTAGCTCTACCACTTAAAAATAATAAGCAAGGTATTTAACATCTCAAGGTCTCAGGGACTCCATCTGGAAAAAGCTTAATAAGAGCACCTACCCTCACAGGATTATGGTGAAGACTAAATCCATGTAATGCACATAGTGTAGCGCCTGGCACACGGGTGGGTAGGTAGGGGATGGATAGACAGACAGAACATGAGTGCTCTATAGCCATTATTATTAGCATTGTTGTCATAATCATGAAGTCATTTCTTAAGCACTTACTGGAAAGGTATGTGATTTTCCATTAGGAAAAACCACTTCAGCAGCTTCGACCCTGAAAACAAAAGCCAGAAATAAAATACTTAAGAAAAAAATGTGCCATAAATTACAGACATGAGTATGGTTATCAAATCTTTCATTTGGGCTACAACTACAGCCTCAACATACTCCATCTATCGCATTCCAGCACTGTTTGGATTGATCTTGCTATAAACAATAATACTCTACTGTTTCATCTCCTAGGGCTCCGATGTCCTTTTCAGGCACCACCTACTTGAAAGGTTTATTTTCCAGTACTGCAAAGCATGCATCCGACAGGGACTCCTTGCCAATACTGACACACACATTCTAGGCTTTACCAGGGCAGTGTGTTACATAATAAAACTGAAAGAATCACTGAAATGAAAATCAGTTGAAAAAAAACTGATACTGCCCATATAATTTCAATCATGCTTTCTACAGTTATATATTTATTTTCAATTATATTAATATTCTAGAATAAACTATGATGCTAGTACCAAGGACCACATAGATGTGTTAAATAGTTTTTTAAACTAAAAATATGCTTTGGAAAAAATACAGTAATCTTACCGACATGGGATACATGCTTTGCTCTTATATATGCTTCTCTACCTCTGTTTAGCTGCTCTTTTGCTGTTCCTCCATCTATATATTCTCAAATCCAATGATCCCCAAACACAGCTTAAATTTCATTGCCTCCATGAAGCCTTCTCAGATTGTATCAGCTGGCAGTAACTTGCCCTTACAAACAGCCGGAATATCACCAAAACTTTTTAAAGTACTTAATGCTTATGACTTTATCCAATATTTATGCGTATGTCTTATCTCCCTGAACAGATTATATGTTCTAGTTATAGGAACCACATTTTTAATCTTTATATTTGTTTATTCATTCATTTTTTTAAAGCCAGTGTCTCATTCTGTGACCCAGTCTCAAGTGCAGTGGCACAAACATAGCTCACAGCAGCCTCGACCTCCCAGACTCAAGCAATCCTCCTGCCTCAGTCTCCCCAATAGCTAGGACTACAGGCGCAGGCCACCAAACCCAAGTAATTTTTTAATTTTTTGTAGATATGGCATCTTCTTGTGTTGCCCAGGCTGGTCTTGAACTCCTGGGCTCAAGCAATCCTCCCGCCTCAGCCTCCCAAAGTGCTGGGATTATAGGTGTGAGCCACCGCACCTGGCCTATCTTTACATTTAGCACAAAGCCTCGCCTTCAGAACAATGGGCCATCAATAAAGGTGCTGGATGAACTTACGTAAATTGATTCTCACAATATTCACTGAACATGGTGACAATAATATCAAGAACTATTTTTGCCTGCAAAGAAAAGAAAAACAAATATAGTAATCTATAAATATATTCTCTTCACTCAGATGGAAATGAATTAATATTTAATATAATTGTGTCCTCACATCTAATGGACCTTTACGTATACATTTTAAGAAAGGAAGTGGAATAAAAACATGAGTAGGCCTAGCCTTATCTTCAGGTGTTCTGCATTTACGCAGTTCTCTGACAGTTATAATCCATGACTGAGACAAATCGTTTCGTTCCCCAACCCCCAACCTCAGGTTCACTGGGCTTCAACAGAGACAAATGGCTAATTACTGGAATAAATCTTAACAATCTCCTAAGTCTCTGAGGCCAGGCTGCTTGAATCCTGGCTCAAGCACTTATTAACAGTATGACACTAGGCAAACCACTTTTCTTACCTGTTAAGGAGATAATGAAAATTCCTATCTTGTCTGGTACTTACAAAGATTAAATAATTGGCATGTAGTAAACACCATATAGATTTGTTAAATAATTTTTCTATTTCAAAAAAAATTCTTAGAAAAAAAATACCGTGACCTTATTGGAATATATGCTTTACTCTTATATAAATATTTCACTCCTATATATACAGGCTTCAGGAAAGACATTCAAGGTCTGTAAATGCACGAATTAAATTTTTTAAAAAATTAATATTAAAAGCTGTACTACCCTGACAATATTTCTGAAGGCAAGGAGTACCTAAAAGTTATAAAGGAAATACCTTACAATGGTCTCTAATCCTATAAGATGTACATGAATACCATTTATTTGCCCTATTTCTATACTCCAGCCTTCTCCTGCCATTTGAGGTTACCTTTTTTAAATTGTTTAACTGCCACCTCATTTAACATATGTAAAGAAGTCATATGTCATAGAAAAAGCTTTCATAGCAATCCATTCCAATAGATGAACTGACTCAAAGTGGGTGAAGAATTATATTCTAGATAATTTTGTGTGCATAAACCAACCATCTATCAATTTACTAAATAAAGCTTCTTCATCGCCAGTTCCTTTTTTTTTTTTAAGATTTTAACAAGTACACAAAGGTACCAAATTACTCCGCATATAAATTAAGTCAACTAGATAAACAATTTATATGGATTTCGCTATAGTACTCATTCCATTTTGTGTTTTATAGTTACGTATATGACTAACTCTCCCCCTAGGAGTTCTTTGAAGTGAAGAGACATGTAACTCATTATTAAATTCTTGGCACTGGAAAGACATTTGGTGCTCACTAAACATTTGTCGAATTAATGAAAGCACCATAACCAAAGTGTAGAATATCTCTATCTTTTTAATTGTCTAAATTTCTAAAATATGTTCCCACCTACAAAATGCACATATTTTAAATTTTAGCCACTTAGTCTTGGTCCGGAAATAAAATCTATCCCAGCTGATCATACAAAAATTGAGTAAAAGTTTTACTTACCTTAGTAAAGTCAGTTCCCGTGCATTCAATAAAAATATTTCTAGTATTTACTGTTATTCTGGAATGATCCCCTGCAATGAACACAAAACAATAACATTAAAATAACTAATTTCAGAAATAGAAGTGCACTATTAAGCTCAACAAAACAGAAACTACATTTTAAATGTAAAACATATTAAAAACTAACACCTTGGCCAGGGATGGTGGCTCACACCCACCAGCACTCTGGGAGGCCAAAGTGGGCGGATCACCTGAGGTCAGGAGTTCAAGACCAGCCTAACTAACACAGAGAAACCCCTTCTCTACTAAAAATACAAAATTAGCCAGGCGTGGTGGCGCATGCCTGTAATCCCACTTACTTGGGAGGCTCAGGCAGGAGAATTGCTTGAACCCGGGAGGTGCAGGTTGTGGTGAGCCGAGATGGTGCAATGGCACGACATGGTGCAATGGCACGACATGGTGCAATGGCACGAGAGTGTGCCATTGCACTCCAGCCTGGGCAACAAAAGCAAATCTCTGTCTCAAAAAAATAAAAATAATAAAAAAAAAACCTAACATCTTAAGAGCAAAGGGATAAACAACTTATATTTAAAGCTCCTACTGCAAGTTGAAGAATAAAAATAAAATAATTAACAGGCCTTTACTGAATGCATACAATGTGTCAGGTGCTATGCCAAGCACTTAACATAGGTTGTCTCCTCTAATCTTTACCACAATCCTATGATGTAATTGCTGGCAAGAAACTAAATTCAGAGAGATTAAACTATTTGACCATGATCATGAGCAGCAAGGCTAGGATTTGGGTCTAGAACTGGTTAACTCTGGGGCCCATGTTCTTAACCACTGTAACTACTAGGGTCCAAGATCTTGAGAAGAAGCTTCTCCTTCTCATAGCAAATCAGCTAAGCCTCCTTCTTACCTCCAGAAACGCAAACATCTATGTCTCAGACATCATTAAGTTTTGTAAATACATTCAAACTGCCTCATAAAAATAGCCTTCAGAAAGGAATTAAGAGGGCAAAATTTAAATTAAAAGTTTTTGTTTAACTATATAACTAGGCAAGGCCAGGCACGGCAGCTCACATCTATAATCCCAGGGCTTTGGGAGGCCAAGGTGGGAGAATCGCTTGAGCCCAGGAGTTTAAGGTTGCAGTAAGCCATGACTGCACCACTGCACTCCAGCCTGGGCGACAGAGCAAGAGCCTGTCTCAAAAACAAAACAAAAAACAACAACAACAAAAAAAAAAAACAAAAGAAAAAAAACTACAGACATGACAGAGTTTGACTTTGAGTTTAACCAAGTGAATTACTTGCTAAAACCAAAACATCAATAACCTTTGAAGAAACATAATAGAACCCAAAACCTAGCATCAGAAAATATTTATAAATGTATGAGCATAAGTTACATAAGAATCACCAATAAAATGTTGTTGAATAAATGAATGAAAAGAATGATTAGAATCTACAAAAGACCTGAGATACTCAGATTATGAGTTATTTGAATTTGATTCAGCCAAGTCTATTGAGAATTCTACAGAAATGCTGAAGATTAAAAGGAAACAGCAAAGATCTGTGATGCTTATAAAATAACTCACCATTGATGATGGGAGGCATTGAAAGGACGACACCATTGCTATCATAGATAACTGGATACAGGGGTTTGTTTTCAATGATATGTAAATAATGTTTCAGGTGATTGTCAGTCTGAAAACAAATTAAGTCAAATAAAATTAGTTTTTTTTTTTAATTTCTATCACTATAGTTCACATACTGACCTAATATTAAAAAAGAAGAGAACGCCAGGTGTGGTGGCTCATGCCTGTAATCCCAGCACTTTGGGAGGCTGAGGCCGGTGGATCACCTGAGGTTGGGAGTTCAAGACCAGCCTGACCAACATGGAGAAACCCCATCTCAACTAAAAATACAAAATTAGCCAGGCGTGGTGGCACATGCCTGTAATCCCAGCTACTCGGGAGGCTGAGGCAGGAGGATCACTTGAACCCGGGAGGCAGAGGTTGCGGTGAGCTGAGATTGTGCCATTGCACTCCAGCCTGGGCAACAAGAGCGAAACTCCGTCTCAAAAAAAAAAAAAAAAAAAAAGGAGGGGAAAAGTTAGAAAAACATTAAAACAGACCCAAATTAAAGAAAGCTCTAAATTTATAAGATTTTCTAATATAAATTAATATTCCAGTATTCAATGAACACAATTGAATCATTTCTCAAGAGTGAAAACAGATTTGCACTGGTATGCCTGAATCATTTCAAAGGAAACATAAACCATGACAAAACTATTTAGATAAATACGAAGAAGTCACTTGCAAATCAGGGCAAGGATGACCCTGCTTTTTCTAAACGACACCTATTTTTTCTACTTATTAAATACAATTCAAAGTGACTACTGAATTCATTTTCGCTGCTGGACTTTTAAATAATGGGAGATAGACAGCTTGTAACAGTATTTCCCACAAAAAACACTAGCTAAGTTTTACTGTTCTTTATACTTGCATGAGTTTCAATTGAAGATTACAATGTGGTATGGTCTACTTCAGTGGTTCTCAATCCTAGCAGTACACTGAAATCATATCAGAGGTTAAAAATTTAATAATAAATAAAATAAAACTATGTTCAGGTCCCACTCTAGATCAGATGAATCACTGTCTCTAGGTTGGAGTCCAGACACTGCTATTTTTTAAAAGTATTGATTACATTTCCCTAGTTGCAAGGCTTGACTTTGATGGAATTTCATGATTTTTGCAAAGCTGCTGCATAATCAAAAAGAATATTTACCTTGTATATGTTCATCAGTTCACAGGCTGTATACTCCTTGGTCTTATTTAGAGGCTTGAATTTGATATCTGAAGGACGCTTTGCAGTATAAGTAAATGGGCCCGACAAAGTGTCCAAATCATGGGTACCAATGGCAACCAGTGCTCTTTTCCTAATTGTTGAGAGGTTGAGGGAGAAGGAGGGAGGAAAGGAAAGGAGGAGAATGAGACAGATTTGAATATTCTAAAGCCGAAATTCTAAAGATAACATAAATATAGACTACATATTTTTTTTAATTATTTCAGATACTTCCCTGAAACAGCATATTGCTACTACATGGCATCATTAGTGGCATATAATGAACAAATTCTCACAACCATTAAGAGTACTGAGAAATCACAAAACTACCTGAAATACATGATTTCAGGAGCTGAAGAAAATTCCTTGCCATTATCTTTTCCCAAATATTGTTTCTAGGATATCTTCAAAGTTAGCATTTCCTTTACCTCTTTTAACCTATTTCTTCTTGATATACTCAAGTAAACATGTTTTAATAAATTAGAACGAACTATCGAATTGTGGGTTTTTTGGCTTTTCTATGTTTTCCTAAATTTTATCACATAGCTGCATTACCTTAGTCATGGAAAAAATTTAATTTTAATTTCAACAGCTCTGAATTACAGTTCAAGTTTACTTTAATGTATAAGGAAAGTTCAAAAGGTATTCATTTCACTTGTTCTACAGTTTATCCACAAAGGATTTAAGGTAATTTTAGGAAATTACAGCAAGCAACAAAATAGGAGAGAAAGAAATAGAAGTAGGGATGTAAAACCGAGCCAGGAAATGTTAATTCTGAATTAGAATCTAAAAGCCTAAGTCTTACCAGGAAAGGACACAAGTTTGGCTTTCTAACAGTCAATTTGAAAGGAGGAACTTGGTCAAAATTTGTGTTCTTAACATTCTTTAGTTTAAAGTGTATGTGCACTAAATTAGTTTAAAATGCTTAATATTAAATTTTGGTCAACTTCTAGGACTGCAGGACTGGTGAACTACAACTTTAATAAATAGGGTTAAAAAGAATTGCTAACAGGCAATAAGGGAGTGTTACTTTACTCAATTAGTCATATGCTTACAGAAGATAATAAACCCAGAACTATCATAGGATAAAATATGCATGGTTTGATAAATGCAGGTAAATTAATAATTGACAAATGCACAGGTAAGAAAGTCTGTCTTCTTAGATATTAACATTGGTCCCTTAATCCTAAAACAGTACCTCAAAACATCACCAAAATTTCAACTTCAAATCAGCAACAAAAAAACGTAACTCCAGATGAATCAAAGACCTAAGCATTTTGAAAAGCAAAAGACAAACACACAGGCACACATACAAAAGACACCATAAAAATTATTCAAAGAAAATACAGAGGCCAGGTGAGGTGGCTCACGCCTGAAATCTCAACACTTTGGGAGGCCAAGGCAGCAAGACTGCTTGAGCCCAAGAGTTCAAGACCAGCCTGGGCAACATGGTGAGACCCCATCTCCACAAAAAATGTAAAAATTAGCTGGCTGTGGTGCCACACACTTGTGGTCTCAGCTACTTGGGAGGCTGAAGTAGGAGGATCACTTGAGCCAGGAAGGTCAAGGCTATAGTGAGCTGTGATTGCACCACTGTAGTCCAGCCTGGGCAACAAGGTGAGACTCTGTCTCAAAAAAAAAAAAAAAAAGATAAGAAAATATAGAAGAATATGCTTAGGCCGCACGCGGTGGCTCATGCCTGTAATCCCAGCACTTTGGGAGGCCGAGGCAGGTGGATCACAAGGTCAGGTGATCAAGACCATCCTGGCTAACATGGTGAAACCCCGTCTCTACTAAAAATACAAAAAATTAGCCAGATGTGGTTGGCGGGCGCCTGTAGTCCCAGCTACCCAGGAGGCTGAGGCATGAGAATGGCATGAACCCAGGAGGCAGAGCTTGGCGCACTCCAGCCTGGGCGAGAGTGCGAGACTCTATCTCAAAAAAAAAAAAAAAAAAAGAATATGCTTAAAACTGTAGAGTCAACTTCCAGGACACCACTTCTTAAGTAGGTCATAAAATCTAAAAGTCAAACAGGAAGACTGATAACTATACCCAAATTAAAAACCTTACATGTCCAAAAGAAACTAAAAGTCAAAAAACACAAAAAAAGGTTTACAACATATATACAGTAAAAAGATTAACATTCCAAATATAGTAAGATATGAAAAAACTAAAAATATTCAGAAATCAAGGTTTTATCTAACATAATGGTAAAAATTTCAAAGTCTTGCTATAATAGAGCAGCAACTGAAAGCTGAAAGAACTGAGCAGAAAACTGAACCACTGCTGAGTCTGAATCTAGCTAAGTATTCAAGTCTTTGCCTGAAAGAACAAAAACCACTCTTCAGAGAAACATAGCAAAGTCAAGACTCTTCCCTAATATGATATTCTATATGCATCAAAAGGCAATGGACATGAGAAGAAATATGGAAGACATGACTCTTACTCCAGACAAAACTAGTCCATAGAAACCAACGCTAAGATGCCCCAGATTCTGATACTGCCACATAGATTTTAAAGCTGCTACTAAAAAATGTTCAAGAATTATGGAAGAACATACACATAATAAATAGACGAGGAAATATCTGCAGAAAAGAAGGAACTATTTTTTTTAAAAGGCAGTGGATTGCAGAGATGAAAAGTAAAATAACTGAAGTAAAAGACTCACTAGGCACTTCAAGCCAAGACAGAATAACACACTAGATTTACTCTTGCCTGAAACAACCGAAGAGCAAAATATATGGAGCAATAGTTTTTATGGCAACTAACAGCAGGCAATAAAGGGCAGCAATCCCTGAGACACAGGAAACAAGTGAGGTGAGCCCTGACTATAGGGCAGGAAAGCAGGCCCAGTGGAGTCCAGGAGACTCCCTGAGAGCAAGAGACATAGCTGAGAGTTTGGGGAGGCCAAGGTGGGCAGAGTCCCAGAGAAAACCAGAGAGCTACACAGAGAGAGAACTCTGAAGATATGCAGAGGGTCCCACTGGAATACTGGTGAGCTCAGTATTGATCAGAACATGCAGCTGAGAAAACTACCCAAGGCCAGGAAAGAATTACTCAACGGAATTAGAGGAAACAGTGCTCCATGCTCACACAGACTAAAACTTCACTGCTCATGTAGCAATGGATATAGTAGGCAAAGGGTCTTGCCTCAGCAGTAGGGACTAATTAGCCTAAAAAAGAGGCTTAATCAATAAAAATAGAGGAAAAAATAAGAGAAGAATCAATGAAACCAAAAGTTCATTCTTTGAAAGATCAATAAAATGAGTGGTTCATAACTGTAACCCCAGCACTTTAGGAGGCTGAAACAGGAGGATCACTTAAAGCCTATAAGGCCAGCCTGGACAATAAAGCAAGAC
The DNA here is from genome assembly GCF_000001405.40 of Homo sapiens. Taxonomy (NCBI): domain Eukaryota; kingdom Metazoa; phylum Chordata; class Mammalia; order Primates; family Hominidae; genus Homo; species Homo sapiens. The sequence continues at coordinate 222,637,807 of NC_000002.12, forward strand.
CCCTGTCTCTACAAAAAAATTTAAAAATTAGCCAGGTGTGGTGACTCATGCTTGTAGTCCCAGCTACTTAGGAGGCTGAGGCAGGAGGATCACTTGAGCACAGGAGTTCTGGAGTTACAATGAGATGATCATGCCACTGGACTCCAGCCTGGACAACAGAGAAAAACCCTGTCTCAAAACAAACAAACAAACAAAAAGATCAATAAAACTGATAAACCTCTAGCCACACTGATCAAAGGAAAAAAAAGAGAGAAGACAGAGGAATGAAAGAGGTGACATCACTACAGATACCACAGATATTAAAAGGATAATAAAGAAACATTATGAACAACTTTGTCAATAAATTTAATAACTTAGACAATATCGATATATCCCTTGAAATACGTAAACTTCCAAAGCTCATTAAAGAGGTTAATTAGGATTTACTGACAGAAAAGAACTCTGGCACACCAAAGTATTAGGATGTGTTCAATTCTTCCCCTTAGAAAAAGCTCATGATTTCCAGAAATACCAAATAAAACAGAGCTTAAAGTTAAATTAAGTAAGAAAATGTCTGTTTAGATTAAAATAACTTCTTAAAATAAACAGATAATAGAGCCAGAGCAGATAATCTGGCTCAACCACTTAAGTTATACCTATACTTGTCAGAAATCTTGTATTTTGTTCTTAATTTTGAAATTATATTTAAATTGTTATTGTTTTGCTTAATAATGACATATTAGCAAGCTGACATATAAACTCTTTTATATACAAGGACTGGGAATAAATGCTATTTGGAATCTGAAAAAAATGTTGCTACTACCACATGGACAAAGATGTTTTTCACCACAGCAGAAAATGTCTACGGTTCTCCCTCTATCCTGTCCCTAGCCCATCCCATACACATAAACCCCTCCTAGGCTCTACAGTTTACTAAACTACAATTATTAGCAAATAGCTGCAGCAGATCTCACACAAAAAAATAAATAAAAATTCTTTTTCTATTTTTATTTGAGACATATATAACTATCAATCATACCTTTGGATCAACATGCAGTAACTTATGCTGATCTATTTCAGAACCAACACAAATAAGCTTAATATGTTAGGCTAAAGTCTGAGGTTTCTCATCATCAGTAAGTATACAGTTTCCATTAGGATTTTGAAATACTTAAATTTGTTCAAGGATTCCCGTTGTTACCTTCACTGACCTTTAAGAGTTCAGAAATTATACAGGTGTGAAGATTATTGCCCTAAAGGAGCTGTGCAGGAAATTATGCATAGTAATGTAAAGACTGAATAAGTAAAATTTAGTCATTTAAACTCAAGTTCTGTCAATTTATAATTACTCTCACTCAAAAAGTGAGAATAAGCCAAAATGTTATTTCCATTTTAAAAATGATATATCATACTTCATTAACACGGTTTATACTTAGTAGCATAATCCACGACTGATCTGAACCAAAACAACAACAACAAAAAGCAGGGAAGTCTCTAGGACTAGATAATTCTTCTCTATACAGTATTCAAAATATACCTCCTGTTTCTCCATGCATATGGCATTTACAAGCAGTAAAAGGTATCTGGTAAAGCAAAGTGAAATTCTCATATTCTGTCACATACTATTAATTTAGAAATGATTTGTAAAAAATCTGCAGAGGAAGAAAGGAAGGAGAGAGAGAGAAAGAAGGCAGAAGTGGCAAGAGAGAAGAGGGAGAGGGATCAGGATGGAAAGGAGATAGGGAGACAAAGGGAAAGGGGAAGGCAAGGAAGAAAGAAAATGCAACCACAAACCTGCAAATATTCTGATGTAATTTCTCCTGAAGTTCAATGAAGCTGTCATATCGATCTTTAGTAAACTTTATATTACGGAGAACTGCTGCTACCGCAAAAGGACGTATCTTAGCTGTCTGAAATTCATAATATCATTAGAGATAGCAAACAGTAAGGCTTTTCTTTGTAATATCTTGTAATAGGAAGGTAGCTGCATTCTTGCCACTGGCATACATTTTCATTCAAACAAGTATATATTAATTTATTCAGTCAACAAGTAATAAAGTGGTAAACAAGAGAAAAAGTCACTACCTTCACAGAATTTATATTTCAGTAAGATTTCTGAAAATGTATTAAATAATTGAGAAAAAGTTTGCTCATAATTCATATATTTACCAAACAACCCCTCTGAAAAGTTTAAAATCTTTTAAAATTTCATTAATGTTCCACAATTTAAACAATTATATCTCAAATGTGTTTTAAACATGCATTGGATATTATTATCCAAAATTATTTATGGAAAGCAAAGGCTTTGTTCTTTTTCATTCCTAGGTTAAAAAAAAATGTTTTTTTAAGGGCTAGGGGCTAAGTATATAATCATTTTAGCAAATGATCAAAGAAAATCACATTTTTTAGAAGGGTAAGCTTTGGACCAGGCACAGAGGCTCACAGCTATAATCCCAGCACTTTAGGAGGCTGTAGGGGAAGGATCCTTTGAGCTCAGGAATTTGAGAGCAGCCTGGGCAACATAGTGAAACCCCATTTCTAAACAATACAAAAAATTAGCTGGGTGTGGTGGCGTGTGCCTGTACTCCCAAATACTCAAGAAGCTGCAGGGGAAGGATCCTTTGAGCTCAGGAATTTGAGACTAGCCTGGGCAACATGGTGAAAACCCATTTCTAAAAAATACAAAAAATTAGCCAGGTGTGGTGGCGTGTGTCTGTACTCCCAAATACTCAAGAAGCTGCAGGGGAAGTATCCTTTGAGCTCAGGAATGAGACCAGCCTGGGCAACATGGTGAAACCCCATTTCTAAAAAATACAAAAAACTAGCCGGGTGTGGTGGCGTGTGCCTGTACTCCCAAATACTCAGGAGGCTGAGGTGGGAGGATCACTTGAGCCTGGGAAGCAGAGGTTGCAGTGAGCCAAGACTGCACCACTGCATTCCAGTCTGGGCAAAAGAGCCAGACCCTGTCTCAAAACAAAAAAAAAAGAGTAAGCTTTGTTTCTCTTTCCTCCCCACTTTATACAGACATGTACAAAAGAAAATTTTTAAAAGAAAAATAAGAATTTGTCCTTATTACCTCTTCTGTGATAATCAATTTCTGGATTTTTCCATCAGGCATTACCCGTTTATACACTGGAGCCTTTATCCTAAAATAATATTTAAATGAATTTACTCATAATTAATCAAGACATTATATAAAATAATTACATTCTATGCTGTATATAGGAAGTATACAAAATGAATTAGGGCAATGGGTTGAGTTACAGCAAGTCAAATTTTGGCTGAACACTAAAAAAAAAAAACAAAAAAAAAAACTAACAAACTTTTTAACATTTAAAGTTGTCCAAAAATGACATAAGATGCCTCATAGTAATGTATTTCCTATCACTAGCATCCCAGCAGAGGCTACAAACCATTAACTGAGCAACCGTTTAAGGAGCATTTCAACATCAGCTGAGGGACTGGATTAGATAACCTTTAAGTTATGATAGTTATTCTAACCATGAGATTCTGAGCTTCTAGGAAGAAACAGAGCTTATGGAAAATACAGATTCCCTGGTTCCATCTGGCCCTACTGAATAAAATAAGTGAAGACAAAGATTTGGTAAATGGTGCATTTTGAAGGCATCTCTAGGGAACTCTTATCATAGGGAGAAGTTGGGAACTACTGTTTTAAGGCAGTGCTTCTCAAATTTCAATGTGCTTACAATCAATTGGGGAGTTTGTTAAACCACAGATTCTGATTAATAGGTGTTGGGTGGCGACTAAGACTGCATTTCTAGTAAGTTCTCATGTGATTCAGATGCTGCTGGTCCATGGACTCACTTTAAGTAGAAAACATTTTAAGTTGCTTTCCTAATTCTGTCTGATCATAAAAATCACAAGGTGACTGGTAAAAATACAGATTCTCACTGGGCAGGTTTGGGAAACGAACTCTCAGGAGTTATCCTTGATCCTAAAATAAAAGCATCTGATTGTCCCATAGGAAACCAACTGAGTCAACTCTAAAATTTTAACCATCCTTAACCTAATGCCTAATTATCACCATTTCACCAATACCCATCACTCACCTAAACCCTCACAATTTCAGAATCTAGCCCATCAGTTAGAACTCTTATTCTTTTGCAGCTGACCAGATAATGAAGAAGTAATCAAAAATAAAAACAATTTTTAATAGCTGTTCATTTTTTTCACTGTATATATTTGTTATCCTCTATCTTTTTTTTTTTTTTTGAAACAGAGTCTCCCTCTGCTGCCCAGGCTGGAGTGCAGTGGTGCAAATCTCGACTCACTGCAACCTCCACCTCCCAGGTTCAAACGATTCTGTGCCTCAGCCTCCTGAGTAGCTGGGATTACAGGTGCACGCCACTATGCCTGGCTAATTTTCATATTTTTAGTAGAGACGGGGTTTCACCATGTTGGCCAGGCTGGTCTTGAACTCCTGACCTCAAGTGATCCACCAGCCTCGGCCTCCCGAAGTGCTGGGATTATGGGCATGAGCCACCATGTCCAGCCCCTCTATCTTCATTAAATGAAAAGCTGGAAGGGGCCTTATAAATCTTCTTCATTATAGATTAGGAAATTGAAACTAGAGAGGCCAACTAACTTGCTCAAGATCACAGAGCCGTCATAAGATCTTTGGTTTTTCCAGTTAGGAGGCTTCACTCCTGAGCTTCCTTAGAACTCATAATGTAAGGGTATTTATTGCTAGCTCTCCATTTCCTCTCAACTTTTAACACATCCAGTGAACTACTCATTCCAATTAGATCACGGAGGGGAATCACACACACCTGCTAAATAATTTTTTAAGACGCCATAAAAGCATTAAACACCAGTTTTAAAATATGTTCTCAAAGATGAATGGCTATGACTAAAATTTTCATGGAAATTTTCAAATGGCTACAATCTGCATGAATCTAATTCCTCAAATCAACCCTCTATTGAGAGCTAAAGCTACGTTCCTCTACAAGCTTTTTCCTAGAAATTTAAACATGGCTGCTGATAATGACAAGGAAAGAAAAGAAAACCCAACTTAGCAAAGTCTTTAAGGAACATATTTCCTTACCTTTCTTTGAAGACCTGAAGTCCTCGAACCAATCCTTCCAGACACAGGAGATCATATCTATTGGCAGGGACGTCAATTTTGTAAAGAACAACATCAGAGGCTCCTGCTGCCTTTACATTACCTTGTTCTTTACTTATTATTTCCTTCTCAGATGTCTAAAACAAGCCAAAAAGTAATGATAAAAATTAAATAATTTAAACTCTCTTTAAAAAGTAAAAGTTGTCAGCCCTATAAGGCAGTAACTACATTATACATATTTTCTATAACAAGAACATGGGATTATTATATCCACGACAAAAACAACATGAAAATATTAAGTGTTATAATCATAGCAGACAGAAAAATACTTCAGCTTTAACTGAGTTCAGATATCTGGCAACCTCAATCACCCCAGAAAAGCACAAATCCATCTAAACAAGGGTCAGCAAGCAATAGCCCCCTGGCCAAATCATACCTGATACTTGTTTTTGTAAATAAAGATTTATTGGAACACAGACAGACCCATTCATTTACATATTATCTACTGCTACTTACACACTGCAATAGCTGAGTTGTAACAGAGACTATAGAGCCAAAAAGCCTAAATATTTACTATCTGGCCCTTTACAGAAAAAGTTTTCCCATCTCAAGCTAAAAGAAAATTAAAACATCACCAAGAACATAAAGTAACAACAACAAAAGTGTCAAAGGGGTAAAAGAAAGATGATTCACTAAATAAAAGAAACACAACTTCTTATAGGATGACTCTAAAACCTAAATCCTGTGGGCACCCAAGTCCACATGAGAATGAGAGGGGTAGTATAAAAACTAAAAACAGTCAGAGACCATCAGACACTGGTAAAAATTAGAAGGGATAATAGGTACAATGGGAAGCAAACTAGTGATAGCAAAGGGATAGTGCAGCAGAATGAAGGCAGCCAAGAGGGAGATGACAGAAGAAACACCACTAGAATCACGTTTAATGCAGTGGCAAAGAGTTTAGAATATCTCAAGCACCACACTACAGCAGAGTAACAGATTTTCTTAAACATAACCACTGCAGAGAAGTTACACTCTATTCCTTATGTTTACTACAGCAGGGAACTGTAAATATATTTAAGAAATTTTCACTTGAAATGATTACAAGTTGTATTCCAACTGTTAATGTTACGCTTTAATTATGTGGAAACTCCACTTAACCAGAATTCCTACTATTTCCACCACCAACAACCTGCTAAAATAACTGATGGATTTCTATCAAAATATGTAATGATTTTTGTTTTACATGATGCCCTCCCACTGCCACAATATAAGTAGTTCAAATTTTTGTCCAAATTAAGAATTATATCCACATTTGCACAATATGCAGAGAAATTCACTTCTGGCCACGAGTATTATGTGCCAAAGTCCCACCTGAGGAACCACAGGAGTCTATGCAATGCTGGGGCTGTACAAGGTGGTGCTGGGCTCCAAAAAACCTCTACCTTGGGCATCTCAAACTTAGGAGGCAAATTTTTATAATTAGGGAAAATGAAAAATGAAAAACAAGAGAATGAAGAGGAGGAGGAAGGAGTAAAAAGGGGGAAAAGAAAAGAAGGGGAATGGGGAGAGGCAAAAAGAGAAGAGGAAGAATTCGAGTTTAAACAATGTTCAATCAAAGGGGTTAATAAAATTACTGTTTCAATAGTGAAGAAAGCTGAGTCACCTCCCAGGAGATGGCAGATCTCAGGAGGGACCTATATACAGAGAAGATAATATAATAACCGGAGAAATGAAGGCATCTGCATTCATTTTTCAGCAGCACCCCCTTATCCACAGGGGATATGTTTCAAGCTCCCCAGTGGATGCCTGAAACATTGGATAGGACTAAATGTTACATATACCATGTTTCTTCCTATACATACATACCTATGAAAAAGTTTAATTTATAAATTAGGCACAGTAAGAGATTAACAACTAATAATAAAATAGAACAATTAAAATAATATACTATAATAAGAGTAATGTGAATGTAGTCTCTTTCTGTCTCAGAATTTCTTATTGTACTATACTCACCTATTTTCAAACCACAGTTTGCTGCAGGTAACCAAAACTGTGGAGGCAAAAAACTGTGGATAAGGAGGAACTACTGTAAAAAAAGATCTAATTCCTTTGCAAAAAAAAAAAAAGACACAGAAGCTTACATCTTCTTTCAGTTTCAGCATCTCAGCTCATACAATGACCATATGTAAAGACTGAATTTGTCAGTGCTACCTGACAATAATCTTACAGAAATTTAAAATCACATAAATTTCAGAGTCAAAAAAGAAAACCATAAAGATCATATAATCCAAACCCCTTATTTCACAAATGAAAAGGAGGCCCAGAGAGACTCGTCTGGACTATAGAGTTCAGACAGGCAAAGTAATTGTCCATAGTTACACAGCTAGTAAATGTTAGAACTAGAACTCAAATAATCTAACATCCAGTCCAACACTCTTAGATATCACATAATTTCAAACATAATTCTGAGGTGTAGTAAAATTACGAATAGCAACTTATAAACTACAGAAATCTCAGCCAATTTCTCAAGTATACAAATAGATTAGTACAAAGATGATCTTTCTGTAACATTAGTAAGGCAGCAGGAAAAATAAGGTAAGATAATGTACAATTTTTTAGCCTGAACATTTTTTAACTTTACACCTAAGGTAGTGTTATAAAAGCACTGAATAGGTGAAGATAGAAGGCTTAGGAAAAAAATAATACTAACTATCAGAAAATTATCTTTTAAATTAAAGTATGTCTTTTTTTTTTTTTGAGAAAAAAATTGGGCTTTTATTGGCAATTACAAAAGTAATAGATTTTCTTACATAATACGTTCCTTCAGTAATATATTTTTCAAGTATTTTACCATAGAATTTCTAAAGTACTTTGTCATTGACCCCATAATTTATTATAAAGTAGGTCCCATAATCACATTTTTTGGAAGTTGCTGAAATTGAGATAAAAAATATTGTTTTTTTATGAGAAAAACTGGACAAAATACAGAATGGCCAAAACTAGATTAACTGGCTCAGTTATGTCTACTAGGTGAAAGAAAATACAGAATCTGTTACTGTAGAAATTTTAAGAGGTTTTGAGTCAGTTCCAGTATAAAAATAAGGCCAAAGTTCTCCTGTAAAATCATCATTAAAAGTACAGAGAAGAGATCTATCATTCAAATTATAAAAGGAAACCTCATTCATTTCACAGTCTAAAAAAATGCCAATCTTACTAGGTGTTACTTTTGGCAGCAGAATAATTTCCTTATGGCCCAATACAATATAATTATTCCGACTAGATTACCAAATTCTCCATAATCCATCCTGTACTAAAATTGGTTGACTCTTCCTCCTTGTGGGAGGAGAGTCACTACAGACACCAAGAATCCATTCAGGCATGTCTTTAACTTCTACTTCCCGGTACTGCCTGCCACAATTTTATCCCTTAGAACCCAGAACAGCTGGGAGCAGATAAAATCTTCTTGGGTTATGAGGTAAGTTTTGTGTTGTATTTCCATATCGCACAGTTTTTCTATCTTCTGAGACTATAAGTTTACGATGTGCTGCTTCAGGATCTAGAATTACATCTACTTGAAATCGCTTGATAATTTTGTTTTGGCCACAATATTGTGGAGACAGATGGTAACCATATTCTTTTAATTTGAATAAAAAAGGTTTAGGGAATTTTAAATTCTTATGTCTGTGATAGATATCCTTAACATCAGCCAGTAATTCCAGTTCTGACTTCACATATATGCTCTCTATCTTCTTTAGTAGATATTTTAATGAGGAGGTATAATCTGAAAATTTTGTTAGGCTTTCATTTAGTTGTGCTAAAATATCCATCTCGTCATCTTGTAATTGCCCAAAAACAGTCTCTTGCTCATTTTGCAGAAATAACCTAAGTTGCTCAAATTCAGACTTGACTTCTTCTGCCGTATGTTTTACCTTTTTCTTCAGTTCCAGTGATTTTCTGGTTTGTATAGTTATGACTTTTTCAATTAGTTCCACTCTCTCCTTCCACGGTGCATTGTATTGCTCCAGTTTTTTCCTGATAGGAGGCAGCCTTCTTTATGGGCCAAACACAGCGATGCTGGTGATCAGTGGACAAACTGCACCTTGGACATAAAAGCTCTAGGTCTTTCTGAGAGAAGAAAGTCAAAACCTGATTATGCTTCTTACACACATGCTTCTCTTCCTGCCTCTTCCTCTTGCTTCTTAGCTGGAGTTGCTTAGCAATTTCAGTCAAACTACCCAGCTGGGGATTGCTTATAAATTTCCTTTCTGGACAGCACAAGTGGCAAAAGGGGCAGGGGAAACTATCATCTAGATCCTTCCAGGACATAATGATGCAGGAGAGACAGAAGTTATGCCCACAGCTGATGGTCACTGGGTCTTTCAAGTAGTCCAGACAGATGGGACAGCTAGCCTCTGCTCGGAGGTCAGCCAGGGCTGTCACAAATTCTACGGAGCCTGGAACAAAGATGGTAGGTAAGGTAATTCTTTTATTTTAGCAAGGCCTAGCTCTCTAGAGCTCAAGACCCACTATGCAGTGGATTCCTCCCCAGACCTTGAAATCTGACCAGCTTTCAGTTTTACTGACTTGGCATGTTGATGGCAGCTTCTAGAAACTTGTTAAGCCCTCAGCTCCTTAGCTTCAGACTTCACAGCCTGCAGCCTATTGCATATTAGAACTTATTAGCTGGGCTGCTGCTCTTCCCACTAAATGAAATAAAGTCAAGTTTTCTTCAAGAAAGCAGCCTCAGGTCCAAGATAAGGACTCCTTCCTGTAATCCCAGCTACTCAGGAGGCTGAGGCAGGAGAATCGCCTGAACCCAAGAGGAGGAGGTTGTGGTGAGCCAAGATCGCGCTGTCGCACTCCAGCCTGGGCAACAGAGTGAAACTATATAAAGCACATTGGGCCAGGCATGGTGGCTCACACCTGTAATCTCAGCACTTTGGGAGGCCAAAGCAGTGGATCACTTGAGGTCAGCAGTTCGAGAACCAGCCTGGCCAACATGGTAAAACCTCGTCTCTCCTTGCATTATAATCACCTGGAGGGCTTGGTAAAAGGTTGCTTGGGCCACATCCCCAGTTTCTGGTTCAGTAGGGCTGGTTTTTTCCTAAGTTCCCAGATGATGCTGCTGGCCTGCGGACTGTACTTTGTGAACTTATGCTGGAGCAGATGGATCAGAAACCCCGGCCAGAGGATGCTCAGGACCCATCAAGCCCCCGCGAGGAAGGACTCAGACCCCCAACCCCACCAAATTAAAGTATGTCTTTAATAGATAATCATTATTAACAATATTAAAATGTATAGCCGACTTGATTTTTTTAAATATTGTAATCATTATACAATCAAAAGTCAAAGAAAATGCTTCCTCATTTTTATAAGCAAGTCCTTAAAAAATATTAGTTCATTTTACAAGACCAATGAATATAGTAATGCATTAGTACTGGTTGAAGAGGCACGGAGGAAGGTTATGGGGGCAGAGGAGCTGAAGGAGGAGGCGCTGGAAGTGAAGGAGGCAGGGTAACTCTGGTTGAAGCAACATTTCTACTGCTTCTTGGTCCCTTTCTGTGATTAATTTGCCAAAGGAGGGAGCTTACTTTCATACTGGGGTTATCTAACACATTCTATCCATTTCCACAGCATGAGCCTGGTAACAAGGTGATTGTAGATGGAATAAGGCATGAACTCCTTTTGAGATTTTAGTCAAGGCAACAGACAGACATGGAGCTTAGCCCTCTGAACACAGAAATCATGGCCCACAAACATTATCACCTTAGTCTAACTATAAGGTAACAAAGATGAAATACAGTATAACCCTGAAAAATAAGCTTATGCACACAATCTTTGAAAAATAGACAAATATCCAATACATACAATTTCATCAAGCTCCAGACCAAATTCAAAACATAGTTCATCAAATTCTTCGTCAGCTAGGAAAATAAAAAAGGAGATGGTTAATTTCACTCTGTTCAGTATAAGTGAAAACTACATACAAACTGCATTTTCTTATTACTAATTGCCTTACACCAATCATACTACTAAATATCAGGCATCACATATTATCATTTAAAAACAAACAGGCCAGGCATGGTGGCTCATGCCTGTAATCCCAGCACTTTGGGAGGCCAATGTGTGTGGATCATCTGAGGTCAGGAGTTTGAAACCAGCCTGGCCAACACGGTGAAACCCTGTCTCTACTAAAAATACAAAATTAGCCAGGCATGGTGGCGCATGCCTGTAATCCCAGCTACTTGGGAGGCTGAGGCAGGAGAATTGCTTGAACCTGGGAGGCAGAGGTTGCAGTGAGCCGAGATCATGACATTGCACTCCAGCCTGGCTGACAAGAGCGAGACTCCGTCTCAAAAAATTAAAAAAAAAAAAAAAAAAAAAAAAAGCTGGGCCAAAAAAATTTAAGATAAAAAAAAGAAAAAACTATTAAAGGCTTGATTAATCTACACTAATATCAACTGTAGTTTAGGTTACCTGCACTGGGAAGTTTGCATGTACACAGAAGAAAAACACCTGTTCACCTGTTAAGTAGAGATCAGATATAAAGTAGGCTCCAAATCACAGATCTCACACAACAGAATGTCACATAAGTCCTATCAGGTAAAATGGTCTGAGGTGGCCTGACACTTTTGGCTTTGAAGCCAAGTCAATCAGAGTTTGAATTCTATCCCACTTATTAGATCTGAGAGTTTGGCACCTTATGTAAACTTTCTTGGTATCTTGTGTCAACATTACAGCTGCCTCATCTATAAAATGGTATTTCACAGCCATTATGGCATGGTACTATTGGAAAGATTTAAATGCTAATGCATAAAATGGACCTGGCATAGTACCCTGAGACACAGTGAGTCTACAATAATTAATAGTTTATTAGCAATTAATAAAATAAGTTCTCTTCCTTATTTTAATATTATATCCTACTGTTTAGCTTTTCAGGGTTCTCACATTACCAAAAATTGAACACAAAACATCATTAGCAGTATATTCTAGCGAAAACTGGTCTTAAGATTCCTGATTCAGACACTAAATTTCAATTTAACATCTATGTACTGAGTACCCACCTTATACCAGGCACTGTACTAGGTACCAGGGTTACAAAGATAAATAAAACACAATTCCTGCCTTAACTACTTCCTCATCTAGTAAAGAAGCCAGATGTGTAAATAAATATGACTGTGTTAAGTACAAGGTACAGGGCTGGCACAAAAGAAGTAATCAGTTTCTCTTATGGTCAGCTAAACCTTCACAGAAAGGATGAGTTCGTTAGGCAGAGATTGTGGGGCGTGAAACAGCATGGCAAATTTGGAAACTCTTAAGTAGTTCAACATGGATGAAACATAAAGTTCATATCAGAAGATATGATGGAACAAGGAGAAAGGGGTCAACTAACAATTTGCCCTCTTTCTTACAGGCAGGCAATGGAGAATTATACTGAAGGGATTCTTCGGCTGGGCAAAAACATGATTAGATCTGCATTCTAAAGACTGCTCGCAGAGTAGAGGATGGATTGGAGCAGGGAGTCTACTGCAATAGTACAGATGCGATAGTGAAGACTTCATTTAAAGCAGCACCAGCAAGAATGAGGAAGAAGGGATTAATATGAAAAACGTTAAAGAGGTGGAATGTATAAGGCTCGATGGCCGAATGATGGGAGGTAGGAATAGGGAGTGTGTAGAAGGAGTCTAAGATGACTCCCCGATCTCTGGTTTGGGGGAAAAAATGGGTGGGGATATCATTAACTAGGGCAGGTAGTAATAGGTACCCAGCCTCCAAGACGGCCTGTTCCATGATCCCTGCCTCCTTGTATTCATGCTCCTGTGTGAACTGAGGTCTGCAGCAATCACCTGAGTGAGTCTGGAAGCAGATTCTCCAGCCCAGCCAAGCCTTGAAATGACAGCAACCCCAGCTGACAGCTAGACTGCAACATGGTGAGACCCAAAGCCAGAACCACCTTCCTAAGCTACTCCCCGATTCCTGTCTCTCAGAAATTTTGTAAAATAATAAAGGCTTGTTTTACACTCCTAAGTACCAGAGTAATTTGTTACGTAGCAACAGACTACTAATACTTTGGAATAATTTGTTACATAGCAATAGATTACTAATACAGACTTTAGTCCCTGGAAGTGGTGTACTGCTGTAACAAAAATGAAAAACATGGGAATGGCTTTGGAACCAAGCAGTGGGCTTTGAGGCGTGTAAATGAAAACCTCAAGAAAGAAGCCTCATAGTCTTTGGTAAGGATGCAGGTGAGGACATGGAGGAAAGTGAGGTAATGTTATCAGAAAGCAGAAGAAGAGGAATCCTGGTTAAGAAGAGGCGGAAGGCTTAGCAACACCATTCCTTGCAGTAATGTGGACTGTAAAAAATCAATGGGGTGATGTAACTAAGATTTCCAACCAGTGTTCACAGTGCCACCTGGGTTTTTCTTGTGCTTATGTGAAAAAAAGAGATAAGCTAAAGGAAAGGCTGTTAAACAAAAATGAGCCAGGATGTTGGGGATTTAAAAAATTCTCATCTTCTCCAGATGTGAAACAATGCTAAAATTAAGAAATAACTTCTGAGCAAAGACCAAATCCAAGGCACTGCCAGGAAAACATGGTCCAAAGATAAAATCAAGGATATGACCATAAAATCTTAAGACCCAGAAAGATCAAAGGCACTAATCATTCCAACAAAGGGTGCTATTAAAAATTATAAAGAATGCACCTCATAAATCCAATTAATCACACAATAGGGCTTAATTAAGAGCACTGTTATCAGCAGAAACTCAATATATTTCAGAGATGTGTAGGTGGTGTGGCTTTTGACTAATAAAATGGAAGCCAGTAACATGCACCAAAGACCTTCCAAGTTTTTAGAAGAAATACATATGCAGAAGCATTGCCAGCTAGAATTGAAAGGGATAGAAATAGGATAAAATAAAGTCTTTGAACTCTCAAAATTCTATTAGCAGTAAGTAGACTGAGAAAACCAACCAGCTGTAAAGCACATGCTTTCTAGGGATCACTCAGAGGGGTGGAAACCAAGAGCCTAGAGGGCAGGGCAGACAGCCATGGAGAATTATTCCAGGCCTTCAGACCTAATCAAGAACATCCAACATTTGCCACTTGATTCCAGAATTGCCATGGACCAATGACTCCTTTGTGTCTCCCATTTCCGCCCCTTTGAAGTGGAAGGGCTACAGGAGTTATCCTATGCCCATCCCACCACTGTATGTTAGGTATATGTGGGGCAGATAAATGGTCTCTCGAGTCTCTCAGGCCAACAGTGTACTAAAGAAGCTATACTGAAGGAACTACACCCAAGGAGCCACATCCACATCTGGTCCTGATTTAGATGATGAGATTCTAGATTCTGAGCTGCTGCTGTAATGGGATGACACTTCTGAGGGCCTTGGGAGGGGGTGAGTATATTTTGCATATGGGAGGAACTGAATCAGTGGAGGTTAGAGGGGAAACGGTGGTAGTCAGCCTCCAAGATGGGCTCCAATAATACCGGCCTCCTGGTATTCACACCCTTGTACTGTTCCCTTCCACATTGTGCTAGGATTGGTCTGTGATCAAGAGAATATGAGAAGGGCTAGTGTATCACTTCTGAGCTGTTATTGAAAACAGGCGTCTATCCTCGGCACTCTCTTACTTACCTACTCTCTCGGACCTCTCCATCTGGGGCAAACAAGCTAACATGTGCTAAGTAGTCCTATGGAGAGGATAAGGTGGGAGGAACTAAAGCCTATGGCCAAAAATCAGCAAGGAACTGAGGTTTGCCAACAACCACTTGAATGAACCTGAAAGCAGTTTCTCCAGACCCAGTTAGGCCTTGAGATGACTACGGATCTGGCAAACACCTTGACTGCAATCTGGTAACAGATCCAGAGCAAAAACCACCCAGCTAAGCCAGTCCCCAATTCCTGACCCTCAGAAACTATATAACAAATGATAGCTGCTTTAAGATGCTAAACTTTGGGATAATTTAGTATGCAGTAATAGATAACTAAGTGGTACAGAACTATTAAAATACGCTGAATCCTAATTATCATATGTTTTATTCCTTTCAGCTGTTATTTCATGGGTTTCTATACAAAGAAAAATCAACAATAAAATCGTGATTACTAATTTCCTCTAACGAAATGACACATCAAGTAACCACACCTTAGGGGTGTATATGATATACACAGAAGGTTCTGCCACTACTGCCAGCTATTACACCACGCCAGAACAGGACTATAATTGAAGAGCAGTGATAATAAATCAGTTAACAAGAAAAGGAGTGGCAAGAGGAAACCATCTGCACAGAAAGTCCGTTGAAAAGGTAGACTAAGGAGACAAAACTGCTCCAAAGGAGTCAGAAGAGCAAAATAACCAAAATGGCAAACAGCTTGAAAGAGAAATATCCTTGCTAAGCAAAGAGGTGGTAAAAAGGAAGGTGGGGACTGGTAGAAACAATGGAATTTCAAATAGAAAGCAACCCTTGGAGGGACTAAAGAGAGAGAATGTGGATTTTAAAAGTGTGAATGAGACATTATCTGAAAACAAGAAAAAAAGAGGAAGACTGGGGAAAAAAAAAAAAGGTAAGAAACAAGATGTATCCATACTACTTGGAAACCACATGTTTGCTGAACATGCTTTTTCAATTCTGACCTCAACCCAGTTAACAGTTTCAAGCAAGAACACAATAAAGGTAAACTAATGAGGAGAATCATTTCTGACCTCTTGAAAGTACATCTCAATAAATAACATCAATCCTTCTGACTGAATTTTTTTTTTTTTTTTCTGAGACAGGGTCTCACTTTGTGGCCAGGGCTGGAGTGCAGTGGCTTGATCACCGCTCACTACAGCCTTGACCGCCTTGGTTTAAGCGATCCTCCGGCCACAGCCTCCCAAGTAGCTGGGACTACACGTATACACCACCACACCCAGCTACTTTTTGTAGAGACAGGGTTTTGCTGTGTTGCCCAGTCTGGTCTCCAACTCCTGAGCTCAAGCAATCTGCCCACCTCGTCCTCCCAAAGTGCTGTGATTACAAGCATCAGCCATGTACCTGGACCTTAAAAGATTCAGTAGCTAACAAACACATATTTGTGAAAAAATCAATCTTAATTGATCACTGACAATATGAAAAAAAAAGGGAAGCAGACAGAATATGTTAAAACATCAGATGATAGTAAATAGGTTATAAATCTCACCATTTTTAAAAATCTGGATTATTTCTTACCTCCCTAGAAATGGAGACTGGGATGGGAACTGATTATAGATGTTTTGAACAAATATTTGCCACCTACCATCTTAGGCAATTCAGGTATACAGACTGAGCATTCCCAATCCAAAAATCTGAAATCTGACATGCTCCAAAACCCAAAACCTTAAAGTGCAGACATGATGTCACAAGTGGAAAATTCCACACCTGACTCCATGTGACTTGTCAAAAACACAGTCAAAACCTTGTTTCATGCAAAAAAAAATTATTTAAAGTATTCCATAAAATTAACTTCAGGCTATGCATATAAGGTATATGTGAAATATAAATCAATTTCATGTTTAGACTTGGTCCCACCCCCAAAATATCTCATTATGTATATGCAAATATCCCAAAATCCAAAATCCAAGACGCTTCTGGTCTCAAGCATTTTGGATAAGGAATTATTAACCTGTACCACATCCCATTAGTGAGAATATGGTTTAGAAGGGCAGGTAAGAAATATAAATAAGCTCATTATAAAATAAAGCGATTAGGCGATTAGAGCCAAGTACAAAGGGTAAGAGTAATACAATACCCTTGTATTTCCTTTACTTTCAGGGACTTATGGCAGAACTTACGAAGAATATCACATAGAGAATAGGTACTATCTAAAAGTACACACTTAGGAAAGATTCTTAAAAGCCAGCTTTATTTTCACTGTAACAGTAATCTTATTCTGGGAAGCGGTGGCTGTCATTAAACCAATTAGGCCTTTGTTAACACACTGAGCCCTAAAAACAAAAAAAACAGCTCTCACGAACCAGTTGGTCCAGCCTTTATACAAGCTAAAAATTATGGGGTGGGGGCCGGGCGCGGTGGCTCACGCCTGTAATCCCAGCATTTTGGGAGGCCGCGGCAGGTGGATCACGAGGTCAGGAGTTTAAGACCAGCCTGGCCAAGATGGTGAAACCTGGTCTCTCTAAAAATACAAAAAAATTACTCGGGCGCGATGGCGGACGCCTGTAATCCCAGCTACTCGGGAGGCTGAGGCAGAAAATTGCTTGAACAGGGAGACGGAGGTTGCTGTCAGCCGAGATCGCGCCACTGCACTCCAGCCTGGGAGTGCAGACTCCGTCTCAAAAAATAAAAATAAAAAAAAAAATAGGGTGGGGCAGCTGCTACGGCTGTGAGGTAACTGATAACTGCATTTAATATCTCCCTCCTTTTTTTCAATGGTTGTGTTTTTAGAACTGATTAAAAGATGAAATGTAGAATGAAGTCTACACCCATTTAATACTCCCCATTCAGGTCTCAGATCAAATGTTACCACCCTATCTAAAGTTGTTCTTGGCACAACACCTTTTCTTTCCTTGATGGCATTTAACATTATCCGAAATCATTTTATTAACGTGCTGGTTAATTGTCTGCCTCCATCAGACAGAACGTGGACCTGACGTGTCGTGTGCACAGCTCTAGTCCTAAGCTCTTAGAACAGTGCCTGACACATAACAGGCGCTCAGGAAACATTAATAAAACGAAGACAGGTGGAATGCCGTTCTCCACCCCGCTGCACAAATCTCTCCTCCTACCCCCTTATAAACTGAGTTCCCACAGCGCTGCTATTGCAATTAACTGGCTACGCTCGGGATGCAACCCCGGGTTTCCTTCCTGTTCTATCCCCTGGCTTGGATGTCGGTGCCAGGCACGCTGTAGGCACTCGATGGCAGATCGCTGAATGAATGACACGGCAAGCCGGGCACAAGCAGTGGCACCGCTGCGATGCCGGTTCCGAGGCTACCACAGCCCAGCCGGACCGCCACCATCATCGGCCTTCCCGCGTAAACCCCGGCCTCCCGGAGCCAAAACCTTCAGGAAGGCATGAATGTCGCCACATTGCCCTTTTGGAGGGAGGCCCTGCCTCCGAGAAGAGGCGTAGGGCCCAACGTATAGGGCCGCCACTCACTGTAGGTGCGGCCCAGGGCTTGGAAGAGCAGATCACGCTTCACGCTGACAGTCGGCATGGTGTGTCGAACTCACTGCGCCTGCGCAGCGAGCTGACCCGGGCTTCCCTAGCGAAGCGCGTAGGACCCGCCTCTTCTTGTGCGTGTTGTCTTGAATATCGCCATTCTGCTGGCAACAGTTCCTGTTCTCTTTTTAACCTAAAAACACTCATCATGCCATTACCTCGCTGATTAAATGTATCTTTATGAGACTAATAGCTTAAAAGCCTGTAAGAAAGATATAATTTGATAGAACTGGCTAGGATTTGTCAGGCATTGTAATGTACTGACCCTGAAGTCCCGGATGCTTCCAGGGCGCTAACGGCCGGGGACGCCCACCAGGTGGGCGGGGCGAGAGTGGGGCGCGTCAGGGAGGGGGTGGGGCCTCCACGTGGGAGATCTTGCCTGGAGGTGGTGGAAATGCGAGTGGAGAGGGTTCAAGGCTTCCTGCAGAGAAAGGTGTGCAAATCCTGGCGGCGGGAGAGGGGCTGTTAACAGACCTCAGTTTTTACTTCATTCTTTAATCTCTCCTCTACTCGTATAAGTGATATACCTGTGCTTTGTTTGAACTTTACGGCAGCCCTATAAGGGAGGCATTGTAAGAGACCTCTTTTTTTGTCTATTTGCTCAGTGCTCTCTGCTGTCAGTGGGCTGTGCTCAGCCCTCTGCCAGCATTAAATTTCCTCCTTAAAACAACCCTGAGTGTAATAGGCTGAATAACGGCCCCCAATAATATCAGACCCTAATCCCTGCAACCTCTAAATGTAACTTTATATGGAAACAGCGTCTTTGCAGGTTAAGTTAAGGATTTTGAGATGAAGATTATCCTGGATTCGAAAGACGAACACTAAATGGAATCACAGTATCCTCATCAAATCATAAAAGGGAGGTTGAGAGAGACGATTTAGCCACGGTGGCAGAGATTGGAGTATGGCAGCCACAACCCAAGGATGCCAGCAGCCACCAGAAACAAAGAGACAAGCACACACTGGGGGTGAGGGGGTGGAGGAGCGGGGAGCATCAAGAATAGCTAATAGATGCTGGGCTTAATACTTAGGTGATGGGATGATCTGGGCAGCAAACCACCATGGCATACATTTACCTATGTAACAAACCTTCACATCCTGCACATGTATCCCTGAAATAAACAGAGACAAGGACAGATTCACGCCCAGCCCATGGGGCAGCCCTATAATGCATGCTGATTTGGGCCCAGTGAAACTGATTTTGGGTTTCTGGCCTCCAGAACTGTGAGAGCATAAATTTATGGTTTAAGTCAGCAAGTTCGTGGTAATTTGTTTCAGCAGCCAAGGGAAACTAATACATCAAGATAGGTACCATTATCCCTGTTTTACAGGTAATGAAACTAAGGCACAAACTGGCAGTTCCAGGGGGAGCCTTGCCCTAATCCTTTCTACTGTACAGTGAGTGAGGGCTTCTTCCAAAGTCCTTCACATGAGGGGAGAAAAGCTGAGCCAGATGTAAGCCACCCTAACTATTAATCAAGCAGTTTTTCACTATACAGTATTAGCTCCCCTCCATGGGAAGGCAGTCCCTTCCCAGTGACCAACATAACAGATTGGCAACACCCCATAAATGGCAAACATCCCCAATGCAAAATACAGCTTTCCACCTAAAATTGGTGCTTTCTGCTCAATTAATAAGCAAAGGACTAGTGCCAGGCATGATGGCTCACACTTGTAATACCAACACTTTGGGAGGCTGAAGTGGGCAGATCACTTGAGGTCAAGAGTTGGAAACCAGCCTGGCCAACATGATAAAACCCCATCTCTACTAAAATTACAAAAATTAGCTGGGTGTGGTGGTGGGCACTTGTAATCCCAGCTACTGGGGAGGCTGAGGACTGAGAATCACTTTAACCCAGGAGGCAGAGGTTGCAGTGAGCCAAGATCACGCCACTGCACTCCAGCCTGGGTGACAGAGCAAGACTCTGTCTTAAAAGCAATAACAACAACAACAACAAAATAGTAATAATAAATAACCAAAGGACTTCCTGCTGACCTGCTCTGCTTTGGGCACTCCAAAGTGTTCTGTGGCCTCTGAACCTCAGTTTCCTCATCCATAAAATAGGGATAATAATATACACCTTAAAGAATTATTGTGTCCCATATCTGTAATTCCAGCACTTTGGGAGGCCGAGGTGGGAGGATTACTTGAGCCCAGGATTTCAAAACCAGCGTGGGCAACAGAGTTGGACCCCATCTCTAAACAAAAAGAAAAATTAGCCAGGCATGGCGGCAACACACCTATGATCCCATCTACGCGGATCACTTGAGCCCGGGAGGTTGAGGCTGTGGTGAGCTGTGATCGCGCCACAGCACTCCAGCCTGGGTGACAAAGTGAGACCTTGTCTTAAAAACTAAAAAAGAATTATTGTAAGAATTTGAAATAATACTCATAAATAACTAGTATAGTTCTTATCATGTCAGAGGTCCTGGAAATGGGGCAACTGTCATTTTTTTTAATCCTCCTAGTTAGTTTTCTGCTAGTCTCAGACCACCAAGGGGCATTTTGTTCCCATCTCTCACATCCCCCAACTGACCTATCCTACTTTTTATCATTGCACATGTTACAGGTACTCTGTCCCTTCTCTGTGAGAAGCTAAACTGTTAGAAGATTCTAATGGAAAAGAGGAAACTAGGCCACTAGGGCTCATCACAAATGGCATTAGCTAACTGAAAGGAAAGGTACATGGAAAATGATGAGATCGTATATCACAAAATGTAGGTACATGCTTCTTTCATCTAACTTTGGGGCCAGACTGAAAGCAGGAATGAGGTGGCAGCATTTCCTAGGAAGGAAAGACGAGCTGGACAAAAGGCATGGAAAAACTCTCAGCTCAGCAGAAATTAAGGAGATGCAAATAAAAATTATAAGGACATACATGTTTATACCTAGGAGACTGCTAGAAGTCTTAAAGTCTGAAAAAAATCAGATCTTGGCAAGAATTTGGGAGTATAAATTGATATAACCTCTTTGGAAAATATGGCCTTACCTAGAAAAATGGGGCATGTCCATATCCTACTACCCAGCAATTGCACTGCTAGGAATATTCCCCCAGAGAAACTCTTACCCATGTGCACCAGAAGACTCAAATAAGAATTTTCATGGTTACATTGTTCATTATAACAGAAATCTAGGAACAACCCAATGTTTGTCAGTACTAGAATGGGTAGACAGTTATGATAAATGTATACAGTGAAACACCATACAGTTATGTAAACAAATGAACTACACCTGCATGTATCAACTTGGATAAATCTTACGTTGTAATTTTGAGGGAAAAATGTAAATCACAGAAGAATATGTATCCTTGATGCCATTAATATAAACACTAAAAACCAGGCTAACCTAAAGAGTATATTGTTAGGCATACATAAATAGAATGGTAAGCCTGTAGTAAAAGCAGAGGATGACAAACACAAAATATGAGACCAGTGAGTTCTGAGTGAGTTGGCAGGGCTGCAGCCTGGAGTGTTGGAATACCTGTATTACTCAGAGTCCTCCAGATAAATAAATAGGAAACAAGTAGACAGATATTTATTATAAAGTATTGTCTCACATCATTATGGAAACTGAGAAGTCCCACAATCTACCATCTGCAAGCTGGAGACCCATGAAAATGAGTGAAGTAGTTTGAAGCCCTGAGAGCTGAAGAGGTGGTGGTACAGATGCTGTCTCAAGGCCTGAAAGCAGGGAGAACTGAGAGCAGGGAAAGATCTATGGCCCAGCTCAAGTATTCAGACAGAGAGTGAATGCAGCCTTCCTCCCCCTTTTTATTCTCTTCAGGCCCACCATGGATTGGATAATACCTACCCACATTGGGGAGGGCCATTTGCTTTACTCAGTCTATCCATTCAAATGCTAATCTTGGCTGGGTGTGGTGGCTCACGCCTGTAATCCTAGCACTTTGGGAGACTGAGGCAGGCAGATCACTTGAGGTCAGAAGTTTGAGACCAACCTGGCTAACATAGCAAAACCCCGTCTCTACTAAAAATACAAAAATTAGCTGGGCATGGTGGTGCACGCCTGTAGTCCCAGCTTGGGAGGCTGAGGTAGAGGAATTGCTTGAACCCAGGAGGCGGAGGTTGCAGTGAGCCAAGGTTGCACCACTGCACTCCAGCCTGGGCAACAGAGCAAGACTCCATCTCAAAAAAATAAAAACAAATGCTAATCTCTTCCAGGAATGCCCTCACACACCCAGACATAATGTTTAACCAGCTACCTGGGTACCCATTAGCCCAGTCAAGTTGGTACATAAAATTAACCAACACACTACCCAAAGGGTTTCAAAAGTATTGGTAGTGTTCTATTTTATCTGGTATACCTTTGTGGATGTATTTTAAGAAAGAAAAGATGAAGGTGGGAAACAACAGTTGAGTGTGGCACTCTATTTCAGGGGTGGGGAGACGAATGCTGGGTGGCAGATGGCTGAGCAGAAACACAATAGGAATACTTGACAGTTGATTTCGCTTTAAGGTGTTCTTTTTCTTCATAAAGGGCTTTTTTTTTTTTCCTTTTGAGATGGAGTTTCACTCGTAGCCCAGGCTGGAGTGCAATGGCCCATCTTGGCTCACTGCAACCTCTACCTCCTGGGTTCAAGTGATTCTCCTGCCTCAGCCTCCTGAGTAGCTGGGATTACAGGCACCTGCCACCACGCCCAGCTAATTTTTGTATTTTTAGTGGAGATGGGGTTGGCCAGGCTGGTCTCGAACTCCTGACCTCAGGTGAATCACCTGTCTTGGCCTCCCAAAGTGCTAGGATTACAGGTGTGAGCCACCGCACCCGGCCTGGATAAAGGGCTTTTTAAAAACTTTAGTCTAATTTATTATTCTTTTCCTTTATAGATTATGGGGTTTAGGTTATGTTTTAAAAGGTCTTTCTTAATCCCAAGATTTTTTTTTTTAAGTATGTTTCTCAGAGTACTTGAATGGGTTTTTATTTTTCTTTTGCATTTAAATCTCAGATCTTTCTGAAATTTGTTTTGGTTTTGGAGTGAGTGAATGAACCAGCTTTATGTTTGTTTTTAAACAATTCAGTTAATACATTATTTATTAAATAAGCTTCTTTTTACTCATGGATTTGAAATACATTCTTTATTAAATTTCCATATATATATCTATATATTTAGGTTTATTCCTGAACTGTGTGTTCCATTGCCTGTACGAAGCTTTTTCAATTACTATAGTACTATAATACATTTTAATAGTTGGAAAAGTTAGTAAGTTAGTGTACCTTCAATGCCTTCTTTTTCAAAACTTCCATGACTTTTATCTCATGTTGATTTTTCTAGATGAACTTTAAGATTTTTTCAAGTTCTGGAAAACATTCTTTTATCATGTATTTGGAATCAAACATAATTTATGGATTAATTTAGGAATCTTTCCATCCAAGAACCACAGGCTCCATGTAAGTTCTTAAGTGTGCCAGGCAGTGGCTCACCTTAGGCCTTCTGCTTGAATGTTCTTGCCCATAGATTCCCATAGAGCTAGATCCCTTGGCTCTTTGAAGTCTTCCCAGAAAAGCCTATCCCTGACTATACTATTAGTTATGGTTATTAGATATATACGTCTCTCTCTGCTAAAACATGAGCCTGTAAAGGCAGAGATTTTTGTGTTTTGTTCACTAACACATGCCAAGAACCTCAAACAGTGCCTGGCAGAGGGCAGACCATCAATAAATATTTGAAGTTTTAATGTTAGGAATACTTGCTATATTACCTTTTCTTTTTACAAATACATACTTCAGTACTAAAAAAATGAGCAAAGGAAGTGAGCACCAATTAAATACAAACAAAAAAAACAAGAAGAGAAGAGAATGTAAATTAAAACAACAATACAAGTTATGGATATTTTCTCCAGGGAGACCGGCAGGCATTAAAGAAACAAATCATACCGACCCTGTATTGGCAAAAATTTAGGAAGCTGGCACTTTAACTCCTGTTGGGAATATAAGTAGCAGTTTGACAATATAAATCAACATATTAAAGATTTTTTCTCTTTGATCCTAAAATTCCACTCCTATAATTATTCTAAGGAAATAATGAAACAAGTCTTTGCAATGTAGAAAATGTTGAAACAACCTAAACATTCAACAATATGAGCTCGATTAAATAGAGTAGGATACCTTTATGCAGTAAAATACTATGCAAACATTAAAAATGATGTTAGCTATCTACCTTTTTTTTTTTTTTTTTTTTAGATGGAGTCTCCCTCTGTCATCCAGGCTGGATTGCAGTGGTGTGATCTTGGCTCACTGCAACCTCCGCCTCCCAGGCTCAAGCAATTCTCCTGCCTCAGCCTCCCAAATAGCTGGGACTACAGGCACACGCCACCACGCCCGGCTAATTTTTGTATTTTTAGTAGAGACAGGGTTTCACCATGTTGGCCAGGATGGTCTCCATCTCTTGACCTCGTGATCCGCCCACCTCGGCCTCCCCAAGTGCTGGGGTTACAGGTGTGAGCCACCACACCCAGCTCAGCCATCTACATTTTTTAACATGGTACAAACTTCATAACAAGTGAACTTTATGATATGAAAGTACAGTTACTAAGCAATATACTTTATTTTTATTTATTTAATTTTGTTTCATTTTAGAGACAGGGTCGTACTTTTTCACCCAAGCTGAAGCACAGTGGCATGATCATAGCTCACCGCAGCCTTGATCTCCTGGGCTCCAGTGATTCTGCCACCTCAGCCTCCCAAATAGCTGGAACCACAGGCACACACCACCACACCTGGCAAATTTTTTAACTTTTTTGTAGAGACAGGGTCTCATTATGTTGCCCGGGCTGAACAATATACTTTAAATGACCAATATTTTGTTTTAAAAATGCATATATAGCTGGGCACAGTGGTTCATGCTTATAATCCTAGCACTTTGGGAGGCTGAGGTGGGCAGATCACTTGAGGTCAGGAGTTCAAAACCAACCTGGCCAACATGGTGAAAACCCATCTGTACTAAAAATATTTAAAAAATTAGCCAGGCATGGTGGTGGGCACCTGTAATCATAGCTCCTCAGGAGGCTGAGGCATGAGAATCACGTGAACCTGGGAGGTGGAGGTTGCAGTGAGCTGAGATCACGCCATTGCACTCCAGCCTGGGCAATAAGAGTGAGGCTCCCTCTCAAAAAAAGAAAAAAAAATGCACGTATGTATGAGTGTGAACAAAATAAAATGGCTACCATGATATACAACAAAATGTTAGCAGTCGCTATTCTTGGATTGGTGAGATTTTTTAAAATTGTATCTTATATTTTACAGAATTGTAACTAGCAAGTATTATTTTATTATGAGAAAATAAAACCAAGGCTATCATAAAACACAATCATGCTCACTCCTTTTCCCTGACTAATCAGACATTGGTAGATTGTCCAGCTCTCTCATTATCACCTGGAATCAGAGCCTGCACCCGTGGATTGTTTTTGCCTATAAAATATGTAATAAGCTCAGAGAAAATTTCTGAAATGATTGTGTCACTTTCCTGTAATGCTTGTGGGTTGGCCAGTAACTGTGAAAGCTATGCTGTCAGGTCTGAAGTTCTTCTCACACAGGTCCTAAATTGCAGTACGGGGTCAGATGACATTTTACACTAGAGCTACTGATAGCTTAAAGGGGCATGCTGATACTGTGTAGTGCTTTCCTGTCCAAAAGCAAACAGGCTCCGCTTGCAGCCTCAGTTTCTTCATTCACAAAATGGTGATAGTATTCCATCTGATGGTTGTGAGGATAAAGTATGTGGAGACAATTTGAAACCTGCAAAGTGCTATTTGATTAGTAGATATTTATACTGAAAGTAATTACCCAGTATATTACCTTCAGTATAAATTACCCAAGTGATCTGAGACTATGACCTCTTTCTGGTGTGAAGTTTAGTAAAACTTGAGCTGCTATCTCCCAGAGGGTGAGGCAGGGCTTTCAATACAGGTAATGGATGATACAGTTTACTGTAACTGGCCTTGCTTTTACTTGCTGCATATCCAAAACTGGTTCTGTTCTATCCATAATCTTATATGCCTTTCCTATAAATTTCCTGGGTGCACTCCAATCTCTCTGTAGATTACTCTGAAACTTTTAGGACATAACCAAAGTCCGTACATCTTTTTGGGTTTCTATTGCTAGATCCATCTAGAATCAAGAAGGTCTGAAAGACCTCACAAGAATCAGTTTGATCAGCACTAAGGAATTTGTCAAAACGATGGTCATTTTAAATTGGATTTTTTTTTTTTTTTTTTTTTTTTTTTGGAGATGGAGTCTCGCTTTGTTGCCCAGGCTGGAGTGCAGTGGTGCGATCTCGGCTCACTGCAAGCTCCGCCTCCCAGGTTCAAGCCATTCTCCTGCCTCAGCCTCCTGAGTAGCTGGAACTATAGGCGCTCGCCACCATGCCCAAGTAATGTTTTTTGTATTTTTAGTAGAGACAGGGTTTCACCATGTTAGCCAGGATGGTGTCGATCTCCTGGCCTCGTGATCCACCCACCTCGGCCTCCCAAAGTCCTGGGATTACAGGCGTGAGCCACCGCACCCGGCCTAAATTGGATTTTTCAAATAAACTCATTACACATTTTATAGTATTGACAATTCCCTCGTTCCTGATATTCTCCTTCCTTAGTTTTCCTGACTCCAGGCTCCTGATTAGCTCCTTGGATTTTTCTACTGTCACTATGCGATAGGCAAAAGCAATACAACATAGTATTGAGTTCTATCAGTCACAGATTTAAATCCTGGATCTACTGTTCACTGAGACCTTGGACCAATGACACAATACTGATGAGCCTCAGTTCCTCATCTGTAATGTGAAGATAACAACAATACCTACCTTGTAGGTATACCATGTGATGGTTGTGAGAATTTTAAGAGAAATAGTTCGTGTAGGGTTTGGCCTATCATGAACACTGAATAAATATTAACTCTGTTGCGGCCTCCTCTACCTCCTACACTGCACTTTCCCTTCCTTCTATGTGGGGTGCTATCCAGAGTTACGTGCTTAGAAATCTTCTCCTGGAGTGAGGTCTGCAGCCTCCACTACCACCTAAACACAGACGGCTCCCTTCCTATCTTCAGCCTTTATCTCTCTTTTGTACATATTTCTTTTTTTTTTTTTTTTTTTTTTTTGGGGATGGAGTATCACTCTGTCTCCTGGGCTGGAGTGCAGTGGCGCTATCTTGGCTCACTGCAACCTCCACCTCCCGGGTTCACGCCACTCTCCTACCTCAGCCTCCCAAGTAGCTGGGACTACAGGTGCCTGCCACCACGCCCAGCTAATTTTTTTTTGTATTTTTAGTAGAGACAGAGTTTCACCGTGTTAGCCAGGATGGTCTCGATCTCCTGACCTCGTGATCCGCCTGCCTCAGCCTCCCAAAGTGCTGGGATTACAGGCGTGAGCCACCGTGCCTGGCCTCTTCTGTACATATTTCTTACCAGCTTCTGAACATCTGCACCTGGCTGTCCAACATGCTGGCATCTCATACTCAACATGTCAAAAACTGAAGTTTCCCCAAGATTCATTTTTTCCCATGTCTGCCTTTCCTTTTCAATGTCACCACCATCCACTGAGTTATCCAAATTGGAAATACTGAAGTCAACTTAACTCCTCCTCACTCATTTCTCCCTTCTGATTGGTTTTGATTGCAGAAGCTTGGCATCATCTGCCCAGAATTTTCTTTCTCTGCTACAAGGGCAAATTTGACAGCCACCATGTTACAGCAATGGGACCCTGTATCTCATTTGAATGAATTGATACAGAAGTTGACGCCTGATGCCAGCTGGATTTTGGACTTGGGACCATAGGGAACTTAAGTCCATTTGATTTAAAGGCGGAAGCTGTAATGTACAAGTGTAGGGCCATTAGTGGCCATGTTTCCCACCCCATGGAGAAAATTAATCTCCAGCAAGGTAAAATGACTCTCACAGCAAGAGAGAAGACAGAGAGAGAGAGGGCCTAGACACATCAAACTGACTGGTTGTTCTTGAGACCCATGTGTCTCTTCCTCCTGAAACTTGACTGTTCAACAACAAATTAAGTTCAGAATTATTAAAGCTTAGCTTGCGAGTATTGGAAAGTTATAGCTGAGACTCAAGAAGTGAGATGTAGATGACCTATAATGCAGAGTCCAAAACCATATTAAAGAATTTGGACTTTATCTTGACAGCAATTGTGAAGAAATTCAAAGATTTTAAACGATGTTTGAAAAGTAATGGAAAAGATCACACTGGGCACGTTGTGGAAAGGGGATAAGGAGTAGTGGTTTGGAGGGTAAAACTCACAGCAAGAAGATCAGTTAGGAGGTTGCAATAATGCAGAGGAGAAATGATAGCAGTCAGGACTGGGAAGATGGCATGTGTTGAAGCAAAACAAAACATCCACTGGATTGGACTGTCTTTGTCCATTCAGGCTACTATAGCAACATATCATATACTGGGTGGCTTATAAACAACCACAATTTATTTCTCACAGTTCTAGAGGCTGGGAAGTTCAAGATCAGGGTGCTGGCATGGTCAGGTTCTGGTGAGGGCCCTCTTTTGAGTTGCAACAGCTGACTTGTTGCTGGGTCCTCCTATGGCAGAAGGAGCAAAAGAGCTCCCTTCAACATCTTTTATAAGGGCACTAAGTCCATTCATGAGGGAGGAGCTGTCATGATATAATCACTCCCCAAAGGCCACACCTCTTAATACCATTACCTTGGTGGTTAGGATTTCACCTAATGTAAATTTTGGGGGACTTGGGGAAAAAACAAACATTCAGACCATAGCCTGGATCTTCTTGGAAACTGGAGCTAAGTAATGGAAACTGCTTTGTCGTGTCCCCAAGGGCACTGTTGTTGGAGTTGCTGACTGCCTCTTTTATAAGATTGCCTTGGGTTCAGGACAGTTGCAGTAAACCTTCCGAATCCCTTTCTTCTTGTTCCTACCTTGAGTGTGTTGCTGGACCTCCAATTACTGTCCCAGGGCAAATGCAAATGAAGGTGTGGGTGAGGGTCATGGGAAGAGAAAGGATATTTAATAAATACTAGTCATTATCCTCATAATTTCTAACAGTAATCAGTCATAGTGTTACAACAATTTAAAAGAGCAATTAGGGGCTGGGCACAGTGGTTTACGCATGTAATCTTAGCACTTTGGGAGGCTGAGGCAGGTGGATTGCCTGAGCTCAGGAGTTTCAGACCAGACTGGGCAACAACATGGTGAAACCCCATCTCTACTAAAAATACAAAAAATTAGCCGGGCATGGTGGTGCGCACCTGTAGTCCCAGCTTCTCTGGGAGGCTGAGGCATGAGAATCGCTTGAACCTGGGAGGCAGAGGTTGCAGTGAACCAAGATCGCCCCACTGCACTCCAGCCTGGGCAGCAGAGCAAGACTGTCTCAAAAAACAGACAAACACACAAAAGGAGCAATTAGAGAAGCACATATTTTGTAGAGAAAATGTCACATATTAACATAAATTAACTAACGGAGAGACAACACTTGAACTTCTATGAATGGAGTTTTCGAAGGAAAATGTGAAAGGAAGGAAGGCAGGAATGGTACATGGGGTCTGAGACCTTGTGTGTACTTGTAGCAATAAGAAAATATGGAGGAAAGGAAACCTTGGATGGTAACCGTGGGGCTACAAAGCCTCACCTTCTCAGGCAAGGTTCCTGCAACTTTCCCCAGAGCAAACATACCCGAGCCTTGTCAGATTGATCAAATAGTTAATTGAGAAGACAATAAGAATGTAGAGGGACCACAGCAAATTTCTTAAACTTTGTTCAAAAGAGCCTTGAAAATAGAACTTCTTAAAGCACATTCCATTGAAACTACCATAGTGATGGCCTTCTATTTTACTTTAACCAGAGCTGGCCGCTCTCAGTGTTGTGTGTTTGTGTGTGTGTGTGTGTGTGTGTGTGTGTGTGTGTGTCTGTGCGCGCACGCGTGAGAGAGAGAGAGAATACTTACTTTTATGATTAATGCATCTTATGAAAATCAGAACCATGACCTTTGCCCTAAACTATCCCCTGTAAGGACTCTGTCTAGACAGAATACTAACAGAATACTATTTCCTTTTTAACCTAACAATGAGAACATTTTTACTTAAGTTACAGTAAAACGTCATGTTATAGAAAGACATTGTCACCTTTCTACTAGTAGATGTTAGTTATAGTAAAGTGCACAGGAAGAAATAATTAGAACAAGGAAATGATTTCTTATTTCTCAATTCCAAGAGTAGCCTTTCATAATTGTTGAGACAATCTGGCCTGTGACCTTATTTCTTCATCAGAGTTGAGAAGTAGAAAGAGGAACCATACCCATCAGTGGAATCCCAGATCTTCAAAGGGACTGTGTTGGTTCCTTCCCCAGGACTTGCCACAGCTGTGGTGCTTGGTACATTTTCATTGAATTATTGTAAACATATATATGTATTATTCACTCATATTTAGCCAATTCCAGGCCCATAGGAACAAAGCTGACACTTCTGCCAAATGTATTTTTCTTTAATCATTTGCTAAAATATTTGTTGACTGAATGGATAACTACACCTCAACCCAAATGACAGGTTCAGTCATCAGCACTCTTCTACTTACCCTTCAATGACTTGTTCCTCTGTTGTGACAACACTCCCTTTCTTCCTTATATTATTTGAGAAACAGCCTAGTATAGCAGTTAGGCTCTGGAATCTTAGGTTCATTTAGAATTGTTTTGAATAGCTTGATGAATTAAAACTTTCCCACTATGTAAATCCAGTGATCACTTAACTCAAGTAACTTGGCACACAATATGTAAACAAATAAATACATGTTGAATGTCAAAAGGATGAGCAAATAATTTAATTGTTGATTAAAATGGTGATGGACTGTTGCATTGACTGAGTGCTGGTGAGTCCATGCTTTGTTTCAGTTGGCTGTGATGGCTGTGACAGGATATGACAGTTCTTATCTATCAGCTTAGTGTTCTGGGAAAGTAACAAATACATTACTAAGCAAGCAAACTCCAAGTGATCAGGATCAGGAGTTCTCGGTGTTTTGCTCTTCTTTACCGACAGATTCGAAATCCAATGAATCAAAGAGTCCTACCATTTATATGTCCCATGCATATCTCAAGTCTATATTTTCCCAAGCTTCCACATCCTCTACAATCATCCTACAATAGCCTTCTTAGGGGATATGCCTACTTCCACTCTTGCTACCTCCAATCTGTTCTAAATAGGTGCCCATTATTCTGTATCAGCCTATGTGTTTCCTTCAGGGCACTGTCACACATTTGGTTGTCTACATAGGTAGGTATTTTCTGTTTCTCCCACTAGACTGTGAGCTGCAGCAGGACAAAGACTTTTCTTATTCACCATTGTAACTCATCTCCTTTCCCTACCCAGTGCCTAATACATAGAAAGCTTTCCACAAATAGTCAATAAGTAAATGTGTGTAAATTCTCAAAGGCACAGAGACCTCATCTTAATTCACGTTTGTGTCATCAGTACCAAGGACAATGCCCAAGGCAATGCAGGCACTCCATAAATGTTTGTTCTATGTTTGGTTCAGTTGATGAAGGGATGACTCGCCTCTCCAGGTTTTATAGAAATTTGAATCTTCTCTATTCTGCCATTTACCAGCTGTGTGACTTTAAGCCCTAATTTCCTCAGCTGCAAAGTTGAAGTGAATGCGTACTTTGTAGGGTTTTTGAGATTACGCCTGTGAGGTCTCTGCAGAGTGCCTGACATAGGGTGTGTTCGTAGTGTCCCCACCTAGCACTGGGGGAAGATTCAAGGAAGAAATCTAAAAGGAAAGAAGAAAGTGACTCCTTAAGTAGGAGGAAAAAGAAACCCAAACAAGTTTTGCATACAAAAAATCACAAACAACTCCTCCAAGTGGCCCTGGTATTTGTTTTAATCCAACTCCCTTTGTATTAAAATGTTGAAGGAGAAAAGGGCATAGGATGGGGGAGAAAGGAGGGCCAACTATATTGTTTTGCCCTGTTCCAAGTCCTCTTCAGCAATGACTTGACAGCTGCTCATCATTTTGAGTTTTTCAACTATGTGGTAATTAATATTTATAAATAAAGTGCAGTGGTTGCTCCCAAGGACTAGGCACTATTTAGAATCTAGCCATCCATTTAGCACATCGTAATTGAAACCCTTCAGTGTCTTGTACTGCTCTTGGGGTTCAAACTTGAACCCTAACTCAGTCTGCAAGGGTCTGGACCTTGCCCACCATTTTTGCCTGATGTCACCCCAATCTCACCCTTGTCCCCCAAGCTCTCACTCTTTGAGCTCTTCTTGGAGTTCAGCCACAGGACCTTTG
Source organism: Homo sapiens (assembly GCF_000001405.40). Taxonomy (NCBI): domain Eukaryota; kingdom Metazoa; phylum Chordata; class Mammalia; order Primates; family Hominidae; genus Homo; species Homo sapiens. The sequence continues at coordinate 222,670,345 of NC_000002.12, forward strand.
CATATGTGCTTCCCTTTGCCCGGATGACTCCTGGGTTAACTAGATTTGGCTACAGCTCAAGTAAGGGCACTTCTTCAGACACTTCCCTGACCGTGCAGCAGTCTTGGTTTTGGAATCTTCTAGTCATTCACAGTAGGGTCTTACTTGTAATTATACACCAAATTGTGTAGTTGTTTTGCTTATGTCTGTTTCCCCCTGTACTCTGAGAACAAGACAATGAATAGCTTGTGTCAGGCCTCTGAGCCAAAGCTCAGCCATTATAACCTCTGTGACCTGCATGTACACATCCAGGTGGCCTGCAGGAGCCAAGAAGCCTGGAGCAGCCAAAAAAAACGCAAAGAAGTAAAACAGCCAGTTCCTGCCTTAACTGATTAACCAACATTACAACATTTTACCATTGTGACTTGTCCCTGCCCTACCTTAGCCGATCAATCGACTTTGTGACATTCTTCTTCTGGACAATGAGTCTTATGATCTCCCCACCCTGTACCTTGTGACCCCTTCCTCTGCTAACAATAGATAACCACCTTCTACTGTAATTTTCCATTACCTAGACAACTCCTATAAAGCAACCCCTTCCCCATCTCCCTTCGCTGACTCTTTTTCGGACTCAGCTGACTTGCACCTAAGTGAATAAACAGCCTTGTTGCTCACACAATGCCTGTTGGTGGTCTCTTCACACGGATGCGCTTGACAGCTTGGTTATCCAAGCGCCCGGATGGTGCTCAGCAAGTGGCAAGTGCTCAATAAATGTGGGTTGAATGAATGAATGGGTGAAAGATTCCCGGAGCTCCTGTAGGGAACTGAGGACCCAAGAGTGAGGAAGCCAGGTCCCCTTCCCCATCCGCGGGGAAATTGGAGGTTGCGGGGGGACACAGATCAATAAACTAAGAAACAAGTCTCGCTCATCTCTCCAGCTGGTGTGCGATTCCTCAAACTAACCCTTCCCCAATCACCGAGGGTTCGAATGAAGGGGTGGGATGCTGAAGGCAAGCGCTGGGTGATCGATCAGCTGAACAATGGTCAGATCCTGGTGGAGATCCCAGGTCCTCAGCCAGGCGGCAGGAGCCCGCGCTGCCCGGCTCGGGCTGGCTGCCAGTTGACCCCTCTCCCCGTCCCTCGTGTCCCACGCGGCGCACTCTCGCCAACGCCCGGCGCGCCAGCCAATGCGCCCGGGCCGCTGTAGCTGCTCCGGGGCCAGGGCGCTGGGCCAGCTCTGGCGCCCGGCGCTTGTGATTGGCTGCCCCCAGCCTCAGCCCAGCGCGCCCTCCCACCCAGGGCGCAGTTGGGTCCCCGCTCGCTGCCTAGCCTCTGCCTTTTCCTCTCCGCCCAGCCAGTGCCCAGCGCGGGGCCCGGATCCGGCCGGGCACTTCCCACAGGCGCCGCAGAGCAGCGTGGGTGCAGGCTGCAGTGGCTGGCGCCGTCCTCGCCCGGCCAGGCCATGAAGGTAGAGTTTGCACCGCTCAACATCCAGCTGGCGCGGCGGCTGCAGACGGTGGCCGTGCTGCAGTGGGTCCTGAAATACCTGCTGCTCGGTAAGGACCCCGCCCCCCGGGCCGCGGGGCTTGGGCTCCATATCCTCCCTCGGGACGGTCCGGATTCCAGGACCTGCATAGAACCTTCCAACCCTCGTTCCCCTGTCGGCCAGAGCAGGCAGGTCAAAGAGGGCATTTGGAGCTAACGTGGACTCTGGTTTCCTCACGAGAACCTCATCGCTAACGACTGTTTAATTTTATTTTCTCCTGCGTTACTTTTTTAAATTGAGGTGCACCTTGCCTACAATAAAAGGCGCAGTTATACGGATACAGCTCGATGACTTTTGGCGACTGTATCTACCAAAATGTAACCATGACCCCATCGAACGCATGAGCACTTTAACCCCTCAAAAGTTGGCAAACTCGTTTCTCGAACTGTTGATTCATAGATGGCAAAGTAATGCCTCAGTAGTTAAAACCTTGTTCCTTCTCCCTCTTTGTCTCCCCACCCTCCTGACAAAGAGCAGTGTTCCCTTTCCCGTTTTGGAGATTTCCTGGATGCATAGCAGTACCTTTCTGTAAAGAAGGCTGCACCACTCATTGCATTTGGTTGAGCGGTTTCTCTCTGGAAATAGTTTGACTCAGTAGCGTGTGTGTTCCAGTTGGTTCCCAAGTTGAGCCCATGAAACATACACGAGCCGAATCATTAGATGGGGCAAAAACGTGGGTGGTTTTTCTTTTTGTTTTTTGTTTTTTCCTTCATATTTGTTCTGCTCTTGAAGTAAATAGGGGTGATGTGGGAGGAGGGAGGAATTTGGGGGAGACCCTTCTATTGAAACATAAACTCTTCTGAAGACTAAGATCATGTGTATGCTGTAAGATCATGGATTGTACAGCGTTGGGGTGGTAATAATAGTAATAAGCCCATTGCATTGGAGAGTTTTACACTTTTAAAACTGCTTTTACATTTCGAAAGCCTGAATCAGTGGTTCTCAACCCTGGCTCTAGATGAGAATCACTGGAGAAGCTTCTAAAAAGTGCAGATGCCCAGGCTCCATCCTGGAATTTGTTTATTATTATTATTATTATTATTATTATTATTATTATCTTTGAGACGGAGTTTCACTCTTGTTGCCCACGCTGGAGTGCAGTGGCGCCATCTCGGCTCACCACAACCTCCGCCTCCCGGGTTCAAGTAATTCTTCTGCCTCAGCCTGCCGAGTAGCTGGGGTTACAGGCATGTGCCACCACATCTGGCTAATTTTGTCTTTTTAGTAGAGACGGGGTTTCTCCATGTTGGTCAGGGTGGTCTCGAACTCCCAATCTCAGGTGATCCGCCTGTCTCAGCCTCCCAAAGTGCTGGGATTACAGGCGTGAGCCACCGCGCCCGGCTCATCCCTGGAATTTCTAAGTCATTTGTTTCAGAATGAAGTCTGTACACCTTTTTTTTTTTCCTTTTTCCTCTTAAGAACTCTCCGAGTGACTCTCCTGTGCTGCTAGGTAGAATTTACCAAAAAAAAAAAAAAATGTAATTCAAAGTGTTAACTCATTAAGTCCTCACAGACTACACCGTGAGGCAGGGTTGCTCTGGATCAAAGCACCATGGAGATAACAACACACGACCTTATCTAGCGCTTGGTATGTGCCAGGTGCTGTTCTAAGCAACATCCACGATTAACTAGCAATCTTCACAACATCCCTGTGAGGTAAGGACTATTCCTACACTCCTGGTACAGATGAGGGAACTAAGAGATGAAGTAAATTGCTCAAGGCGATGCAGCTAGCAGGACGTGGTAGAGCTGGTTTCAAACCCAAGTATTCTGCCCAAAGTGTCTGCTTTAACCACTAAACTGCTCTCTTAAATGGCCTGAACTTGGAGTCCGACTTCCTAACCGATCATTCAACACATCTCTGATAGCCACTGTTCTTTTCTTTCATGGCACTTATCATTGCTTGTATCTGTGTATGGCTGTGGTGACTTCAGAAAGTTCTCTATGGCTGTCTTAGTCTACAAGCTTAGTGAGGAAACACACAGTATATGTCTGGCCCATGGAAGATATACACGAATACTTGAGATATACACAAATACTTGAGATATACACAAATACTTGTTGAATGGCTGTTTCTGGTCTATCACCCAGAATAGGAATTATGCACCCACCAGATCCCTAGAGTATTAACTCATGTAATCCTCACAGCAACCTGGTGAGGGAGGACTACCCGTTACCCTCATTTTACCAATGAAGGAACTAGGAGATAAAGTGAGTTACTCAAGATCACATGGCCCAGTAGTGGAAAGTCGAGACACATGTGACCGCATGTGAGTGGATTAGTGACGAGGACATGGCAGATGCTCAATGACCTGTGTCTAATTTGAATCAAACTACAGTGGTTCTAGATCCAATTCACCTCAATGTTTTTGTTTCACACATTTGACATTAGTGTTAGCAGGAGCATATTTTGTATTATATATCTTGGAAATTATATTGTGGGAAATTTCAAACATACAGAAACTAGAGAGAAGAGTATGAATTCCCATATACCCATGACCTAGGTTTATAATTATTTAATAATTTGCCATATATGTTTTATCCATTATTTTGCAAAAATATTTTAAAACAAATCACTTTTTTTGTATAATTTTTTTTTAAGTTTTAGGTTCAGGAGTACATGTGCAGGTTTGTTATGTAGGTAAATTGATCATCATGGGGATTGTACAGATTATTTCATCACCACAATAATTGGCATAGTACCCAGTAGGTAGCTTTTCCTCCTCATCCTCCACCCTCCACCCTCATGTAGGCCACAGTGTCTGTTGTTTCCTTCGTGTCTAGTGAATTCACACATTAAGATATTTTAATACTAAATACTTTAGTTTGCATATTTTAAAAATAAGTATTTTGTGTGTAACCATAGTACTCTTGTCATACCTAGCATAGTTAACAAAAATTACTTAAAATCATGTAAAACAAGTTCAGATATCCTAAATTGTACCAAAACTACACCTTTTTTCTTGTTCTTTTTTCTTTTTGGTAGAAATGGGGCCTCCTTATGTTGCCCTGGCTGGTCTCAAACTCCCAGGCTCAAGTGATCCTCCTGCCTCAGCCTCCCAAAGTAACGGGATTACAGGCGCTAGCCACTGCACCCAGACAAAATACACTTTTACTAGCAATTTCTTTGAGCCCAAATCCAAATAAGACCCATGCATTATATTTGGTTTTTATGTCTTTCAGGTAGAACAGTGTCTCCCCTTTGTTTTCTTGTCAGTGAAACCTTGATGAAACCATTTGACATGGGTCCTGCAGGATGTCTCACTTTGTGAGTTTGTCTGCTTCTTTGCAGGGTTAACTTGTTCCTCTATCCCTTGTATTTCTTTTAAAAGATGGAAGTTAGAGCTAAATGCTTGATTAGATTTAGATGAAACCTTCTGGGCAAGACTTCTTCCCAGGTGTTGCTGTGCACTTCATGTTACATCACATCAGGATGCACAGAGTGTCTGCTTGTCTCATTATTTGTGTCTACAATTGGTCAGTGGGTCTAGGAAGGAAGTAATCCGAGGTGATGACTGGCATGCTGCAATCTTTCATCTAGTGATTTAAGTCATGATGCTTGCCCGAATTACCTGTTTTATTTGAAACTGCAAAATGGTAATTTTCTTTTTCTTTTTTTTTTTTTTTTGAGACGGAGTCTCACTCTGTCGCCCAGGCTGGAGTGCAGTGGCGCGATCTCGGCTCACTGCAAGCTCCGCCTCCCGGGTTCATGCCATTCTCCTGCCTCAGCCTCCTGAGTATCTGGGACTACAGGCGCCCACCACCACGCCCGGCTGATTTTTTGTATTTTTAGTAGAGACGGGGTTTCACCGTGTTAGCCAGGATGGTCTCGGTCTCCTGACCTTGTGATCTGCCTGCCTCGGCCTCCCAAAGGGTAATTTTCTTATTCTATCATTTATTCTTCATTTATTAGCTAGAATTTCTGCAGTTAAAAATTTTGTCTCATCATGTAGCACCATTTGACTACCCTACAATTCAATTCTTACAGGAAATAAAGGATAAATACTCTTCTTTCCATTTAATTATCAAGTTTCAAGTAAGGAGTTGATACAATAGTTACTTCCAGTGGTGACGAGAGATGTTTTATTAATGATGTTTTAAGATCTCTAAATCAAAATCCCAGAATGCATTTTTCTTCCCATCACCAGGAAAGTGAGTTTAAGCTATTAGTACTTGGAATATATTTTAAAGTAGCAAAATGTTTCATTTAGTAATAAAATCAAACAGTAAGCCCTCCTTCTCTGGCCCCCAACCCCCCTTCCCAAGCAACCACTGATCTCCTTTTTTTTTTTTTTTAAATACAGACGGGGTCTCTCTATGTTGTCTAGGTTGGTCTTGAACCCCTTGGCTCAAGGGATCCTCCCACCTTGACCTCTTAAAATGCTGGGATTACAGGTGTGAGCCACACTGTGCCTGATCTGATCTGATCTGATCTGTCACCACAGATTAGTTTGCATTTTCTAGAGTTTTGTATAAATGGAATCACATCATATATACTCTCTTTTTGTCTGGCTTCTTTCACTCAGTGTAATTATTTTGAGACGGTTTCTCATATATATCAATAGTTCATTGCTTTTTGTTTCTAAGCAGCATCCTCTTGCATGGATATATTGCAAATTGTCCAGCCATCTATTGATGAATATTTGGCTCATAGCTATTATGAATAATACCACTGTGAACTTTCACCTACAGATATTTGTATGAACATATACTTTCTTTATTCATAGGTAAACCAAGAATGTAATGCCTTGATTATATGACAGTTGCAGGTTTAACTTTTCCAGAAACCACCAAAGTTTCTTCCAAAGTATTATATCATTTTACATTCTCACTGGCAGGGCATGAGAGCTCTAATTGCTCCATGTCCTTACCATCACTTGATGTAGTCTTTTTAATTTTTGCAATTTTTTTCTTGTGATACTGATCAATTTTAATTCTAGCACTTGAAGCTATATAAGGGTATGCTCTATAAACTTCATGGGATTTTTGTACACATTCAATAAAGTGACAACTTTGTACTTTAGTATCTAAAAATCAGGAACATGCTTTTGAATTGTTTAAACACAATCCACAGAATTAAAAAACAAAGTCAGAAGCCATCCACAATTATACTAATTGTCAACTAAAGTTTTACACTTCATACTTGAGATATAACAGTCAATATCTAGTAGGGAATACTGAAAATGATTTCAGAGTCTCATCCTGTTGTACTCTATTGGGAAGGTTTCTTGAGCAGATATGTGACTGGCCAAAGGTGGGTACAACCAAAACCAGACCAGCAAGTAAAAGTTCTACCACAGCTTCTATAGTTTCCACTTTTTATGTTTTGTCAGTTAAAAGTGAACAATGAGAATTAAATACTTATCTTTACATATTTACAAGGTATGTTGTGAAGTATATTTGCTCATAAACATATAAAAATACTTATTGGCTGGGCACAATGGCTCACACCTGTAATCCCAGCACTTTGGGAGGCCGAGGTGGGTGGATCACGAGATCAGGAGATCAAGACCATCCTGGCTAACACGGTGAAACCCTGACTCTACTAAAAAGCTACCACGCCTGGCATATATATTTTAATGAAATCAGAAATTTTGAAGCAGCCTTGGCATTTCCTTTAAATTTGTCTGGAAATGACTGTTATATTAGCTTCATGGGAAGGACTTACCAGCTTCTAGGTCTAAGGCTAACGTGATGATCATTTGTCTAAGGCTAGAAAGGTACTAATGAGATGTAAACTATAAGGAGAGAAAAAGAAGATGAGGGCTTTTCCTGGAGGCTGATAGCTAAAACTCAAAGGATTCTAGAAAATGACACAGTAGCAGCCTTTCTTGTCTTTTTCTTTCCGTGTCGATTCTGGTGAAGAAGGAAGTTACTGCTCTTGAAATTTCCTTATAACTTGGACAAGTTAATGGAAAGCTTAATCTACATTCATTCTAATCTTTGCTAATGCCTTCTGGGTATGCTGCCTTAAGTTGCCGTACTAACTGTGTCCTTCCTGTGTTTCTTGTCTTTAATGATCCAGATCTGCTTTATTGCCAAATAAAATCATTGGAAACTCATCATAATCCTTTACTCTGAGAATCTGTCTTTGAAATGTATAGATTTTTTCCAAAACTGCCTTGACCTGTGACTCAAAAGACCAACAGGAAGCCCTCACCAGTTTTGATATTCTGTTGTCTCATGGCTCCAACCAAACTCTTCTTGTTCTGCTTTATCTAAAATATCTAGCCAGCCTGCTGTGTTATCTGTCACACACTGCTTTGCATAGGAATCTTAAGTGATTGGGTCATAACCCATTAGAAAAAAGGACTGGATTAACTGGATGATGAGTGCCGACTTGCCCACATACTTCCCCCACTGACCACCAGGAGCCAAGAGAATGTTGCTGAGTCCCAATTTTTGCAGTTTTAATAAGTGTGTAGTGGTGTCTCGATGTGGCTTTAATTTGCATTTCCTCAGTGACTAATGACCGTGAGCATCTTTTCATGTGCTTAGTTGCCATCTCTATTCCTTGTTGAAGTATCTGTTTAAATCTTTTGCCTGGTTTTTATTGGATTGCTTGTTTTCCTATTGCTGAGTTTTGAGAGTTCTTGTGTATTCTAGATATAAAGTCATTTATCAGCGATGAGCTTTGTATAGATTTTTCTTTCAGTCTATGGATTATCCTTTCAATCTCTTAACAATGTCTTTTGAAGAGCAGAAGTTTTAATTTTGATGAAGTTAATTGTATCCATTTTTTTAATAGATTGTGTTGGGTGTCGTATCTTTAAAATCTTTGCTTAATCTGGCTGGGTGTGCTGGCTCATGCCTGTAATCCCAGCACTTTGAGAGGCCGAGGCAGGTGAATCACCTGAGGTCAGGAGTTCAACACCAGCCTGGCCAACATGGGGACACCCTGCCTCTACTAAAAATATAAAAATTAGCTAGGCATGGTGGCGGGTGCCTGTAGTCTCAGCTACTTGGGAGGCTGAGGCAGGAGAATTGCTTGAACCCGGGAGGTGGAGGTTGCAGTGAGCTGAGATCGTGCCATTGCACTCCAGCACCTGGGTGACAAGATCAAAAAACTCCGTCTCAAAAAAAAAAGTTCTTTGCTTAATCCAAGGTCACAAAAATTTTCTTCTATATTTTCTCCTACCAGTGTTAATAGTTTTAGGTTTTCCATATAGATCTATGATCTATTTAGGGTTAATTTTTGTGTGTGGTACAGTGTCTAAATCCATTTTTCTGCATATATATAATCCAATGGTTCCAGCTCTTTTTTGGTAGATCACTATCTGCTCTCTACTGCATTGCCCTTGTGCCTTTATCAAATATCAATTGCCCATATATGCATGGGTTTATTTCTAGACTCTCTAGTCTGTGCCATTGATCTGTTCATCTATCTTGATGCCAGTACCCTGTTGTTTTGATTATTATAGCTTTATAATAATTCTTGAAATCAGATACTGTTAGTCTTCAAACTTTGTTGGTGGTATTGTTTTTCACAGGTGTTTTGATTATTCCACGTCCTTATCAGTTCCATATGCATTTTAGGATCAGGTTAACAATTTCCACACCAAAAAACCCTCCTGGGATTTTGATTGGGATTGCTGTTTGATTGGAATTAGCTTATAGTTTAATTTGTAGAAAACTAACTGAACTGATTACAGTACATATGTCCTAAAACCAAGAACATTTCTCTTCCACAGCCACAGTACAATTACCCAAATCAGAAAAATAACAATACAATACTATGACCTATAGACATTATTCATATTTCAGAAGTTCCCTTACTAATGTCCTGTATAGCAAAGGAATCCACATGTTGTATTTAGTTGTGTTAAACAGAAATTATGAGCAGTCATTGTTTTGGACTGAGCTCCTGCACTAGGCTCCAGCAGACCTGAGCAAACCAAAGTGGAGTCACTCATCCTATGTGCCACATGATCAAACTTGAAACTTCAAGGAAGCAGGTAGATCTCCAAACAGACCAGTTTTCCTGAAAACAGGAGATTCAGTCTGCCTGAGTCCGTGTAATAAGGAAGTCTGCTTTGCTTTAACTTTATGAAAAAGCAACCTGAAGTGACATGACAATAGCCAATCCACTTTTTCTTCCCTCTTGTTCTGTTTTCTTTGTTTCTACCTTACCCACTGTTCCACCATTTCTCGGTAAAAGCTCTCCTTCTATTTTGCAGAATGGAGGCTGCCCTGATTAATGAATAGTGAATAAAAGTCAATTAGCTCCATAACTAAATTTGCTGTAATTTTGTCTTTTCACATTATTTTGTCTTTTTAGTTCCTTCAATCTGGAAAATTTGGAGAAAGTACATTTTAACATTACGCAAGGGATTCTTGGGCTTTCATAAACACTAGTGTGTCTCTTTTATTATGGATTATCTCCATGGATTTCAGGTTGAACTATACAAAGTATTTGTGTTTATAGAAACCTTCCTGAAAGATTTAGAACATGGGGCTGGTTTCAGCCAGATCTTTGTTATAATTTATTTGCCTTCATCAGGCAAGGAAGTAGGTTCAATATTGGCTGTGCTATAAAACAAGAGAAAGGTATTTCCCTGTATGTAACACTTTTTAAAAGCAGTGTAGAATAAACACACATATGAAGAAAACTAGGCTGCAAAATTCTGCAAAGGGGTCTGATGAGATTTGTCTTTTAGCACAATCCTTAAAAACTCTGGGAGGCAAGTTCTCTTAAAATAGAAATTTTTAAAATCAGAAGAATTTACACTTACATTCTTATATTCTACAGATGGCACGGATAGGTATTTAAAAAATATAGTGTCTCCGGGAATAAGAAGGAAAAGAGGTGCTAATGGATTTTTGCTTGCCTCTGAATTTTACTTACTTTCTCCATACTACGTTAAATGGTTAAAATAAGTATGGAAACAGTTTTCATGCAGAAAAAAATGAAAATTTTTTGGATGAGAATAGGAAGAAACAATACATATACAAGTTAAAGTCTTAAATTATTTCTTAATTATGGTCATTATTTAATGCAAGTAAATAAACATTCAGTGGCTTTCACAATGTTTTGGCTGATGCAGGTTGCTCATGGAGATTTTATAGAACAATTTCACTTATTGTAAATAGCTAGGTGAGTGGAATGGAGTCAGAAAGGGTAGCGACAAGAGAGGGAAAATCATTAATGTATGGGAATTGTCTGTGTAAGCACTTAAGCGCTTTCAAGAAGCCACAGACCTGGCCACCACTCCTTGTCGAAAGTCTTCAATTCATGGAAACTGAAAATTTATGTCCCTGGTTTTGCTGGACCAACCCTTCTCCAACTCTCCAGACACCAACTAGGTATTCTATAGTTCAGTTCTGATGCTGTCTACCTGGAGCTAGGTCTCACAGGTGAAGAGCTCAGTCTACAAGACTGCCCCAACTTTAGATGCCAACCACAAGTCCAGGTTGGCACTTGTGCTTCTTTCTGACGGCTACAAATTGAGGATTCACACGACCTCCTCCTTGGACTCTGTCATTTGCTATGATGGCTCATAGCACTCAGGAAAACACTTATGTTTGGCAGTTTATTATAATGGATATGATAAATGATATAGATGATTAGGTACCCAGGTAGGGGTCTGAAATGTTCCAAAGCACAGGAGTTTCTGTCCCCATGGTGTTGGGGTACACCAATCTCTCAGCTTGTGATTGTGTTCACCAACCCAGAAGCTGTCTGAACCCTGGACTTTATGGAGCCTTCCTCATTTAGGCATGATCAGTTACTAACATGATCAGTCACTAACTCAATTTCCAGCCCTTCTCCTCTCCCTGACGATGGGGGTGGGGCTGCAGGTTCCAAGCATCTTGGACTGCTTAGTCTTTCAGTGACCAGCCACCATCCTGGAGCCCACCAAGAGTTGTCTCATTAGAAGAAAAGACATTGCTGTCACTCAGGAAGTTCCAAGGGATTGGGAGCTCAGCGTCAGGACTGGGGTCCAAATATTAAGAACAAAAGATGGAAAGATGTACCTAGCACCCCTGTTGATCAGGAAATTACAACCGTTTTAGGAGCCCTAGGCCAGGAACTGGAGGCAGAGACCAAATATTATTATGTCACAGATATGGTACTTACAACTAACAATACTGCGTTATATACTTATTTACACAAATGTTTGTTACGAGGGTAATTGCATGTTAACTGCTCTTACCATAATAAAATAAAAATTTTTGAAAACATATTCCTTTTTATCTAGATTTAGCAACTTTTTAGCATTCTGCCACATTTGCTTTCTCTCCCTCTCACCACACACACACACACACATACGTGTGCACACACACACTTTGTTGTTGCTGCTGAACAATTTAGAAGAAACTAAATTGTAAACATCATAACACTTCATCTCTAAATACTGTAGCATGTATCGCCTGAAAACAAGAATTTTCTGTATAATCAAAATCCTACTATCATACCCAAGAAATTTATCAGGGATATGATAATCTTATTTAATATATGGTTTATATTCAAATTTCCCTCATCGTCTTCAACTTTTCCTTTATAAGTAGACCAGTTCCTCTACCTTTAATTTGTTTTTAAAGCTTTTACAAGGTTGATTATTTTTAAACAGCCCAAGCCAGTTATCTTGTAGAGTGCCCCCCAACCTGGACTTGACTAAGGTGATGGAATGTATTTCCCATTAGATCCTATGAGGAGGCATCATGTCATTTTGTCCCTTTATTGGTGGTGCTAAATTCGATGATCACACTTACACTTTGCTGGAGCCTTACTTGTTTCAAACATGTAGTAAGGTTCCAGTGATGGGGGCACTGTGGCATTCACAGTAGCCAAAGGTGGGAGCAACCCAAATGTCTGTCAACAGATGCATGAATTATCAGATTACAGTGTATATGTAAGTGGGAATATTGTTCGGCTATAAAAAGGAATGAAGTACTGATGCATGCTACAACATGGATGAACCTCAAAACCTTGATGTTAAACAAAGGTCTACAAAAAACTTGATGCTAAACAAAAGTCTACAAAAGGTCACATATTATACCATTCCATTCATATGAATATCAAGAGTGGGTAAATCCACAGAAACAGAATACAGCCAGGTACAGTGGCTCACACCTGTCATCCCAGCACTTTGGAAGACCGAGGCAGGTGGATCGGTGGAGCGCAGGAGTTTGAGATTAGCCTGAGCAACATGGCAAGATCCTATCTTTACAAAAACTACAAAAATTAGCCAGGTATCATGGTGTGCACCTCTAGTCCCAGCTACTTGGGAGGCTAAGGTGGTAGGATCACCTGAGCCCAAGAGGTCGAGGCTGCAGTGAGCCATGTTTATGCCATGGCACTCCAGCCTGAGTGACAAAGTGAGACCCTGTCTCAGAAAAAAAAAAAAAAGAAACAGACTTTAGATTGGTAATTGCCAGTGGTGGAGCTGAGGGAGGAATGGGGAGTAACTGCTTAATGGGTAAAGGGTTTTATTTTGAAATAAGGGGATGTTTGGGAACTAGATGGTGGTAGTAGTTGTACAACATTGTGAATTAAATGCCACCAGAGTGTTCTCTTTAAAATCGCTGGTTTTTTATGTTATGTGAATTTCACTTAAATTAAAAAAAAAAAAAAGGACCAGGCGCAGTGGCTCACGCTTGTAATCCCAGCATTTTGGGAGGCTGAGGTGGGTGGATCACCTGAGGTCAGGAGTTCTAGACCAGCCTGGCAAACATGGCGAAACCCCGCCTCTACTAAAAATACAAAAATTAGCCAGCCATAGTGGCACGTGCCTGTAATCCCAGCTACTTGTGAGGCTGAGGCAGGAGAATCACTTGAACTCGGGAGGTGGAGGTTCAGTGAGCCGAGATCACACCACTGCACTCCAGTCTGGGCAACAAAGTGAGACTCCGTTTCAAAAAAAAAAGTGAGTGAGGGACAGCTTCCTCAACAATCTGGAGAAAGTAGAATCTATGAGAGCTAAGTGAAAACAGAGTGCCATTGATAGGAAGCCAAGTTGTGGTTTTTAATCCAGAATAGAGATAAATCAACCCAGCTAAAATTCAGGCCTTCAACTCAACTTGGTTTGTGAATCTAGACAACTTTTAAAGTTATCAACATAAGTTTCGAGAGCTGCACAATGTAACAGCGTAGACCTTTGTATCTTCCTCTTCTCTTTGAACTCCAATTTAGAAGAATCAGATTACCCTGAATTGCTTAATGAGATAAAAATAGAAAATAGAGGTTATCTAGTCACCTAGTTTTTATAGTGTTTTCTTGTTTCAATCCCGTTTAGAATCAGAGGATTACAGGGCCAGGTGCAGTGGCTCATGCCTGTAATCCCAACACTTTGGGAGGCCTAGGTGGGTGGATCACCTGAGGTCAGGAGTTCAAGACCAGCCTGGCCATCATGGTGAAACCCTGTCTCTACTAAAACTACAAAAATTAGCTGGGCATGGTAGCACATGCCTGTAATCCCAGCTATATTCGGGAGGCTGAGGCAGGAGAATCCCTTGAACCCAAGAGGCGGAGGTTGCAGTGAGCTGAGATCATGTCATCGCACTCCAGCCTGGGCAATGGAGTGAGACTCTGTCTCAAAAAAAAAAAGAAAGAAAGGATTACAAAACTATTGTGATGCTCTTTATGATTTGAAACAAAAAATGTATGCAGTATCTAGAGTGGGAATTTAAATTAGAACAACTTCTTTGGATAGCAAAATATCAAAGTGTATCAGCTGACAAAGATGTTTCTGCTTAGCCATCCAGTATCTTACTTCTTTTTTTTTGAGACAGAGTCTTGCCCTGTCACCCGGGCTGAAGTGAAACGGTGCAATCTCGGCTCACTGCAACCTCCGCCTCCCAGGTTCGAACAATTCTCCTGCCTCAGCCTCCCAAGTAGCTGGGATTACAGGTGCCTGCCACCACGCCCAGCTAATTTTTGTATTTTTAGTAGAGACGGGGTTTCACCATGTTGGCCAGGCTGGTCTCAAACGCCTGACCTCATGATCCACCTGCCTCGGCCTCCCAAAGTGCTGGGATTGCAAGCGTGAGCCACCGTGCCCAGCCGTATTTTACTTCTTATTATCTTATGGAAGTAAATCAAAATGTGGGCAAACTTTATGCAAGATTACATTTATAGAGAAAAATTGTTAGAATCACAGATATTTAAAATGAAGAGAATGGTTGAATTAGCACTGGTAATCAATAGAATATTGATCAGTCGTTAAAAATAACATTGTAATACCAAACAGCTAATGTGAAATAATTGTGATAAAATACAGAATATTTAAAAATGTGTGGTCAGCCATATTAAAGAAACATAACCTGTTCATAGGGGAAAAAAGGCCAAAAGGAAAATTTTAAGAGTAATTTTTGTTGAGTGACAGGAACTTGCCTCATGTCCCATCTGCAGCTACATTTTGCAGTCTCCAAATGTGTAATAGTAAAGAAAGTTATTATAACAGTGGCTCACATTTGATGAATACCAGTTCTGTGCCAGGAACTGTACACCCTCATGTTATTTATTCCCTTTGTGGCATTTGGAAACAGGAGCTGTCATAAGCCCATTTTACTGGCAATGGAATTGAAGATCAAGAGCTCATAGAATTTGTCCCGGGTCAGGAAGCTAGACAGTGGCAAATTCCAATTAGCAGTTCCATTCCAGACCTACATCTTAACTATTATACATGCAAAACATGTAATGAGCATTAAAGAGATATGCAGCATGTATAGAAAATAAAAAATAGACGTTATCTAGTTACCTAGTTTTTATAGTGTTTTCTTCTTCTTCTTTTTTTTTTTTTTTTTTTTGAGAGGAGTCTCTCTCTTGTTGCCCAGCCTGGAGTGCAATGGTGCGATCTCGGCTCACTACAACCTCCGTCTCTTGGGTTTAAGCGATTCTCCTGCCTCAACCTCCGAAATAGCTGGGATTACAGGCACCCACCACCACACCCCACCAATTTTTGTATTTTTAGTAGAGACAGGGTTTCTCCATGTTGGCCAGGCTGGTCTCAAATTCCTGACCTCAGGTATCCACCCACCTCAGCCTCCCAAAGTGCTGGGATTACAGTCACGAGCCACTGTGCCCGGCTGTGTTTTCTTCTTTTGATGTAAAACATGTAATGAGCATTAAAGAGATATGCAGCATGTATTCAGGTAGCCGGGGTTCGGTTAGTGAAATATTGAATTAGTAGCTTGGGGACATTATTTTTGGATCTGTTCCTGGCTCACTCTATGATTAAAATTAGGTCAGTTTGCTTTTGGTGTCAGTTTTTCCATCTTTGTAGAAAGGAAAACAGAACCTCCCACTTGCCTGCTTCTTTATGCTTACGAACCTGCTTAAGCACCTGTAATAAGTTAGTCTACAGTGTTATTACCATTAGCTGGAGGATAGCGTGGCTTTGTGAAAAAGTGCATGGATTTAAGGATTAGGCAGATCCAGCTGCAAATCCTTTGGACGCTCAAATTCCCTGAGCCTCAGTTTCTACAACTGTAAAATGGGGCAATAACGTGTACCTTGGGGTTTCAAAGAGGAATAAATGAGATGCCCTATATACAGTGAAGGATAATCGTTCTCCACTCAATAACTATTCTTTCCCTGCCCTATTTCACTGTAGCTTATCTGATCAAACTTTGAGTACAAAAGAATGAGGCCCACATGTTTCCTGTCATTTTTTTGCACATCTTACCAAAATAAACAGAAAACTAACCAATAGTGGCAAATCATCAGTACTCAGATCTGGATAGAAGAAAGCAGAGGAAGCAAAATGGAATGATCCTGGTAGGAATGAGGGCAGAGGGCACTCTTTACAGCATGCTTTGGACTCATGGAAGCTTTTCTGGTGGGTCCAGAAGGTAACAGGATACCCCACAGAGGTGTGGAGGACACATGCTACCTTAACCTTTCATCCAGTCTTTCAACCTTTAACCAACTCTGGAGAGAGCAGCAAGTCAGTTTCCTGACTGGGTTCAATGATATATCTGAGAAATTTATTGATTTATATGTATCAAGAAATATAAATAGTCCAGGTGCTGTGGCTGACACCTGTAATCCCAACACTTTGGGAGGCTGAGGCGGGTGGATCACTTGAGGTCAGGAGTTTGAGACCAGCCTGGCCAACATGGCAAAACCCTGTCTCTACTAAAAAATACAAAAATTAGCTGGGCGTGGTGGTGCGCGCCTATAATCCTCGCTACCTGGAAGGCTGAGGCAGGAGAATCGCTTGAACCCAGGAGGCAGAGGCTGCAGTGAGCCAAGATTGCACCCATGCACTCTAGTGTGGGCAACAGAGTGAGACTCCATCTCAAAAAAAAAAAAAAAAAAAAAAAAAAGAAAGAACAAGAAAGAAAGAAAAAATATATATAAATGTTGTTTTTGGTAAAACATGTATGTCAGTATATATGTATATATTTCAATAACAGATTAAACGCTATTTCTCAGATACTTTGGTGGATCATTTGGGGACAGGGTTGTCTTTAACAAAGTTGATTGGCAGTAGATAAGAGTTTGGGGGTGGAAATGAACCCTAGATTGGAGACTGCAGTGTGTTATAGAAGAGAAAGCAGCAACGGCATTCCTTAAAGTCATAGTAGCTGACATTTAGTGAAGATTTGCTATGTGCCAGGGTTTATGTCTTCATGAACATTCTCTTGTTAGCATGTTTCTCTTTTCATAATTTTTTAATTGTAGTATATAACATAGACATTTAAAAAATGTATAGCTGAGCTTCATGTGTTACTTGAAGGTAACCATTCTTGTCACTACAACCCAAGTCAAGTTTTGACAGTTTTTGCCCCGTGTATTTTGAAGCTATGTTATTAGGTGCATAAACAATTAGGATTGCTCTCTCATTATCACATGTTGCAAGAAGTGATGCATGCTAAGATCTGAAGAGTCCCACCTTTGCTATTTCTGTCTCTGACAGTAGAGTTCCTGAAAATGAAGTTTGTTGCTAGAATGTGCCCTCTTTGTGGGCACATGAATAATGGCTGCTTGGTCAAGGTAGGAAGATGGAATTTTCTGTAGTAGGAAATTCTCTACATCCCTCCTGTCGGTGATGATTCTTCCATATGTTCACATAGGGGAGCCAATGTAAAGCTATGACTAAGTAGTTAGACCTTAACATCAGACAGATCAACCACTTATATGCTGTGTGGCTTGGGCAACTCACTTAACCCTTCGATAAGCTTCCATTCTCTCTTTTTTAAAAAGAACATTATGGCTCAGTGTTTCCTCTACCGATTCCTTCCACCTCCCCCTTCAAAAATAAAGAGTACTGTGGCTACTTTATTGGTATGTGGCTATACGACGATTAAATAAAAATACCTTGGCAGGGTCCATAACACGATGCTTGGCATATAGTAAACACCCAATAAATGTTAAATAATACTGTGTCATTACTGTCTTGTTATATTACCTTACCTGAACTGAGGCTCAGTTTGACATATCTTATATGTATTAATCCCCCTGCCATGGGCCACTGCAGTGAGCAGATACTAACAGACTGATTCCATGAGACTTTTTCTTTTCTTACAGGGCCGATGTCCATTGGAATCACTGTGATGCTGATCATACACAACTATTTGTTCCTTTACATCCCTTATTTGATGTGGCTTTACTTTGACTGGCATACCCCAGAGCGAGGAGGCAGGAGATCCAGCTGGATCAAAAATTGGACTCTTTGGAAACACTTTAAGGACTATTTTCCAATTCATGTGAGTACAGTTGTTTTATAAAGTATTATTTTGATTTAGGAGAAGAGTGGAAATTTGTTTTCATCACATATATCTCAAGCTTCTTTTTCAGAGGGGATGTCTTAGTCTGTTTTGTGCTGCTGTAACAGAATACCAAAGACTAGGTAATTTATAAAGAAAACAAATTTTTTTCTCACAGTTGTGGAGGCTGGGATCTGGCAAGATACCAAAGATGCTGGCATCTGGCAAGAGCCTTCCTGCTGCATCAGCCCATAGCGCAAGGTAGAAGGGCAGGAGAGGGCAAAAAAGAGCAAGAGGGGGTTGAATTCATTCCTTTATAAGGAACTCACTCCCAAGATAACAAACCCACTTCTGTGATAATGGCGTTAATCCATTCACTCTGCTTTCATTCCTAATTACCTCTCATTAGGCCCCACCTCCCAACACCGTTGCGTTGGGGATTAAGTTTTTAAACACTTACTTTTGAGGGAAACATTCAAACCATAGCAGGGAGAAAGGCTGCAATTTGGTTCCAATTACTAAATGAACTGTAAGCTGACTTGACAAAATCTAGAAGGCTATATATAAAGGGATCTGGGCTCAGAAGATAGTTTAGAAATTTGGAAACAGCTCCAACCCAGGGAACAAAAATGAGTCATGTTCTCCATTTTCTCTTGACATAAAAACTAGTCCTTTTGTTTCTCATTGGAAAATAATAAGGGAAGTTTCTTTTTTTTAAAATCTCAATATGAATGTGCTGTAGCTTATCAAAACTCAAGATTTGGATCCAAGTCACAACTATATATTTGGGTTTCACCCCCATGGAATAATGGCAGTTGGAGCCTTTGGGAATTTTTCTGTAAATTATTCTGACTTCAAGGACCTGTTTCCTGGCTTTACTTCATATCTTCACGTGCTGCCACTTTGGTTCTGGTGTCCTGTCTTTCGAGAATATGTGATGAGTGTTGGTAAGTGATGGCAGATCACTGTTTCCACAGTGCTTTGGGGTAGCAGGAGCACACAGAACATTCCCTCCCAGGCCCATGTGTGTTTATGGTCTCTTAGAGTAAAACCTGTTTTATCCTCATCTGGCACTTCCTATGG
Source organism: Homo sapiens (assembly GCF_000001405.40). Classification (NCBI taxonomy): domain Eukaryota; kingdom Metazoa; phylum Chordata; class Mammalia; order Primates; family Hominidae; genus Homo; species Homo sapiens. The sequence goes on from NC_000002.12 coordinate 222,689,606, forward strand.
TGTCTGGGTGTTTCCTGCCCTCCCCCACTGGACTGTAAGTGGCAGAAACACAAACTGTGTCTTCTTTTCTGTTCCATCCCAAGTATCCAGCATGGTGCCTGGAACATAGAAATGTTCAATGAATATTAACACAATGATCAAATAAAGTAATGAATGCAGTTTGTGTATTCAGATGTAGAAAAAGAAATCAGGGATCAAGTAAGTGACAAATCACACCCTTGGAGAGGCACCATGCATGCTGTTACGAATACTAGAAATGGAAAATGTCTTTCATTGTGTCTTGAAGTAACAGCAGTGATAAAACTAAGCATATTCAACTTGCTGTCTTCCTAGATGAAAAATAACTTGGCTCAGAAATAAGAGTCCAGGCCGGGCGCGGTGGCTCACGCCTGTAATCCCAGCACTTTAGGAGACTGAGGCGGGCAGATCTCTTGAGCCCAGGAGGTTGAGACCAGCTTGGGCCACATGGCAAAACCCTGTCTCTACAAAAAATGCAAAAATTAGCTGGGCATGGTGGCACACATCTGTAGTCCCAACTACTCAGGAGGCTGAGGTGGAAGGATCACCTGAGCTTGGGAGGTCAAGGCTGCAGTGACCGGAGATGGTGCCCCTGCACTTCAGTCTGGGTGACAGAGAGAGACCCAATCACAATTAAAAAAATAAATAAAAAGAGACGAGGGCAGTGACTCACACCTGTTATCTCAGCACTTTGGGAGGCCGAGGTGGGGTGAATCACTTGAGGTCAGGAGTTCGAGACCAGCCTTGCCAACATAGTGAAACCCCGTCTCTACTAAAAATACAAAAATTAGGGCATGGTAGTGGGCGCCTGTAATCCCAGCTACTCAGGAAGCTGAGGTGGGGGAACTGCTTGAACCCAGGAGGTGGAGGTTGCAGTGAGCCAACATTTTGCCACTGCACTCCAGCCCGGGCGACAGAGCGATACTCCGTCTCAAAAAAGAAAGAAAGAAAAAAAAGAATTGTTCATGGTCCTCTAGACTTTTATTACGTCCTATTAATCTCTCAAGTCACTACTGTCATTATATACCTGGTAGCATATCACTAAGCACCCAGGTACCAGAATTCACCGCTGAGTTTTCAGGTTGTTTTCAAAGTCCAGCCTGGTCCCGAGGGCACACTAGAGGGCGCACTAAACCCTCCAAGCTACCGGAAGATCCGGCATCTGGCCTGCAGAGGGTGCACTATCCCCCTCTTAACCACCGAAAGTGGGGTTGGGGGGGAATTACTTCTCTTCCTTGTTTTGTATACATTGTGTTAGAGTTTTATAAAAGGAAGACAATTACAGAGAAAAATGTTTAAATTTCACAAAAGCACAGAAACATATTTAAAGTGTAATGTTTGCTTATTCAAAGCATTGCCGCAGTGAGTTTGAGTCGTATAGTTAAGAGCAGGTTTGGCAAATTCATGGACAAGAGATGTAGGTACCCCCTTCTCCATAGCCTTATCAGACACATATACTCCATCTTAGAGTCTTTCTCCGTATAGTGCCCCTACAGCCACTGCAGTTTACTAGAGTTGGCTTTGGAGAGGAAAGCTGTTTGCAATCCCTGGTTTCTTTTTATTTATTTATTTTTTATTTTATTTTATTTTATTTTTTTTGAGACGGAGTTTCGCTCTTGTTGCCCAGGCTGGGGAGTGCAATGGCGTGATCTTGGCTCATTGCGACCTCTGCCTCCCTGGTTCAAGTGATTCTCCTGCCTCAGCCTCCCAAGCAGCTGGGATTACAGGCTTGCACCACCATGCCAGGCTAATTTTTTGTATTTTTAGTAGAAACGGGGTTTCACCATGTTAGCCAGGCTGGTCAAGAACTCCTGACCTCAGGTGATCCACCCAGCTCGGCCTCCCAAAGCGCTGGGATTACAGGCATGCACCACTGCGCCCAGCAATCACTGGTTTCTGACATCATGAATAGTTTTCTGTGGTACAACCTTCAGTTCCTTAAAAGGTAAATAGAAATACTCAAACTTTCAGCCAGTGGAGGTTTGGACTATCCTTGTTTCTAAGTCTAAAGAATTATCTATACTTCCCAGAACCAGCTTCCTAGGACAGCCCTTGGTCCAAGGCTGCCCCTCTCCACTGTGCCTGCCCAAGCGGCTGCCTCTCTGGGTGTGAAAGACTGACAGACATAGGCACCAGACCTCACGTAGTAAGGAACCATAGGGCTTCAGAGGGCCTTTGTTGACAGCAGTCTGTTTTGCTCTTACCCAATAGGATTCTGCATCTGTAAGTCCTTTTAAATCCCACCTCCAACCCATTCCTCTTGTCCCATTTTGGGTGTATCTATACCTATCAGGTGTCAGCCAGAGCCAACTGCGTTTCAGGTTCATACTTCTTTCTGTTTACCCCTTAAGGCTGGACAGGTAACAGAATCAGATCACAACAGCCTTATATACCATACAGAGGACTTTCGATTTTATTTTGTAGATAAGCCATGGGGAACTTGGAGGGATTTTGAGCAAAGGAGGGATCTGATGGATTTGGTGTGATAGAAAGATAATTCAGGCAGCAGCTTGGAACGTGGTTACAGGCAGGTAGGCCTGGAGACTGATGATGGAAGCGGCCTGTTGAGTGATGAAGGGAGAGGTGATAAGGGCTATGCTAACAGTGGCAATGGCACTGGAGATACAGAAGAGGAGATTAATATCAAAAATATTTGATACAGTCTCTAAGACTTAATGATTGATTCATCCTCATGAAGTCAGTAACTATTTTGTCATTATTATCAATACTTAGCCCAGTACCTGGCCAGTAGCAGGTGCTCAATAAATGCTTTTAAATGAATGAATGATCAGTCAATGTGGTGGCTAAGAAAGGAGAATGTGGCTACATATGGAAGAAGCTGTGTTTTGACCAGATAGATGATGGTCCCATTCACCTTGATAAATAATGTTGGAAGAGGGACAACTTTAAGGGAGAATTTAATGCATTCGGTTTGGAGACGTGTAGTTTGAGGTGTCTTAGAGCTGTCACTGTAGAGCTGTCAATTGGGCATTTGGAGATATGGGCCTGGAACCTCAGGAGGAAGATCTCCTGACAGATGGATTTGGGAGAACTCAGCATACATAAATGGTAGTTGAATCCATGGGTGTAGATGAGGTTAGAGGACAAGAGAGATAAGGAAGGACCCCTAAGAAATAGCAGCATTGAAGGATGGCCTGAAGACAAGGAGCCTGAGGGAAAACGGAGGAGTGGCCAGAGGCAAGCTAGGAGAGCCAGGGGTGTGGAAACCCAAGAGGCCCTCTTCCTGGTGGAAGAGATGCACCCAACTCTCACTCAGGTTCACACAGAGCAGAATGGCATGTCTTGACCTCAGTGAAGGTTCAAACCCATCTAGGCAGGCTCAGGCTCTCTACCTCTAACCCAGCATCCTCTGCCTCTTAAGAGGGCAGTTGGTCATTCAGAATCCTGTCATAATTCCTCCCATAATAGAAACCCAGAGTAAAATTAGCATATCATTTTCTTCAAGTGATGAGATATGCTATGTCTTTATAAAGACTGTCTAACACTTTCTGTTATGACTAAATAAAAATGGATAAAACCCAGAATGGAAAGAAACATAAGACATTAAAAAGTGATTATTTCTGAAATGTAGTTCAAGACTGGTTTGTATGTTTGTCTTTATTCTTTCCTATATTTTCCTCCAAGAGTATGTAGAACATGTGAAATCTGAAAAGGAATCTTTTAAGTTATTTTTACATGGGAAAGCCTGAAATACAGACCGAACAATTATCTAACTGTTTTAAATGAACAATTTACCAAAGTCAGACTATACTTATTGGAAACATGTAGAGATCTGGCAAGTGATCTAGGTTGTCAAATGTCTTGTTTTTTTTTTTTTTTTTTTTAACCATTTTGTATTAGTTCATTTTCACACTGCTGATAAAGACATATCCAAGACTGGGAAGAAAAAGAGGTTTGAAAGACTTACAGTTCTACATGGCTGGGGAGGCCTCATAATCATGGTGGAAGGCAAGGAGAAGCAAGTCACGTCTTACATGGGTGGCGGCAGGCAAGGAGAGAGCTTGTGCAGGGAAACTCCTCTTTATGAAACAATCAGATCTCATGGGACTTATTCACTATCACGAGAACAGCATGAGAAAGACCTGCCCCCACGAGTCAGTTACCTCCAACTTGGTCCCTTCCACGACATGAAGGAATTGTGGGAGTTGCAATTCAAGGTGAGATTTAGGTGGGGGCACAGTCAAACGATATCACATTTATATTATAAATCCAGGTTTGGAAAATAATGATCCATATAGAATATCTGAAAACAGGCCATTATATATTCAGAAAATCCACTGCAGCCTCTTGGAGAATATACTTTTTGGTTCTGTGTAAAAATTCGCCATGATAAATATCAAGGCCACCACATACAGCTGTGCAGGTTGTGCACTGAACAACTCCAGGGGCAGGGGATCCTTTTACTTAGAATGCAATATAAATGGTGTCCTCTAGAGTTCAGTAGTGCACAACCTACCTAAACAAACAAGTGGTAGACCTAGTAATGACTGAATGACATTTTAAAGACCTAGCCCATTACCTGCCAAGATGTTAACTTATTAATAGAATACATTACTAAAGATTTGGCTATGAAAAATTACAAACTTACAAAGTGCTCCAAAGGTAAGCAGTGTAGGAAATTTTGTTAAATGTTTACTATTGTCATGGAATATTATGATAAAACATTGTAATATTGTTAGAAAAGGATAACTAGTTACTTTTTGTTTTATTCACTAAGGGCTGGTTTCAGTTTCCAAGAAAAGTGTGTCCTACATGGTAAGCAAGGAGGGAGGTGGAAACATCTCTGTCATTGTCCTTGGGGGTGCAAAAGAATCACTGGATGCTCATCCTGGAAAGTTCACTCTGTTCATCCGCCAGCGGAAAGGATTTGTTAAAATTGCTTTGACCCATGGGTAAGTGGCTTTTTGTATAAAGTAGGGGGTCAGAAAAGTTAAGACATTATTAAACAAACCACGAAGAAGTAAGGTGATTTTCTAGCCCTTAAAGACCTCCTCCAAATCGATCTGACAGTAAAAGCAGGTGTGGATGTTCTTGGGGAATGGAATATGACCTTTTTACTACAGTAGCTCAATGCCATGACATTCAGCAATTAAACTTAACTCTAAAAGCAAAACAACGAGAACAACAACAAAAACCAACATTCTATATATACAGTGTAATTTTCCAGCCAAATCAACAGTGGCCAAAGCTATAGATAAAAGAGAAGTTTCCTGGAACCCTAATTTTCTATAGAATAAAATCCTGTCAATGGCTAGCCTGCTGAAATTCCTCCCTAAAGAATGTCAAGTTTAAGACAGTTTCAATGAACGTGAAGTTAGCAATATAGGAAGGCTTGGGCACATTTAAAAAATTTTTCAGAAGTTGTTGCAAGAGTCAGCTAAACAGAATAAATTATTTGAATCCTTTTCATTGAAAATTCTCACCCGTCCCCTTTGTTATTGCAGCGCCTCTCTGGTCCCAGTGGTTTCTTTTGGTGAAAATGAACTGTTTAAACAAACTGACAACCCTGAAGGATCATGGATTAGAACTGTTCAGAATAAACTGCAGAAGATCATGGGGTTTGCTTTGCCCCTGTTTCATGCCAGGGGAGTTTTTCAGTACAATTTTGGCCTAATGACCTATAGGAAAGCCATCCACACTGTTGGTATGTACATAAAATAACTACAACTATTAGCTTACTTTAAGCAATGTTTCTTGTTATTGATTGAGGTGCTAATGCAAGGGAAGTGGCTTTGAGTAAGAACTTCCTGAAACAATAATCCTGTAGATGTTATTTGAGTTTTGTTTCTGGTATTCCTTTTATTTATGAAATGACTACATTTTCCACTAGAATAGGAATTGATTACTTTCAAGAATACTGCTATTGCACTACAAGTAAAATCCAATTTTCAAAATAAAGTTTCTAATACTCTATAATGAATCTATTTCTCTGTGCCAGCCAATTATAGCATAGCAATTCTTTGATGACAAGTCATATCAGAGTTTACAGATAGATGAACATTTCTGTATGATAAGTGTCCTCATTATGTTCAGTTCACATAAGCATCAGTTTCTATAGCAAAAGCTTTTTTTTTGCAGCTAGCTGTTTTATATATATTCTGCTATTCTGCTATAGACTTATTTTTTTTTTATTTCAGTAGGTTTTTGGGGAACAGGTGGTGTTTGGTCACATGAATAAATTCTTTAGTTGTGATTTCTGAGATTTTGGTGCACCCATCACTGGAGCAGTGTATACTCCACCCAATATGTAGTCTTTTATCCCTCACCCCTCTTCCACTCTTTCCCCCGAGTCCCCAAAGTCCATTGCATCATTCTTAATGCCTTTGTGTCCTCATAGCTTAGCTCCCACTTATGAGTGAGAACATACGATGTTTGGTTTTCCATTCCTGAGTTACTTCACTTAGAATAATGGTTTCCAATTCCATCCAGGTTGCTGAAAATGCCATTATTTCATTACTTCTTATGGCTAAGTAGTAGTCCATGATGTTTATATACATATATCACAATTTCCTTATCCACTCAATGATGGGCATTTGGGCTGGTTCCATATTTTTGCAATTGCAAATTGTTCTGCTATAAACATGTGTGTGCAAGTATATTTTTCGTATAATGACTTCTTTTCCTCAGGGTAGATACCCAGTAGTGGGATTGCTAGATCAAATGGTAGTTCTACTTTTAGTTCTTTAAGGAATGTCTACAGTTTTCCCTAGCGGTTGTACTAGTTCACATTCCTACCAGCAGTGTGAAAGTGTTCCCTTTTCACTGCATCCACACCAACATCTATTATTTTTTGAATTTTTGATTATGGCCATTTTTGCAGGAGTAAGGTGGTATCGCATTATGATTTTGATTTACATTTCCCTGATCATTAGTGATGTTGAGCATTTTTTCATATGTTTGTTGACCATTTGTATATCTTCTTTTCAGAATTGTCTATTCATGTCCTTAGCCCTTTTTGATGGGATTGTTTGTTTTGTTCTTGCTGATTTATTTGCATTCCTTGTTGATTCTGACTCTTAATTAGACTCATTTTATTTTAAAAAGCTGCATGTTTGGGAGAATCCAGTTGAGGGAGGAGGGTGAAGACCATGTTGATAAAAATACTGAGGAGTTGGCCAAGTGTGGTGGCACACACCTGTATTCCTAGCACTTTGGGAGGCTGAGACAGGAGGAATGCCTGAGCCCAGGAGTTCGAGACCAGACTGGCAACAAAGCTGGACCTCATCTCTACTAAAAATTTTAAAAATTAGCGGGGCACCATGGCATGTGCTTGTAATCCCAGTGCTTTGGGAGGCTGTGGAAGAAGGAGCACTTGAGCCCAGGAGTTGGAGGTTGGAGTGAGCTATGATTGTGCCATGACACTATAGCCTGGGTGACAGATCAAGACCCTATCTCAGAAAAACAAAAACAAAAACAAAAAACCCAGGAGCAAAGTATTTAGCTCCCTCAGATTGGAAGAGGATTGGAGAGCTAAAATGAGAATGTGCTGAGCCAGGCACTAATAGCAGAATTACTAAAACTATAAACATATTATGAAGCTGGAAGTAATATGTTCACCATGGATAGCCCATTAAGTAAAATTCAAATATAGTCAAATATTGTTTTAGGTCTGTTTTGCTAGGCTAGGATTTTACTACCATCAGTTTATAAGTGCTTTCCATTTAATATGCAATCACATGACATTATTTTTCCCACAGTAATTACGTTTATTATTATTAAATCTTAAGTATCTGAAAGGTATAAATGTGGGTCAAATGGAAGAAAATAGGAACTGAAATAAAACTATTGCAGACGCACATGAAGAGTGACTTTTCTGGTTTTCAATCTCTCTGAAGGGAATATTGAGGAGAGTAATTCTGATATGGAACTGAGTTGGGGATATATTTCTTTCCTGGGAGAAATTCCTGTGGAAGGGAGACAATTATCAGAATCTTTTTTTTTTTTTTTTTTTTTTTGAGATGGAGTTGCACTCTTGTCACCCAGGCCGGAGTGCAATGGCATGATCTGCAACCTCCGCCTCCTGGGTTCAAGCAATTCTCCTGCCTCAGCCTCCCAAGTAGCTGGGATTACAGGCATGCACCACCACACTCAGCTAATTTTTTGTATTTTTAGTAGAGACAGAGTCTCACTATGTTGGCCAGGCTGGTCTCGAACTCCCGACCTCAGGTGATCCATCTGCCTCAGCCTCCCAAAGTGCTGGGATTACAGGCGTGAGCCACCGCCTGTACAGAATCTTTTTTTTTTTCCTTCAGGTCAGATGGGTAATGTGCCGATGTTGTAACAAGGTTCAGAGGGTGGCACATTTCACATGTGCCCGTGAGCACCCAATCTTCACGCTCATGAACTACAGAAGGACCGAATTATCAGACTCTTAATGGACACAGGAACATATGTTTATAAGACATTGAGATTCTTATGACAAGAGACATCCCTGTAGGGAAGCAGGTCATAGACATAGCAGATGGGGTTTTAGTGAGAGACTGGAAAATGAATAGCATGAACTGAAATAAAATAAGGATTCCTTGTGCATTTGGTAGTACAATCTGGGGAGTAATTGCTAACTTCTCATGGACTAGTTGACCGTCAGGACAAAAGATGTTACTTCCATGTATTTCCTTTACTTCAAAAAGTTTCTCAATCCCCCAAGTGTAAGGGTGACATGGAAACAGGGAGGTGACATTAGATGTTGAGAAGAAAGCAAGCTAAATGTTATCTCTAAGCCAAGAAGGTAGACAACATTATAGATTTCTGAGGCTGGTTGGTGGCATATAAACAGGACTTCTTGTGACTGGTAAATATGTATATGGACCCTATCTCGGAAATGCTGGTGATCCTGAACAGGAAACATGAGATTCCATCTTGTACTAGTCAGAGAGATAGTCTTTCCTGCTTATGTTCAATTTCCCAGTGTCTCGAGTAGCCCTTGCACTGGCCTCACTTTCCTACTCTGTTGTTGGTAGTCGCAGCTGGAGAGTCAATCACCTTCACCTAATGGTTCAGGGAGGCTAATGGAGGGTCTCCGGCTTCACCATTGCCACCCTCCTCTCACACACATACCACCTCAACTCTCAGCAGTTCTTTGAGAAAGCCTTTCCATGGAGGATGGTCACACAGCCTCTGCTTCTTAGGGTAGTGCCATCTATTATAATATCAAAGAGTTCAGAAGAGTAAGGAGTTCCGTCCTTCCATAGCCAGGCCTTGCCATTGCCCGGGTGGAAGAGCCCTGTCTGATAAGAGTAGAAAAACTCAGAGTAGCTTTGAGACACAGCAAACTCCAGCATTTCTTGTGTGTTTATCTTTGGATGGTAGAGTTCTTAGCAATGCAGATATATTTACATTTTTGCCAACTTTCACTGTCTTTTTTTTTTTTTTTTTTTTGAGACGGAGTGTCACTCTGTCGCCAGGCTGGAGTGCAGTGGCACGATCTCTGCTCACTGCAACCTCGGCCTCCCAGGTTCAAGCAATTCTCCTGCCTTAGGCTCCCAAGTAGCTGGGACTACAGGCATGCGCTACCACACCCAGCTAATTTTTGTATTTTTAGTACAGACGGGGTTTCATCATGTTGGCCAGAATGGTCTCGATCTCTTGACCTCGTGATCTGCCTGCCTCAGCCTCCCAAAGTACTGGGATTACAGGCATGAGCCACCGCTCCCGGCCAACTTTTGCTATCTTTATAGAACTGGTAGCATTTGTCCCCATACACCTATTTTTCTGGACATAGGTTGCACCTGTGTACTCCAGCTTTGTTGCAGAGCTCATGACAGAGTTTTTCAGCCACATGCTTCAGACTTTCTGCAAACTTCATGTTCTGGGCTGGAGGAGATTTGACCTGTTGGGAGATATTTCTTTTTTTTTTTTTTTTTTTTTTTTGAGACGGAGTCTCACTATGTCACCCAGGCTGGAGTGCAGTGGCACAATCTCTGCTCACTGCAAGCTCTGCCTCCTGGATTCAGGCCATTCTCCTGCCTCAGCCTCTTGAGTAGCTGCGACTACAGCTGCCCGCCACCATGCCCGGCTACTTTGTTTTGTATTTTTAGTAAAGACGGAGTTTCACTGTGTTAGCCAGGATGGTCTTGATCTCCTGACCTTGTGATCCGCCCATCTCAGCCTCCCAAAGTACTGGGATTACAGGCGTGAGCCACCGCGCCCAGCTTCTGTTGGGAGATATTTCTTAATATTTCTTCCTTTTACGAGATGGTGTCTTGCTGAGTATTCGAGAGCTGGTATTAACTGAAAAACTGGAGCAGAAATGGATTTCATATGACATTATTCTTAAATGCTGTTTAATTAATAAAATGGAATGTTAACAGACTTGATCAGTTAGGGTAATGGGAATTTTGAGATAAATTTAAGTTTGCAATGGTATTGTTCAAGATAAGCTGGTTACTTTTTTGGCATAACATTCATTAACCATTTTTGATCTCTTATATGCAAAGTACTATTGTTAGCTTTGGGGATGATATAAAGGAAATTGTAAGGCATGATAATAGGAACTAAAAGTTTAATGAAATGTAACCATATGCTCACATGAAATAAGCTGTTGATGCTGAAAGCAAGTGTAGTCTGTAGGCTTAAATGATTGCACTTGTCACCTGGTTAAGCTTTTTTACTTTTTAAATGGTTTGCCATTTGATATCGCCCAGTTATACCTCTACTGACAAATAATCATCAGTCAAGGGTTGAATGGAATTACTGAATCTGAATTAGTTGTCAAGACTGGAAAACTGCAACTGTATTAACTTGTTTTCACTCATACTTGTCCAATGTGCTTCTCTTAAACATTCAGAAAGGGGGAAATTGCTTCAGTCCCTCCCTCTACTTACCCTGCAAACAGTTACAATGATTAGTAGTCTGTATCATCCTCAATATCCCGTTGTTGTTTCAAACGTTTAAAAACTCAAGCTAAGAATATGTTTTGTATATGTTTCATAAAGACTGACCTGCTATGATCTTAAGGTATAAGAATGGGAGTCCATAATGTAGAGCATCTCGATTTGTGTGAACTAGACCCTCAAGACTGTATTTAAAGACTTATTTACTTGAAAAAACACAAGTGGAGGATAGAACATTTACAATTCCATAAAAAAAGTAAAGCCATGTGTCAATCAAATGCCACAGAGAATAAAACACAATATAAGGCTGAAACAGTGATGTAAATGACTGTGTTCATTTCTATTTTAAATCATGCACTTGAAATGCAGTGTGGCTTCATTGCTGACTCCCTGACGTGAATTCTCCCTGTCCTACCCCAGGAAGGATTCAGGCAACATCTCAGAGCGGCAAGTTATTCTGTGGTCCCTCTGCTCCCTCTCCTACTTTATTAACTTAAGTAAGCGCTACCTTACGTCATAAGATAAACATCAACTCACTCAGTATTAGTTGGATTCATCCCAAATCATCACCTTAGCTAAATCCTCTCACAGGTGTCCAGAGAAGCCTGGATTCTCCATCCTTTAATAGTTTCCCGTGGCTGGCCGCGGTGGCTCACGCCTGTAATCCCAGCTAGTTGGGAGGAAGAGGCATGAGAATCACTTGAACCTGGGAGGTAGAGGTTGAAGTGAGCGGAGATCGTGCCACTGCACTCCAGCCTGGGTGACAGAGTGAGACTGTCTTGAAAGAAAGAGAGAAAAAGAGAGAGAGAGAGAGGAGGAGGAGGAGAGAGAGAGAGAGAGAGAGAGAGAGAGATAAAAGGAATTAAAGAGGGAAAGAAAGGAAAGGAAAAGAGGAAGGAAGGAAAGAGAAAGAAAGAAAGAAAGAGAGAGAGAGAGAAAAATAAAGAAAGAAAGAAAGAGAGGAGAGAAAGGAAGGAAGGAAGGAAAAAGAAAGAAAGAGAAAGAAAGAAAGAGAGAGTGGGGAGGGATGGAAGGAAGGAAGGGAAAAGAAAGAAAGAGAAAGAAAAAAGAAAAAAGAAAGAAAGAGAAAGAAAGAAAAGAAAGAAAAAGAAAGAAAGAAAGGGAGGGAGGGAGGGAGAGAAGAAAGGAAGGACGTCGGGAAGGAAAGAGAAAGAAGAAAGAGAGAGAGATAAAGAGAAAAGAGGGGTGGGCATGGGAGGGGAGGGGAAAGGAGGGGGTTCTTTCCATCCATAGGCGTGCCCTGATGGCTTGTGGCTGATGCTCCAGCGCTGGCCACATAGAGATTGATCTTGTCATTAAGAGGCATTTATTATGCAGCAGCTGGATGTACAGAAGGAAGTGGTATGGGTTTGAGGTCTGACTCTGAGCGACTTTGAATGTTTCATTTATCTTCTCCGAACCTCAGAGTTTACAACTATGAAAGAAGAGACCGTTAAAATTATTCTGTCTTCTCACAGGGATATTATGGGGATTAAATGTCATGATACATGGGAAGGCAGTCTAGACTCCAGGTGCTAGGCAAATGCAGGTTGGCAAATGGAGTAAAGGCCTCCTGCCTAGCTTGTTGAGAGCTTTCAAATGTGTTTCTAGTTCCCTGTGTAAGTAACTTGCCAAAATGTTAATCTGAATCAAATCATGAGGAAATAATCAGACAAATCCAGATTGTGGGACATTGTACAGAACAACTGGCCTGGACTCTTTAAAAATATCAGTGTCATAAGAGACAAGAGGGAGGGGGTCCTCAGAGACATACAACACAACAGCTGTTGTAGATTGATGGGAAAACAACTATGAACGATATTGAGGTGACTGATAAAGTTTGAATTTGGATTAAGTACAAAATAATATTGTAAAGAGGTTACATTTCTTGAGTATAATAATGGTGTTGTTATATAGGACATTGTTCTTGTTTTTAAGTAATACTGCAGAAATATTTAGGGATGATTCACATGATTGAATCATTGATGTCCACAACTTACTTTCAAATGGCCCCACAAAAATAGAAATAATAATGCACATGTATATACACACGTGTGCACACGTGCACAAAATGCTAGAAATTGCTGCATCTAGATGGGGGTAGGCAAGTGCTTATTGTATTCCTTCTGAAGGTTTGACTTTTTTTTTCAATAAAAAAGATAGGTAAGGGAATGCATTTTATTTAAATAAAACTAGTTTGAAACCACATGAGGACAAAAGTAATCCACTGTGTTTCAAGTCACTTTTATATTCTGATGGGAAAAAAGCAGACTGAATCTGGGAGGTGGAGGTTGCAGTCACTCCAGCCATGCACTCCAGCCTGGGCAACAGAACAAGACTTTGTCTCAAAAAAAAAAACCACAAAAAACAAACAAACAAACAAAAAACTGACTAAGTAAGGGATTTCGTAAAATATTTTTAAAAAAATAAAGAAAGGGAAACTTAATTTTTCATTGTAAAATTAAAGAGATTAAAGGAAATAATGTTAAGGGCACAAACATGGTGTTGTAGCGGAGGCAAAACTTTACCTCTAGCCTCTTAGGGTCACTGGCTGGGCCTGAGAATGAAGTTGACATCAACCAACAGGAGAAAAGCATGCAGATTTTTGCAAGTATGTGGGAACCCCCATAAGAAAATGAAGACCCAGAGAAGGGCAAGGGCTGAGTTTATATATGAGGTTGAACAAAGAAAGGCAATTGTGGAAAAATAGCTGAAGTAAATGGGGAGACTAAAGGAAGATAAGAGTTATTTTAATAAGGTCTGAACAGATTTCTCTTGGCCTGTCTCCACATCTCTGGTGATAACGTTCCTTCCTTCCTGCTATAGGGAGGGCATATTCTACAGAGGAATTTTGTTTCCTGCTTTCAGGAAGAAAAGGGGAGGTTAGAGTGCCCTTCTTGTACCTGAGGGTTTTTTTGTTTGTTTGTTTTGTTTTTTGTTTGTTTGTTTGTTTTTAGTGCCTTTAGCTCAAAATAATCTCGGTGCCAAAGTGGCATATTTTAGGGTGGCATGTTCTTCCACCTTTCAGTACCCAGGACAACATATCAAGTGCTCAATGAATGTTCATGAGTGAGTGTGTCTGTGTGTGGATCTATACATACTCACATGTACACAAGCTGACATTGGGCATCTTTTGAGCCTCCACCATAAGCCACGGGTGAGCCCTGATTTGCGTTCCAGCTTCATCTGACACCCAGGTTCCTGCTCCTTTTAACCCTTGTCGGCCACACAGCCCCTGCCTGTTTTTTCTCTAATATACAGCTATGTAGCATGTTGGAGAGCAATTCCTGCATGAGACTATTAGAACAATCAACTCTACAGAATCTTTACAATTACAGAATAGTAAAACAAAGATTTTTTTTTTTCTATGAATAATCTACTGGTTGCCTCCACGAGAAAAAAAATAATGCCCACTTCTAAATGCTTTTCCAGCTGTGTATACCACAAGCCCACAAAGCTCCCTCATCTTAGGTACAGCATAGCACCGTAGAAACTGAAGCAAGATAGCTGTGTAAGGCAATACATGCATAACTAATCTTGAATTGTTGGATGGAATTGGAAAATGGAGCAGTTGAGCATACCAGCTATAAAAAGCAGTGAAACATAAACAAAAGCTATGATTCCTGACTCTGTCACAAGTAGGCGTTGGCAGCTTTTTTTCCAGGGCAAGGAATTCTATTTCTAAGAGCAGCCTGATGCAGCCGAGTTTTTCCCCCTTTGTTTTGTAAAAAGGGAGTTTTGCAGAAGTTTCAACTTAGTCTTATGTTGAAAATGTTTTTTCTTCTCCTTAGTACTAAAAAGATGTTTCTGTGGAGAGAGAAAATTCTGGCCTTCTAGGGCTCCAGGGACCCTTTTAAGAGTATCCCGGCCAGGCGCGGTGGCTCACGCTTGTAATCCCAGCACTTTGGGAGGCTGAGGCGGGTAGATCACGAGGTCAGGAGATCGAGACCATCCTGGCTAACACGGTGAAACCCCGTCTCTACTAAAAATACAAAAAATTAGCCGGGCGTGGTGGTGGACGCCTGTAGTCCCAGCTACTCGGGAGGCTGAGGCAGGAGAGTGGCGTGAACCCGGGAGGCGGAGCTTGCAGTGAGCCGAGATCGCGCCACTGCACTCCAGCCTGGGCGACAAAGCGAGACTCCGTCTCCAGAAAAAAAAAAAAAGAGTATCCCAATTTGCAATAACTCACTATGGAACAATTCCAAGTAGATCTTTTTATTTGACCCTCACAACACTGGAGTTGGGTATGGCAGGGATGTTTATTATACTGGTTTCACAGATGAGGACCTTGAGCTCTCATGATAAGTAAGAGTAAAATGTGATGAAAGCTTATAATTCATCAGGTCTTTGATGCAGGCTGAGACCCCAAGTAATTGAATGTTGGGCCTAAGGGATTAGGGGTAGGTTATGATAGTGTTACAGGAGAGGGGTCCGGATTCATACCCCAAGAGAAGGCCCTTGGATCTCACACAAGAAAGAATTCAGGGCAAGTCCATAAAATGAAAGCAAGTTTATTAGGAAAGTAAAGGAATAAAAGAATGGCCACTCCGTAAACAGAGCATGGTTATTTTTTTGGTTATTTCTTGATTATATGCGAAACAAAGGGTGGATTACTTATGCTTCCCCTTTTTAGACCATAGAGGGTAACTTCTGACGTTGCCATGGCATTTGTAAACTGCCATGGAACTAATGGGAGTGTAGCAGTGAGGATGACCAGAGGTCATACGTTGCCATCTTGGTTTTGGTGGGTTTTGGCCGACTTCTTTACTGCAACCTGTTTTATCAGCAAGGTCTTTGTGACTTGTATCTTGTGCCAACCTCCTATCTCATCCTATGACTTAGGATGCCTTAACCATCTGGGAATGCAGCCCAGTAGGTCTCAGCCTTATTTTACCCAGCCCCTATTCAAGATGGAGTTGCACTGATTCCAGTGCCTCCGACAATAGGGCTAGGATTTGAAGCAAGCTAGGGGCCCTCAGAGCCAAGGCCCTGATGAGCTATTCTCTCCATCTGTCCTCCCTTTTGCAGAAGGTGAAGTGACTGTCTGAGAGCCAAGAGGGTGCATGGATACCTCAATGTCCTCATTTCTCTGTCTTTTGGCTGGAGCCCATTCCTTGAAGTTTTATATTTCTGACACCGTCATTCGGGTTTGTGGTGTTTTTCCATGGGCTGGCTAATTAATTAGCCTTCTTGTGCCCATTGTTCTCATTTGTAAAACAGGGACAATAATGGCTGTCTTGCTAGGTTTTTCCGGGGATTTGACTGAATAACATCTAGTAGACCCTCGATAAATAATAGCTTTATTTCCAATATAGGCACAAGTTAGCTTCAGGGCAGCTATATTGGAACTGAACTCACAATAGCAGGTTGTTTTCCACTGCTAATAGGCTGGTAGCTTTCAACCTCATTTCCCTGAGATGGGCTTTTTTGAATTATTTAGTAAAGGTATGATTATAATCTGTGTTCTGTTGCTTCTGGCTTCATCCCTAAAATGCAATTGAGAAAGATTTCTTACTCTCTAATCCGGTTTGGGGTTAGTTTAAGAAGCAGGGGCAGGAATGCTGGGTTTAAGTCGTATTAATTTCCTGGGCTTTTTTGAGTATAGTTTAGGAACTTTCAGCTCCTCACTTTTCCTACAACTAAGGCAAAGAAAAGAAGATTATGTCTATCTCACAGTTTAAAGGGATAAGTCTTATGATTATAAATTCACTCTAGGCTGGGCGTGGTGGCTCACGCCTATAATCCCAGCACTTTGGGAGGCCGAGGCAGGTGGATAACCCAAGGTCAGGAGTTTGAGACCAGCCTGACCAACATGACGAAACTCTGTCTCTACTAAAAACACAAAAATTACCCTGGCATGGTGGTGCGTGCCTGTAATTCCAACTACTTGGGAGGCTGAGGCAGGAGAATTGCTTGAACCTGGGGGGCAGAGGTTGCAGTGAGCTCAGATCATGCCACTTCACTCCAGCCTGGGAGAAAGAGAAAAACTCTGTATAAAAAAAAAAAAAAAATTCATTCCATATGTGAGCATGCTTAAGCTCTCTGGAAGAACCATCTGAAATGTAGTAAAACAATTAATGAGAAAAGAACAGGATTGAAATTAGCTGTAGGATAGCTCAGAGGAAAGAAGACTCACTAATTCAGAATGTACGAGTACTAGCTAAAGTAAGCAGAGAAGAACACACTTCATCTTCTTAGACCACTGAGTCTTTTTACTGGTCCCTTACCCCTACCCTGAATAGTTACATTAACCTCTCTCACTGGAATAATTTCACTAAGAAAACAGAAGCTATTTTAACAAAGCCACAAATTTGCTTAGATTTACATGTAGATTTCTCCATATCTTCCTCAAACAACAAAAAAGCTCAGTGCTGGAAGAATGCTTCAAGATCTTGGAATTCTTTTATCCTATGCATGTGAAAATTAAGGCCAGAGAGGCTGGCTGTGGTGGCTCACGCCGACCTAGCACTTTGAGAGGCTGAGGCTGGTAGATCACTTGGAGCCAGAAGTTTGAAGCCAGCAAGGCCAACATAGTGAACCCTGTCTCTACTAAAAATACAAAAAAGTTGGCTGGGCGTGGTGGCACATGCCTGTAATCTCAGCTACTGGGGAGGCTGAGGCACAAGAATTGCTTGAATCCAGGAGGCGGAGGCTGCAGTGAGACGAGATCACACCATTACAGTCTAGCATGGTTGACAGAGCAAGACTCCATTTCAGAAAGAAAGAGAGACAGAAAGAAAAACAAGGAAGGAAGGAAGGAAGGGAGGGGAAAGAAAGAGAAAGAAAGAGAGAGAGAAAGAAGGAGGGAAGGAAGGAAGGAAGGAAAGGAGGGAGGAAGGAAGGAAGGAGAAAGAAAGAAAAAGAAAGAAAGAAAAAGAAAGAAAGAGAAAGAAAGAGAAAGAAAGAAAAGAAAAGAGAAAGAGGGAGGGAAGGGAGGGAAGGGAGGGAAGGGAGGCAAGGAAGGGGAAAGGGAAAGGGAAAGGAAATTAAGGCCAGAGAGAAAGTCACCTGCTCAGGGCACTTACTGGTGAGCTGGGACTAGACCCAGCCCAGCCTTGTGCTTTTTGTGCAACTCCCGCTCCCAGTTCCACCTCATCACTACATTGGCCTCTGCTAGTCCATATTTCCAGCCACAATTGACAGTGAGATGGTTGTTTCCAGTTCTTTGTGTTGAGTTAAACAGGACTTATGTCTACTATGTATAAATGTGACATCCAAGCTATCAAAGAAAACCACATGAGCTTTTCAAGGCTATGTGTGGTTAAATTCTTAGCAATTTGAGAATATTAATGTTGCAGTAAGGATGTGTGTATGTGTGTGTGTCCTCTGTGCCCCCTCAGCTCCCATACTGATGTCATTTATCACTTCCTTCTCTGTGACTTAACATTTGTTCATATTTTGCTTAGCTAACCACCTACTCTTACTGACATGAATCAGAACCTCGTATGTGACATGGGATGACTCAGGATAGGACAAAGGTCGCTCTACTGTGGGTCCCATTCATTACCTAGAGCCCACCTGACCTCATGCCCAAGCTAATGAGGTCAGAGGCAGCAGTTTGCTGCCTCATTGAACTTCCTGTACATTTTCTTTTTTTTGTTGTTGTTTGTTTGCTTGTTTGTTTTGAGACGGAGTCTTGCTCTGTCCCCCAGGCTAAAGTGCAGTGGCGCAATCCGGTCTTACTGCAACCTCTGCCTCCTGGGTTCTAGAGGTTGTCCTGCCTCAGCCTCCCGGGTAGCTGGGATTACAGGTGCCCGCCACCACGTCCGGCTAATTTTTGTATTTTTAGTAGAGACGGTGTTTCGCCATGCTGGTCAGGCTAGTATCGAACTCCTGACCTCAGGTGATCCACCCGCCTCAGCCTCCCAAAGTGTTGGGATTACAGGCGTGAGACACTGCGCCCGGCCATCCTGTACATTTTCAACCCTTGGCATCAGTAGCAGCATCCGACCAGCAGGTGGCGCAGCGAGTGCAAGAGCCAAAGCCATGGGAATTTTTGTATTTTCTAAAAATCAGAGACAAGTGAGATGTTATATAAACACCTTTTAAAATATGTATAGAGGTTGCCAGATTTGTTTTTAATTAGTGTATTTGGAAAAACACAAATGCATTCTCATTTGTAGAAAATTTATATAACACAGTTAGAGTGAAATTTCCCCATCCCTACGTCCTTACCAAAAAGGAACTTTTATGTTTCTCTCTCTTTCCGGACTTTTTTCCATGCACTAAAAACGTATAATACTTCTAGGAATATAAACATTTTTTCCAAAAATGGATCATACTGTATTATTTTACAAATTATTTTTCCACTTAATACATTTTAGACATCTGTGTGTATTTGTGTATGTGTACACATATTTATATTATTTCATTGTTTAAAAATTTCTGCCTAGGATTCTATTGAATGACTATTACATGGTTTATTTAACAGTTTTTCTATTGAGACGTTAGCTGTTTTTCAGTTACCCGCTATTACAAACAATGGAATCCACGTCATTTATGTGTATTTCTCTAATACAGATACTTAGCTGTGAAGATATGTATTTTTTAATTGTTTAGAAAGACACTCAAAAGAGGCAGACTGGGCCTGGCCAGTCGCTCACCCTTGTAATTCCAGCTTGAGGTCAGGAGTTCAAGACCAGCCTGGCCAACATGGCAAAACCCCGTCTCTACTGAAAATACAAAAAAAAAATTAGCCGGGCATGGTGGTGGGAGCCTGTAATCCCAGCTACTCAGTGGGAGGTTAAGGCAAGAGAATCGCTTGAACTCGGGAGGCGGAGTTCGCAGTGAGCTGAGACTGTGCCACTGCACTCCAGCCTGGGTGACAGAGTAAGACTCTGTCTCAAAAAGAAGAGTCAGACTAGAGGACTGCCACGTGACGTGAGGATTCACAGTCAGTAATAATCAGGGCACTATGGTCTGGCTGTCAACTGTTCCAGAGGGAGGAAGCTGGTGACGTGGACACACAGCTATGTCCACTCACCTCCCAGCTGCAGTCAGCACAGTAGCTCATTTGACTCAAAGTCAAAACCACCAGGGTCCCGACAATCCAGTGTCTGCTGAGGAGGAAAGTTCTTTATTTGTTATCAGATGGAGTGGTGTGACCACTGCAGGCAGCCAGTGAAAGGAAACAAGGATTGGAGTGAGCAGGCTGGAGGGATTCTGATTGGCAGTTGTGTTCACAGCTGTGCATTAGGGGCGGCGGTCTGTGGTGGAGTGGTTTTAGTTCCTCACGTATGATGTATTCCCTGATTTGCAGTTGGCCGCCCGATCCCTGTTCGTCAGACTCTGAACCCGACCCAGGAGCAGATTGAGGAGTTACATCAGACCTATATGGAGGAACTTAGGAAATTGTTTGAGGAACACAAAGGAAAGTATGGCATTCCAGAGCACGAGACTCTTGTTTTAAAATGACTTGACTATAAAAAAAAATTAAAAAATAAAAATAAATGACTTGGCTGTAATAAGGCATAAAGAAGGATAAGAGACCATCCTATTGTGAGAATAAATATTTTAAAGACGTTTATTTTTTTTCTTTTGCCTGTGGCATCAAATTTGCAACAGAAAAGTATTATTTATGGCGATGAATGTTGGTGTATCTGTGGTAAATAAAAACACAGATGACTGTAGGATAAGGTTGGAGATGACTATAAGACATCTAATAATTTTCCTTGCCTATGAAGGCAAAATCATTTTACAGGTTATGAACAAGTTTAGAATTATTCATGTGCTCTGAAAAACAAAAGAAAGCTTCAAAAAGTAATTACACCCGGCCGGGCACAGTGGCTCACGCCTGTAATCCCAGCATTTTGGGAGGCCGAGACAGGTAGGTCACTTGAGGTCAGGAGTTTGAGACCAGCCTGGCCAACATGGTGAAACCCCGACTCTACTAAAAATACAAAAATTAGCTGGGCATTGTGGTGGGCACCTGTAATCCCGGCTACAAGGGAGGCTGAGGAAGGAGAATCGCTTGAACCTGGGAGGTGGAGGTTGCGATGAGCTGAGATCGCACCATTGCACTCCAACCTGGGAGACAGAGTGAGACTCTGTCTTAAAATAATAATAATAATAATAATAATAATAATAATAATTAGACCCTCTTACTAAACATCACAATAACTTAAGGTGGTGTTTTCACAAAATGTGACAACTGTTGTTCACAGCCAGCCCATTTGGGAGACACTGTGTAAAATAGTTCGCCATATACAGCTAGAGGAAATATTTTTTTCTGCTTGAACAGGACATTTGTTAGTGAATAAAGATACTTTTAATACTTAGATAGTTTGAGCCTTTGGTCATATCAACAACAAATTTTTAAATACTAGTGCAGGATTTTTTGCCATTTTCAAAATGGGATGAATCTGTCATACGAAAACTCATGTGGACAGGAGAATGGTTCCTCATTTCTATTCATGCTTAGAATCATGCTCCTTTGCTGTAGAGGGAAATCTATTTGGAAGACAGGCTTTTGCACATGATTCAGGACTAGAAATTCTGGAAATTCCATATCAGGAAATTCCAAAAAATTTTCATGCTAAGAGAAATGGTTTTAATTTGCTTCCTGAATGGCCTTTTCATTATAAAATAATCTCTAAAAGAAAGTGCCGGCTGGGCGTGGTGGCTCATGCCTGTAATCTCAGCACTTTGGGAGGCTGAGGCGGGTGGATCACCTGAGGTCAGGAGTTCGAGACCAGCCTGACCAACATGGTGAAACCCCGTCTCTACTAAAAATACAAAAATTAGCCAGGTGTGGTGGCAGGCACCTGTAGTCCCAGCTACTCGGGAGGCCGAGACAGGAGAATTGCTTAAACCTGGGAGGCGGAGGTTGCGGTGAGCGGAGATTGCACCACTGCACTCCAGCCTGGGCGACAGGGTGAGAATCCATCTCAAGAAAAGAAAAAAGAAAGAAAGTGTCCTCCCTGGTGAGATACGTCCAGTTCACAGTTCGCCGGGTTTAGGACTCTTCTCTGACCCAGCATGAGCAGGGACCTTGTCCTTCCTGTTTACTGACATCCCCTCAGTGCCCAGGTCAGCTTATGGCGCTTAGTAGGCAAAAAGTAAGTACTTGTTTGATGAATGCATTTATAGCTAAACATGCAAACAAACTTTTCCATTAAGCAGAGAATTTTTAAAGCTGTACCATAGGATGAGACCTGTTTTAAGGTAAGACCCACTTGCAGAAGGAGAATATTTGCTGTGTCTGATTGCTCTGAACCGGTAATCAACAATACCGTAAGCCAATTCACAGGGAGCAAGTCAGAAAGAGGTTTCTGATAATTAGTCACTAAGTGTTAAGTAACTAGTCATTCGACAAGAAGAATGTCTCGTTTCCAACCCATGTCCACTGCTAGATGTTTGCTTTTGTGCTTCCTCTTCTCCAGGTGTTCGTAGGCAACTTCAGGGAGCTGCCTCCCAACTTATTGGTAATATGTCTTCAGGCTTCCAATTTTTAAATATTCAGCTCTGGGCTAGAGGCTGGATTGGGGTTTAGTCACAGCAAAATACAGTCATGCTGGGTAATGCCTTAAGAAGGAGGGCATGTCACCTACAAAAAGCCTGAAACTTCTCAATTGCTCTACATGAAGTTTTTTGGGCCAGAATCCCTTTGGCTTCACCCTAGTTGAGGAATCCAGGGGTCCACTGACCTGTGGGCTTGAAATTACTTCAATTTTGGTCAAAGCAGGACCTTTAACTTATTTTTTAAAACCCATGAGTTGTATCCCCTTGGAGAAGTTTGTTAAAAGCCCATGCCACGTCATCATTTGCAATTTCACAGAGGTATGCGTTTTAATCTCACAGCTAGTAGTGAGGAGGTGAAGCTGACCACCCAACATCCGCTGGGTTATCCAGCAGGCAGTTAAAGCCCGTGCTTGTAAATCGGAGGCATTAAAAAGTGAAAAAAGTTTGCTCGCATGAAATTATCTAGAATTTTGCCATTAAAAAGTCTAGACATAAGCAACTTTAATTTTGGCATACATAAAATGTTATTTTTCAGTACACATGGCAGAGGGTATGCAGGATGGGTTATCTCTTCACGTATTACAATCTCTAGAGGTCTTAATTTGGCCATGCTAGAAGTCTTTTTATGTATTCAAAGTATACCTGTAAGTTTCATATAGTCCAGTCCTGTAGATCGCTAATGAATTTTTTCATATGAATTTTTGCTACCAGACAAATGTTGGCCATATTCACTAGTATGGCTTGATGGAGATATCTTCCATTGTAAAGGTTCCCATCAACTAGGTAATTGCACATAAATTTTAAACAGTGGCCGGGTGCGGTGGCTTATGCCTACAATCCCGGTACTTTGGGAGGCCGAGGTGGGTGGATCACCTGAGGTCAGGAGTTCGAGACCAGCCTGGCGGGGTTTCAACATGGTGAAACCCCGTCTCTACTGAAAATACAAAAATTAGCTGGGCATGGTGGTGCGTGCCTGTAATCCCAGCTACTCAGGAGGCTGAGGCAGGAGAATCGCTTGAACCCAGGAGGCAGAGGTTGCAGTGAGGTGAGATTGTGCCACTGCACTCCAGCCTGGGTGACAAGAGTGAAACTCCATCTCAAAAAAAAAAAAAAACAAAACTTTTTTTTTTAAACAGCAAAGCAAAACAATGATAATGCAAATAACCGTAGAACACTGTAAGAGAAACATTTCCTTGGGAAAATGTGCATGTATGCTGTTTGATTTGGACATTTTTCCCTGTGTTTCCATTGCACCCTGGGTGCAGCCTGAGTCATTGCTTTTGTCTTGCAGCTAGAAGCATATGAAATTGTTGATGACCAGCTACGTCTATCATGCTCACGATGAAGGTTGCAGCTTCAGTGCTTATGAAGGCCAGCCCAGTTTGATCTTTTCAAAGGGGAACAGTAAGTGATGCTAGATGTTTTGCTGCAAATCCCTTGCAACTACTATGAAAACATCAAAATGTGTATATGTTAGGGATGATGGGTGAACCTTTATTGTATGCGTAGGATTAAAAGTGACATCCCTGCTTTCGGTAGAATGTATGTTTCTATCATGGGAAACATGGAGGTGGAATCTGGTTATCATGTCCACACATCTGTAACTTTACGTCTCTTTCAAACTACCTCACTGATGCAGGCTACTAAAGTTTGTGATAAATATGAAAACAGTTTTGGGGTGCATTAGCTCATATTCTTTTCCTCTGACGAGAGACACCATTGGCAAGATTTGTTGATTGGTTGCTTTGTCAATAGCCCAAGATGGCTAGCTCTCATATTTGTGTTTTTTAACCTAAGTAGCCAAATGTCTATTTGTAGGGCTGGAGGAGTTACTTCAAGTAGAATTTGTATATCTTTGTAAGGGAGAAAAACAGGGCGACTTCTAAAATAACCACCCAGTTGTTCTGTTTCTCTAGGATTGCAAACACAGAAGCAGTTATTTATATTTAAAACAAAGAGATTTCTCTAGTACCTTATATTTTTTTGTTATAGTCAATCCTTCCCAAACACCTCCAGCTTAGTGCCTTACTATCTTATATCAAAAGGAGAAAGTTGATCTCAATCCATGTTAACCCATAGGATAATGAGTTCTTCAGTAGCAGAATCTGTGTCTTGTTTTCATTTCAATCCTGACCCCAACAGAGGAGGTCTCTAGTAGTCTCTTGGGGAATGTTTGTGGCACTAACCTGGAAATCTGGTGGATTGTGTCAAAGAAGCCAAGTTTTAGCACTAGAAGGGACTTCATCATCTGTCTAATTATTCCTTCTGCCGATGAAGCAGTTGAACCCTAGTGAAGTTTCATGCAGATTAAAAGTGACTCCATGTTCCTATTACTCTTCCCTAGATTGAGCAGGAGGTACTCCTAGTCCATGATTGCTGATTAATAAACCTAAAAATCCTCCTATAAAACAGAAGTGTCAAAAAAAAGTAGAGCGTAATTAAAAATCCACTTGAAGCAAGGGATTAAACAGTGCAGAATCAAGCTGTCTTATTGGCATTGAGAACATTTTTCTTTTTGGGGGCCGGTACACCACGTTGTTGATTTTTCCCTTTTGTAAGAGCTATTTTGGTGCTGTGTCTTGGGAAAAGTCCAAGTTTTCAACAACAAGTTTAGCCTCGAGAGCCTTGTGTATTGGAGCAGTGAATAAGGCAAGGTGTCATATGCCCATGACAACTGACAGACCCAGAAAAAAATCTTCCATCAGTCGTGTTGTGATCATTAGAGCAGGCCAGAGCAATCCTATTACTCAGACAGAGGTGGAGGCCGAGCTTCTGTCACCTCATTGATGGTACTAAGCCCAGACTCAATTCTGGCTCCAGCCTCATTCAGCTGAGTTATCACAGCTGCTTTTTTTTTTTTTTTTTTAATAGCTCTTAGATTCTGGTTAAGAATCATCTTAGGCTCTCTTGAGAACAGACATGAACCTGATGTTGCTGGCGTTCCCCAAGCCTGCTTAATTCTCTCCTACTCCATTTCCAGACCAACTTGGAGCCTTAGATCTTTCTGGTTGGATTCCAGACCCTGCAATGTGGGTTTGCAGTGATGTGGGGACAATCAGAGAACTAGAACCTGGTTGCCACATTTTTCTACTCTCCAGCCTTCTGTTTTAGATAGTCCTTCAGCCTCTGATCTTCTAGTAATTGGCTAGGTAACCTGGACTCTGTTCTTTCCTAGGTAAATAGAGTTGGGAGTGAATGATCCTCCAGGTCATTTCTGCCTGTATCTTATGGTCTCTGCCTGGCCTTTTATCTGTCAAGGCAATAACATCTAATTGGAGGTGTAGGTTTACCTGATAACTCTGCCTTTTCCTCCGCCTTTGTCACTTATTTCTGTTCCTCCAAGAAATGCAGTGAGCTGAAATGATTATCTCACTTTCTTGGTGTATGTATGTGTGTATATGTGCATATACACATACATGCACACACATGCACACGTTTTATATATATATAAAACAAATTATATAAATATATATATATATGAAACAAATTGCTACTGGAATTTCTCTAGGATCACAATAATATTTAGTCATGTGTTTCTGAGAAAAAATTTAATTCCCTAAATAAAAATAGGTGGAATTTATCTCAGAAGTTTCCTCCTTTCTATCATTCAAAACTATGGAATAACACTGTTTATTACTTGTTAAAATCTTTATAGGAGACTGTGAAATTTGTATATTTTCTATATGGGATTCGTTGTGGTATGTTTTTTAAAAGCTTTCCATTTGTAAAAGTTTTGACCAATAAATGTGTTTTTATGCCTGAGTGATAATGTATGAGTGTGGCTTTCAACCTGGATAGAATGTTTTTCATCTCCCACACTTTGGCGAGGCTGAATTAATTTAGACTTGAGGATGAATATCGGCGAGGAAACTGGTGTGAAACTGTGAGAATTGCAAATTGTCAGAGTGAGGAGTCAGTACTTTAAATTCTCTTGATGGAATATAAAATACAGCAGAAAGCGGGGGCGGGGTTAACTGACAACTGCAGGTGGACAGGAATGAAAGAAGAACTGGGGCTGGCAGGAGGAAACGAGTCCGCCAACTGCCGTGGTCTCATGTGCCTGGAGAAACAAAGAGGCTCCTCGGATTCAGAAATATTCAAAAACTAGTAGAAAAGATTGAAAATTACAAATCAAGTCAATCACTGCTAATGGGCATGGGGTTTCTTTTGGGGTGATGAAAAATGTTCTAAAATTAATCATGGTCATGGTTGCACAATGCTGCGAATATACTACCCCCCTGAAATTCTCCTTTTTAAGTGGGTAAATTTGATGGTATGTGAATTATATCTCAATAAAGCTGTGGTATAAAATCTAGTCAGTCAGACACTAGCCAAAACAATGGAAGAAGGTAAAAGTGAAATTCCTTTCTGGGTCAAGAATGAAGTTGCCTCCCTTTGGATGTCAGCGCCTTGTAGGACGAAGCTTCTACCTTGATTTGTGAGGCCTGTTTGTGTTCCTGGTGTTCATCATCAAAATCAGTGTTTTCAATACTCTTTTTAAAGTATTTTAGCCAGATACAGTGGCTCACTCCTGTAATCCCAGCACTTTGGGAGGCTGAGGTGGGTGGATCACCTGAGGTCAGCAGTTGGAAACCAGCCTGACCAACAAGGTGAAACCCCGTCTCTACTAAAAATACAAAAATTAGCCAGGCGTGGTGGCAGGTGCCTGTAATCCCAGCTACTCTGGAGCCTAAGACAGGAGAACTGCTGGAACCCAGGAGACGGAGGTTGCAGTGAGCCGAGATCGCACCACTGCACTCCAGCCTGGGTGACGGAGCAAGACGCCATCTTGAAAAAAAAAAAAAAAAAAGAAGAAGTATTTTATTGGATAAAGAACATGCTGTTGTATTACAGTGTAAACTACTGCTTGACTTTAATTTTTCCCAGTATTTTATTAATACTGTAGCATAAAACTAAGTATGCATTATGTTAACATATAAAACAATAGTCAACATTTGCCAATCAATTATCTAAAAGGTGCCAGATACAGGGTTAAATATTTTATGTATGTTGTGATATTTAGCTCTTAAAATATCCCTAGGAGGTTGGTACTGTTTTTATCCTATAGACTGGGGCTCCAAGGGGTTAAAAACTGTGCTTGAAGCAACCCTGATGGCGAGTGGTGGGGCTTAGCACAGTAATGCTGGGTCCTCTGGCCAGACCCCATGCTCTAGATGTAGGACCCGAGAGCCTTGAGGGTATGTGATGCTTGCTGTGAGATTCTGGGTAAGTAACTGCATACCCTTTACCTATCAAAGAAGAGGAAGAGGCTGGGCGTGGTGGCTCACGCTTGTATTCCCAGCACTTCGGGAGGCCGAGGTGGGTGGATTACAAGGTCAAGAGATCGAGACCATCCTGGCCAACATGATGAAACCCTGTCTCTACTAAAAATACAAAAAAAAAAAAAAAAATTAGTGGGGCGTGGTGGCGCATGCCTGTAGTCCCAGCTACCTGGGAGGCTGAGGCAGGAGAATTGCCTCAACCCAGGAGGCGGAAGTTGCAGTGAGCTAAGATCCCACCACTGCACTCCAGCCTGAGCGACAGAGTAAGACTCAGTCTCAAAAAAAAAAAAAAAAAAGGGAGAGGATGAGGCAGGAAGGCTAAGGTTCTTTTTGGGTCTATCTAAGCTGCGATTCTATTCTAAAGCCATTTCTGAACAGCCCTCTTTTCCAAAATCCAATGGACACAGCAGCCATCTTCAGCACTGAAGACAACACCTGGGGACTCTTTATGCAATGGCAAAATGGTATGTCCATCATTAAAGGGACAAAGCCAAAAAGCTTCATAAATGGACTAACATTTGTTGTCAAAGTTAAGCATTTAAAAAGAACACCTAGCCGGGCGCAGTGGCTCACGCCTGTAATCCCAACACTGAGAGGCCAAGGCGGGCAGATCACCTGAGGTCAGGAGTTCGAGACCAGCCTGGCCAACATGGTGAAACCCTGTCTCTACTAAAAATACAAAAATTAGCCAGGCATGGTAGCAGGCACCTGTAATCCCAGCTACTCGAGAGGCTGAGGCAGGAGAATCATTTGAACCTGGGAGGTGGAGCTTGCAGTGAGCTGAGATCACATCATTGCACTCCAGCCTGGGTGACAGAGGGAGACTGCGTCTCAATAAAATAAAAATAAAAATAAATAAATAAATAAATAAAAAGAACACCCTTTTGGTCAAAAGTCTTGATTTTTAGTAGCTATTACTATGGTGCATAGATCATTTGCTGAGGAAAGATTGCTTTTCAGAACTATATCTTTAAATTCATTTTCTTACATGTGCATACTAAGGGTGTGTGTTTCTAAGTACCTTGACACATGTTTCTTGTAAGATGATTGCTACATATTCCAAATTTAAGAAGAATCTTCACTGCCTTCTCTAGTTCTCCAACAACATCTTAAGAAATTCTAGATGTAAAGGAAATTTGATCTTTAATTTTACCTGGCATTGGCATTTTATGGGCTGCTGAAATAAAGGAATGGTGTAATTTATCTTAGGTTGGTTGATGATATAAGAGCAGAATCATACAATTTGTAATTTTAAATGGACTTAATTTAAAAATAACATTGGATCTATGAATATAGAATTTTCATTCATCTCAAAGAATTGTAACAAGATTATAGAAGGGTTTATATATTATATATAGTGTTAATACATTACATCTTTATATATTATATATGTTGTATATAATATAGATATAGATGGAGATAGATGTGGATATAGATGTAGATTCATTACTATTATTGAAATAATACCCAAACAAAGGACATTTAAAATCATTAATAAAAGCAAATGCGTTTCATTTAGCCACAAACTATACCTTGAAAGATGAATTTGGGCTGGGTGCAGTGGCTCATGCTTGTAATCCCAGCACCTTGGAAGGCTGAGGCGGGAGGATTGCTTGAGCTCAGAGGTTTGAGACCAGCTTGGACAACATGGAGAAACCCTGTCTCTACAAAAAATACAAAAATTAGCTGGGTATGGTGGTGCACGCCTGTAGTCCCAGCTACTTGGGAAGCTGAAGTGGGAAGATGGTTTGAGCCCAGGAGGTGGAGTTTGCAGTGGGCAGAGATCAGGCCACTGCACTCCAGCCTGAGTGACAGAGCAAGACCCTGTCTCAAAAAAAAAAAAAATAGATGAATTTGATTTATGTTTTGAATAAGATATGGTCAGTTGAACTTAGTACATTATTACATGGAAGCACTGGGGATGTGACCTAGGGATGCTTTACAACATTTCTATGGAGAGTAACACATTTTGCTGTTTCAAACCAGGACAGAAGCACACCTGTGCCTTAAAGGCACTGAGAGCTCTGGAGGCAATGGGTAAACTTTCCAGCCAGGGAAGCCTTTGATGAGACATCAACCCACATACCTTCCCTTTTCTGCCTCCTTCTGTTATTTTTTTCCTCTTCACATTGGCTTCTGCTTTGTCCATCATCCAGGATAAAGAAAAATAAAAGGAAGAGAAGTGGGGAAAGGGGAAAGTTGAATTGCAAGAAGCACTGAGAACTTGTTTTTTCTCAGAGGTAAGGTCAAGGACCAGGAAAGTAGGGAAGAGTTGAAAAGGAAGAGATGAAATGGTATTGAGGAGGAAGGACAGGAGACAAGCAGAGGAAGGTATCTAATCATTACACATTTCATATTAAACATTTTACATTTTCTATTAAAGTTTCTCTCACACCCCATTGCATGGTGTGTTCTTGTCCTGGGGGATGTCCATTTCAGTCACAGATGGTAGGAACACATTCGGTACTGCCTGAATGAAATGTTATCTTGGAAATGGTATCCCTCTGAAGAAAGGTATAGCCTCTTCTTAGCCCTTTCCTGGCAGTCTGAAGGAGTGATTTCTGCTTTATAAGTTGTATTAGTCCATTCTCATGCTTCTAATAAAGACATATCCAAAGCTGGATAATTTATAAAGGAAAGAGGTTTAATTGACTCACAGTTGCACATGGCTGGGAAAGCCTCAGAATCATGGCAGAAGGCGAAGGGGAAGCAAGACATATCTTACATGGCAGCAGGCAAGAGAGCATGTGCAGGGGAACTCCCCTTTATAAAACCATTAGGTCTTGTGAGACTTATTCACTCTCATGAGAACAGCACAGGAAAGACCTGTCCCATGATTCAATTACCTCCCATTGGGTCCCTTCCAAGATGAGACTTGGGTGGGGACACAGCCAAGCCATATCATTCTGCCCCAGCCCCTCCCAAATCTCATGTCCTCACATTTCAAAACTAATCATGCCTTCCCAACAGTCCCCCAAAATGTTAACTCATTCCAGCATTAACTCAAAAATCCACAGTCCAAAGTCTCATCTGAGACAAGGCAAGACCCTTCTGCCTATGAGCCTGTAAAATCAAAAGCAAGTTGGTTACTTCCCAGATACAATGGGATACAGCCATTGGGTAAATATACCCACTCCAAATGGGAGAAATTGGCCACAGCAAAGGGACTACAGGCCCCATGAAAGTCCGAAATCCAGCGGGGCAGTTGGCTGGATCTTACAGCTCCGAAACTATCTCCTTTGACTCCATGTCTCACATGCAGGTCACACTGATGTAAGAAGTGGGTTCCCATGGTCTTGGGAAGCTCTGGCTCTGTGGCTTTGCAGGGTATAGTCCCTGCTCCTGGCTGCTTTTAAGGGCTGGCATTGAGTGTCTGCGGCTTTTCCAGGCGCATGGTGCAAGCTGTTGGTGGATCTACCATTCTGGGGTCTGGAGGATGGTGGCCCTCTTCTCACAGTTCCACTAGGCAGTGCCCCAGTGAAGACTGTGAGTAGGGGCTCCCACCCCACATTTCCCTGTACTGCCCTAACATGAGGGCTCTATGCCTGCAGCAAATTTCTGCCTAGACATCCAAGCATTTCCCTACATCCTCTGAAATCTAGGTGGAGGTTCCTAAACCTGAATTCTTGACTTCTGTGTGTCCACAAGCCCAACACCATGTGGAAGCCACCAAGGCCTGGGGCTTGCACCCTCTGAAGCAATGACCTGAGCTGTAATTGGCCCCTTTTAGCCATGGCTGGGACACAGGGCACCAAGTTCCAAGACCGCACAAAGCAGCAAGGCCCTGGGCCTGGCCCATGAAACCATTTTTTTCCTCCTAGGCCTCCAGGCCTGTGATGGGAGGGGCTACCATGAAGACCTCTGACATGTCCTGGGGACGTTTTCCTCATTGTCTTGGTGATTAACATTTGGCTTCTCATTACTTATGCAAATGTCTGCAGCTGGCTTGAATTTCTCCTCAGAAAATGGGTTTTTCTTTTCTATCGCATTGTTAGGCTGCAAATTTTCTGAGCTTTTATGGCCTGCTTCCTCTTGAACACTTTGCTGCTTAGATTTCTTCCACCACATGCCCTAAATCATCTCTCTCAAGTTCAAAGTTCTACACACCTCTAGGGCAGAGGCAAAATGCGGCCAGTCTCTTTGCATAGCAAGAGTGACATTTACTCCAGTTCCCAAGTTCCTCATCTTTATCTGAGACCACCTCAGCCTGAACTTTATTGTCCATATCACTATCAGCATTTTGGTCAAAGCCATTCAACAAGTCTCTAGGAAGTTCCAAATTTTCCCACATTTTCCTATCTTCTTCTGAGCCCTCCAAATTGTTCCAACCCCTGCCTGTTACCCAATTCCAAAATCACTTCCACATTTTCAGGTATCTTTATAGCAGTGCCCCATTACACAGTACCAATTTACTGTATTAGTCCATTTTCATACTGCTATGAAGAAATATCCAAGACTGGGTAATTTATAAAGAAAAATAGGTTTAATGGACTCAAAGTTTCACATGGCTGGAGAGACCTCACAATCATGACAGAAGTCAAAGGAAGAGCAAAGTCACAGCTTACATGGCGGCAGGCAAGAGAGCGTGTGCAGGGGAACTGCCCTTTATAAAACCATCAGATCTCATGAGACTTACTCATTATCATGAACAGCATGGGAAAAACCTGCCCCATGATTCAATTACTTCCCACCAGGTCCTTCTCACAACACATGGGAATTATGGGAGCTACAATTCAAGATGAGATTTGGGTAGGGACACAGCCAAACCATATCAGAAGTTCAAACTCTCCTAGCCTCATCAGACTACTATCATAAAGATTTTTAGTATTTACCTGATTACTGTTATGAGTCCACTACCTCTTACCTAGACAACTAGACAGATGAAAATGTTAGCTGAAATTATGAGAGACTTTTAAAGTCCATTTCCTCCCCCTCAAATACTATGGTAAGTTGACGGGTGATATTATAGCAATGAGTCCAAAGATCAAATAGTCAAGTGAAAACAGAATAGTAAAATTGTTTTGTTCAGATCTGCATAGGCAAGGTGATCTTTAGAGCTATATATTTCCACTGTTATTTTTGAGAGTTCTATAAAACAAACCATCAGGATGACTTGACTGCAGTCACAGAGTTTAGATTTTTAGATGACAAAGCTTATGCAAAGCAGTGTGCCCAAATGGTTATTTGTGGCCAGAGAAAACACTCTTCATAAGGAACCATTGATAGTGAACCTTTCAATCTCACTGAAGCCCTTACCACATCCTTTTGGCCTGCCTTTATTGCAGAGGTTATTTCCCTTTCCACATCTTGATAGACTTAGAAACTGCCCCAGGGCCACCATTATTTCAAAGGAGCAATTTCTCTTCCATCTTGCCTGTGATTTCTCTTTGCTCTGGGCTCTAGATTTTGAAAACATGTGGATGCAGTGACTTCAGTCTGATACCCTATCTGGGGTATGTAATGTGTTTTCTGCTAATTCCCTCAGTTCCATCAGGGATATTTCTTTGCCAGAATTATTTGGCAAGAATCTGCTGAAGAATTACTTTCAGCTTTATTTGTGGTTACTAGATTAAATTGGAATTTCCTGCATCTCTCTGTGATTCAAAGATTCTATGGAGGGGCTAAGGCCCAGGCTGTAAGGCGTGTTTGTGCCAGTAAACAAAGAAGTCCAGGCTGGGCCGGGTGTGGTGGCTGATGCCTGTAATCCCAGCACTTTGGGAGGCTGAGGCAGGCAGATTACGAGGTCCAGAGATCGAGACCATCCTGGCTAACATGGTGAAATCCCCTCTCTACTAAAAATACAAAAAAAAAAAAAAAATTAGCTAGGCGTGGTGGTGGGCACCTGTAGTCCCAGCTACTTGGGAGGCTGAGGCAGGAGAATGGCGGGATCACGGGAGGCAGAGCTTGCAGTGAGCCGAGATCGCACCACTGCACTCCAGCCTGAGTGACAGAGTGAGATTCTGTCTCAAAAAAAAAAAAAAAAAAAGTACAGTCCGGGTGCGGTGGCTCACACCTGTAATCTCAGCACTTTAGGAGGCTGAGGTGGGCAGATCACTTGAGGTCAGGAGTTAGAGACCAGACTGACCAACATAGTGAAACCCCGTCTCTACTAAAAATACAAAAATTATCCAGATGTCATGGTGGGCACATGTAATCCTACCTGCTCAGGAGGCTGAGGCACGAGAATCACTTGAACCTCTGATGTGGAGGTTGCGGTGAGCTAAGATCACACCACTGCACTCCATCCTGGGCAACAGAGCGAGACCCTATCTCAAAAAAAAAAAAAAAAATTAAGATGTCCAGGCAGGTGCAGTGGCTCACACCTATAATCCCAGCACTTTAGGAGACCGAGGTGAGAGGATTGCTTGAGGACAGGAGTTTGAGACCAGCCTGAACAAGATGGCAAGACCCCCCATCTCTACAAATAATTTAAAAAATTAGCCAGGCATGGTGGTGCGTGCCTGTGGACCCAGCTACTTGGGAGGCTGAGGTGGGAGAATCACTTGAGCCCAGGCCATTGAGGCTGCAGTGAGCTGTGATCATGCCACTGCACTCCAGCCTAGGCAACAGAACAAGACCATGTCTCAAAATAAATCATAAGCCTGGATGCAGCACAGGGTCAGATGCTCAGGGCCCAGGGCTTCAATGCATCCTCCAGTGTGTGATGGACAATTGTGATCAAGCACTGATTCAGTGAAAAGAGCCAAGGCATGGACGTGTGTGCCGCCCTCTCTGGGCTCACACTTAGAGAAGCATCTCATAGGAGAGAGAGTGAAGCCAGTGTCATAAGAGCAGTGCCAACCCAGTGCTTTGGGCATGTGGAGAGATTCATTCTGGCTGAGGAATCTGGAAGGGAGTTATGGGGGGAATGGAATTGACCTGGGCGTGCAAGGATGAAGAAGACTTAGGTGGGCACTAAGGGACAGCTCATGTGAAGGATTCAGATGGGCTGACCAACTTGTCGCTGTTTGCCTGAGACTTTCTTGGTTTTAGCAGTGAAAGCTCCTGTCCTAGTGATGTAGGCACACCCCAAAATTGGGGCTTAGCCCAGGAGGGTTCTCAGTTTTGTACAGGAAAGAATTTGAGAGCAAGACAACAGAGTAAAATGGCTGCTCCAGAGACAGAGCTGGGCTACCCATAGGCAGAGTGTCCCTTGTGGATTGCTGACTAGCTACATTTACAGCTACTCCTTAATTATACACTAAAGAAGGGGTGTGATATTCATGAATTTTCCAAAAAAGGGGTGTGGAGTTCCTGGAACCAAGGGTTCTTCCAACCATATAAGGTAACTTCTGGGCATTGCCATGGCATTTGGAAACTGTCATGGCTCTGGTAGGAGTGTCTTTTAGCATGCTAATGAATTGTAATTGTGTATAATGAGCAGTAAGATCAACTAGAGGTGCTTTTCTTTGCCATCTTGATTTTAGCTGGTTTTGGCTTGTTTCTTTACTGCATCCTGTTTTGATCAGTGAGATCCTGACTGATGCACAGAAAACAAGTCCTACTTCTCCCCTACCTCAGTCCCAGGGAAAGTAGGATGGTTGGTCATTCTAGGCAAAAATACTGTACGACCCTGGTATCCAGTGCCCAGCTAGCAGCTCTCTCTACCTTTGGCAGGGATGGTAGGGGGTGTTTTGTTTTTGTTTTTTTTGACAGGGTTTCACTCTGTCACCCAGGCTGGAGGGCAGTGGTGCCATCATGGCTCACTACAACCTCTGCTTCCTGGGCCCAGGTGATCCTCCCACCTCAACCTCCCAAGTAGTTGGGATTACAGGCATGCAAACTATGCCTGGCTAATTTTTGTATTTTTAGTAGAGATGGAGTTTTGAGCTCAAGTGATCCACCTGCCACGAGCTCTCAAAGTGCTGGGATTACAGGTGTGAGCCACTGTGCCTGGCCAGGAAGCATTTTTTTTTTTTTTTGACACTCCAGAGGGCAGCTTTTAAACTAATTTTTGGAAAGCAACTAATTCCAACTTAGCTGTATAGCCTATGATACCTCGAAATTTCCCATTTACTGGGAATATAGTGTGAATAATGGCTTAAGGCTCTAGAAGTTCTCCATATGTTTGGGTGGGATTTTGTTCTGCGTGTCCCTTAATGCACTGTCTTGTCTGAGTGGCCACAAAACTTGACTATTCCATAAAAGTCTGAGTCCCACAGAGAGAGTTTTTCTGTGATTGTGACC
Organism: Homo sapiens; assembly: GCF_000001405.40. Taxonomy (NCBI): domain Eukaryota; kingdom Metazoa; phylum Chordata; class Mammalia; order Primates; family Hominidae; genus Homo; species Homo sapiens. The sequence goes on from NC_000002.12 coordinate 222,725,406, forward strand.
ATCTTTTCTGTGCTTCAGTTTCTCTTTCTGCAGGAAGAAAACTTTTCCTATAATGGATTTCTAACATATTTTTAATGAAGACGTGCCTAGACTCTGTGGCTTTGGAAACTCAAGATATAATTAAAGGTATGAAATGTAAGGAAATGCCCTAATCTTTATACAGCATTTACTCTAAGTTTTTACTGTATTTTGTTCATCCTTTTACTTGTTAAAAATATGCATATTGAGGCTGAGTGCAGCGGCTCATGCCTGTAATCCCAGTACTTTGGGAGGCCGAGGCAGGCGGATCACCTGAGGTCAAGAGATCGAGACCAGCCTGGCCAAGATGGTGAAATCCTGTCTCTACTAAAAATACAAAAATTAGCTGGCCGTGGTGGCGTGTGCCTATAATCCTAGCTACTTGGGAGGCTGAGGCAGAAAAGTTGCTTGATCCCGGGAGGTGGAGGTTGCAGTGAGCCGAGATCACGCCACTGCACTCCAGCCTAGGCAACAGACGGTGACTCCATCTCAAAAAAAAAAAAAAAAAAAAATATATATATATATATATATATATATCTTATTTATTGATGTCTTGTTCCCGAAAAGACCATGGATGGAATGGCCCTGCTAGAGATTTCATGATCTAAATTGCTATTACAAAATTTAACAATCAAGTCCTATTAAGTATTCACTTGCAATAATAAAATTATCTCTCCTCTACAAAAGATTCACTGAGTAGGCCAGGCACAGTGGCTCATGCCTGTACCCAGCACTTCGGGAGGCCGAGGTGGGTGGATCACCTGAGGTCAGGAGTTCGAGACCAACCTGGCCAACATGGTGAAACCCCGTCTCTATTAAAAACACAAAAATTAGCCGGGTGTGGTGGCACATGCCTGTAATCCCAGCTACTCAGGAGGCTGAGGCAGGAGAATCACTTGATCCCAGGAGGTGGAGGTTGCAGTGAGCTGAGATTGCACCATTGCACTCCAGCCTGGGCGACAGAGCGACAGAGCGAGACTCCATCTCAAAAAAACAAAAAACAAAACTTCCTTTCCAACTTAGACCCGGCAGAATGTCTCCCGCAAAGAAGGGTGGCGAGAAGAAAAAGGGCCCTTCTGCCATCAACGAGGTGGTGACCCAAGAACATACCATCAACATTCACAAGCGCATCCATGGAGAGGGCTTCAAGAAGCGTGCTCCTCGGGCACTCAAAGAGATTCGGAAATTTGCCATGAAGGAGATGGGAACTCCAGATGTACGCATTGATACCAGGCTCAACAAAGCTGTCTGGGCCAAAGGAATAAGGAATGTCCTATAGGGAATCCATGTGCGGTTGTCCAGAAAACGTAATGAGGGTGAAGATTCACCAAATAAGCTCTATACTTTGGTTACCTATGTACCTGTTACCACTTTCAAAAATCTACAGACAGTCAATGTGGACAAGAACTAATCTCTGATCATCAAATACATCAAATAAAGTTATAAAATAGCAAAAAAAAAAAAAAGATTCACTGAGTAGTGGGAATTAGCAATGATTGATATGTTTACATCTTTGCCACAGTTAATGAGCACATTTTATCTTGAAACACAGCTTTTTAAACTTGTGTTTATGTCCCTCCTACTCCAAGTACCCTGGCAGATTTAATTTGGGCTGAGATTGAACTCCCCTCAGTTGGAATCTGTGGTTACTAACCACAATTAAATTCCTAAAGAAATGGAGATTCCCACTAGAAGTATCTGTCTAAATTATTCTCTCCCCAGTGACCATTGTCGAGACTAGGTTTAGACAAACTAAACATGGCTTCAAATCAACTCCAGCTCTAGAGACAAGAAACACTGGATCTTTGACCAACATACCCAGGAATATCCTGGATAGGAGTGCTGTCAGCCTCATGCTTGTTTCATTATGGTGGCAAAATTGTCACCACAGTTCCAGATATCACATCTAGGTTAAAGTTTCCTACTTTATTTATTTATTTTTGAGACAGGGTCTCATTCTGTCACGTAGGCTGGAGTGCACTGGTCAATCATGGCTCATCGCATCCTCGACCTCCCAGGCTCAGGCAATCCTCCCACCTCAGCCTCCTGAGTGGCTGGGACTACAGGCATGCACCATCACACCTGGCTAATTTAAAAAAAAAATTATTTTTATTTTTATTTATTTATTATTTTATTTATTTTTTGAGACAGGGTTTCACTACTTTGCCCAGGCCGATCTCAAACTCCTGGACTCAAGTGATCTACCCTCCTTAGCCTCTCTAAGTGCTGGGATTACAGTCTTGAGCCACCACACCTGGCCGTTTTCTACTTTATTTAGGAAACACTCTTCTTTCCCAAAATCCCTCTTGCAGACTTTCCTTGACATCTCATTGTCAGAACTGGGTCACATGGGTCACTCCCAGGTACAAATAGGGCTGAGAAAGTATCTGACTTTCTATTCTGTATTGTAGGAGTCAACAAACTGTAACTACCAAGATAATAGATAACTTTGGCATTGCAGGCCTTTTGGTCTCTGTTACAACTAATCTCTGACATTATGGTGCAAAAGCAGCCATGGATAACATATAAATGAACAAATGTGACTGTATTCCAATAAAATTTCATTTAGGGATGCTGAATTTTGAATTTCATATGATTTTCATAAAATACTCTTCTTCTTTTGATCTCTCTTCAACCATTTAAAAATATGAAAACCATTCTTAGGTCACAGCTATACAAAAGTTAGCAGCCTACTGGATTTGGGCCATGGTGTGCCAGCCCTGACCCCATGTGTGAGAGGAGTGTAGGAATGGCTTTGGGAGGTCCATCCACAGTACTGCCGCATACAGCCTCTGTGCCTTGAATGTGGGATATTGGAAAGTGATGACAAGCTCAATCTATCAGACCCACTTTAATTTTCCTGAGAGCCACAAGAAAAGCCTGCTTCTAAATTATATTCTTTATCATGAGCAAATTAAAGTTTACCAAATACCTTTAACACTGAAAATCTGTATTCCTGGGCCAAGAGGCCTAATGTATTTTACATATTTTGTTTTAAGTTGTCTTATAGTGCTTGCAAAATGGTCAGATCTGACCTGAGAAAACTCTAGAATACAGTCTAGTACTGTAACCAGAAAATTGGCACTGTAACATAGACATTTGCATAATTGTTCAAAGGTCTGTTTGCATAAGCTTTATGAAAATTCAGAGATGAAAATACCCTAGATATATTTATTCAGAGACAGGGTCCCACAGTGTTGCCCAGGCTGGAGTACAGTGGCATGATCATAGCTCACTGAAACCTTGAACCCCTGGGCTCGAGAAATCCTCCTGCTTCAGCCTCTGGAGTAGGTGAGGCTACAGACACATACCACCACACCTGCCTACTTTTTAAAAATTTTTGTAGAGACAGGGTCTGGCTATGTGGCTCAAGCTGGTCTCAAACTCCTGGCCTCGAGCAATCTTCCCTTCTTGGCTTCCCTAAGGACTGGGATTACAGGTGTGAATCACCACACCTGGGCCTAAATACTATTTAAAACAGGTGAGTGATATATTAGATATGTTGATCTATGATTATTCTTTTTGAAAATATCTTTAAAATGTTACCTGTTCATTTACTTAGAAACGTGTTGTTTTTGAACTTGACAGTTAATTTTATAATTATAATGTGTGTATGTATAGATGTATAAGTATATATAAACCTATATTATATATAAGCTATATATGCATATATAATTATAATAAAATAATATAACATTATAAATATACTAATATGTATATATGCTTAATAGTCAGGACACTCTCCTCCTTAAAAAAAAAATTGAGTTACATGCTGAAAAGTCTAGGGATTTAGGCACAGATCCAGATACTCAAATGCTATCATCAGGGCTGGGTGCGGTGGCTCACACCTGTAATGCCAGCACTTTGGGAGGCTGAGGCAGGCGGATCACCTGAGGTCAGGAGTTCGAGACCAGTCTGGTCAAAATGGTGAAACCTGGTCGCTACTAAAAATACAAAAAATTAGCCAAGTGTAGTGGCACACACCTGTAATCTCAGCTACTTGGGAGGCTGAGGCAGGAGAATCGCTTGAACCCAGGAGGCAGAGGTTGCAGTGAGCTGAGATCATGCCATTGCACTCCAGCCTGGGTGATGAGCAAAACTCAGTCTCCAAAAAACCAAAAATAAAAAAAAAACAAATGCTATCATCAGAATGCAGTCTTGCACCGTCTCTCCTCTCCTGTCTCCACTGTGTGGACTTCACTCTTAGACTCCTTTTATGGTGGTAAGATAGCTACCAGCAGCTGCAGGCACACATCCCACCGGGTCAGCATTCTCTGGGGAAGAATAGCTTTTATTTTCCCTAGGACTGGGTCTCATTAAACTGACTTATCCATCTATGAACCATCAGTACGGTCAAGAGGTTGGAATATGCTGATTGCCCTGGTCTATGTTGTGCAGTTCAGTGTGCTCTCAAGAGCTAGGGGTACGATGCAGATGGCTGGTTTGTCTGAACCATGTAGACTGAGTATAGAAAATAAGGGGTTCCCCGGCCGGGCGCGGTGGCTCATGCCTGCAATCCTAGCACTTTGGGAGGCCGAGGTGGGCGGATCACAAGGTCAGGAGATCGAGACCATCCTGGCTAACACGGTGAAACCCCGTCTCTACCAACAATACAAAAAATTAGCCGGGCGTGGTGGTGGGCACTTGCAGTCCCAGCTACTCTGGAGGTTGAGGCAGGAGAATGGCGTGAACCCGGGAGGCGGAGCTTGCAGTGAGCTGAGACTGCGCCAGTGCACTCCAGCCTGGGCGACAGAGCGAGACCCCGTCTCAAAAAAAAAAAAAAAAAAAAGAAAAAGAAAATAAGGGGTTCCCCAAAGGAAAATCAGGGTGAAACGATTCTGGAAAAACAAAACTGTCTGCTACAATAACATTTACATTTGACTTTTAGCAAAGGAGTCAGGAAGAGAATATGGAAACGGAGAGAAAATGAATGGGGAGGGAGAAAAACATGGGAATGTAAAGAACACATGTTTCAGTAAATTGGACAAGGTCAGTGCTTCATAATCTTGGCAATGTATCAGAAAAATCTAGGTAGTTAAAAAAAGAAAGGATTTCTGCACTGTATCCCAGACTGAGTGAATCAACATCTCTGAGAGTGGCATCTGGGATTGGTAAATATTTTAATCGCCCCAGGCAATCGAAATGCAGCTTATCCATAGACTCACTTTGGGAGCCATTGAACAGGGTTGCATGAAAGCACAGGCTCAGCTGCAAAACAACCTCAAATTACAGAGGCCTGACCAAGAAGCTGATTTCTTTCTTACCTAATAGTCTGGAGGCGAATGGTCCAGGATGGTGGGTGGCTCTGCTTCACGTGTTCATTTAGAGACCCAAGTCCTTTCCATCCTGCTGTTCACCAGCCCCTAGGGTGTTGTCTTTGTTGAGCTGAAGCTGGCTGCTACCACATCCACATTGCAGCCCACAGGGAAAACGGAAGGAAAGGACCAGAGAAGCACTGAGTTGTATGTTAAGGCCAAGGCTCAGAAGTGGCACACACCACTTCCACTTTCATTATATTGGCCTAAACTTAGCCACATGGCAGCAAGCTGCAAGAAATCTGGAAAGTGTAGTCTTTCTTTAACCTAAGACATAAAAATTTTTGCCTTGACTCTCTAAATACACACACACACACACACACACACACACACACACACACAGAGGTAGGTGGGCATATGCTGAGCTAAAATTAGACACCTAAAGTTAAACATTCATTACTTTCAGTTAAACATCATAAATTGAGTGCCTGCACTAATATTTATTCCTTCCCGAAACTCCGTAAATAAAGGAATAAAAATGGTCAAAAGTAAGAAAGTCCCAAAGAGAACAGGAGATGAGTAAGAGGAGAAAGTGATGTCAACACTATTTTGCAAAATGGAAAACAGAAGGACAAGTGGAAACTGACCTGGCAGAGCAGAACAGGCAGAAACTTAATGCCAGAGAGAATTGAAGGGGAAAGTCCGGTAAGGAGTAAGCTGATTCCCACTGCAGAACCTGGGAGAAGCTGAGCTATGGAAGGCACCACCTAACTGAAGGTTGAGGGTGGAGGGAAAATCCAGAGAGAGGAATGGGAAGTCCCTTGAAGTAGCAGTCAGGCTCTCAGATTTCCTGCCCTAGTTCCTGGAGCATAGTCACCCTCTACCTGGATAGGCACCGGAGCTTTGCTCTTGGAAATTTTAGGGAACCTCTGAGCTCTGGGACACCAGGCTCAACCAAGGGGATGGGGGTGGTGAAGTGCCCTTAAAGCAGATTCAGTGGAACTTCCTATTAGATGGTAAATTCCTTAGTCCCCTTCCCACACTAGGTTCCCATGATCCTAGGCAGCCACTTTTATATTCCTCCAATGGGAGACTGGTGAGTTCCTCTCTGGGGAAACTGACCAACAGAAGAGGGAAGACCTGCCAGGTTCCAATTTCTGTAGGTCCCCATCTGCCACACCATAGTGAAGCCCACCAACAGTCTTTTCACACAGAGCTGCCACTCAGCTTTTAGTGACAGTAATGGACATCCAGGAATCACCAGACATTTCAAGAAAGGCTTCAACAGGAGAGAATATACCAAACAAGGAACATGGGAGAGATGAAGATAGCAGGAGAAAACTTCAGAAAATGGTCATTGATATTTTTGGAAAGATAAAATTTTACAACAGTAAAACAAGAACAGAATGTAATGTAAAAAGGAACATTTATTAAAAAAAGAAAGTGACATAACTACATGGAGATGATGGGTGGAGGAGAAAAATAGGTGCAAGAATGCGAGGGAGTCAAATCCTCCTGTTGCATGGGAGAGTGCTAACAGATGAGGTCTAAAATTAAAAAGTGAAGAAGCAGCAGTTTAAGCATGCAATGTAGACATATAGAAAAAGCAAAAGGAGTTGAAAATTACTGACGCTGGAAGCAGGATTGGAAGGTGAGGCAGAAGACTGCTGGTTTTCATTATAAGCTAGGACTGTTTGATTGATTCATCCATGCCCATGATGATGTTAAAATATATTTTAATATTTTTATTGGTTTTAATATTGACATTTTATACTTTAAAATAACAAAAAATACTACTTCATATTTTAAAGACTATCTTCCAAGAAGATGTTGAGATATAAATGTAGTAGAAGCCTCTATATGACGTGATCAGTGTGAGATTACTGTCGAAGCACTAGGGCGAAAAGGCAATTTAAAGGAAACTTGGACTTAAGACCTGAGACATTTGAAAGAATCCTGGAACTTTCCTGGGGGAAAGTGGGAATTCCTATTTTAAGAAATCTGAGCAAACTGTTATAGGCCAAGCTGCCAAATGTCTGTAGAGGGTTGGCAGGTGTTGTAGAAACTGCAGATCCTCTGGTTTTTAAAATTTTGTTTATATACTTGAATAATAGGAAGTCAGTTTGTTTGGATAATATCTGGAAATGAGACTTTTCTTTTTAAGTTATAACAGAAATACTTTGCATAGCTTTAGTCAAACACTAGTAATTGACTCCTCAGAAAACCCCCTCCCATCCCCCCAGCTGGTGTCCCATTAAACGAGTTGGATACTTGCTTTCTCTGTCTTCCTCTCAGCCAAGAATGCCCATGTGACCTAGTTTTGGCCAATGAGATATAAGGGAGTCTGCTTAGGGGCTTCTAGATGTTTCCTCCTGCCTGATGGGAGGTTAGTGCACAAGGAGAAAGATTCTGCATCCTGCTTTTGAACAGTGTGATGATATCATTTTGGAGCTGTCTGTGGTCATCTTAGCAAACCATGAGGGCAATTCCAAAGGAGTTATGAAGACAACAGTCCAAAACCCTGGCATCGATATATCCCAAACAAACACCAGTAACTAACTTAGGTGTCCCTGTTATGCAAGAGCAATATAGCCAAGATCAATCTGGTTTTCTGATGTTTGCAACCAAAAGCATCCCTACTCTCACCATTGGTCCGAATATGCCATTGGGTTATTTTTACAAATGATATCGTGGTCTCAGTGATTAGGCAGTATTGAGTGAAGGGAGGTAAAATGATTTACTCACATCAATGTGATCATTCCATTCAATTCATACTTTTGTAAGACAGTTTATAATGGAGCCCCTGAAGAGGTGTGCCTTGACACACAGATGTTGCAAGTGCGATGAATTTTTGACCCCTCAATCCTGGGGGTTAGCAAGAGAGGACTGGAGTAGCAGGAGTCTCTAGGGCTACCAGAGTCCCAGAGCAGTGAAAACTCCCTCTGGGCCTCTTTACCTGTTTACCCAAATCACTGTGCAAATCTAATCCTTTCCTCACAGTGCTGTCAAGTCAAATATGCCAGGAAGCCATACTCTGGGATTTACTTATGGCATTTATGTGCATTCTCTCTCTCTTGGTTTTCACAGAAGCATTCTGAAGTTATTATTAATCTCATCTTCCAAATGCAGAAATTGAGATTTAAATCTCAGCGCCCCAATCCGTACAGCCATTTGGTAGCAGAGTCAGAATTTGGAACTAGGGCTCCAGACTCACTCTCCTGCTGCAGAGAATAAGCATCCTTATTATTCCCAGCTCCCCATTCTCATTATACACTTTCCTCTGAGCGTACCTGACAATGGTCGACTTTCATTGCTGAGAGGGGGTGGCGGGAGGAGGAAGCGAATGGGGTGATGTGATGTAAGCCAGGAGAACGAGGGTGGCTCAGCCAACTCAAATCTCTTTGTTCATGGTTTGTGAAGATGTGACAAGACCAGAGAAGCCAGAACAGAAGATAGAGGCCACATTGTTCTGCTGGCCTGGGGCCGAATGTACTTCCTCACCATGTGTTTCTTTAGCCTCCTGAACTTTGCTCGATGGCATTGTACTGGCCACTGTGCCAGCTGCTCAGGGTGGGAAAAAGAAGGAAGAGTTTGCGTGGGAGCAATCTGGGCTATGTCCCAGCATATGTGGCATTTCTGCTTGTTTCTTTAACTTCCAGAGCTGTTTGTCTGAGACTTTCAGCCCTGGGGCTACTACTGGTCAGAATGTTTTATTTCCACTTGTGAACCAGGATGGTGGGGATCTGGAAGAGAACTAGAGGCATCTGGGGACCAGAGGGTTAGTCCAGCCTTCTCCAGGATGAATCCATTTCCCCAAATCACAAAACCAGTTAGTGACAGAGGCAAGAAAGGGACGAAATTCTCCCCCAAGTTAGTAGAGCTGGCTCAGGGAGAGTCCAGTTTGGAAGCCGCTTCCTGGATGTGTGACCCTGGCCAAGAAACTTCTCTCCAAGCTGGAGGTTCTCCATCTGTAAAGTAGGGATTATAAAAGTGCCTTTTCTGTAGGAATGAAAGAAGTAGTTGAGGTTATTCATGTAAATAGCAAACTCTACTGCCTGAGCACACAGGATGTGCTGAAATGTTTGGTTTCTATTATTACTGATTCCTAGACAGCTTCTCTCTGTTCAGTTTTGCAGCTCTTTAGTGTGCTAATAGCTAACTGTGAGGATCACAACAGAAAGTGTTCCATTCATCAAAACACACTTAGAGCTGGGCTAAGTAACTCATATCTGTAATCCCAGCGCTTTGGGAGGCTGGGACTATAGGTGTGAGCTACTCAGCCCAGGTCTAAGGAGTTCAAGACAGTCTGTACTAAAAATACAAAAATTAGCCTGGCATGGTGGTGTGCGCCTGCAATCCCAGCTACTCAGGAAGCTGAGGCAGGAGAACCACTTGAACCCAGGAGGTGGAGGTTGCAGTGAGCCGAGATCGTGCCACCGCACTCCAGCCTGGGTGACAGAGTGAGACTCTGTCTCAAAAAAAAAAAAAAAAAAAAAGAAAAAGAAGTAGAAAAAGAAAAAGACCAGCCTGGGCAACATAGACTCTATCTCTGTAAAAAATTGCCAGGCATGTGTGTGTGTGTGTGTCTGTGGTTCCAGCTACTCATGAGGCTGAGGCAGGAGGATCACTTGAGCCCAGATGCCTGAGGCTGCAGGGAGCTGTGACCATACCTCTGCACTCCAGCCTGGGTCACAGAGTGAGATCCTGTCTTAAAACAAACAAAAAACCAAAATCAAAACCAAAAAAACCCCCTCACTTTACTGTATGTAAGTTATAACTTAATAAAATTGAATTTGGTTTTATGTTGAAGTATTTATTCTATCACAAACCATCAAGCCTCATTAAAAACATGTAACGCTGTCATTTCAGCAGATCCTTACACAATTATAGCTGCAACTGAAACCATGACAGCAAAAGGTATCAGTTTAGAGGGAACTGAATTTTTTAAAGTGTTTTAACATTAGTCTAAGTGTAGGTGTAATGGATGTCAACTTGAGTGCAGTTATAGATATTTGCCCAGAGTATTGCTTAAGTCTTCTAAAAATCTCAGTATCCAATTTAAAAAATGTGCCTTGTGGTTAAACAATGATTGTTTGGGGGGCTTTAAGGAAATTGCTTATTTTTCCCTTGCAGCTTATATGCTTTTCCTTGCCCAAAGATTTGAACAGTTTTTAATGAACTCCAGACTTTATTTCTCTAAAGCTTTGTAAAGTCAGAATACATTTTCCTGCTTTCCCCTTCACCCAAGCAGAGGTGACCTGGCTCCTCGGGAACCTGGTGTCAATGGTGGCTCTCTCATGGTGGCATCAAGATCTACCCTACATTATAATGATGTGTGAACATGTCTTATTTTCTCTTCTGGATTTTTAGCTTTTTGAAGTCAGGGGCTGTATCTAAATGATGTTCCTACTCCTAATGCTTCTGAATATCATGCTGAATGCAAGAAAAAAATCAGCCAATCATTACTGCTAACTGATAAAATAGAATTAAGAAGTGATGTATTGTTTCATAAAGAACCTGAATAAATAGGGGGAAAAATGAACAAAATACTGTTTCATTATTATTAATGGGTAGAAGCAGAAATTAGAAGTAATATGCTGTTTCAGAGGGGATGCTAGGTCCTTGGTTTAGTAAATAGACAATCTTCCATTAACATGACAATTATTTCCAAATTAATGCTTCTGACTGAACCTGGAATTAGGGCACCTGAACTGTAATCCCAGCTCTGTGATTAGCAAACTGTGGAAACTTGGCCACATCCCTTGGGCTTCTGAATATCAGTTTCCTCCTCTGCACAGTGAAGGGATTGAAGTCGTTATTACATCATCACCCAAGGTCCTTCCAGTTTTAGCATCTGCCAAGTGCCTCCTCTTGGTGTCATCTCAGTTCCTTGGACACAGGAGACCCTCAGGAAATGCCTGTGAGTTGACTGAGGGAGTTAGTTAAGCGGTTGGACTTTAACATTGTTTATTTTGCCAAATCTTTTTTATGGATAAATATAAAACTAAATCTCAGCCCAGCCCCTCTTTACATTAGCATAAATTCCAAATTGGCAGTTTTCAAATTACTCACATTTTATATTAGCTATTTTTAATTTGGAGATGTCACTTTTACATCTTTCATGTCTGATCCATGAGTTACAGGGGTTTTTTTTCTAGATAAAAGGGATATTTAGAGATTGTCTCATCCAAGATTCTAAATCTAAGGTCTCTAAATCTATAGGCTTTAAGTACCCATGAACTCCCCCAAATGTAGCCCTCAGAATCTTGTCATTCATTATTGGTTTTCTCAACCTTCTTTTTATTAGTAGCACTTGTCACCACCTGAAATTCTCATGTATTCACTTTTGTCATCAAGTCTGTGCCAGAGCTCCGCACCGTGACTATGAGTTCCAGGAGGGTAACACTTCATTCTGTCCTATTCACCGCTGCATCCCACGGTTCACAGAACAGGACCTGACGTTCAGTAGATGCTCAATAAACATTTGCTGACTGAATGAATGTGTAAGCCAAGGAAGTCCCAGTTCAATATCACATTCCACAAACTCACACATCCAATTCCACAATCCTTTTTAAACTATGTAATTTCTGGAGTTTCTAGAATAAGTAACGAAAGGAGGTGGGAATATCTTCCAAATATACATCAAGCTTCCTAAAAATCCTCTTTACCCACCCATCTCTCCCACATTTCACACATCAAGGCAGAGATATCTTGAGCTGCCTTTTCTCATTCTTCCCAAAACTCTTTATGCTGGGACCTTGTCATCTTCATTTCCTCTCTCCTCTGTGCCCCCAAATCTATTCTTTTTGTTGAGATATAATTTATGTACCTTAAAATTTAACTTTTCAAAGGCTACAAATCAGTGATTTTTAGTATAGTCACAAGACTGTGCAACCATCACCAATTCCAGAACGTTTTCATCACCCCATAAAGAAACCTGTGCCCATTAGCAGTGCATCCCCATTGTTCCATCCTTCCAGCCTCAGGCAACCACTAATCTACTGTCTGTCTCTATAGATTTCCCTGTTCTTGGCATTTTACATAAATGAAATAATACAACCTTTTATGCTTGGCTTCTTTCCTTTAGCATCATGTTTTCAAGGTTCATCCATGTTGCAGCATGATATGAGTCCCTCATTCCTTTTTATGACTGAATAAGATTCCATTGTGTAAATGTACCACATTTTGTTTACCCATTCCTCGGCTGATGGGCATCTGAGCTGCTTCCACTTTTTGGTAATTATGAATAACATTGCTATGAATATTCATGTACAAATGTTTCTGTGAATATTTCTTTTCAGTTCTCTTTGGTACATAGCTAGGAGTGGAATTGCTAGGTCATGTTTAGCTTTTTCAGGAACTGACAAATTATTTTCCAGGGTAGCTGAATCACTTTTACATTCCCACTAGCAATGTGTGAGGGTTCTAATTCTCTACATTCTTACCAACACTTGTTATTGTCTATCTTTTTTATACTAGCCATCCTAGTTGATGTAAAGTGGTATCTCATTGTGGGTTTTGATTTGCATTTCCCTAACGGCAAATCAGACTAATGAGACTGAATATCTTTTCATGAGCTTTTTGGCTACCTTCACTGGGGATATGTCTTTTCAAATTCTTTGCCTATTTTTAAATTTAGTTATTTGTCTTTTAATTGTTGAGTTAGTAAGAGCTCTTCACATAGTCTGGACACAAGTCCGTTGTCAGATAAATGACGTGTGAATATTTTCTCTCTTTCCATGGGTTGTTTTTCACTTTTGTAATTTTGATGAAGTCCATTTTATCTACCCCAGATCTATTCTTACCTTCTACATCAGCGCCCTGACCTTTCTTAGGTAAATCAATCCAGCCTCTCTTGTTACGTCCAGTTCTCCTCTCTACAAGTTCCTGATCTGTTTAACAAAGATCCTGAGGAAAGTAGAGCAAATACAGTATCTTCTTCAGAATGTGAAAAGATGAGTAATGTTTGTCACCTATATTTTCATAGTTTTGTCCCTTTCAGATATACAAAAAATACCGCCCAATGGGTTCACCTTACCCACTGCCTACACAGAGCCGATTTCTCAAGACGGGAATCACAATAGAGAAAGGATAATTAATGCAGAGCCGGCTGAGCAGGAGACTGGAGTTTTATTATTACTCAAATCAATCTCCCCCAACATTTGGGGATCAAAGTTTTTAAAGACAATTTGGTGGGAGGGGAGGGGCAGTGAGTTGGGGAGTGCTGATTGGTTGGGTCAAAGGTGAAATCATGGGGCGTCCCTGTCTTCTTGTGCTGAGTCATTTCCTGGGTGGGGGGGTCACAAGGTCAGATGGGTTGGTTTCTTGATCTGGGTGGTGCTGGTTGATACATCAAGGGTAGAGTCTGCAAAACATCCCTAAACTGATCTTAGGAGCAGTTTAGGGAGGGTCAGAATCTTGTAGTGCCCAGCTATGTGACTAGTAAACCATAATTTCTAATCTTGTGGCGAATGTTAGTAGTTTAGTCCCCAGGCAAGAAGGAAGTTTGTTACGGGAAAGGGCTATTATCCTCTCTTTGTTTTAAACTATAAACTAAGTTCCTCCCAAAATTAGTTCAGCTTATGTCCAGGAATGAACAAGGACAGCTTGGAGGTTAGAGGCAAGATGGAGTCGTTTAAATTGGACCTCTTTCACTGTCTCAGTCACAATTTTGCAAAGGTGGTTTCAATATTTAGGCACAATATGCATTTTTCTGAGCAGATGAGTCTATAGATTTATTTCATCAGATTTTCAAAGCTGTCCTTGATGCCAACAATATTAAGAAATGTGCATGTAGACTCATTCTCTTGTGTTTCAGGAAAATGAGACCTAGAGCAGTTGAGTGATTTGGCCAAGGCCACCCAGCTTAGTAGTGACAGTTCTGCAGATACTCAGTATCTTGGTCTGTTTTTGTGTTGCTGTAAAGGAATATCTGAGGCTGGGTAATTTATAAAGAAAAGAGGTTGGCCTGGCACAGTGGCTTACACCTGTAATCCTAGCACTTTGGGAGGCCGAGACAGGTGGATCACTTGAAGCCAGGAGTTCAAGACCAGTCTGGCCAACATGGTGAAACTCCATCTCCACTAAAAATACAAAAATTAGCCAGGCATGGTGGCACATGCCTGTAATCCCAGCTACTTGAGTGGCTGAGGCATGAGAATCACTTGAACCCCAGGAGGCAGAGGTTGCAGTGAGCCAAGATTGTGCCACTGCACTCCAGCCTGGGTGACAGAGCAAGATCTGTCTCAAAAAACAATAAGAAAAAAAAAAGAAAGAAAAGAGGTTTATTTGGCTGATGGTTCTGCAGGCTGTATAAGAAGCATGGTGCCAGCATCTACTTCTGGTGAGGATTTTACGGAGCTTCCCCACTCATAGCGGAAGGTGAAGGGGAGCTGGTGTGTGTGGAAACCACATGGCCAGAGAGGAAGCAAGAGATGGGGCAGGCACCAGGCTCATTTTAACAACCAGCTCTGGTGAGAACGAATAGAGTGAGAACTCACTCACTGCCCCGCCCACACACAGGGAGGGCAATCATCTATTCATGAGGGATCTGCCCCATGACCCAAACACCTCCCATTAGACCCCACCTCCAACACTGGGAATCAAATTTCAACATGAGATTTGGAGAGATCAAACATCCAAACTATTGCACTCAGGTTTCCTTATCTTCCTCCCTGACTCACCATCACACCATCCCACTGTACCATGATGCCTACAGAATTTCACATTGCAGGTAAATTTCTCCAGGAGCAGCACATGAATCCAGTACCAATATTTTATCAAATATTTATTTTTCAGAGACTAAGGCCAGGCAGTATTGACTCGGAAGGCTGTGTGGGAGCTGGAGAACCAGGTGAGTCTTGGTAGGAAGCAGAAGCATCGGTCCTGAGGCTCCTCATGTTTTCAAGGTTCATCCATGTTGCAGCATGATGAGTCCCTCATTCCTTTTTATGACTGAATAAGATTCCATTGTGTAAATGTACCACATTTTGTTTACCTATTCATCGGCTGATGGGCATCTGAGCTGCTTCCACTTTTTGGTAATTATGAATAACGTTGCTATGAATATTCATGTACAAATTTTTCTGTGAATATTTCTTTTCAATTCTCTTTGGTACATAGCTAGGAGTGGAATTGCTGTGGTCCCAGCTACCTGGGAGGATGAGGTGGGAGGATCACTTGAGCCTGTGATGTCCAGGCTGCAGTGAGCCGTGATCACGCCACCGCACTCCAGCCTGGGCAACAGAGTGAGACCCTGCCTCCAAAAAAAAAAAAAAAAGCCGAAATCCTGATAAAGCTCAAATTAAA
Source organism: Homo sapiens (assembly GCF_000001405.40). Classification (NCBI taxonomy): domain Eukaryota; kingdom Metazoa; phylum Chordata; class Mammalia; order Primates; family Hominidae; genus Homo; species Homo sapiens. The sequence continues at coordinate 222,740,987 of NC_000002.12, forward strand.
AAGTCACAAAAAGAAGAGTGGGGGAGGGGATGGTGAAGATAAGGTACATCACCACCTGGTCTGGGCTTGGATGGAAACAAACTGCAGATTTAAATCAAAGGCGGTGCATATGGTGAGAAATGGATGCGGAATCATGAAAATTAACACTTACTTAGCAAAGTGGGAAACAAGAAAGATGGTACAACTGACAACCTTAAGTGATCCCTTCTCCCATTGTAGACAATTGAAGAATTTTCTTTAGGCACTACAGTCAAAGACTATCTTAGAAACTTTCAGGCCGGGCACAGTGGCTCACGCCTGTAATCCCAGCACTTTGGGAGGCGGAGGTGATCAGATCACCTGAGGTCAGGAGTTTGAGACTAGCCTGGCCAACACGGTGAAACCCTGTCTCTACTAAAAATACAAAAATTAGCTGGGCGTAGTGGCAGGCACCTGTAATCCCAGCTACTCTGGATGCTGAGGGAGGAGAATTGCTTGAACCTAGGAGGCGGAAGTTGCAGTGAGCCAAGATTGCACCACTGCACTCCAGCCTGGGTGACAGAGCTAGACACTGTCTCAACAAAAAAATAAAAAGAAACTTTCTGGCCAACTTTTTAGTTCTGGGCTTTTTTTTTTTTTTTTTTTTTTTTTTTTTAGCAGTCAGCAAATAAATTTCTAAATGCTTACTTGGGCTTCAAGGTTAATACTTTGGCTAAAAAGTCTGTCTAGTGTAGTAATATGGTACCAGTGTTTACTTCCTGGTACTGGTAATTGTACTATTTATGTACAATGTTGACATAAGGGAAACTGGGTAAAGGATATGTGGGAATTCTGAACTTTTTATTACAACTTTCCTGTAAGTCTAAAATTATATCAAAATAAAAAGTTAAAAATTAAAGAGAAAAAACTTTGGCTGAATTTTTTTATTTTTTGCATTTCCAGAAATTTATGTTGTAGGAATATTTTCTTTATGAAATCATAATGCAAAATAGTAACCAATAAACAATCAAACATAACAAGCCTTATTGAACTTGTATATTTATTTTATTTTATATTTGGAGTAGATGTTATATTTTTAACATTCAAAATTTAAATATTAAAGAGTATGTAGTGAAAAATTTTCCTCCACTTTTAGCCACCACTCATACATACACACGCACGCGCATATACCACCTTTTTTTTTTTTTTTTTTTGAGTTGGAGTCTCACTCAGTTGCCCAGGCTGGAGTGCAATGGCATGATCTTGGCTCACTGCAACCTCCGCCTCCTAGGTTCAAGCAATTGTCCTGCCTCAGCCTCCCGAGTAGCTGGGATTACAGGCGTGTGGCACCACACCTGGCCAATTTTTGTATTTTTAGTAGAGATGGAGATTCACCATTGTTGACCATGCTGGTCTCTTGGCCATGAACTCTTGACCTCGTGATCCACCCACCTTGGCCTCCCAAAGTGCTGGGTTACGGGTGTGATATATGCCATGCCTGGCATATATCAACTTTTATACACGTGGCTGCGAACTCATAAACAATTTTATTCTATTTTGAAGTTAATTTTAAGGAAACAAAAGATATTACAATAAGGCATCATCTTTGCTAACCCCACTCCTACAACAGAATATTTCATTATTATTTAGTTAGTTAGTTGAGGTGGAGTCTTACTCCGTCGCCCAGGCTGGAGTGCGATGGCGCGATATTTACTCACTGCAACCTCCGCCCCAGGGTTCAAGCGATTCTCCTGCCTCAGTCTGCCGAGTAGCTGGGATTACAGGTACTGGCCACCATGCCTGGCTAATTTTTGTGTTTTTAGTGGAGATGGCATTTCACCATGTTATCCAGGCTGGTATCGAACTCCTAACCTCAAGTGATCCACTCCCCTTGACCTCCCAAAGTGCTGGGATTACAGGTGTGAGCCACTGCGCCCAGCCTATTATTATTATTATTGAAACAGGGTGTCAGTCTATCAGACAGACTGGAGTGCAGTAGTGCAATCAAGTCACTGTAACCTCAAACTCCTGGGCTCAGCCAGGGGCAGTAGCTCATGCCTATAATCACAGCACTTTGGGAAACCAAGGCAGGAGGTTACTTGAGCCCAAGAGTTTGAGACTAGCCTGGGCAACATAGTGAGATCCTGTCTCTACAAATAATGAAAAAATTAGCTGGGCATAGTGGCACAATCCTGTGGTCCCAGCTACTCTGGAGGCTGAGGCAGGAGGATTGCTTGAGCCCAGGAGGTGGATGCTGCAGTGAGTCATGATCATGTCACTGCACTCCAACCTGTGCAACAGAGAACCTGTCTCAAAAAAAAAAAAAAAAAAAGCGACCAACTCCATGTCCTCCCTTCCACTTTCTCCCTCCACCTTTCGTTCTGAAGCTTCTAACGTTCAGTGATTTAAAATTTCACTTTTTGTGCCTAATGTAGTCACATGTCAATATTGCAGCAATTCCTAGTATGCCTCTTGGTAGAAGAGAGGAAAAGCAATTCCTCTGCCCTGGGGAATGCCCTCAGAGCAGCTGATGCCATCCTGCAGCAGAGTCCATTGGCATCAAGACACACACAATCAGGGCGGCTGAGCTGGTGGTGGGCTATTCACAGAGGCTAAGAAGTTATAACACAGGAAATAAGTCAAGATCCTTCTTTGCCATTTAGACTCTGAAAGCAGTGATTGGGGGCATTCTCCCGGCTTCCAACCAAACACGCCACTTCCTTTTCTTCGCTCCAGCCTCAGACTTCCTTTCTCTCTTGCTCTCGTACACACACCACGCGGCATCACAGGAAGGGCATGAGACAAGACCTTATCTGACAATTGTATCAACAAAGCCTTTGGGAAAATAAAAATGAGGACTACTAAGTAGAGTCCATATATAGTCCATAGATATATGTAATATATATATGGAGTTACCCATCATCCTGTTTAGCAACCTTTATGCTAATTATACATTAAGTCCAGAAAAATATGCTCTCCTATCTTGGACCACCTTCTAGTGTTGACAACAATGCCAGCTGCAAGCTTGGGGTCAGGTCAGCAGATCAGCAGAAGACCAGGAAACGCAAACAGATGGCCTCCATCTACATCTGCCCCGAGTTCTAGAAGGCACACAGGCTTAAAATAAAAAATTTCTCGTAAAAATCCTGATTTCTAGTGTCTATTTAAAAATGAGGGTGGGAGGAGGGACAGGAGTAGAAAACATAACTATTGGGTACTGGGCTTAATTCCTGGGTGATGAAATAATCTGTACAACAAACCCACATGTACTCACAAATCTAAAATAAGTTTTTTTAAGACCGGGTGCGGGGGTCACGCTTGTAATCCCAGCACTTTGTGAGGCTGAGGCAGGCAGATCACTTGAGGTCAGGAATTCGAAACCAGCCTGGCCAACATGGTGAAACCCCATCTCTACTAAAAATATAAAAATTAGCTGGGCGGGGTGGCAGGCGCCTGTAATCCCAGCAACTTGGGAGGCTGAGGCAGGAGAATTGCTTGAACCCAGGAGGCGGAGGTTGCGGTGAGCCGAGATTGCGCCACTGCACTTCAGCCTCGGCGACTCATCTCAAAAAAAAAAAAAAAAAAAAAAAAAAAAAAAAAAATTTTTTTTTTTTTAAAGTAAAACGAGAAGGCCTGGCAACGCTGGGGCCTGCATTTCTGCATGGCAATAAGTGTCAGGAGATGATCCGTGAGTGGGCCTGTTTAGAAAGGGCTCACGCTCTCCCGTTTACCCCAGTTCCTCCTATTCCCTAAAGCAGACCATTTGGCTGGTTTCACTTATTTATGTTACTGGCCTGGTTTTCTGAAAACATTTGGGTTCAGGAGATCTGTGTTCTCCTTTCCCTAAACTCTGTCATGCAGGACTATGGGGTAGGAGGAAGAAAGAAAAGATAGTAGAACAGCAAAGTCTCCAGGCTTTTTTAAAAAAAATTGTGGTGAAATACACAGAACATAAAATTTACCATCTTAACCTTTTTTTTTTTTTTTTTTTTTTGAGATGGAGTCTCCCTCTGTCGCCCAGGCTGGAGTGCAGTGGTATGATCTCGGCTCACTGCAACTTCTGCCTCCCGGGTTCAGGCGGTTCTCTTGCCTCAACCTCCCAAGTAGCTGGGACTACAGGTGCATGCCACCACACCCAGCTAATTTTTGTATTTTTAGTAGAGACGGGGTTTCACCATGTTAGCCAGGATAGGATGGTCTCGATCTCCTGACCTTGTGATCCTCCCACCTTGGCCTCCCAAAGTGCTGGGATTACAGGCAAGAGCCATTGTGCCTGGCCTCATCTTAACCATTCTTAAGTGTACAATACAGTAGCATTAATTACATTCACATTGTTGTGCAGCCATCATCACTATATCCAAAACCTTTTCATTATACTAAGCAGAAACTCTGTAACCATTAAGCAGGCATTTCCCATTTCTCCCTCTCTCCCAGCCTCTGCTCATCTCTAATCTTATCCTCCAGGAGCAAGCATTTACTTCCTGGAGCAAGTAGATAAGATGGATTTGCTTATTATTTAACATCAGGACAATATTTCCTATCCCAGTATTGTTTAACACAGACACAGGAAATTATATGGGTTTCCATCCTCATAGGTAAGGAGCGGGGAATCTGATCTTGACTTGAAAAGCACATATTCATTGGCTGAGAGCCACAAGATAAGGAGGGATGGTAGGACCATCAGGAATAAAGCTGGGATGAGAATTCAGATGGGAATTACAGTCCTTCAGGCCAGTTCACTGAACCTACACCAAGCTGAATTCCTTCGCCCTTCATTTGAATTTGAAATTGTAGATACTTTTTAAAAGCTATATTATATGAACTGTATATCCAGATGGGGTTTTCCCAATGTTTTCAGTGTTGTCAGCCATTGAGGTAGCAGAATTCACCTCCTCTTAGTACCACCATCCATACACCCATGCAGTGGACCGCCCCCCTCCCCACACACACACACAAACACACAGACACAAGTGCACACATACGGCTTCTATTTCCTCCCACATCCCCTTTAACACAACTCTACTTAGTCTAAAATTGACAAAGAGCCATAAGAAAAACTAGGCCAGCTTCACAAAACACTGCATTGTTTTTGAGAAACAGGGAAAAATAGCACGTTTGTTAGCTTTAATCTGATACGTATTTGCATGTGCTGCCGTTTCAATTCTTACAATACTTTTGAGGTATTAAACTTCCTACATTTCTAAATGATAAAATCAGAATTTCATATCAGTTTCATTACAAAGGTCCACTGATGTGCTAGATTTTTGTCTGACAAATACAACTTCAAAGTTTACCACAATCACTTGAAACAACCAGTTAACGATAATGTTTTACACCAGAATTCCTTTTGAGAAAGCTCATTATTTACTGGAAAGAAATATTTTGCTAAGTTACTTGAGCTGGGAGGGTGAGATCTCAAGGACATGATTAAGTAATAATAAGAAGAATAGTAGAGAACACATGGAGCCTGAATCCTGTTAAACAGGAGCTCACTTGTTCCACTGCTCTGTGAGTTGATTTTGTGTGTGCCCGTTTGGGAGTGATAGCAACGAAAGCAGATTGTCCCTGCATAACACAGAGAGGAGACCTGGCTAGCCTGGCACTGCTGAAGAAAGGAGAGAGATAAACAATTCTCGGTCATGGTACATCTGAAAGCAGATTGAATTGCAATATCTAGTATTTGGCTATAGGGTATGATTGTAAACCCCTGGGTCAGGGTCTTTCATCTCTGGCACTGTTGACATTTTGGGCCACGTAACTCTTGATGGTGGGGCTGTCTTGGGCACTTTAGGATGTATAGCAGCATCCCTGGCCACTAACCACTAGATACCAGTGGCATCTTCCTGCTACCCACAGATATGATAACCAAAAATGTCTCCAGACATTGCCAAATGTGCCAAAATCATCCCTGGTAGAGAACCACTGGTAAAGTCCAATTTGCTTTTTTTTTTAAAAAAAGAAGTCAACAGTCAGCAGCCAAGATGAATGCTTTTATAATAGGAAACAGGACGTAACTATAGGCTTATTGTACTGGGACACTTTTGTACTAATGTTGTAGACATGTGTCATGCCCATACACATTCAAGTTTCAAATAAATGTCTGATACATATTGCAAAGACGAGAGGAACCAAGAGTTTGATCTTCTGCAAATTCCTAGTTCCCCTATGCCATCAACCTTGAACTTGCCTTTATTATAGCACTTTACCTTATACCTTCACTCCTGCATATATGTGTCTGTTTCCTTTGTAGCCTGCAGCACTTTTATCTCCACTGCCCAATACAATTTTAAAATTATTCTAAGCCGAAGTCACGAAGTGGCAGCCCACAGACCTGAAGCTATGTTTTATTTAGGCCTATTAAACCTCGAGAATGTTCATATTAAAACACAGATTTACCAGCCAGGCGCAGTGGCTCAGACCTGTAATCCCAGCACTTTGGGAGGCCGAGGCGGGCGGATCACGAGGTCAGGAGTTTGAGACCAGCCTGGCCAACATGCTAAAACCCTGCCTCTGCTAAAAATATAAACTAACTATTCCATTAGTTCTGTGCCTTTGGAGAACCCTAAGATAGGAATCCAGGCACTGGAAATCATACCCAGATTGACTTTTTCACAGCCACCAAAGTAAAAAAGATCCTGCAGATCCTGCAACCTCTAAGTCTGGTAAAACAACAGCAACACAAGCTGACCTCCAAGCCTTTATTGACTTGCTAATTGCGATTCTTACTTTAAGCTTTGCCTCTATGTCCATCTCTTTTGAAGCTGTTGTATTTCCTGGAAACCGCCCCCAGCCGCCCTTTTTTTCAACTCAGTCTCATTATGACTAAATACAAGAAAAAAAATCAGTTTCACACAATAACATGGTGGTCATTGCAGCATTCTATGTTTATAATTGGGCTTTCTACCTGAGCCAAACTGCTTTTCCCACCCTCTTTTAAATAGGCTTTATTTTATTTTATTTTGAGACGAGGTCTCGTTCTGTCTCCCAGGCTGGAGTGCAGTGGCTTGATCACAACTCACTGATGCCTTAAATTCCTGAGCTCAAGTGATCCTCTCACTTCAGCCTCCCAAGTAGCTGAGACTATAGGCATGAGCCACTATAGCTGGCTAATTTTTAAATTTGTTGCAGAGACAAGGGCTCACCATGTTGCCCAGGCTGGTCTGGAACTCCTGGGCTCAAATGATCCTGCTGCCTCAGCCTTCCCAAAGTACTGGGATTACAGGTGTGAGCCACCATGCCTGACTGCTTTATGTTCTTACATTTGTTTTAGGCCCACAGAAAAACTGAGCAGAAAGTAGAGTGTCCCCATATATCTCCTGTCCCCTACATGCTCAGCCTCCCCCACTATCAACACCAAACTCTTAAAATTAGATATTTCTTGTCTTTTTGAAACTCTTAAGCATTCTAGAATATCATATATTTTAGCAAGGGCAGTGTGGTGATTTCCTAACACTGCCAACTCTGTCTTTGATCATTCTGTTTCTTTCCGTTCTCAGCCCTTACCCTTCTTTGTAATTTTATTTTAGAATACTTAATTGTCAAATAAAGATTGTATATATTCAAAGTGTAGAATGTGATGATTGATATATGTATATATTGTGTAATGATCACTACAATAAAATGAAGACATCCATCACCACCCATGCTTTACATTAGATTCCTAGAACATATTCATCATATAACTGAGTGTTTGTACCCTTTGACCAATATCTCCCATTTCCCTCACTCCCTAATCCCTGGTAATCATTATTCTACTCTCCGCTTCTATAAGTTCAACTTTTTTAGATTCTGTATGTGAGATCACACAGCATTTGTCTTTCTGTGTCTGGTTTATTTCATGTGACACAATTTCTCTAGGTCCCATCCATGTTGTCAGAAATGCAGAATTTCCTTCTTTTTTATGGCTGAATTATATTCCATTGTATATATGAACCACAATTTCTTTCTCCATTCATCCATTGATCAATACTTAGGTTGAGTCCATATCTTGGCTATTGTGAATAGTGCCGCAATGAACATGAGCATGCAGATATCTCTTTAACTGATTTCATTTTCTTCAGTTACATAACCAGAGGTAGAACTGCTGGATCATATCATAGTTTTATTTTTAATGTTTTGGGTAACCTCTATATTATTTTCTGGTAATGGCTGGACAAATTTACATTCCCACCAATAGTGTACAGGTGCTTTCTTTTCTCCGTATCCTCACCAACACTTATCCCTTGTCTTTTCTGGAAATAACCATCCTAACAGGTGTGATATTATATCTCACTGTGGTTTTGATTTGCATGTTTCCAACGATTAGTCATGTTGAGCATTTTTCATATATCCATTGACTGTAAGTCTTCTTTGGAAAATGTCCATTCAGGACCTTTGCACATTTTTTAATCAGATTATTTATTTATTCATTTATTTGCTATTGAGTTGTGTGAGTTCTTTATATTTTTTGGATATTGACTCCTTATTGGATATATGGTTTTCAAATATTTTCTCCCATTCTATTGTTAGCTGCCTCTTCCTTTTTTTGATTGTTGTGCAGAAGCTTTTTAGTTTGATGTAGTCCCACTTGTTTATTTTTGCTTTTGTTGCTTGTGCTCTTGGTGTCATGGCCAAAAAAAAAAAAAAAAAAAAAAAAAAAAAAAAAAAATCATTGCTTCCAATACAAAGAGCTTTTTGGCCATGTTTTCTGTTAGGAATTTTATGGTCTTAGATCTTATATGTAATTCTTAAATTTATTTCAAGTTAATTTTTGAATATGTTATAAAACAAGGATCCACTTTTATTATTTTGCATGTAGATATTCAATTTTCCCAACATCATTTGTTAAAGAGAGTTTCCTTTCCCCATTGCATGTTCTTGGTGCTTTTGTCAAAAATTAGTTGACTATTTATTTGCATGGGTTTATTTATGGGCATATTATTCTGTTCCATTGGTCTATGTGTTCAGTTTTATGCACGTACTATCCTGTTTTCACTACTATAGCTTTGTAACATAGTTTGAAATCAGCAACTGTCTCCAGCTTTGTTCTTTCTCAAAATTGTTTTGGCTATTCAGGGTCTTTTTTGTTTCCATGTTAATTTTAGAATTGTTTTTTCTACTTATGTGAAAAATGTCATTGGAATTGTGATAAAAATTGCACTGAAAGCCCTTTAATAACCTTCTTTTATTTTTTTAAAATAAAATTTAAGCTTTTTTTTTTTTGAGACAGGGTGTTGCTCTTTGGCCCAGGCTGAAGGGAGTACAGTGGTACCACCGTAGTTCACCGCAGCCTGCAATTCGTGGATTCAGGCCACCTTCCCACCTCAGCCTCTTGAGTAGCTGGGACTACAGGTACATACATCTACACCTAGCTGTTTATTTTATTTTTTGTAGAGAAAGGGTTTTACTATGTTGCCCAGGCTGGTCTCAAACTCCTGGCTTCAAGCGATCCTCCTGCCTTGGCCTCTCAAAGTGTTGGGATTACAGGCATGAGCCACCATTATCAGGGAGTTTTATGAAGCAGAGAATGGAGGAAGGTTGATTTTCATCAAAAAATTGGAGCATATCACAGTCTTCCGTTTTAGTTAAAAAAAAAAGTCACCTATAAGAAAAATTAAAGCTAAAACTATATTCTGGAGCCATGTTAATAGCTGATATGGTAAATTGCTGCAAATAGCAGTTCCTTTGTAAAAGCCAGAGAAGTTAGAGGAAAATACAGATAAAATAATAGCATTTGGGTTTCTTTCAATATGTATGGCTTAAGGCTCTTGAGCTTTCCTTTGATAAGAATCAGGTCCACAGCTGCTGCTTTTGTTAATGCCGTAATTTTGTAGTGAACTCATAATTTACTGGTTACCCGCTGTATGCAAGGCACTGTGGGATGCATATGTCAAAGAGCGTGCCCACATTTCTTCAGCAACCAGCCACTGTGATCAGCACTCTGCTGGATGTTTTCTTCCTTCTTTTTTTTTTTCTTTATTTTGAGACAGACTTTCACTCCTGTTGCCCAGGCTGGAGTGCAGTGGCACGATCTCAGCTCACTACAACCTCCACCTCCTGGGTTCAAGCGATTACCCTGCCTCAGCCTCCCGAGTAGCTGGGATTACAGGCATGTGCCACCATGCCCTGCTAATTTTTGTATTTTTAGTAGAGACGGGGTTTCACCATGTTGGCCAGACTGGTCTCGACCTCCTGACCTCAGGTGATCTGCCTGCCTCAGCCTCCCAAAGTGCTGGGATTACAGGTGTGAGCCACTGTGCCCAGCCAAATACTAAGTTAATTTTAATCAGCCCCCAATACTGACATAGCACCTAAACTTGGCAATTTACGGCCCAGTTAAGGTTTAGCTTTGTCTTGTTAAAAGAAAAACTTCAGCAGAATTAAATTTAAAGGCGTTTAACTGAGCAATGACCTCACGAAACAGGCAGCCCCCAGAATCACAGCAGATTCAGATAGGCTCCAGCACAGCCACGTGGTGGAAGAAGATTTATAGACAAAAAAAGGGAAGTGACATAGCAAAATCGGAAGTGAGGTTCAGAAACAACGGGATTGAGTACAGCTCAATAAGGTGTTTGACTTATTTGAATACAGTTTGAACACTAGGCAGTGTGTGAGTGGTTGGAGCACGGCTGCTGTGATTGGTCAAGACTCAATGATTGTTACAGGCAAATACTCCTAAGTTAGATTTTCAGTCTTGTCTACTTATTACATTAGGTTGCAGTTCATCTACAAGGACTCAAATATGGAAGTACAGAGTCCTTCTCAGGTCGTATTTAGTTTGCTTTAACAGTCTATTCTCTTATACATGCCTTGCACTGTGGGTTATTAATTTGGGTTAATTGTATGGCCAAGGTGGCTGGTCATGATGAGTCTGATGAGGAGGAATTTTACCCATTTAACAGTTGAGGAAAGTGAGGCTCAGAAACTCAGAAAGGTTTTTACTTTTTTAGGTTTGCCTAAAAATGGTATGACTTTGACTTAGGCAGAATTTAAATCCAGATCTATTTGGCTCCAAAGCCTTCGCCGTGGTCTGGGTCTGAGTATTTGTGGTCCCCGCAAAATTCCTATGTTGAAACCTAATTCCCAGGGTGACAGTATTAGGTGGTGGGGCCTTCGGGAAGTGATTAGGGCATGAAGGCAGAGTCCTCATTAATGAGATTAGGGTCCTTATAAAAGAGGCCTCAGTGGGCTCCCTTAACGTTTCACCATGTGAGGACACAGCTAGAAGGTGCCACCCCGAGCCTGAAAGTAGGCCCTCACCAGACACTGAATCTGCTCCACTTTGGTCTTGGACTTCTCAACCTCCAGAACCGTGAGAAAGAAATTTCTGTTATTTAAAAGGTACCCAGTTTATGGTATTTTATGACAGCAGCCCAGATGGACAAAGGCAGCCTTTTCTCATTTCAGCTCACTACGAGATCTCTTTAACAAAGAAATAAATTTGTTAACATGTTTTCCTATGTAGAATAATATGTTTTATATTTGTTTAAAGAAATGTTTAGTGGGCTCCATCTCCCTACCCTGCAGCCAACCCTGTTTCTCCCCCTGCTGCCGTACTGCAAAAGTAAACAGGATCCTCTGAGGTTCTGTCGAGACAGTAGCCACAAGCCACATGTGGTCTATTGAGCCCTGGAAATGCATGTAGCTCGAATTGAGATATGCTGTAAAATGCTCACAGGATTTCAAAAACTTGCTAAGAAAAAGAGAACGTAAAATATCTCATTCATAAAGTTTGTATATCGATTATGTGTTGAAATGATAATACTATGGTTCTATGAGGCAAAATAAAACAAGAATTCAAATTCATTTCATCTGTTCCTTTTTCCTTGTTTGATAGAATGACTAGAAAGTTTAAAATAATCCATGCTGCTCACATTCTATTCCAAAGGATAGCTCTTCTCTAAGGCACAGGCTGTACTTAGAGCTTCTCCTTTGTTGCTTTCTTCATAGATTAAGTTGCTATTATTGGGAGTTTAGGGAGGATTTGCGAGAAGGAGGGCTGACAGCTTCTTAGCAGGCCTGGTGTTAGACGAGACCCTAATGCTGAGGACTTAACTAGGCTAATCCGCTTGAGCTGGAATTTAGTGCCCTCTGTCATTAATAGAGTTAAGCTCTTTAGCGAGCTTTGGCCTTTGAAAACACTACCTGTCTTTTTGGATTGTATCTTAAGGAATGTAAGAAAGGAGTGGGTGCGCAATAGTCAAAGAACAAAACAAAACATATTCTCACTCTGTTTTGTCAAAGGATAGTGCAAGTTCGATGTTTCTAAATTTGTCTTGAGTTTACCTGGGTGGCAGGCCAAGAGCTATTTCATTGCTTGCCTTCATTTATAAAGGAAATGCCTATGACTGTGTGACCATAGTCCTCTCTTTTTATACTACAGTTGAAAGAGATGGAAAAGTACATTTGCTTTGGAGAGGCTGAGAGACAGAAAGAAGCCCTGCAGGGAATATCACATTACCTCTTCCAGCTGGGAAAAAGACAGCTGGCCCAAGATGGGATTTCAGCCCTGTTGTTAAATAAGCAAACAATCTAATCATGCCATAGAATAATAATAAAATGAAAGTGGAGAGACAAATCCAGGTCAACTCCCCACATTCAGCAGCTGCAGATACAGAGGCCCAGGGAGGCTGGGCCAGTTGAGGTCACTGAACTCCACTACAGGGGTAGCCGATATCTCTAAGTGGTAGAGTTGGGACACAGCTTCACAGATAATTAGTTCAGGGCTCTCAAACTGCTAAGTACATTAGAATCACCTGGAGAGTGTTAAAATCCCCATGCCCAAAACCGTCCTCCAGACCAGTGAAGTCATCAGTGGTTGGAAAGTTTCCCAGGTGATTCCAAATTGCAGCCAAGTTTGAGAACCACTGATCTAGGTCACTCCCCTTGTTTCTGCAGATACTGGGACCTAAAGAAGATGAGAGAATTTTGCTCAAGTTCCTAGAGCTAGTAAGTGTCTGAGCGGGGACAAACCTTTTCTTTTCTGACTCTCAATTTTGTCCTTTCCTTTCTCTGCTTTCTCAGTTCACTATTTTTTTAATTTGAGACAGAGTTTAGCTTTTGTCGCCCAGGCTGGAGTGCAATGGCGTAGTCTCGGCTCACTGCAACCTCCACCTCCCAGGTTCAAACGATTCTCCTGCGTCAGTCTCCCATGTAGCTGAGATTACAGGCACCTGCCACCATGCGCAGCTGATTTTTGTATTTTTAATAGATACAGGGTTTCACCATGTTGGCCAGGCTGGTCTCGAACTCCTGACCTCAGGAGACCCACCTGCCTTGGCCTCCCAAAGCACTGGGATTACAGGCGTGAGCCACTGCGCCTGGCCTCAGTTCACTATTCATACATGACATCACTTTGCCTTCCTCAGATATGTCCTTATTTCAGATCTTTGCAGAGGCATCTCCTTCTCATTAGCATCTCGGCTTCCATGCAACATTTCTTGAGAGAGGGTGCCCTGACCACCCATACCACCTCCCATATCAGAGCATCACTGTTTTTCTTTTGGGCACTTATCTCTGTCCAACATCATCCCATGTGTTGTCTGCTTTCCCCATTAGACCACATCTTGTTGGCCAGGGTCACAGTTCTCTTGCCAGCTCCTGCAATTGTCCCTGGCCTGTTGTAGTGGTCAGTAAATATTTGTGAAATAAAAGAATGTTGAATGGATTTTTAATAGTGACATTCTCCTAGATGGTTGTCTTCTAAGGGTATAATTTCAAGGGAAGTATACTTCCTATTATGTAAGTTGGAGAAAATATTATTTAATTTTGGGAAACATATTTTCCAGCTCAACTCTTCCAAATCACATCTGTTCCATCATGTGAGGCTCATCTGGGTGGACAATTTGAATTTACTTCAGCTGAAAAACTCCTAGGCTATTTAAAGGGACAACATTTTATCATGATCCAAAAATGGACTTTGATTAGACAATGGAGTGTGATTGGAATAAGAAAGTGCCATGTGACTAAATGGAAACATTTGCTGCCAGTGAAAATCAAATTATAATTGCTCTTCTTGCAGTTGGATGAATTAACAATGTGGCAATTAAAGAAAGCTTTCCAGGTGAATAATATTACATACATAAATTAACCAGGGCTGCAGGCTACACAATGATGGCCTTCAGTGTATTTGTGGGCCCTCATATTCATGAATTCTATAAAATGGCATAAAGGGACCCTAGGAATACTCAGAGGCCACAGCCAATTCTCAAATGTATTAATGGAAAGCTACAATAAACATGACCCCCATCCCATTCAATGGGGTGAATATATGTGGGGTTTAGAGCCTGGTTACTCAAAAGTGTTCTTCCTAGAGCAGCAGCATCAGCATCACCTTGAAGCCTTTTACACAGACAAAATTTCTGAGACCACGCTCCTGGCCTACTGAGCCAGAACATGCGCTTTAACAAGATCCCCAAGGGAATTCATATGCACGCACATTTGAGAAGAATCAGTCTAGATTTAGACTCTAGATCTCTGGACAAGTAGTTCTCAGTTGAAGATGGGGCACGATTTTGTCCCCAAGTGACACTTGACTGGAGACCTTTGATCATCACAACTGGGAATGGGCATGAAAGAGGGTGGAGGGTAGATGTTACTGGCATCTAGTAGGTAGAGGCCAGTGATGCTGCTCAATATCCTGCAATACACAAGACAGTCCCCCACCATAAAAGAATTACGCAGCATAAAAAGCCGGCCATACTGAGGCTGAAAACCCCTGCTCTAGACCAATAGACTCTGTTGTTTTAAATACTAACATTATGGGCAAAACCCAGTGGCTCAAGTCTGTAATCCCAGCACTTTGGGAGGCCAAAGTGGGAGGATCACTTGAGGCCAAGAATTTGAGACCAGCCTGGGCAACATAGCAAGACCCTGTCTCTACAAAAAAATTAAAAATCAGCTAGGTGTGGTGGCACACACCTGTAGTCCTGACTACTTGAGAGGCTGACGCGGGAGGATGACTTGAGCCAGTAGTTCCAGGCTGCAGTAAGCCAAGATCGCTCCATTGCACTCCAGCCTGGGCAACAGAGTGACAGCCTATCTCTATTAAGCAAATTATAGACTATAAGCATTGGCCAATGAGAACTAACTGCAGTATCCATAAAACTGAAACTTGAAAGATGAAATAATTTGAAAATCAGTAATAACTCAATAGCCATGCACATAACTGATGAGTGGCAAAAAAGAAAATCTATCTTGAGAAGCTAAGGATTTAATAGCAAAGATTTTTTTCTTTCTTTCTTCTTTTTTTTTTTTTTTTTTTTTTTTTGAGATGAGGTCTCACTCTGTCTCCCAGGCTGGAGTGCAGTGGTGTGATCATAGCTCACTGCAGACTTGAACTCCTGGGCTCAAGTGAAATTCTTCTGCCTTAGCCTTCTGAGTAGCTGGGACTAAAGGCATGAGCCATCACACCCAGCTGCAAAGATTTTTTTAAAAATAAACTAAACCCACTGTCATCAACCTCACCCTACTCGTCTCCTCCTGTCCTCTCTGCACCTTGCTCTGGTCAAAACATTGCTTCCTGCTTCCTGTAAACCTCCATGCCTTTGTGCAGTGTTTTCTCTGCCTGGAATGTCCTTTCCCCTCTCCTTCATCTGGCATATTTCTACCTCTTATAGCCCCAAAATGTCACTGGCTGCTGCTCTTCTGAGCACTGCCCCTTTCCCTCCTGGCCTCATTCCTCCCCTTTCAGCCTCCAGCATCTCTCACTATTGCACACACATTCCTGGGTGTCCATGTCTGTCCGTACCTGCCCTTTGCTTAAGAGCCTACCCTGGGGGAATTACCAGGACTGAATCCCACTCCAGAGTCTCTGTTCATTGGGCTGGGTGAGGCCTGGGCATTTGTATTTTCAAGCACCTAAGCCAGCGTTAAGAACCATTGTTCTCAGACAGAGGCCAGTCTCCTCAACTCAGGGAACTCTGAGGCTGCCCTAACCAGAGTCTCTATTTCAGAATCATTTCTCACCCTCAGCATCTTGACCTCTTTACTTCCTAGCCATATTCCCAAATGCTCCATTCACACACAAAACCAAAAGAACAACTGCAATAATTTTCCTTAATAACTTAAGTCTATTTGTTTAAATTTTGGAAAAGACAGGGAATGATGAAGCTGAAATTGATTCACCACTAATCCCAGAGCCAAGGGGTAACCACTGGCATATTTTAGTATTTCCTATCAGTACTGTCCTGGGGCATAGTCATCCATAAAGTCACACCCTGTCCTGCAGATGTGCCTCTCTTCATATGACTACTCCTCCTTGGAATGTCTGCCCCCACCTCCATCCCTTAGCAAGCTACTGGAAAGTCCTCCATGCCTTCACTCTAAGCGTCTTTTTCAACGTATTTTCCTGACTAATCTCAGGTAGATGGAATGTCTTCTCTCATATCTTCGTTTCTATAGGACTGTACATCCACCTTGATTTTGGTGCTGATTACAAGCTGAAAGTCTCCTGCAGGACTGTGAGATCTATGAGTGTAGGGATTCATGAATTTTTCTCATGCATGCTTTTTGGTTTGCATTTTAATCCCTGATGCATAGCACAGGGCCCGGCTGGAAGACAGCTGTAGTCAATGTTTATTGAATGTTGAATTTGCTTCCGCAATTGAATTAGAGAATAAGATATGCTCCTTGGTGAAGCCATTCTAGAGGGTGGCAGTTCAGCAATTGCTATGGCATATATATTTTAATCCCATATATATATATGTATTTTTTCTTTTTTTGAGGCAGAGTCTCACTCTGTCGCCCAGGCTGGAGTGCAGCGGCGCCATCTCGGCTCACTACAAGCTCCGCCTCCTGGGTTCATGCCATTCTCTTGCCTCAGCCTCCCGAGTAGCTGGGACCACAAGTGCCCGCCACCATACCCAGCTAATTTTTTTGTATTTTTAGTAGAGACGGGGTTTCACCGTGTTAGCCAGGATGGTCTTGATCTCCTGACCTCGTGATCCGTCCATCTCGGCCTCCCAAAGTGCTGGGATTACAGGCGTGAGCCACCACGCCCGGCCGGCCTACAAATATATTTTAATTTGGCTTTCTTCCTTTTTATGCTTAACATTATTCACCAGGCACAGTGGCTTATGCCTGTGATCTTTAGCACTTTGGGAGCTGAGGTGGGAGGATTGCTTGAGCTTAGGAGTTTGAGACTGGTCAAAATAGTGAGATCCCATGTCTAAAAAAATTTTTTTTTAATTAGCCAGGTATGGTGACACATGCCTGTAGTCCCAGCTATTTGGGAGGCTGAAATGGGAGGGTCGCTTGACCCCAAGTGGTCGAGGCTGCAGTGGGCTATGACTGCACTATTGCATTCCAGCCTGGGTGACAGAGCAAGACCCTGTCTCCCCCCCACAAAAAAAAAAAATTCACTGTTCTTTGCTTTTGCGTTACTAAACAATTCTATTTTGATTGAAATCAAAATGATAGCAAACAGGCATAGTGAGTTCTCTTTTATTCATGTGTTTTAGAATTAGGCTATATAAGAGATGGATGGATGGAGTTAAGGGGGCATGAGAGCAGCAGCTTTGCCCTTTAACAACAAGAACAAGGGCCAGGCACAGTGGCTCACGCCTGTAATCCCAGCATTTTGGCAGGCCAAGGCAGGCAGATTGCTTGAGGCCAGGAGTTTAAGATCAGCCCGGGTAACATGGCGAAACCCTGTCTCTACTAAAAATACAAAAATTAGCTGGGTGTAGTGGCAGGTGCCTATAATCCCAGCTACTTAGGAGGCTGAGGCATGAGAATTGCTTGAACCTGGGAGGCAGAGGTTGCAGTGAGCTGAGATCACACCATTGCACTCTAGCCTGGGTGACAGAGTGAGACGCTGTCTCAAGAAACAAACAAACAAACGCCTCCCCAAAACCCCAAGAACATACAGCTAGGGCCCTCCCAAGCCCCAGAGGGGACCTTTGAGCTCTTTGTGCTGAATAGACTTGGCTTTACCTGGGAATGATGCTTTACTCAGAGTATGCTTCTGTCTTAAAGGGGCTCCAACATTCACAGCAGAAACACCACAGAGGAACAAGAGGAGGACATATGAACTCTCGCATTAACAGTAACTGCATTAGTCCGTTCTCAGGCTGCTATAAAGAACTGCCTGAGACTGGGTAATTTATAAAGGAAAGAGGTTTAATCGACTTACAGTTCCTCATGGCTGGGGAGGCCTCAGGAAACTTACAATCATGGTGGAAGGGGAAGCAAACACATCCTTCTCCACGTGATGGCAGGAAGAAGTGCTGAGCAAAGGGGGAAAAGCCTCTTATAAAACCATCAGATCTCGTGAGAACAGGAGCATGGAGGTAATCGCCCCTGTGATTCAATTACTTCCCACCAGGTACCTCCCATGATACATGGGGATTATGGGAACTACAATTCAAGATGAGATTTGGGTGGGGACACAGCCAAATCATATCAGTTACTTTGTTCACAACTACCACAGTTATATGCATTTTCCCATTTATTATCTGGGGCATAAAGATCCCAAATAGCAATAGTGAAAATCAGTAGATTCTACATGAAAAATATCTACTATTTGAAATAAAATATTTAATCAACCTAAATTGTTAATATTCTTACATTCTTAAAAGGCTTGCCAGGTATAGTGGCTCATAACTGTAATCCCAGCTCTTTGGAAGGCTGAGGCAGGAGGATAGCTTGAGGCCAAGAAGTCCAAACAAGCCCAGGCAACATAGCGAGACTATCTCTACAAATAAAAATTAGCCGACATTGGCTGGGCATGGTGGCTCCCAGCACTTTGGGAGGCCGAGGCGGGCAGATCACGAGGTCAGGAGATCGAGACCATCCTGGCTAACACGGTGAAACCCTGTCTCTACTAAAAATACAAAAAATTAGCCGGGTGTGGTGGCAGGCGCCTGTGGTCTCAGCTACTCGGGAGGCTGAGGCAGGGGAATGGCACAAACCTGGGAGGCGGAGCTTGCAGTGAGCGGAGATCGCGCCACTGCACTCCAGCCTGGGCTACAGAGCCAGACTCCATCTCAATAAATAAATAAATAAATAAATAAATAAATAAATAAATAAATAAATAAATAAATAAAAATAAATTAGCCAACATTGGCTAATCTTAAAGATAGAGTCTCACTATCTCTACAAAAAGAGTCTTGCTGGGTGACACAGTGAGACCAGTGAGACTCTTTTTTTTTTTTTTTTTTTTTTTTTTGAGACAGGTTGTTGCTCTGTTGCCCAGGCTGGAGTGCAATGGCACAGTCTAGGCTTACAGCAGCCTTGACTTCCTGGGCTCACACGATACTCCCAGCTCAGCCTCCCAAGTAGCTGGGACTACAAGCATGTGTCACCATGCCCAGCTAATTTTTTGTATTTTTAATAGAGAAGGGGATTCGCCATATTGCCCAGGCTGGTATTAAGCTCCTGAGCTCAAGCAGTTTGCCCATCTTGGCTTCCCAAAATGATGGGATTACAGGCATGAGCCACTGAGCCTGGCCATGATTCTGTCTTTAAAAAAATAAATCAAATAAATAAAAGGCAAATGTTACCATGCCAGGGAAGTACAATAGGTAATTCAGAGCTTCAGAAAAGAAAAAAATGCTAAATTCTAAGCAAGGCAATGTCCTTACGTAAACTAATTATCGTTATTGACAATTAAGATAGCAAGACTGCCCCCTAAATCCTCCCTGACAGCTTCCATTACATTTTAGTATCACAAAAACTCTCTGCAGTCATTGTGTTAGAACTGCTTGCAATTGTGTCCTGACAATTTGTTGGCTCATAGGGGACTGGGATTAAAAAAAAACAATGAGCCGTTTCAATTGCATTTCAACAAAAAATGGGACACTGCTGTTTGCAGCTTCCTCCAAGCTAAATTTCAAGGGACAAAATGAGGTTGATATTTGAACACGGGCTGATGCTGACTTGTTTGTTCTGCTAGGCCCGGCCATTGGCGTCTATGCTAGATGAAGGGTGCTTCCAGACCAAGTTCGTTTCTAGAACTTTTGAGGAAACTAGCTTTGGAGTCAGACAGACCTCTTCAGTATGATCTTGGGTAAATTATTTCACCTTTCTGAGCCTCAGGTTTTTTGTTAAAATAAGGCATAATGATACAAACTCATGCCAAGGGTATCTTGGGATTGAATGAGATCTGGCATACAAGCACTTAGCACAGTGTCTGCAGTGTGTGGTCTCAGTAAATGGTGGCAATTATGATAGCTCCACATTGTATCCATCATAATACATTTATGAATGTCCTGGGTGTCCTGAGTCAGGTCTGAACCTTTTCAGAGTTCATGAACCCCTGGAGGAGCTAAGAGCTTGCCCACAGGTAGACCTGGTTGACTCCTTTTTCAGGTCTGGACTTGGAGTTCCAAAGAAAGTCAGAAATAGATAGAAAACAAAAGATTAAAGAAATCTTTTCATTGGTTCTCCAGAGCTAAGTCTTGGGATTTTACTCTCCAGAGACAGTAGCCTTCTTTAATAATCTAGGTGTTATTCTGGGATTACTTAGAATGAATTCTCCTAAATCTTTAATTTTAAAGACCCCAAATAAAGACTTTACTATGTTTTCTGTTGAGCCTGATTGACTGAAGGTTTTGATGGGGAATATTATTCCTAATGCTACACCGGAGATACTCAAAATAGTAGTGACTCAGAGTGTGGCAGCTTACATCTGTAATCCCAGCATTTTGGAAGGCCAGGGTGGGAGGATCACTTGAGCCCAGGAATTGGAGACCAGCCTAGGCAACATAGGGATACATGTCTCTATAAAAAAGAGATATGTATCTTTTATATTAAAAAAAAAAACACGGGATACCTTGTCCCTATAAAAAATTTTAAAAAGTAGCCAGGTGTGGTGGTGTACACCTGTAGTCCCAGCTACTTATAAGGCTGAAGCAGAAAGATCAGTTGAACCTGGGAGGTCGAGGCTGCAGTGAGCCGTGATTACACTACTGCCCTCCAGCCTGGGCAACAGAGCAAGACCTTGTCTCCAAAAAATAAATAAATAAACAAATAAAAAGAAAAGAAAAATACTAAAATTAAAAAAAATAGTAGTGACTAAGACAAGATGAAATTTCATCTCACTCTCGTATAATAGTCACATAAGTGTCCAGGGCTGGCATGGTGGCTCCACAATCCTCAGGAGCCCTAGGCTCCTCCGATCTTACTGCTTTTCTGTCTGTAATGTGTGACTTTCACCTCTTGGTCCAAGATGGCTGCTCCAGCTCCCACAATCCCAAGCAATGGGAATGGGGAGGGGAGGGAAATGCAGAGTGAGGCTATAACCCTTTCCTTTTAGGGCAAAACTTGAAAGTTCACCCCAACACTTATTTTCATTCCATTGCCTGAACTTAATCACACACCCACATCTGCCTGCAAAGAATACTGAGAAATGTGATCGTGATTTGGGATGGGCATGTGCCCAGCTAAAAACTGGAGATTCGGTTAGTATGTGAAAGAAGGGAAAGATAGAAGGAAAAAGACAACAATCTTTGTCAACATTCACCATCCATGCAAGCCCACTGCTGTCAGAGATGAACGGGGATTGTATCTCATGACAAAAGCTTCACTAGCTCACACACTTTCAGTGACTTTTTCCTGATTGTGTTTCCTACATTCACAAAACACTTCTGGCTGAAAAACAGTGGCCGTCCCAGTCATTGACTACCACATGTGTTATTGAAGAAATTTTCCTACATTAAAATATTTTTAAGGCTGGGTGCAGTGGCTCATGCCTGAATTCCAGCACTTTGGGATGCTGAGGCTGGAGGATCACTTGAGCTCAGGAGTTTGAGACCAGCCTGGGCAACATAGTGAGACCTTTTTTTTTTTTAATTAAAAGAAAAAAAAATCTTAAAAAAAAGGTTGTGAAAGTAAAATATAGAAAAAACTTAATACAAA
The DNA here is from genome assembly GCF_000001405.40 of Homo sapiens. Lineage (NCBI taxonomy): Eukaryota > Metazoa > Chordata > Mammalia > Primates > Hominidae > Homo > Homo sapiens. The sequence goes on from NC_000002.12 coordinate 222,762,782, forward strand.
AAGATAGCTTCTCTATAGTCTCATCCATCCAGAGGTAAAACTGAAAACTGTTAGCATTTTGGTGTATACTTTTCATGTGATTTTATATTATTTCTCTTTATACATATGTAATATATATAGAATTATACCATATGAGTTAATTTAAAATTTCCTCAGTTGCTTTATATGTCAATTACATGTTTTCATTCCATCAGCTATTCTTTCTTTCTTTTTTTTTTTAAGAGACAGAGTTAGGGTCTTGCTCTGTTGCCTAGGCTAGAGTACAGAGGCACAATTATAGCTCACTACAGACTTCAACTTCTGGGCTCAAGTGATCCTCTCTCCTTGGCCTCCCAAAACACTGAAATTTCTGGCCATCAGGTATTCTATAGCATCATTTTTCCTGTTTTGTAAGGTATCATTTACATACAATAAAACTGGCCAATTTTAAGTGAAAAGTTTGATGACTTTGGGTAATAGTATACAATCTTGAGATCATCATAACAAGATAAAGAACAGTTCTTAATTTTAAAAAGTTATCTGTGGCTGGGTGCGGAGGATCACGCCTGTAATCCCAGCACTTTGGGAGGTCGAGGCAGGCAGATCAGGAGGTCAGGAGTTCCAGACCAGCCTGGCCAACATGGTGAAGCCCCATCTCTACTAAAAATACAAAAATTAGCCAGGCGTGGTGATGCACACCTGTAATCCCAGCTACTCAGGAGGCTGAGGCAGGAGAATTGCTTGAACCTGGGAGGCGGAGGTTGCAGAGAGCTGAGATCGCACCACCACCCTCCAGCCTGGGTGACAGAGCAAGACTCTGTCTCAGAAAAAAAATAAAACAAATAAAAAAGACAAAGTGCATTCTTAAATAAGGGCTCCCAAATTTGTCTCACTGAAGGATGCCTATTGATGTGCGAAAGCTTCTGAACATATTTTCATATTGTGTTGCCTCTTTGATTTAATTGTTGTATTTATTATATTAGAGACAGGGTCTTGAACTCCTGGTCTCAAGCAATTCTCCTGCCTGGGCCTCCCAAAGTGCTGGGATTATAGGTGTTAAGGCCACTGTGCCGGCAAATTGCCTCTTTTAAAAGACTCTTTATAAAAGGTAAATGAAAAGCTTAAGTGATAAGGAAAATTGAATCTGCTAATCTTTTGGCTTAGTTACTGTTGTGTTCTAAAGGTTAAAGAAAGCTGTCCTGGGTATTTGTACATATAAAGTGTTTATAAAAGGTAAGCCCTCAGGTTAAGTAGGTTTGTTTCTTTTTCAGATCTGCCCATGCTGAGTCCATACATACAGAATGCCTTTTTCACCATCTTGCTTGATTGGTTCTCTGCTAAACTCGGTAATTTTAACTAAGAAATAGAAGCTACATTTTTCATTCTTTTTTTTTTTTTTTTTTTTTTCGAGACTGAGTCTTTCTCTCTGTCGCCTAGGCTGGAGTGCAGTGGTGTGATCTCCGCTCATGGCAACCTCCACCTCCCAGGTTCAAGCGATTCTCCTGCCTCAGCCTCCGAAGTAGTTGGGATCACAGGCATGTACCGCCACACCGAGTTAAATTTTTTTTTGTTTAGTAGAGAAAGGGTTTCACCATGTTGGCCAGGCTGGTCTTGAACTCCTGACCTCAGGTGATCCACCTGCCTTGGCCTCTCAGAGTGCTGGGATTACAGGCATGAGCCACTGTGCCCGGCCAGAAGCTAATATTTTTTTCTTTTTTTTTTTAGACGGAGACTCATTCTGTTGCAAGGCTGGAGTGCAGTGACGCAATCTCGGCTCACTGCAACCTCTACCTCCCAGGTTCAAGCGATTCCCCTGCCTCAGCCTCCTGAGTAGCTGGGACTATAGGCGCATACCACCATGCCCAGCTAATTTTTGTATTTTTAGTAGAGATGGGGTTTCACCATGTTGGCCAGGATGGTCGCAATCTCTTGACCTTGTGATCCGCCCACCTCGACCTCCCAAAGTGCTGGGATTACAGGTGTGACACCCTGTCTGGCCAGAAGCTAAATTTTTAAAAAATAAACAAACACCCTTGAACCAGATGGGTCTCCAAAATATACCTTTCTGGCATTCAACTGGCTATTTTTAAAGACTTTTGTTAAAACGATTTATATCCATAAAGGAAATCTCCTTCTGTGAGGATGTCTGCCTCTGTGCACCTGGAAAAAGGGGAGGGCTGAGACAAGTCTTACCTTCGTTTAGGTGCTTTTCCTGGCCAACGTGTCTTGAAATTGAGCTTTCAGCTATACTCTCTAGGTTTGGGCAAATTATGGTACAATATTTAGGCCTGAAGTCTGGCTTTCTGCTTTTTGTTGTTATTGTTGTTGTTTGTTTTTCTGTTTTTTTGAGACAGAGTCTCGCTCAGCTGCCCAGGCTGGACTGCAGTAGTGCGATATCAGCTCACTGCAACCACCATCTCTACGGTTCAAGCGATTCTCCCGTCTCACGTCTCAGCCTCCCAAGTAGCTGGGATTACAGGCACCCACCATGACTCCCAGCTAAATTTTATATTTTAGTAGCGACAGGGTTTTACCATATTGGCCAGGCTGGTCTTGAACTTCTGACCTCAGTTGAACCCCCCTCCTCGGCCTCCCAAAGTGCTAGGATTACAGGCGTGAGCCACTGCACCTGGCCATGCTTTCTGCTTTTGAGATGAGATGTATGAATACATTTTTTCTGCCTTGTTTCACCTAGAAGCCATCCATTTGAGGGTGCAGATTTTGGGTTGCTTAGCTGACCATTGTTTAGGCAATTAAACAGTTAATTGGAAAACCGATGGTCAAAAAGGAAGAAATGTATTAAGATTTAGAACAGAAGAAACAAATAAAACAACTACAGAATGAGAATAAAATTACTGAGGTTATAAAAATACAGATTTAACAAGTTTTTTGTAAACTAGCATTAATTAATGGCACTAATGACTTACTGACCCAATATCAGAAAATACTCTTTAAATGTCCTGAAGTCCCTTGGAAAGGTAAATCTTGTCTGAAATGCTGACATCCAGCGAATTAGGTAAGCAGCATTCCAGCTGAAATAAGATCTGAAATAAGTTAAAACTCTTTAAATGCTCAAACTACCTGCTTTGGATTCCCTGTAGGATTTTAAAAAAGGAATGGGCACAGTGGCTCACGTCTGTAATCCCAGAATTCTGGGAGGCCAAGGTGGGAGAATTGATTGAGCCCAGGAGCTCGAGACCAGCCTGGGCAACATGGTGAAACTCCATTTCTACCAAAAATACAAAAACTTAGCCAGGCATGGTGGTGCACACCCGTAGTCCCAGCCACTTGGGAGGCTGAGGTGGGAGGATCACCTGAACCCAGGAGGTCAAGGCTGCAGTGAGCTGTGATTGTGCCTCTGCACTCCATCCTGGGTGACAGGGCAAGACGCTGTCTCAAAAAGAAAAAAAGAAAAGAAAAAAGAAAGGCTCTCCACTCTAGAACATTGTCTAGGATTTAGTCCTTTACCATTGCAGGCTAAGTTCGATTCCTGTTCAAGGAACCAGTCCCACTTGCTTTAATTTATTCCTATGATTTATGTTACCTTGGCATTCGTTTCAATTCCCCTTTAAAATGCCCAGGCTTCTTGGAGAGGCTTGAGTTCTCCGAGTGTGCTAGAGTGTAAATATGCTACCTCGTTTTCTCTAAAATTCGGTAAGGGTTTCAGCCATGTGGAGAAGATAAGTTTCAGCCTGTTCCATTTGTAGAGATACAGTTTGAATCCAACTGACCCTTTAAACTAGTGAGTTTTACCTGATTCATGGCTAAAGTTTTAAAACTAAAGCTATAAAATCCTTATGTCTGTCTATATTTTTGTGTATACATGTGTACACACATCTGTTTGTGTATTGTCTATAGTACAAATTTGGCTTATAAATAAAGGAGCATTCATAAATTAATTAAATAAGCCAGATGCTTTTCAAGTTCACATGACTTAGTAATCTTTTGTTGGATGGGACAAGTCTAATATTATTGGTTTGATGGGAATGACTGTTTCTTCTCAATTATCAGCAAAATGCGCATGTATTAAGTTTAAAGTTCTTGCTTTTATGATACTTGCCTGGCATACAGTAATGTAAAATTGGTTGACAGGCCGGGCATGGTGGCTCATGCCTGTAATCCCAGCACTTTGAGAGGCCAAGGTGGGCAGATCATGAGGTCAAGAGATTGAGACCATCCCGGCCAACATGGTAAAACCCTGTCTCTACTAAAAATACAAAAATTAGCTGGGCACGTTGGCGTGCGCCTGTAGTCCCAGCTACTCAGGAGGCTGAAGCAGGAGAATCCCTTGAACCCGGGTGGCAGAAGTTACAGTGAGCCAAGATCGTGCCACTGCACTCCAGCCTGAAAACAGAGCAAGACTCCATCTCAAAAAAAAAAAAAAAAAAAAAAATTTGGTTGATAGAAAATTTAGCTTGGGATGGTAGCTAGATTAGTCTAGAGTTTCATAAAGTTTTCCAAATATGATTGCTAAGAGTAAATGAATATAAAGGGGATAACAGTTTGTAAGTGAACTTCTGATAATGGTTATGTTTTGTAATATGTTTACCTAGAAATATTTCTCAAATCTCTTTAGTAGCTATACCCTTAGGGGTTTGCTAAGCTAAATTAAATGACAGAAGTTCATTGACTGGCTAGATCCTTTCCAGATAAGATGTAATGCTGAGACTAATCACATGCTGAATAAGAGTTTAGACTCATATACTTTTGGCTTCTTATTTCAGAAGAACAAAAGTTCTGAGGATCTGTTAGTAAAAATGTTCCTATTCCATATTAAAGAGTTGTTCTGTTGAAAAGCGTATGTCGCTGGACTTGTAAAATGTGTAGTCACGGATTGTGGGTACGTGATTGAAAGTAAGTTGCTTATTTTAGCCAAGCACAGTGGCCCACACCTATAATCCCGGCACTGCGGGAGGCAGAGGTGGGAGTATAGCTTGAGCCGGGGAGTTTGAGACCAGCCTGGGCAGCACAGTGAGACTCTGTCTCTGAAAAAAAAAATTGCTTATTTCCTAGGTGTTCACTGAAAATTAGAGTGCTAAGAGTTAACATTGTAATAAGTATATATATTGAAAACTGCTATATGTAAGACAAACAATTCTATGTAAAAAGTGTGTATAGGCTCGGCCCAGTGGCTCACGCTTGTAATCCTAGCACTTTGGGAGGCTGAGGCAGGTGGATCACCTGAGGTCAGGAGTTCCAGACCAGCCTGGCCAACATTGTGAAACTCCCTCTCTACTAAAAATACAAAAAATTAGCCAGGCGTGGTGGTGTGTGCCTGTAATCCCAGCTACTCCGGAGGCTGAGGCAGGAGAATCGCTTGAACCCAGGACGCAGAGGTTGCAGTGAGCTGAGATGGCGCTACTGCACTCCAGGCTGGGGGACAGAGCAAGACTCTGTCTCAAAAAAAAGTAGTGTGTATAAGGACAATAGGATGTGTTTTTGGTTAAAAAAAAAAAAAAGGTTATAACCTCTTAACCACATGCAAATGTGGTTTTTGTTAAAGGCAAAGTAATTTTGTCTAGTTTAGAGGTTTTTAAAAGTTGCTTTAAATGGAAGGAAAAGAGACAGATAAAACTAACTGGAGGCTGGGCGCAGTGGCTCATGTCTGTAATCCCAGCACTTTGGGAAGCTGAGGCATTGAGGATCACATGAGGTCAGGAGTTCCAGACCAGGCTGGCCAGCATGATGATACTCTGTCTCTACTAAAAATACGAAAATTAGCCAGGTGTGGTGGTGCGTGCCTGTAATACCACCTCCTCGGGAGGCTGAGGCAGGAGAATTTGAGCGGCAAAAGTTACGATGAGCTGAGATTATGCCACGGTACTCCAGCCTGGGCAACAGAACAAGACTTTGTTTCGAAAAAAAGAAAACAAAAAAACCTAAATGGATATAGAAGTTAAAAAAACAAATAATGGGAAAAATTGTAAGAGGTTATAAAAAGTTTATAAAAATCTTACATTTTGTGTTCTAAGCTGAATTGAGATTGGATGGATTTGTTTATAAGGTTTTGTTAAAATTATCTTTAGCATTAAAAATATACTGAGGCAAAGGTAAAATTCGGTTTTCTCTTTTGAGCAAGATTTTTGTGTAGCATTAATGAAAGATAGTAAATATTTTTGTTTACCTTTTAAGCCAACTGCAAAAAATAAAATAAAATAAAAAGAAGAGAGACAGATTCCATTCGTTTCATGCTGTCTTTATTAGGTTTCTGATTGTTTGAAAAAAATGAATCTCTTCTCTATCAAAGAGTAAAGGTTTCTGCTTTTTTAAAATCTTTGAATTTAAAATCTTTGAATATCAATTTGCCTATATGAATGACTATTATTTTACAGTGACCTGTAAGTCTATTTCGATCAAGTGTTTTAAATCTTTAATATTGACAAACTTTCCAAAATCAAATTTCAAATTCTAAATTCAGTCTTTTTAACCTCAAATAATTATTTGAATATTAGGACCTGTAGAAGTCTAAGAGATCCATATTAGGCTTATTTGGTATATTAAAATCATATGCGAAACATTGTCAAATAAAAAATGGTGTTTAACTTTGTTTGGGTTATGTATTAGTTTGTTTTCACGCTGCTATAAAGATATACCCGAGACTGGATAATTTATAAAGGAAAGAGGTTTAATTGATTCATAGTTCCACATGGCTGGGGAGGCTTAGATCAGCCACTCGCTGTTCTCAAAGACAGTGACCCTTTGCTCATTACAATAGTAAAAAAAAAAAAAAAACCTCTGGATGGAGATATAAGAAGCTAATGAGACATTCGAGGTATGAACAAGCATGTACAGCTACTGCACATGTGCACCCAGAGGACCAACCAGAACATGCTTACTAGCAACACCTCTTCCCACCTCCTTATGAATGATCGTGTAAGGGAGCCTCCTTCGTGCCAGCCTCTGCTGTCTCATCCTTATGAGCAGCCGCCCTGAATCCTCTCCCTCTTAGGGTGTACTGTCTATTCTGTGCTTTCAAAATATTCTTTCTCCTTTACGATAAGTTGTTCTATGCTGCATCTCCTTTGCTGTGTGTCTCCTGTTTAAAATATTTTAAACTAGGAAGACAAGAACTGAGGTATCACAGCAGCCGGTCAGATCCTGAGAGGACCTGAGACTGTCACTTTCACCACCTGCAGGTCACCATTTTACTCTTCAAAAATTGCTTCTAAAAAAAATTTTTTTTTCAATAGTTTTGGGGGAACAGGTGGTTTTTGGCTACATGGATAAGTTTTTTAGTGGTGACTTCTGAGATTTCGGTGCACCCATCACCTAAGCAGTGTACACTGTACCCAATGTGTAGTCTTTTATTCCTTACCCTGCTCCAGCCCTTCTCCCTGAGTCCCTAAAGTCCATTATCTCATTCTTATGCTATTGCGTCCTCATAGCTTAACTCCCACTTACAAGTGGGAGTTAAGCTTATATGATAACATTCGGTATTTGGTTTTCCATTCCTGAGTTACTGTACTTAGAATAATGGTCTCCAACTCCATCCAGGTTGCTGCAAATGCCATTATTTCATTCCTTTTTAATGGCTGAGTAGTATATATACTCATATATATATATGTATATATACATATATATATACTCATATATATATATGTATATATACATATATATATACATATATATATATATATGCCACATTTTCTTTATCCACTTGTTGATTGATGGGCATTGTATTAGTCTGTTCTCACACTGCTAATAAAGACATACCCGAGACTGGATAATTTATAAAGGAAAGAAGTTTAATTGACTCACAGTTCCGTATGGCTGGGGAGGCCTCATAATAATGAAGAGCAAAGTCACGTCTTACATGGCAGCAGGCAAGAGAGCTTATGCAGGGTAACTCCCGTTTGTAAAGCCATCAGATCTCATGAGACTTGCTCACTACCATGAGAACAGTATGGGGGAAACTACCTCCACGATTCAATTATCTCCATGCCCTGCCCTTGACATGTGGGGATTATTACAATTCAAGGTGAGATTTGGGTGAGGACACAGGCAAACCATATCAGGCATTTAGGCTGGTCCCATATTTTTTCAATTATGAGTTTTGCTGCTATAGACGTGTGGGCAAGTGTATTTTTCATATAATGACTTCTTTTCCTCTGGGTAGATACCCAGTAGTGGGATTGCTGGATCAAATGGTAGTTCTACTTTTAGTTCTTTAAGGAATCTCCACACTGTTTTCCCTAGTGGTTGTACTAGTTTACATTCCCATCAGCAGTGTAAAAGTGTTCCCTTTTCACCACGTCCACGTCAACATCTATTATTTTTTCATTTTTACATTATGGACATTCTTGCAGGAGTAAGGTGGTATCTCATTATGGTTTTAATTTGCATTTCTCTGATAGTTAGTGATGTTGAGCATTTTTTCATTTGCTTGTTGGCCATTTGTATATTTTCTCTTGTGAATTGTCTATGTATGTCCTCTGCCCACTTTTTGATGGGATTATTTGCTTTTTTCTCACTGATTTGTTGTCATTCTTCAAAAATCGTTGAGGCAAAACAGAGTTAAGGAACATCAGAGGAAAGAGCAAAATAAGCACTTTGTTTTTTAGGCAAAAATCTATCCATTGTTTTTTGTTTGTATGCTCTCACTATGTTGCCAGGCTGGTCTTGAACTCCTGGGCTCAAGCGATCCCCTCATCTTGCCAACCTATTGTTACTGTCAGTTCTTATAAGTAAAGGCTCAGGGGACAATGAAATTTTTATTTAAATTATCTTTAGACAAACAGGTGTGTACTTTTTTTCTTTCCTTTTTTTTAAATGGAGCCTTGCTCTGTCACCCAGGCTGGAGTGCAGTGGCACAATCTCGGCTCACTGCAACCTCTGCCTCCTAGGTTCAAGTGATTCTCCTGCCTTAGCCTCCCAAGTAGTGGGACTATAGGCGCATGCCACCACACCTGGCTTATTTTTGTATTTTTAGTAGAGACAGTGTTTCACCATGTTGGCCTGGCTGGTCTCAAACTCTTGACCTCAAGTGATCCAGCCCGCCTCTGCCTCCCAGAGTGCTGGGATTACAGGTGTGAGCCATCACGCCTGGCCAAGGTGTGTACTTTCCTTGGGAAGATTCTGCCACACTTTCTTGCTATAGCCCGAGGACTATAGTGTGTATGTGTGTGTGAGTATGAGTGTGAGAGTGTGTGTGTGTATGTGAGCATGAGTGGGTGTGTGTGAGTGCATATGTGTGTGTATGACAGTGTGTGTGAGTGTGAGTGAAAGTGGGTCTGTGTGTGTGTATGAGAGTGTGTGTGTGAGGGAGCATATGTGTGTGTAAGTGTGAGATTGTGTGAGAGCGTATGTGTGTGTGTGTGAGGTTGTATGTGAGAGAGCGTATGTGTGTGTGAGTGTGAGAGTGTGTGTGAGTGTGAGTGAAAGTGGGTCTGTGTGAGTGTGTAATTGTGTGTGTGTGTGTGTGTGTGTGTGTGTATGTGAGAGAGACAGCATGCAGTGAGGGGTGGGGAACAGGAAACCGAGTTTGAGAACAAGATAAACATAAACATGGAACTGATGGGATCATCCACCTTCATAGTGACCCAGCTCACAGATGGTTTGAAAACGAGGCATTAATTCATTCTTAGTCTCATTAGGAGCCTCATTAATTTCTTTAGCAAACTTTGCTGTGTTCCTTCACTGTTCCAGGTTCCTAGATGCTGGCAATGCCAGGATGGATGAATTACTTTCCTTGGCCCGGAGAGCCTCACCGTCTAGAAAGAGATACAGACGTGCAAATAATTGCAAGAGATTCCTCCAGGCAGCTGAGTGCACCTTCTGCATACCTTTGATATCTAATATTCAAGTCATATCCCAGCCCTTGCTCCCCACAAGCAGACAGAACCAAGAATTCTTCAACCTCTTCTGTCCTGAGACCCTGCCTGGGGCTCTCCTGATTCTCTCAGCCACCAAGCTCACCTCCCAGTCTGTACTTTGGGCTTTTCCTCTCTCTGCAGGTATGAAGTGGTCTACTCTGTTGCCGCATCTTGTCTTGGGCTCTATTAGGGGCTGAACCATGTCCCCCACAATCAATCCTGAGTACCTCTGAATGTAACCATATTTGGAGATAAGATCTTTAACGAGGTGATTAAGTCAAAATGAGGCCTTTAGGGTGGGGACCTAATCCAATATGACTGGTGTCCTTACAAAAGAAGAGCCACCCGGGATGCATGCCTGCATCACACACAGAAAAGGCCATGTGGGGACGCAGGGAGAAGGCGGCCGGCTGCAAGCCAAGGAGAGAGGTCTCGGGAGAAACCAACACTGCCAAAATCTTGATCTTGGACTTCTAGCCTCCAGAACTGTGAGAAGGTAAATTCCTGTTGTTTAAGCCACTCAATCTGTGACATTTTATTATGGCAGCCAGAACAAACTAATACAGCCTCTAACTCAGTCTTTCCATCTGAATAAAGCAGCCTTGTACCAATAAATGCTCTGAGCCCTGTTACCCAACTGATCAGGGACAGAAGGAACAGGACTTAGTGACCGATCGAATGTGGGGGGCAGTGATGTGAGGGACTCACAACGAGGTTCAGATTTGATTGAGCTGGGGCTGAACCCACTGCTGTTGAGGATGCGGCCAGACACTGATGGAGTGCTGCTGTCTGACATTGCCTTTTCAGACTCCACAGAATACCTTTCCCCACCAGACTAGATCATGGTTTTCTCTATATGATTAGATGGATGAAAATGAATCATATGTGAGTGAACCCAGGTTCCCTCTCCCCTCCTCCCAAAAAGGAATTTGGCTTCACTTACTCAGTTCTTTTCTCCCCTAGTCCTCCAACCGGGTCTTTCCTTGAAGGATTGACTCCTTTTGGCTTTTTCTGGCACAGACTTGGAAAAACTGGAGAAGGAAAAAGAAGTGAGGAAGCGCAAAGGCTAGAGCTGAGGGAAGTGTATTTTTCCCAGGGAGGGTTGGTGAATGGCGCAGAGGTCTCTGTCATCTTTAAATGAGGTTGTTGGGAAAGGAAAGAACATTTTTAAGAAGCACTTCTATGGGTACATATCCCTTTGTGATATTCAAAAAGACCAAGAGCTTGAGATTTTTTGAAATTACTTTGATTGCTGGAATATCCTCCTTTGAAGGGAACACTGTCCTGAGATGGATCACTTGGATCACGGATTCAACTGGGTTACATTTGCATTCTAGGCGTGATGATTCCCTTTGGACTGATTAGACCAAGAGACTTTTGGTTATAGGGCTTGAGACAATCCCCCTTCAGCTTCTCACATGTTAAACCTTCTTTCCGTTTATATCCATGCCATCACAGCATAGCAGACTCTAGCTTGCTTGGCACTATCATCTATAAATCCACAATTGCAACCCCACATTAATCCAACTCCCTGGCACATGGTTCATGGTCTTATAACTCATAAGAGTTATAAATTCTTTTTTTTTTTGAGACGGAATTATGCTTTGTCACCCAGGCTGTCACTCCAGGCTGGAGTGCCTTGCCCAAGATGGGCAAGGCTAGTCTTGAACTCCTGACATCAGGTGATCTGCCTGCCTTGGCCTCCCAAAGTGCTGGGATTACAGACATGGGCCACTGCGCCTGGCCTAAATTCTTACATAAAGTGTAACTTTCACAAGGATTCATATGCCTAGAAAAAATGTCAGAAGAATATACCCCCAAATACTAACAGTGGCTGTTAATAGTGTTGAGACTGTTTCCTTTTTCAATTTTCATCTGTATTTTCTAGATAGTCTATATTTCCCACATATATTACTTTTATAAAAAAGGAAAAAATTATTTAAATATTATAATTTTTTAATATTAAAGGATAAAAGGAATCACAGAAATTACCAGATACATTTCGATCTGATAACTGATAGATAACAATAGTAAGTAGGCCAGGCACGGTGGCCCACACCTGTAATCCCAGCACTTTGGGGAGGCCAAGGCAGGCAGATCACTTGAGGTCAGGAATTCGAGACCAGCCTGGCCAACATGGCGAAACCCCATCTCTACTAAAAATACAAAAATTAGCTGGGTTAGGTGGCAGGTGCCTGTAATCCCAGCTACTCGGGAGGCTGACACAGGAGAATTGCTTGAACCTGGGAGGCGGAGGTTGCAGTGAACCGAGACCACCCCACTGCACTCCAGCCTGGGAGACAGAGCGAGACTCTGTCTCAACAACAACAAAAAAAACTAAGTAGCCCAGGTCTGCATTCTAACATAAGTTGACCATTGTGATAGCACAACTTTACAATACACTTGTTAATGTCTTTTATTCCCAACTCTTTTGAAAATTTCACTGCACTCCATTTGCCTCTCTCTCCCCTTCCACTTGGGACCTCAGGGCATGTTTCAATGACTCATTCATTTAATTCCTGTCATGCAGAAATGCATCTTCTGCTAGGCAGCCCTTGAAGTCACCTCTTGTGTCACCCAGTGCTCCCATAGCACAGCACTCAGCAGATTGCATTGTAATGCCTGTTTGCCAGCTTCTTTTTCTCACTAAACAATAAACTGCTCAAGGGCAGAGACCATGTCCATGTTATTTCTCATGATAAATCCAACACCTGAGGCAGTATCTGGTGTAGTCCTGGGATCTATTATTTGCAACCCAGACCCACTCTCCGCCTCCTCTGTTCTGCTCTGTGCCCTGGGAAGTTGGCCCACAGTGACACCAACCAACTCCTTTGCCCTCTGGCTTTCAGGTGGGTTTGGCCCAGGGGTGGAGTAGGTTTTGTTGGGGCTTAAAGCTCACAGCATCTTCGGTGTTTTCCTTAAGAAAATAAGATTATAGGCCAGGCATGGTAGTTCATGCCTGTAATCTCAGCATTTGGGGAGGCCAAGGTGAGAGGATTGCTTGAGGCCAGGGTTTCAAGACCAGCCTGGCCAATATAGTGAGACCCCATCTCTATTATAAAACATATTTTTTAAATAAAAAGATTATAAAATTATGAATATAAAATAAGGTACAAAAGTAAATATTTTCAATAAGAAAAAAATACATCCTGAAAAATAGCATCATATTTTTTGTCAATGAACTTCCTGATATGCCTCTGTAATCATTTTTCCCCTACATTTTTGGTCTGAATTCTCTTGAGTGCCTCTTCATGTGACAACAGTTTTGTAATATTATGTACAATGAAGAGACTAGATAATTCAATTTTTCTTCTGGCACAGTGTACTATTTTTTAAAAGTTCTTTTATCTCATAGCCTATTACTGGTGACATCATTTAAATTTCTAGTATTTTTGTCAAATTCAGGAAATACATTGGCAATGTGTTTTTTTTTTGTTTTTCCCCTAGATGAGTTGTAAGGGTTGAAGAAATGTTCTGACTGGCTTCTGGATCTTTTCAACTCGATCCCTTAGCCCCTTCCCCATACACACACACACACACACACACGCACACACATACTCCACAGGACACAGTGACATCACAGTGTGACTCTGATCCTGCACAGAGTATGGTAGGAGTATTCCTGAAAATTCCTCCACTGGAAAGGAAAAGACACAGATAGGACTGTGAGCCACATGCATTTCCCCCCAAATGCAAAGTAAGCATATCTCCAAGTCAACTTCCCCTCAGCAGGACCCTTCAAATACCCATGATCATTTTCAGTACCACATGATATAGGAGAAGTCTAGTGGAGAGTGTGAAGAGACAGCAAACTTAACTAGCTGCAGGTGTGTTACATTTGGAGGCTGGGCATGGTGGCTCACACCTGTAATCCCAGAACTTTGGGAGGCCAAGGTGGGTAGATCACTTGAAGTCAGGAGTTTGAGACCAGCCTGCGCAACATGGTGAACCCCCATCTCTACAAAAAATACAAAAAAAGAAAAAAAAATGGCTGGCTACAATGGCGTGCACCTGTGCTCCCAGCTACTGGGGAGACTGAGGCAGGTGAATTCCTTGAGCCTGAGAGGTGGAGGTTGCAGTGAGCTGAGATCACGCCATTGCACTCCAGCCTGGGTGATGGGAGTGAAACCCTGTCTTTAAAAAAAAAAAAAAAAAAAAAAGAATAAAGGTGTGTTACATTTGGACATTTTACAAAAACCCCATGACCATGCGAACATTGCTAGGGCCCACCCAGAGTCTTAGAAGGGACCAGTGTACATGAAAGTTGCTGCTGGTTAACAGTCATTAGCTTCATGGCAAATCCACCTCTGGTTCTAGCAGTGGGAAACATTAACAGCAGGTCAGAGAGAGGGAGGAGGATAAAGGTAGGATATTTATTTCCCTGGCTTCCTCCCAGTAGGGTTGCTGCAAGCTGGCTAAGTCCTGCAACGAAGGTCACAGCTCCTGTGAGGTCGCCCTCTTCATAGAGAGGCCGCTATGCCCAAGTCCTAGTAACTGCTTTATCCTCTTGTCCTTTGAGGCTTAGGAATGGCAATAGAGCCCACTACATTATTCCTTGTGGTTTCCCTATAGTTTCCTGAACCTTTTAAACACTCTGTTTATTAAACTCTCCTCAAGCTCTTAACTGCTTCCTTTGTTTTCTCTAGGGTTTCTGGCTGATAAAGGTATATAGGAGGTTCTGAAATGTTATTGAGTGAATGAATAAATTAGCACTAGAAAAAAAGCATGGACTTTGGAAGAGGACCAGAATTTAAAACCAGACTAGAAGTGTAGAGTTGGGGGAACTCAACCCATTTCCCACCACTTCCATCGACCTCCTGTGGCATCCTAATGTTCAGAAGGAGAAGAACATTCTAGAAGGAGAACAAAATTCTATCAGCAAGAAGTATAATACTCTTGTGCCAAAGGTGTGCACAATCAGCCAAGTGACCTGAGAAATGCAAGTCCTGGCTCTATTGAGGTCATCAAGGAGAAAGCAAGCCGCTGGCAAGTCAGGAATCTGTCTCAAAGTAAACATGTGGCTTGTGACCTTGAGGATGTGCGTATGTTTATTGTTGGGGCAGTTGCTTTTTCCTTATCTCTCACCAGCTCTCAAAAGACCTGTTTAAGTTTTCTGTAAGAGGATATATCTCATGTGCAGTTGCAAATATGCTTCTTTATTCTTCTCTGGCTAATAATTATCAAAGTTACAGTCATGAATATTCACCTTCTCAGGCTGCTCTGTCAGAGATTTTTCTGGGTGGGCATGGTGGTTCACACCTGTAATTCCAGCACTTTGGGAGGCGGAGGTGGGCGGATCATTTGAGGTCACGAGTTCAAGACCAGCCTGGACAACATGGTGAAACCTCGTCTCTACTAAAAATACAAAAATTAGCCAGGCGTGGTGGTGTGGGCCTGTAATTACCACTACTCAGGAGGCTGAGGCAGGAGAATCACTTGAACCTGAGAGGTGGAGGTTGCAGTGTCCCAAGATCACACCACTGCACTCCAGCCTGGGCAACAGCATGAGACTCCACCTCAAAAAAAAAAAAGAGATTTGTCTTAAAGCTGTGAGCCATAAGGCTGGGCACAGTGGTTCACGTCTGTAATCCCAGCATTTTGGGAGGTCGAGGTGGGGGGACCGCTTGAGCCCAGAAGTTCAAGACTAGACTGGACAATATGGTGAGACCCTGTCTCTATAAAAAACCAAAAATAGCCAGGCGTGGTGGTGCAGTCTTGTAGCCCTAGCTACTCCAGAGGGTGAGGCAAGAACATTGCTTGAGCCCTTGAGGTTGAGGCTGCAGTGAGCTGTGATCATGCCACTGCACTCTAGCCTGTGCGATGGTGAACTTGTCTCAAAAAAAAAAAAACAAAAAACGCTGTGAGCCATGTCGTTTAGAGTCTCTCAAGAAACTGTTTTTTCTGGTCTTCATTCTTGGTGTCAAAGGCAACAAAATATTATACCAAAATACATTCCCATGCTTGAACATTTCCAGTGGAATATAACTTGTCTCAAAATGAGAACCAGAAATGATGCTTATGTCATCAAATCAGTGATTGCTATTGCAGAAAATATGACAGTCTGATTTGAAGAAATGCTGATCTGCTATTAAGGGAAAGGGTGCTATTTTAGCATAGTTTATTTATTTAGAGAAAAATCTCATAGGTTGGCAGCTTCACACCTGTCTATTAACCCTGCTTCCCGCATACTTCCATTTTGATGTCTAGTACTGATAATGCAGATTTCTTTCAATGCTATCATATTAATATTTCCCAACTCAGTTGACTTACATGTCGACAATAAACCTTGACAGCAGGTGAGGAATATGTTGGCTTTCTGGCCAATATGCTGAGCTTTTTGAGAAATGCTTCTTTGAGGGTTATGTGCTTTGAGTTCTGTTTATGGTTATGGAGATAGAGTTTCCTCATTCGATTATCATTTATTCAAAGTCTCTCAACTTATTCTCTCTTATGATTAATGGCATACATAATGGAAAATGTGAAGTTATAGCTACAATCAGGAATATAAAACAGCAAAAGGTTCTCTGGCCTGCCCAGAAACCAAACCTATGACAGTCATGTGATTAGCCCCATGTGTTGACCACAGGTTTAGGGATACCTCTTATAAAAGGACGATTGATATGAAGGTGGTCTTTCTATTGCAGCAAGGGACAGATCCTTTCATCTACTGAAAATAGTGCTTTAAAGTATACGAATTATTTCACTCATTAAAGATAACTGAACGTGAATTCCTCAAATAGAAACATTTCAAGTTGTACTAGGTTGGTGCAAAAGTAATTGCGGTTTTTGCCATACTTTCAATGGCAAAATATGAGAAAGGTAAGAACTGATGACACCTATGTTCATATGTTCTGGAAATTATTGCTCAGGAAGATATATGTAAACCAATAAATAATTTAACTGTTAATAATTGGCTTCAGGAGATTCCTGCAAACTTATTTATCTAGGAAAACAGTTTGCTCATGTGGGAAACCAACCCTCCTATCAGAAACAGATTGCTCACCTGAGAAAAAAGCTTGTGTATCACATCAAAAGCCTTCCCTCACTGGGTCCATCAATACTACACTGTTATGTCAACAACTATGCCTG
Source organism: Homo sapiens (assembly GCF_000001405.40). NCBI lineage: Eukaryota > Metazoa > Chordata > Mammalia > Primates > Hominidae > Homo > Homo sapiens. The sequence goes on from NC_000002.12 coordinate 222,779,662, forward strand.
GCATCAATCAGTTCCCTGTAGTGAAAAATCAGCCTAATGCCACTTGAGCCTGACCCCAAGTTCTATAAATAGCTTTTCTTGAAATCCTCCTTCTGAGACACTATCTGTCAAGGTGTGTTTTCCTTCGCTACAGTGAGTCTAACAAAATTAGTTTTGGGGGAGTTGACAGTCAACAGAAGGGAGGAACTAACTAATATTTATTGACTATAGATGTAGCTTCTCATTATATGTCAAACTATTATATTTTATTATCCGATTCCATTGCTAATTTGTATTGAACACATTAAATATATTTGCTATAAGTCCGTGTTAAGTTCCGCTATGACTTTGGCTAGGAGGAAGTAAAGTCTTTATCTTGTTATTCTGAACTCTAAGATTCATAGTGAAAAGCAATAGATATTTGAAACTTTCTTTACTCTTAGTTAAAAATGGTGAAATTTTAAGGCCTTAAAGAAGCTTCCACTTTTCACCCTTCATGTGAATCTGGCCTCTACAAATGCAGTGTTAACAGAAGTGGGTGTGGAAAATCCTTCCTTTCCACCTTCCCCTTCTGCCCAACCCCTACCGCCCTGAGGTTAGCTTCTACGTCCATTAACTATCCTGAAACATTGCACAACCCTGGTATTATGAGTTGAATTATATCACCTCCAAAAGACCTATTGAAGTCATAACCCCCACTACTTCAGAATGTGACCTTATTTGGAAGTAGGGTCAAGTCAACTTAAAATGAAGTCGTCGGAGTTGGGTCCTAATCCAGCATGACTGGTATCCTTTTAAAGAGGGGAAATTTGGATACAGAGACAGATACACACAAAGGGAAGATGATGTGAAGACACACAGGCAGAAGACAACCATGGGACTAGAGTGATGCCTCTATAAGCCTAGCAATGTCAAGGGTTATGGGCAAACACCAGGAGCTAAAAGAGGCAAGGAAGGATTCTCCCCTGGAGCCATCAGAAAGAGCATGGCTTGGGCAACACCCTGATTTCAGACTTCTAGCCTCCAGAAATATGAGACAACAATTTCCTTTTTTTAAGCCATTCTGTTTTTGTTACTTTGTTATGGTAGCCCCAAAAAACAAATTTATCCATAGTCAACATTTTAAAGGAAAGACTGATTACATAACATTTTAAAGGAAAGACTGATTACATAAAACATTTCATTGTGTTTTATCGTATATGTAATTCATCTTAAATTGCTACTTAATGTGGTTCAAGGCAATTGTATCAGTCCATTCTTACACTGCTATAAAGATACTTCCCGAGACTGGGTAATTTATGAACAAAAGGAGTTTGATTGACTCACAGTTCCTTATGGCTGGGGGAGCCTCAGAAAACTAACAATCATGGTGGAAGCCAAAGGAGAAGCAGGCACCTCTTCACAAGATGGCAAGAAAGAGAAGAGAGAGAGCAACAGAGGCACTGCCAAACACTATAAAACCATCAGATCTCATGAGAACTCCCTCATTATCAAGAAAACAACATGGGGGAAACTGCCACCATGATCCAATCACCTCCCATCAGATCCCCCACTTGACACATGGGAGTTACAATTCAAGATGAGATTTGGGTGGGGACACAGAACCAAACCATACCAGTGATATTATTACTGGATACCCATTATAACTCTTTATAATTCTTTATTTTTCTTTATAACTCGTTTTGAAATAAGTTATCTTTTCCTGAAATATGACTTTGGGACCTGGATCTACTCTGGGCTGGGTGCTTCACATATATGACTTAAATTGTTGAAGTAGTTATCAATAACCTTTTCTGAAGATGGGGAAATAATTTCTAAAATGTTAACTTGCTTAAGATCATAGGACTGATAAATAATGAAGTTAGTTATGTGAACTAACAGTCCTCTTAAAATAAAGTCCATCTTTCAAATCTGCAATTTCATTATTAAAGGCACTAATTATAAGCATTAACTTACACTAAGAAACAATCACAAGATCAATCAATGCCCAAGGTGAGAAAGAGAACAGGCTGCTTTGAAAAAATAAGATGGTAATGTCCAAAACCTTTTCTTTAACTTTTCAAAGAATAGTTATAAATAAGTGTATAAATATTTAATCAAGAAAGATTTAGGTTCAAATCTAGTGAGACCTCCTACATGTCAGATCTTATAGTAGGCACTTTCATAGATAATAACTGTTCAGTACTCATACCAGCAAAAAAATCTATTAATATGTATTAAGATTATAAAGTATTCATATTAGGCCAGGTGCCGTGCCTCGTGCCTGTAATCCCAGCACTTTGGGAGGCCTAGGCGGGCGGATCACTTGAGATCAGGAGTTTGAGACCAGCCTGGACAACGTGGTGAAACCCCCCCTCCCTACTAAAAGTACAAAAATTAGCTGGCAGTGTGCGCTTGTAATCCCAGCTACTCGGGAGGCTGAGGCAGGAGAACTGCTTGAACCCAGGAGGTAGAGGCTGCAGTGAGCCAACATTGTGCCACTGCACTCCAGCCTGGGTGGCGGAATGAGACTCTATCTCAAAATAAATAAATAAATAATAAAGTATTCATATTAAAACAACACAAACATACCTTACTGACAAGCAGGGATACCTTGGAATTCTCCACCCTCCCTCATGTAGTCCTAGAGATGGATTTGATAAAATGTTTAAAATGTTCTGTGATGGACTTCTTTTTATACTTTAGTATCTTGAGAACTCAGTGTTTCTCAAGATTTGACTTACTGTACAAGATTGTACATGGTGTACCATGCATACTATACTTTGTGAGTCATTTAAGGGATTTTCAAAAATTATTTTAATTACACATAATTTTTGCCTTTGTGCACACCGCTGGTTTAATGCGCAATTTCATAACAATTGCTGTGATTCAGCTCCGAATTTTGCTCTGGATTTTCAGTATCCAGTATTAGAAGGACAACATAATCATAAAAAGTTCTGGACTAGCATATGTAAAGGTTAATTTTGAAGAACTCAGAAGGGGAACTGGTGCTCTTAGAAGCTAGTGTGGACTCACTGGGGAAAAAACGTCCTCTACATAAACTTTACTAGTTTGATTAGGAGACGGCTTCTTTTGATCGAATTTTTGCAAAGCAGTTGAAAGAGGATCTCACAACATTCTTAGGACAAAAGTTGAAGTGTGAGCTGAATAATCACAATGTGAATTTATTATATGTTGAAGCCCCCTAACTAAAGTGGACACTGGGGACAGGTTGAAAGACTCTATCCTGACCTCCTTAGAATTATGAAGAGCATAAATTTGTCACATTTGCAGATAATGTCCATCTGGGAGGAATAGCATGCCCTGGATAATATAATTGAAATCTGAAAATAACTCAATGAATTAGAAATACAAGTCAAATCTAACACCGTAAAATATACTAATGGTGAATATAAATTTTGTTCTAAGGTCTTCAGTCCAATTACATAAGTAAAGGAAGATGAAAGGGTGGAAAAGATTCTTGTTCTTTAGTTGGCTCCATCCCAAGCAGGAAGAACATAGAAGGTAATGCAAACTTGAATTACCTTAGAGATAACCCAGACAATGGAAATAATAATCTGACATCTCTGGCTTTTCACAAGCTACCCCTTGACCAGTGGTGTCATCGGGGGCAATGAAGTCTAGTAGAAACATGGATAAACTGGAGCATACTCAAAGGAGAGCATCTAAAACATGAGAACTCTTAAAGTTCTGTCCCATGAGGACTCAACTGGAGATGCTTCATGTGGATGAGAAAAGAGTTAGAGGAGATATGACAGCTGTCTTCAAATACTTGTATGGCTGTCATTAGGAAGAAGTATTCAAATCCATTGGTGTAGCTCCCACAGGGCAGAACCAGCAACCACAGGGGTGAGTTAGAGGAAGGCTGATTTGGATTCAAAATAAAAACATCTTTCTGGACCTGCCAAAAATGGGATAGTCTGTCTCCTTTCCATGAAGATTTTCAAGCAAGTATGAAAGGTCCCTGATTGAGGAAATCTGGCCATCACTCACAGTGTCTACTCAATATCCATCCTCTACTTTCCTTCTTTCCAACTATATCTAATTTTACTTGAGGGTGAACAGACAACCCAGTTCTAACCTTTGATCTTAGATCTTAGATCTTAGAGGAATTCCCCGCTGGGGCATTTGGATAAGCTTTTGATTTCCTGATAAGAAGGGACAGGTATAGCTGGTGGCCACCCTCTCCCTTATTCTGCCTGGAATGCAGATGGGATGCTAAGAGTTACAGAAGCCATCTTAAAACCACAAGTAAAAACCAAGAAAATCAAGGAGAAATAGCTCTGATATCACTGAGCTGCTAAACCAAAGCCAGCAAGTGCTTACCTACAGACACCTTGCTGTGTTAGAAAAATACATTTTTGTTTGTTTAAGCTACTGCAGTCAGATATTCTGTTATTTGGGCCGGGCATGGTGGTTCACACCTGTAATCCTAGCACTTTGGGAGGCCGAGGTGGACAGATCACTTGAGGCCAAGAGTTCAAGACCAGCCTGGACAACATGGTGAAAATCTGTCTCTACTAAAAATACAAAAATTAGCTAGGTGTGGTGGTGCATGCCTGTAATCCCAGCTACGCAGGTGGCTGAGGCATAAGAATCACTTGAACCTGGGAGGCAGAGGTTGCAGTGAGCTAAGATTGTACCACTACATTCCAGCCTGGGCAATAGAACAAGACTCTGTCTCAAAAAAACAAAAAAAAAAAGATATTCTGTTATTTGCAGCTAAATGCATTCCTAACGTATCCAGGAAAAGTGGAATACAAAGAGCAATGGCAGCAGATTACATTCACTCCAGAGTCCTTCCAACCTTGAGATTCTTTTAGTCCACAATCTAAGTTAATGTTCTTAAACTGTTCTACATTTATCCCATAAGTATCCTTCTAAGTACTTACTGTATAGATGGTAGTATACTAAGAGTACTGAACACTCCCTTATATGTGTATAGTATCAAAGCCTCTTGCTTTTCGTTGAGAGTCAACAGTATACTGGAATCAATCCCATATTGATGTCATTGTAAGGAAAGATGATTTTACTTTGGAATGAGTTCTGCATAGCAATTCTAATACAATTTTGTAGTTGATGACCATTGTTTCAGACCTAGATCCATTTGTTCAAAGAGCTTATGTCCTTCAGCCCAGGGCCTATGAAGAGGATTTTGGGGATTTCCAATCGGTCAAGATCTAGGTCAACATTTAGGTCAACATCTCCCCTTCCCTCTAACACACACACAGTGTAAGAGAGATAATGATACTCTGAAACTACTTGGGAGAGTGTCCTGGGGAAGCAGAGTGTGTCCCCAAGCCAGGGGAAAACCTGTGGTCATATCCCTGCTTTTGAACATGGAGAAGAGTGTCAGGAGAAGTCTCAACCCCAGCACTTTGGATGGAGGCCTCCACTGAATAGCTTCCTCTGACACTGGCATCTCCTTTCTGTGCAATTATCCTAGCACAATCCTTGTTGGCTGAAGGTCTGGAGCCCTCAGATTGAGGGTCGGTGTCCTGCACACCAACATAACCTCAGAGACAAGGTGGACAGTGGCCTAGGAGCAAAGGTTTGCCACAGCACCTCTGCAAGATGGTAAGGTAGTCAAGCAGGGATGCCAGGGTCAGCTGTAGAACCAGAAGGGAGCCCAGTCTAGTAGAATGGAGACAGAGCTCAAGCCAACTCTGACCACAAGTGGAGGTGGACCCCATCCTGGTACCTTGGTAGTGTCCAAAGGCAACAACACCAACAGAACATGGGTGAGTGGAGGTGTCAGTTATCCTGAGGACGCCATCCTGATTTGCCAAGAGCCATGGTTTCCCAGGCAATTTAGAGGAGGGTTAGAAACCACATCCCCCTAGGAGATGGGAGAAAACCTCTGGAAACATAGCTGGGAAGTCCAGTTCACATTCCAGAAGCTTTTATTGTAGGCTTGAGCTGAATAAAGCTTCCATTGGACCAAGGTCCGAGATTTCTCAGCAACAGCAGAGGCAGGTGTGGCCTCAGAAATTAGGACATTGCACATCAGGCCATTTAATAAATATTTTTCAAACTGTGAACTGCAACCCATTAATGAGTCATGAAATCAACATAGTGGGTCTGTAACAGCATTTTTTAAAAATGAGAAAGATAGTAAAATAAAATAGGTTAGAAAGAAAAAATCAGAGTGCATTCCCTGTAGTAGAGGTAATTAATGTAAAACTTCTATTACTGTGTGTATGTATGTGTGTACATGTGTGTGTGTGTATGTGTGTATGTGTGTGTTTTCCAGATTTTTTTTTTTAAATGGAGTCTCACTCCATTGCCCAGACTGGAGTGCAGTGGTGTGATCTCAGCTTACTGCAACATCCACCTCCCGGGCTGAAGCGATTCTCATGCCTCAGCCTCCCAAGTAGCTGGGATTACAGGTGTGCACCACCATGTCGGCTAATTTTTGTATTTTTAGTAGAGACGGGGTTTCACCATGTTGGCCAGGCAGATCTCAAACTCCTGACATCCAGTGATCTGCCAGCCTCAGCCTCCCAAAGTGCTGGGATTACAGGTGTGAGCCACCGCACCCGGCCTGTTCCAGATTTTGATGTAAAATATATTTCTTACTGTGAGTAAGGGTAAAAAATGTTTGAAAGCCATGGATTCTTACTGCTTAGATAAGCACTTAATTTGTATAACATAGTCTTCAGGACATTTTGTACCCTGTTTCATTTTATGACTAAACTAACAGGAAGCAAAGTGATCCAGGGCATTGACTGAAATTAATTAAGCAAATATCTCCTAGTTTGAGGAGGATGACATGTTCTGGTTTTCTGTAGCTCTTTTGGCACATTCAAATATTTCTCCTTTATTCAGGGAGAGGATTGTTTGCTCTTTTGCTGCTCTTAGTTCCTTCTTTCTCATTATTAGCAACGTTATGTTAGTGAAATAATGTCCCGGGACATTGTTTACCTCAATTTTCATAATTTCGGTCATTGGTTCCAACATTCCTCCTTTCCATATGATACCACTTCACATCCACTAGGATGGCTATGATCATAAAGACGTGTTAGCCAGAATGTGGGGAAATTGGAAACCTCATACACTGCTGTTGGGAAAACAAAAATGGTGCAGTCATTACGGAAAATAATCTAGTAGGTCCTCAAAATGTTGAACACGAAGTTACCATATGACCCGGCAATTCCGTTCCTAGGTATATACCCAAGAGAAATGAACACATATGTCTACACGAAACTTGTACACAAATGTTCACAGCAGCATTATTCATAATAGCTCAAGGATGGAAGCAATTCAGATATTTATCAACTGATTTATGGATAGACAATGGTGATATATCCATGCCATGGAATCTTATTCAGCCATAAAATGGAATGAAGTTCTGATACATACTACAACATGAACAAACTTCTAAAACATAATGCTAAGTGAAAGAAGCCAGACACAAAATGTCACAGATTGTAAGATTCCATTTTTATGAGATGCCCAGAATAGGCAAAATCTTTAGAGATAAACAGTAGGTTAGTGGTTGCCAGGGGCTGGGGAGGAGAGAAGGAGAAGGGAGTTGTCTGGAAATGGAGAATGACTGGTAATGGGTTTCTCTGGGGGATGATTAAGATGTCCTAAAATTGATTGTGATGATGGTGGCACAGCTCTGTGAACATACTAAAAACCACAGAATTACACACTTTAAATGGATGAGTTATATGGTATGGCAATTAAAGCTATGGTTTTGAAGGAGCACAGGTAGACAGATGGGCTCTCAAACAAGAGTCAGGACTTTTTGGGATGATAGAAAGTTTCTATATCTTGACTGTGGTGGTGATTAAGAGATGTATCAATTTGTCAAGCCCCACTGCAATGTCTATAAATTAATCCTCAATAAAGTTAATGCTGGGGCTGTGTTTGCCCCAACTTACAAACCTGCAGCTTCAATTCTCCTAGGGGTTCAAGATGCTCCTCATATCATATTCATGGACGTGGGTCACTAGCCCTGTTGCTCCCGAGATTCCCTAAATTCAGCTGAGCTTTCTCTCATCCTCTGAAATGAATCCAGAATGTCTAGAATCCAGACAAGTAGGCCTGGCTGGGGCTGAAAACCTGCTATGAAGCTGGCAGGAGCCCCTTTACCTTCTCATAAGGAAGGACACTGACCCTGTGTGATGTGTATGACATCCTAATGCTCGCTCGGCAGCAAGGCTCAGCCAAGAGGACTCAGAAGTGGGCAGGAGATTCTAGGATTCTTTTTTTTTTTTTTTTTGAGACAGAGTCTCGCTCTGTGGCCCAGGCTGGAGTGCAGTGGCATGATCTCGGCTCACTGCAAGCTCCACCTCCTGGGCCCATTCCATTCTCCTGCCTCAGCCTGCCAAGTAGCTGGGACTACAGGCGCCCGCCACCACGCCCGGCTAATTTTTTGCATTTTTAGTAGAGACGGGGTTTCACTGTGTTAGTCAGGATGGTCTCAACCTCCTGACCTGGTGATCCGCCCGCCTCGGCCTCCCAAAGTGCTGGAATTACAGGCGTGGGCCACTGCGCCCGGCCGTGGGCAGGAGATTCTAACCCATGCTGTCACTAACCTTCGGCCTCAATCAGGTGCCTGATGTCTGACGTGAAACCCCCCTGACTTCCCACCATCCAGCGTCACATTCTTTCCCCACAGGATCACATCCCAGTTATTTAGCCTCAGGCTTCATAGTGTGGCACTCCCTCATGTTCCTTGACTAGATTACTTTGTTCCATTTATTCACATGGGGACCTCAGTAAACAGAGGCGAACTCTGCTTGGGTGACCAAGAATTCCAATTCCTGAGCCTCTAGGAAGCTGCTGGAAGAGAGCCAGAACAGTTGTTTCAAGGCGCTACCAATCGCAGCTGCATCTTCTAAACTCTCCTAAGAAGCAAGAGCTTTGAGTAGCTGGGATTTTTTTTTTCTTTTCTTTTCTTTGTTTTTTTTTTTTTTTTTTTTTTGAGACAGGGTCTCACTCTATTACCCAGGCTGGAGTGCAATGGCACAATCACAGCTCACTGCAGCTTTGATCACCTGGGCTCAAGAGATCCTCCCATATCACCCTCAGCCTCCCAAGTAGCTGGGACCACGGGCAAGAACCACATGCCTGGCTAATTCGTAAAAAAACAAAATGTGTAGAGACAGGATCTCCTTATGTTTCCCAGGCAACATGGTGAGATCTCGAACCCCTGGGCTCAACGGGCTCAAGTGATCCTCCAGCCTTGGCCTCCCAAAGAGTTGGGATTACAGGCGTGAGCCACCATGTTCAGTGGAGTAGCTGTTTTCCATAATAATTATTCATATTTATAGAATGCTGACAAGGTATCTGGGACTTGCAAGCATTATTTTATGTAATCGTCGCAATAATTTTATTGGTATGGTATTATTTTCCCTATGTTACAGATGAAGATTAGGCTTCAAAAGTTTAAGTAACCCGTCAAAGGCCGCATCACTGGAGCATTTTAAAGCAGGGATGCAATTGCAAAAGCACCAGTCAGAGCTCAGAATCCTGTTCCAGTTGGGATATACACATGGACTTCACAAATGAATGTAAGGAAGATACTCTTGTGAAGTATGAATTCATCTCCTAGAAACTTTATTTCCCGTGGGCTTCTCACCCACTGAAACAAGACATTTCAGGACTTTAGGTAAAAGGCAAATATTCAGTAGAGCAACTCAGTTACTTCTCAGATTTGACTCAAATTAAAAAAACTGCATCAAATGCAACAACACCATAGGCTTGACTGTCAGACTCGAGAGAGGGTGTAGGAGTGAGAGCAAGGATTACTAACTTAGTTATTAAAGTTATGTATCAAGAACTAAGCCTGGACAATGGAGTTTCTTTCTTAAAAATAAAAAAGAAGTCCTTTCACTTTTAAAACTTTTAAAAACCAATATGTCATTGTTTTCCACTTTTTATGGCTAGGAGGATATGATGAAGGGAAAGTGAAACCCACATCTGGCAAGTAGAAGAAGAGAGCAAAAGGGAAAGCAGAGAAGTTCAAACAAAGATTTCTACCTGCTTCTGCCTGAGGGCCACTGTGTGTGCATGCGTGTGTGTGTGTGTGTGTGTGTGTGTGTGTGTGTGTATGTGTGTGATGAGTGACAGGAGAAAGAGAGAGAGAAGGACTCAGCTAGATCTGGGGGAACCAGAGCATCTCAGGCCCCCAGGAGAACTGAAGCTGCAGGTCTGTAAGTTGGGACTGTGTAACTCGGCATGAGATGATGGTGGGCAGGTGCCGTGAGAAGCCAGGGGCTAGGTAAGCCTGAAGCAGTGGTCCTTTTCCCCAAAACCTGGCACACACAGGAATGAGACCTCCTCGTATGCTTGGAAGGGAGGTCGTGGCCGTTCTGAGTGTGCAGTGGACCAGCAGGGGCCTGGGTCAGCAGATGGGGATCCCAAGACCAGGGATACCAGCACCACAGGTGCCAGCTAGAGGAACCAGCGGATCTTCCTCAAAGCCATGGGATCAGGAACATCTCAGCTCTCAAGCAGACCAGGAAGGAGACCAGTCCCTCTGTGGAGATCAGTGTGGATCCAGCAGACAAGCATGGGTCATCATTCAACCCACGGTCCTGTAAACCAGCGGTCCCCCAGCTTTTAGGCAACAGGGACTGGTTTCATGGAAAACAATTTTTCCACAGACGGTGGCAGGGGAATGGCTTCAGGATGAAACTTGCTCCAGTTCATCAGGCATTAGACTCTCATAAGGAGCACACAACCTAGATCCCTGATGTGCACAGTTCACAATAGTGTTGGCCTCCTATGAGAATCTAGTGCTGGCACCGATCTGACAGGAGCAGAGCTCAGAAGGTAATGCTCACTTGCCCATCGTTCACCTTCTGCTGTGCAGCCCAGTTCCTAACAGGCCATGGACCAGTCTTGTCCAAGGCCCAGGGGTTGGGGACCCCTGGTATAAACCACATACACCCCAGTAACCCCAGAGGCCATGTTGGAGAGGAGCAGGCAGAAGGAGAAGAGGAAGAGACCTTGAGGGACCCAGCATTTGTCTACAGGAACTGTTTAAATAATAGAATTGGAATAAACTGGTCTGAGTCTTAGCTGTTTCCCCTGCTGTGGCCCAAGCTGTGTCCTCTGAAAAATTCATATGCCAAGCTACCTCAGAAGGTGACTATATTTAGGCCAGGTGCGGTGGCTCCTGCCTGTAATCCCAGCACTTTGGGAGGCCGAGGAGGAAGGATCACCTGAGGTCAGGAGTTTGAGACTAGCCTGGTCAACATGGTGAAACCCCGTCTCTACTAAAAATACAGAAATTAGCCTGGTGTGGTGGTGCAAGTCTGTAATCGCAACTACTCGGGAGGCTGAGGTAGGAGAATCACTTGAACTCAGGAGGCGGAGGCTGCAGTGAGCCGAGATCGTGCCATTGCACTCCAGCCTAGGACACAGAGAAAGGCTCCATCCCAAAAAAAAAAAAAAAAAAAAAAAAAGAATGTGACTATATTTAGAGATAGGGCCTTTAAAGACGTGATTAAGTGAAAATGAGATCTTTAGGGTGGGCTTTTATCCAATCTGACTGGTGTCCTTATGAGAAGAGGAAATTCAGCCACAGAAAGAAATAGCAGGGATGTGTGGATGCAGAGGAGAGATCGTGTGGGGACATAGCGAGAAGGCAGCCACGTGCAAGTCAAGGTGAGAGGCCTCAGGAGAAACCAGACCTGTTGATACATTGACCTTGGGCTTCTAGCATCCAGAACTATGAGAAAATAAAAATCTGTTGTTTAAGACTCCCAGTGTGCGGTACTTCGCTGTGGCAGCCCCAGTGAATAAATACACTCCATCTCCACCTCCAGCTTCCCCCACCTAAGTGTCCCCAGTAGGGTGGGGTCTTGAGGAAAATCAAACCATTTAATAGGAATATAAGGAAGCTATATTTTTTGACCTTGCTCAAATCATTTGGAAAACAAATGTTTTAGAACTTTAAAAGAAAAACTTTACTTAGAAATAATCTACTCTCATTTATCTAGTCATGTGAAGAAGAAAGAAAATGTTTACTTACTACCCCTAGATATATTCAAAAGCAAAAAACCCCAAACTATATTTCTTTAACATTTCTAATCTGATGTTTTCTTAAAGAAGTTAAATTAGCACAATTTATTCGAAACTAATGAAGTTCACCATATTTTAATTTCAAAGTCAGTCTTAGAGAATTCTAGTTTCATCCTATCTTCCATTTCGTAAAATTGAAAGGTCATGTTTTCCCACTAAAAAAAGTGCCCCTGAAATTAACTTCAGAAGTATTTCCTTACAAGTGGTATTTGAAAGTATGTTGCTTTTTTGTTCCTCGTCCATACTTCTATTTTAATATGTTAAATATAAAAACAGAGATGAGGAATTTCCTCATGAATACTTCTACTCAGGGACAGGATTTGAAGGAAATGAGACAAACACAGCCAGCCCTTGGTGGGGGCCGTCCTCTGTCTTTCTTCAGGCCCAAGCCCTTCCTTCCTCATTGTAAGTAGGACACTCGGTGCCTTAGCTGGTTGCCTCATTCAAGCTGAAGTGTACAGAACAAAACCACTGCCACTGACAGGGACACGGAGCCTGGACGCTGTGTGCTCCCAACTGTGTGTCCGTGGAAACATTTGCCAAGTCTTTAACAGTTGCAGCGGATTAAACACAATTTCCTAATGTTCACGGCTTCCTTGGGCATTCATTTAATTCATCACAGGCCCTGTCTGACAAGTATTAGGATCGAGGCCAAACACCATCCTAAGTTAGTCTGAAAAGAGGAGTTTCTAAGCTCTTGCTCCTTCCCCGCAGACTAACCCACTGGCCTCTCACAGCACACCAATCAATAGCTGGAAAGCTGGACCTTGGCTTTGACCGGAAGATTCTTCCGGCTAGTCACAGTCTCTCCTCGCCTTTCCAGTCCAGATCTGTCTGTCTTAGAGCAGAGAATGTGTGGATTCAGCACAAGTCTCCCCAGAGACATGCAAATGCAAAAAAGAAATGAGTATTTCGACAGAACACGTCAAGTCAATGAAGATGGCGTGAGGATGTTTGAAGGATTAGGAGGACAGTGGAGCTTTGTGGGGTCTGGGCAGGACAGCAGGTCATCCATGGTGCAGAGAAGTAACTGTTATTCTCTTCCTTTTAAATCTATTGCTCTTCCAAAAACAAGATTCCCTGTTAGTGGTTAAGAATCCCAAAACGCAAACCCGTGATAAAAATTGCTATGTCACTTTCTGGAAGCCATCATTTTCTCTTTATTTCCAAAATAAAGATGCTCTACCCTCCTCCTCCTCCTTCTTCACTAAAATGTTATGTCTGAGCATGGTCAATCAAAATTCAAGAGGTATAAAAAGAAATACTGTAAACCAGTTTTTTTTTTAAATGAAGAAATATTTCCCTTAAAGCATAAAGTGCAGAAACATTGTAAAAAAAAAATGCCATGTTTATCCTCAATTCTCCCTCTGAAGACAGTTTATTACCAGTTTCTTGTGTTTACTTCCAGAGATATGTTATTGGGTTGTGCAAAAGTAATTGCGGTTTTTGCCATTAAAAGTAATTGCAAAAACCACAATTACTTTTGCACCAACCTAATGTACATAAGTATATTCCGACATGTTATTTTGAGCTCCACAGAAACAAAACAAGATTTGCCACCTGGTGACAGACCATCCTGTTGTTCCCAAGGAGAAAGGTGAGGTCATGATGTGGATTATGTAAGGTCACGAGGCTCCCTCCTAGATATTCTGACCCCTGCAGAATTCTTTATGTGATTGTCCTGCCTTTTATCCATAGGTCAGAAGACACACTCCATCTCTGCTTAAGTGAGGCAGAATAAAATAAAATCTTATTCAGAGTATTTCCAAGTCTAAATTGTGGGGCACAAAAAAGTCTATTATTTTGCCAGCAGCACCTACAAGGTCTTTTGTCTACAAATGTAAATCAATCAGTGTTTTAGTCAGCTTGGGCTGCTATGAGAAAATACCATAGACTGGATGTCTTAAACAACAGATTTATTTTCTCACAGGTCTGGAGGCCAGAAGTTCGAGATCAACGTGCCAGCAGGGCCGGTTTCTGGTGAGGCCTTTCCTCCTGGCTTGCAGACCACCGCCTTCTCATCCTGTCCTCACGTGGACCTGGCATTTCCTGTGTGCATGAGAGGATAGAGATAGAGCTCTCTGGGGTCTCTTCTTGTTTTTTTTTTGAGACGGAGTCTCACTCTGTTGCCCAGGCTGGAGTGCAGTGGCACGATCTTGGCTCACTGCAAGCTCCGCCTCCCAGGTTCACACCATTTTCCTGCCTCAGCCTCCCGAGTAGCTGGGACTACAGGCGCCCGCCACCACGCCTGGCTAATTTTTTGTATTTTTATTACAGACGGGGTTTCACCATGTTAGTCAGGATGGTCTTGATCTCCTGACCTCGTGATCCGCCAGCCTTGGCCTCCCAAAGTGCTGAGATTACAGGCATGAGCCACCATGCCCAGCTGGGGTCTCTTTTTATAAGGACACTAATTCTATCAGATCAGAGCCTGACTCTTGTGACCTCATTTAACCTTAATTACCTCCTTAAGACCCTATCTCCAGATACAGAAGGTCTCCAACTTACAATGGTTTGACTTATGATTTTTTAACCTCATGTGGTGGGAAAGATCCAAATTCAATAGAGACCATACTTCGAGTGCCCATACACCCATTCTGTTTTTCACCTTCAGGACAGTATTTAATACATTGCATGAGATATTCGACACTATTATAAAATAGGCTTTGTGTTAGATGATTCACCCAACAGTAGGATAATGAAAGTATCCTGAGCAGGTTTAAGATTGGTTAGGCTAAGCTATGACGTACAGTAGATTAGGTGTATTAAATGCACTTTTGACTTACATTTTCAACTTACAATGGTTTTATTAGAGCGTAACCACATCTAAAAATTAGGAGCACCTGTATAGTCAAATCAGGGATTAGGGCTTCAACATATGAATTTGACAGGGGGTGGGGGAAGGACACAATTTAGTTCACAACAGTTAGCAACATTGATAACTATTTTAATAAAATAATAACGGCTACTATCTAAGTGTCAGGCAATGTGCAGCATGCTTTATGCATATTACTTAGAGTCCTCAAATGAACTCCACGAAGTGGACATTATTATCACCAGAGTGATTGAAACTAGAAACATTTAACAAGTGGTATGTTTGAGCACTGACTAGTCAGATTGAACACCAGCTATAAACAAGCACGGTGGCTGTTGTTCCAGTGCATGCTGGCCAAAGATGAGCCCCCAAATGATCACGTTTTTCAGGTAAAGAAGGAGAGGATTGGAGAGGAGAAGGGAACTGGACAAGCCCACGCAGCTGGCATATGGTGGAGCAGGGACACGTCTGTCTTACTCAACATTATTTTGCCTCTCTTCTACCTTGCCAGGAGTTATCTGCTGGAGATCCCCATATTTCTCTACTTTGGTGAGTCTTTGAGTGTTTTCCATCATATTCACAACTCAATGACTGTGCCTGCCACGACAGAGGCTGGTTTGGGATCAAGTCAGTTTGGCCACTGTCTCCTCTCTGAACAGACTCAGACTGCGGTAGCAGGGGATCGTCTTTGCTGTCCATGCTGGCTCACGTTTGACACTATTGCAATGTTTCTGCATCTGGGTCTTTGCATTGGACCAAGCTGTCTTTTTCCAGAAGACATATCTGGGTCTTTGGGGTCATTTGCCTTCTTCCCTGAATTTGACCTCTACTGTCAATCTAGATTTGGGTTCATGCTGACTCACCATACCCATTACATGCTGCCTTTGTTCCCTAGCCTGACCTGATCTTGGGCCTCAGGCTACAGCCTGCTTTTCCATTACAAAGTACCCAAACACCAAACACAATGCTGTCTGAGTGCCCCCTTTCCCTGCCAAATTCTTTTTTTGTGCTATTTGGACCTCAGCTGCTGACACTTTCCTCCATAAGCCTTTATTCCCCTCCCCAATGAACTAATGAACTCCGCTTCCTTTTCTAAGTGCTCCTCATTCTTTCTCTTTCTTATGTTTTTTATTTTTGTCTGTTTTTGTTTTTTGAGACAGAGTCTCACTTTTTCACCCAGGCTGGAGTGCAGTGGTGCAATCTCATCTCACTGCAACCTCTGCCTCCCAGGTTCAAGAGATTCTCCTGCCTCAGTCTCCCAAGTAGCTGGGATTACAGGCACACGCCACCACGCCCAGCTAATTTTATTTTTTCTTGCTTCCACATTCCCCCTTTTCTTCTTTTCCTTTTTCTTTTCCCCCTGTTTTAGGATTGCATTAGCACGTATCCAAAGAGCAGCCTTCACTCTTGATATTTGGGGCTTAGGAACATCCCTGTCTCCTGGGCTGTCAGGGGCATAGTATATCTGTGGGACATTCTGTAAACCTGTCAGTCAGTGATACCTACAAGCAACCAGAATTAGGCCATTTTCAAGGCACCTTCATTAAAGATTAAAAGGCAACCTTGCCTGTCCCAAATTTTACCACACTTCCCCCCAAATGTCACCTTGTCCAGAGGGAAAGGGAAATACGTGATTGGAAAATCTGCTATCATATGCAAACTTTACCTGGACATGCCCCACTTCTTCAAATAAAGTTCCACTGTGCAAACTATTCTACGGCCCTATATCCTGCTGTACTCATTGTTACTAGAATAAATATTTGCAGTATAAGCAGAACTTTGTTCTGAGGATAAATCCACAGGATACTTAGCACTCTGACAAATGAAAAGCCAGTTTTTAGCTGCCCTTTGTTTGATACAAACTGGATGTTGTGTTTTCTTTTCTGGGTTATGTATAACGTACAAATTCTAGGCAATCTTTGACAAGAACTTATAATAACAAACTGCCTTTTGACAATGACTCTAGAGAGCCTTCCTGTCTCCAGAAAATATCCCTCTGTGGCTCCAAAGGTCTCAGTCTCAGGGTGATGTCCTGGCTACTTTTCTTTTGCACCATAAATGAAATGACAGTGAAGACATCAACCTCGCCATGTTGGAAAACTGCCTAAGATGTTTCTTGGAACTGTGGCCAGTCCCAGGAACAGAAAGGCATGATGTTCACAGCTAAAACTTCCTCACAGCGGCCTGCTGTACCTCCTCATGCCTGAGAATTGCTCTGAGGAAGGACTCATTTACCACATTTGCACTGCAGAAGTCAACACCCAGCGATCAAAGGACATCCTGGAAAAGTCAGTATAGATCCTGAACCAAAAACCTCAGAAGTGATTCCAGGCTGCTGCCCAAGAGCTGACATGCATACATTTGTTCATCACTCAACAAATATTTATTGAGTGCTATCTCTGTTGTAAACACTGTACTGGATGTGAATGTCCAGCTGCAGAAGAAACAGACCCAAGCCTCCGGGAGCTGACTGTTCCCAGGAGGGGGCCCTTGGCTCTTTGCAGTGAGTTGTCATCCTGGGCACTGACAGGCAGTGGTGTGAGCCTGCTGAGCCAGAGAGACGATGAGCTGCTCCCACAATACCCAATAATCAGGCCCCAGGGTGCCTCCTCTGCTGTACCTAAAACACTTCAGATGAACTGCAGCTTTTCAAATCTGCTCTTCATGTGTCAAAGAAATTTTGGAATTTTTTTCCTACAGTAAAAGATGAAAAACAGGAGCCCGACAAGCAGAACCTATACCTAATGTTAAGGGGAAGACCGCCTAGGTTCCACACTTGAGAAATTATTTTTGAGAATGTTTAATCTTGTTAGAACGGATTTCTGTGACTGCTGCCAGGGTCTCTGAACCCTCAGCAAATAAATGCAGATGACATTTATTTGCTGAAGATAATGCTACCATAATAAATGTAAAAGGGTCACTATCTTTCCCCTAAACTTCCTCCTCCCCCAAAATAATCTTTCCTGCAGCTTATCTTCTTTGACTCTAGGGGGCATAGCCATTAAGTCTTTATTCCTTTTGAACTTGATGCCGTCTGCCTTTGGCAAAGAATTGCCCTATTATTGTTTCTGAAAGAAAGTATTTGAAAAATTTAAAAGCCAGTTCTTGGCCTTGTATTTTTTTTTTTTTTTTTTTTTAGGAAAAGCTCTAGCCATTCAATGACCAACTTTCTGCCTATTACTATATCAGTCATTTACTTGCTTTAAAGTAAATCATGTGTCAAATCATGATGTTTTGCTCAAAGATGAACTGCATCTATATACAATGTGGTCCCGTAAGATTATAATGGAGCTGCCCTAAATAGATGTTCCATTTAAAAAAATTTTATATTGTATTTTTACTGTACCTTTTCTATGTTTAGATACACAAATGCTTACCATTGTGTTTTAATCGCCCATGGTATTCAGTCCAGTCACATGTTATATAGGATTTATAGAACAACAGGCTGTACTATACAGCCTAAGTGTGTAGTAGGCTATACTATCTAGGTTTGTATGAGTACATCTATGACATTCAAATAACAACGAAATTGCCTAATGACACATTTCTCAGAATGTATCCTCATTAGGTGACACATGACCGTAATGATGATTCTTAAAAGACAGGGGAAGAGGATGATTAATGACTTATTTTAACTCCAGTGACTAAAACACAATCAACTTCCTATTTCTGAGTGGCACTCAGAAAAATAATTCCTCCTTTTCTTTTTTATTATTCTAATTTTCTTTTTCTTTTTTTGAGACAGAGTCTTGGTCTGTCACCCAGGCTGGAGTGCAGTGGCGTAATCTTGGCTCACTGTAACCTCTGCCTTCCAGGTTCAAGGGATTCTTCTGCCTCATCCTCCCAAGTAGCTGGGACAACAGGCATGTGCCACCACACCCAGCTAATTTTTGTATTTTTGGTAGAGACAAGGTTTCACCATATTGGCCAAGCTAATCTGAAACTCCTGATCTTAAGTGATCCACCCTCCTCGGCCTCCCAAAGTGCTGGGATTATAGGCATGAGCCACCGCACCCAGTCTTATTTTTCCAATTTTCTAGACAATATTTAAAGAATGCAGTGGATTGGTATTCTAAAATCCAAGTTTATATACTGCCCAGAAAATACCCTTTAGTTGATGCACTGAGAGATGACCCAACTGTGTTGACAGGTGATCCAGTCTTTTAGCTACCTCTGCTTACTTTTCCTGGGTTATGGGGAGCCTTGAGATAAGTATGAGGCTGTAAAGGTGTAGGTGTGGCCCAGGTGTCTGCAGCTCTGAAGGTGGAGGTGCAGCCCAGGTGTAGCTCTTTGAACCAGCATTCCCCTTAACATGACAGGTCAGCTCCTTTCAGAACTGACCCACCACTTGATTGGAGAATACTTCAGCAGGAAGCCACTTGGTTGTACAGTGGGAATCTCTTAGAGATGCACAATTGTTTCTGGACTCAATCCCAATCCCAGGAACCTCAGCGTGAGGTGAGATTTGGGTGTCAGGCAGGATGGGCCCCATGGCCTAACGAAACCTACTGACATTCATTCTAGGTTCACATTCAATTGTAGCCAGTACCTTAAAGGGAGCAATTTTACCAAGTTCTAGGCATGGACACTGTGCACATTGACAACATATCTTTGAGTTTAGTTCCCTCCTGATCTTGTTGGCAAATTGCTGTTCATAGACAAATTCTTTTCTGCCATATACTTCAGGATTTCCCATTTCCAAATTCAGATAACATTCTGCTATAACGAAGTTATTTTAGGATTAATTTATTAAGATGTTCCTTTGTTTCATTGCCTGATGTTGCAAATGTAATTTTGGAGATCATATCACTATACCAAAGAGATTGCGTTCTTAACACAAAGAGGACATTTCTTATAGGTCTTATAGGTTGTTACCTGCAAGCAATTTTGTAATTACTTTCTGAAGGTTTTTATTGTGTTGACTAAGAGAAATCAGTTGTTTTCATTGCTTAAGGAAGGATTAAGGAGTTTGTTTAAGGAGAAACACGAAATAGTTTCCCAACTGGCACATCTGTTAAGGGTACAGGTAAGCTGGCTTGGAAGCGTCCAGTCTGGAAATTCGCCTCTGCACTGTTTTCATGGTGAGAGTTGTGGATAGGAAGGGGAGGTGATGGAAAAGGAGTAGAGGGGTAAAGTGCAACTCTACACACAGGCAGTCAACTCCAGCAGGACAGGAATGTCTTCATGATTCTGCTGCTTAACTCACACACTCAGCTGATCATGAGGCGTGACTGTTCTCTTCCTGAAAGAAGGCAAGACATACAGACAAACGTTCATTGTATCCTTGCTCTGTGGAAGATGTGTGCTACATAAACTCTTCAGGGGAAGACAAGGGACTATAAGAAACAGTCTTAAAGCCATCGATTTAGCAGGAGTGATGTTAAACACCATTAAAGACATTAGTACAGTCTGGGCAACATGGCACAACCCTATCTCTACAAAAAAATACAAAAATTAGTCAGTCGTGATGGTGTGCACCTGTAGTCCCAGCTACTTGGGAGGCTGAGGTGGGACCTCTTGAGCCCAGGAGATTGAGGCTGCAGTGAGTTGTGATCATGCCACTGCACTCCAGCCTGAGCAACAGAGCAAGACTCTGTCTCAGAGAGAGAGAGAGAAAGAGAGAAGATGGTCACGTGGATGTCAGTGTAGGGTTTTGATACCTGTCCCCTTCAAAACTGCTCCTTGGGCTTCCTACGTGCACTCAAATGAATGGGAATTAAGTGGCTAGTCAGTTCCAAAGTACTGAGGACCCCCCTCTCCCCAATGCAGAGCTTCTTCCACAAGCAGCACTTGGCCCCTGGAAGCCCAAGCAGGGATTCCCTCACTGGTCTCCCTATCCCCCACTGGGCGCCTGGGCACATGGAGGAAGGAGATTCCAGGTCCTTGTCTCTACCGGTTTCAGAACAAGGAGTCGGATCAAAGAATCCACAATTCAGAGGGCAGGGAACACTGGAAGAATTTTGCTCACTACTACGTCCCCAGGGCCAAGTGTTGAGTAGAAACTCAACAGAGGCTGACTGAATGAATGACTGAATGGAGCATGACATAGAGTAAGAGTTTCTGTTTATATTTTATGCACCTAATGGAGTGGATTCCTGAAAGAAGGAATTCAGAGTGGATTCCATTAGATGCATAAAATACAAACAGAAATTCTTACTCTATGTCAAGGAAAACATGGCATTATTGTAGGTTGAATCAAACATACATAATTAGACATACATTCTTGCTGCATTTTAAAAAATCACAGCCACTCCAAAATTAATTTTAAACATTTTTCACTTAAGCCATAAAAAGTTATTTCTTTTTAAAAATCTATTTTTTCTAGAACCCTAGATGGTTAATATAGAATAAGCACATTAATTGAGATGACAAAATTGGGGTTACTGGTATTTAAAAATTATCTTTGCATAAAACCTATTTTGTTTTACCTAATCAAACAATTAAGTATTTCCAATGGAATGTTGATTGTTTGGAATACAAAGTACTAAGTAAAGTGCTCAGATTTTTTTTGTTTGTTTTTATTTTAAGAATTGACCAACTATCAATTATCTTTTTTTTTTTTTTTTTTTTTTTTTTAAGAAGGAGTCTCACTCTGTCGCCCAGGCTGGAGTGCAGTGGTGCGATCTCGGCTCACTGCAACCTCCACCTCCTGGGTTCAAGCGATTCTCCTGCCTCAGCCTCCCGAGTAGCTGAGATTACAGGCATGAGCTACCGTGCCCAGCCTAAATATAGTCACCTTCTGAGGTAGCTTGGCATATGAATTTTTCAGGGGACACAGCTTGGCCCACAGCAGAGGAAACACCTAAGATTCAGTCCAGCTGCCTTCTGACTTATTGGATGTCTATATCTATCAGTTCTCTCACTCCCATTTTTAGATCTGTTTTCTAAAATAAAAGGACTTTATCATTTATTAAGACTACAGAAAAATATTATTCTAACTATAAAAAATTGCAGATAAGTGAAATTAAAAAGTGAAAATATTCTTACTCCCCAATCACTGTTAAGAGTTTGATATAGGCCAGGCACAGTGGCTCATGCCTCCAATCCCAGCACTTTGGGAAGCCAAAGTGGGTGGATCACTTGAGGTCAGCAGTTCAAGACCAGCCTGGCCAACATGGTGAAACCCTGTCTCTACTAAAAATACAAAAATTAGCCAGGCGTAGTGGTGCATGCCTGTAGTCCCAGCTACTCGAGCGACTGAGGCAGGAGAATCACTTGAACCTGGGAGGCAGAGGTTGCAGTGAGCCGAGGTCGTGCCTCTGCACTCCAGCCTGGGTGACAGAGCAAGACTCTGTCTCAAAAACAAAAAACAAAACAAACAAAAAAAGAGTTTGGTATATATTTTTCTTCTAGTTTTCTTCTAAGCATAATAAAAATCATACTTTTAAAAGTAACATATGTATTAGATATACTGTTTTTTGCAATGTTCTTTTTTCATTTAATATATTTCCAAGTCAACCTTGTCTGGAATAACATTTTTCCATATTTTGCATAAGTTATTTTGCAAAACTCAGATTAAGGGCATTTGGAGCAAACACAGGCAGAAAGATGTTTTGGACAAAGTAACAAAAATGATGTAAGTGAAGAAATTAATGCTGATTTTTCCCTAATCTAAGAATTGTTCTTTTTTTTTTTTTAAGACCCTGTGGTATACTGCAGTTTGGATTAAATAGAATGAATAAATAAAAAATGACAACAGTGACTTTGTTTTAGGAGTGGCTTAATCTTCCCTATCTACTTCCCCACCTCTCGTGGAGTTAAGCAGTGTACAAGTGACTTATATGAAGGCTGATTTTATATACAGCATATTTAGTTTTCTTGCACTTACGATGTATTTGTTATAAAGGATGTTATTACTGTTAACAATTTGTCGTACGAAAGGATGCACTTCCTGTCAGTTCTTCACCACTAATTTAACAGGATTTTCCCTCATTTGTATTAACCATAGTTTTTCCTGAATTTTTTTTCTAACCCTAATATAATGGAGTAACTGGACAATTTACTGCCTTGTGGCCTAAGAGGAATGACATGCTTTGACATCTGAAGTTAGTATTTTTGAAGACAGACAACCCAACAGAACCCCTAGAGAAACACACTGAAAAAAATGAAACCCCCAGACATGGTTAAAGACCAACTGTGCTGTTAACTGTGGAATTGCTCTCCCTAGCTGGTGCGTCTGAGGCAACTCCCTGTCTCCCAGCAGCTGTTAGACAACATGATGGTATGCTGTGCCAGGTTTTGATCTGTCTCCACTGTGGAGATGGATTGCAATCCATTGAAAGAGCTGAGATTGTATTAATATTTTGAAATCCGTGAATTATAATTTTCTTTCATAAGTGTGGCATGAAGCAGAACTTGACAGCTGCTGCTTCATCTTCAAAGCACTGTCTGAAAGTGAATCTGTCCACGTGTTATTTGCCATCATTTCCCTTCCTGGTCACATCGGCCGGCAAGTGGGTGACAGTTTGTGGATGCCAGGGATCCTTGCTGCAGTGTGACAGTTCCTTGCACACAAGCTGAGGAATCAGAACAGAAGCTGAGTGACACCCTTTACAGCTCAGGGACACCTGCTTGGTGAAGCCAGTTCATCATTCATCCAGCATGCATCTTTTCATTTTTCTGGCAGTGACTTTTACTACCATTTTGATGAGTCCAAGTGCAAATAGGACTTCTATTAGAACAAATAGGAACTCTCTGGGCACTTTAATAAAGCTATCTGGCTGGGAAAAATGATGTATTATGTGTCTGGATAATTTAAAATGTTGTCCCATGATTGAAACATAGTGCTAAAATATGTACGTTGACTAAACCAATCATGTCAAATTAATATGGATAGCCAAGAAGTATAATAACAAATACATGGATGCTTTGGCTGTCTACACTCTTCTTCACCAAAGTGAGCACTTTAATTAGTTTCATGGATAACCTCATCCCCATGTTTCTTTATGTATATGAAAAAATGATACATTTTTATTTTCTAATTTTTCTACTCAAAAGATTGTACAATAACCTGACTAGTCTGCATTTTGTTCTTTTATTGAATATATCTTAGAGACCTTTCTATATCAGCATGAAGTGAGTGTCCTTATTTTAAAATTCTATTTATTTATTTATTTATTTTTGAGACACAGTCTTGCTCTGTCACCCAGGCTGGAGTGCAATGGTGCGATCTTGGCTCACTGCAACCTCTGCCTCCCAGGTTCAAGTGATTCTCCTGCCTCAGCCTCCCGAGTAGCTGGGACTACAGGCGAGTGCCACCACGCCTGGCTAATTTTTGTATTTTTAGTAGAGATGGGGTTTCACCATATTGGCCAGGCTTGTCTCGAACTCCTGACCTCAGGTGGGAATAAACGAATTATATTCATTTTGGCCCACTTTGGCCTCCCAGAGTGTTGGGATTACAGGCGTGACCCACCCACCACACCTGGCCCTTATTAGTTTAAACAACTTTATTGAGATATAATTCACATACCACACCATCACCATTTGAAGTGTACAATTCAGTGGCTTTTTCTAGATCTACAGAGTTGTGCATCCATCACCATGATCAATTTTATTGCATTTTTATTGCCTCCAAAAGAAGCCCTATACCTTTTAACCATCACTTTCCCCAGCCTCCCCACCCGACTCCCATCCGTTTGCCCAAGGTAACCACCAGTCTACTTCTAACTCCATAGATTTCCCTTTCTGGACATTTTATGCAACTGGAATCATACAATATGTGCTCCTTTGTAACTGGCTTCTTTCAGGTGACATAATGCTTTCAAAGTTCATTCATGTTGTCCCCTTGTTCTTTTTGATAGATGCATAGTATTTTATTATACAGAAGTACTGTAGTTTGTTTGACCAACTATTCCCTTATTAGACACATGGGTTGTTCCCAGTCATTGCTCTTTCAAGCAACACTGCAGTGAATAACCTTGAACATATGTGTTTTCCTATGTGTGCTGGTACATATGCATAACACATACCCAGAACTGAGATTTTTGGAGTAGATAGTAGCTACAACTGTAATTACGTTTGATAGTGCCAAATCACTGTATTACACTTTCACCAGCCACGTATGAGAAGCCTGTTTCCTCCAGCCTTGCCAGCATTGCATGTTGTCAAACTCCTAGGTTTTTGCTAATCTATGGGTGGAAAAAATAGAGCATCTCCATGTGGTTTTCATTTGCATATTTCTTATTATGGTTGAGATTGATATAGATAGTTATTGACAATTCTTAGGAGTTCCTTGTTTGAACTACATTTTTTTGGCTTCATCAGAGTGGTGGTTACAGTCTGTCAGCTATGATAATTTGGTTTTCCACAGTGTTTGATTTTTAACATCTTTTTCATATTGTATTTTTGAACTGAGAGTTATAATAAAGACATATATTTTAAGCATAAATAATTATTTGCATAACAAAAGTATCAAAATGAATATAATTTGTTTATTCCTAAGTTATTTTGCTCTTATTTTCCTAGAGTAATTTAATAGGAAATCAATTATCTTTTACTAGTTACGGTTATTTTGGTTGGCAACATAACTGTCCTTATTATGAAACTGCAATCCACATTAAATAAAAACTTCTATTTATAACCAACTGAACTACTTTATTATATGTTAGATGCCTGTCACCAGTCCCATTTGGAATTTCTCAGAAAAAAATAAGCTTTAGTATTTCCTGAAAAAAGAAAAAATACTCTTTCTCTAAATATTCTCCCTCCTTCATTAGATATTTTATCAAGTGAGTGTTCTTTTGAAACTAAGTTTTTTTAAGGACTAAGCGAATCTATCCATGTTTGGAATCATCTAAGCTCACTGTACTGAAATTCTGGGACTTCTGCACAAATTATTTGCATTTTTTCTTAGCAGCAAGTCGTGAGAGGTAAACATTTTTCTCTC
Source organism: Homo sapiens (assembly GCF_000001405.40). NCBI lineage: Eukaryota > Metazoa > Chordata > Mammalia > Primates > Hominidae > Homo > Homo sapiens. Next base: position 222,805,386 of record NC_000002.12, read on the forward strand.
AAAGAATACTATTAGGCATTGAGGTCTAATCTGCACACACACCTAAGAAACTCCTGGGTGTCAAAGCAGGACAGGAGACATGCTTGCATGGGTTACCCTACATCTCCTGAAAGGAACCATGTTGAAAGCAGGGCTGATGGCCAGGCCCCTTAGGACTCTGACATAAACATTCCCAAAGTAAAACCATAAACAAGCCTGCCCTAACTTGTACATGGACTGTCCTGATGCTTCCGAGAGAACCAGGCATGAGACAGAGAGCCTCAGGTAACAGGTGTCAGAATCTGGAACAGGTGAGTAATTGCAATCAGAGGAGGACAGAGGTGCTCTGGAGGGTGCCAAGGTGTTAGCCATCAAAAACTCTGAGACAGCTTCCTAGCGTCTGCAGCAGAAGTTCTTATTCCTGTAAGTCGGAATCTCTTGCATAAGCTGAATCCTCTGAGAGGCCATGCCATTTATTATTAGGCAATGGCAACCACAGCAACAATACTAATACAGAGTGCCAACGCGTTTGACCTCAGCTCACATATTTCCCTGCTCTGTGCATGTCCACAAATGACTGAGAGAGCACAGGGAAGACTGGTCTGGGGACTAAGTGAAATTTTAGCCAGTAGGTAAAGTTGCAAGGATAGAACCTGGTTCTAACAAGGAGTAACTGATACTGTCACCATTGAGAAAAAAAGAAAATTCCCCCTCACCTTTGAGGAACATAGCCCTGGTTGCAGAAGCCACAGAGCAAGGAAACTGATTACAAAGAAGAGCAACTCTGAGTGTTCCAGGGCTGCCACAGTGGGGCCAGCTTGAGGTCCGACACTGATTTTCTGTGGGCCTCTGGACATGTCACAACGTTTCATCAGCTTCCTCGTCAGCAAAACTGATATAACACTTCCTGACCTACCTTCTTCAAAGGGATGTTTTGAAACTAAAATGTAGGAACTCTGAGGAACTAAATAAATTAGATAATGAATTGCAAAATAAATAAATAAATATGTAAATCTAAGGATCGAGGGAAGTTATTTCTGTATGGGAATAGTAGTAAAGGTAATTTTTATTTTCTTTGATTCTCTCTAAATTTTTTTCACAATGATCTCTAATACGAATTATGTTTATACTCAGAAAAAAATCTTTAAAAGCCAAAAGCACTCGTGAGAATGACCTAAATTTCTATGAAACTGCTTGGAAAAGTCAAAATGTTAAAGATTATTTCATTTTCCTGAAATAAATCAATATAAACAGAGGGTTAGTAAACTGAAATGAATTCCAACCTGCTCTGTCATGAATGGAAAAACAAGTCTCACCTGGTTTGGATAGTTAATTTTGTTGTCAGAGCCATTTAGCTCAGGGCTACTTTTGTAACATTAAAGAAAGTCTCCTGCACTGCACAGACTCCACCTGTCCCCACCCAGCCCCCCAGAACTGCCCTTGACTTCATTTGCTCTGAAAGAAAAACAAAGGGAAGGAGGGCGAAGTTATTTTCTCTCAGCACGTAATAGAATATAAAGGGGCAGGGAGTGGGAGTCTAGGACAGTGTATGGCCCAGCTCTCCTAAAAGGAGAAGCCTGCACTAAGTTTCCCCTAGATCTAGTAATGCAGTTTTTAAAATGTAACATTTGTATGCTGGATCCAGGAACAAAATCGACCCACTGTTTAGAAGCACACATTTGTCTCAGCACTTTTGGACAGAGGAGGTTTGTCTGATTGGAAAGCGCACTGCCTTCCATAAACAGGCATTTACTTGCCATCAGATTCCTCCCTGTCATTTCGACTGGACACACAATTCTTTTTCATTTTCTAATCTAAACTGTCCTATGGTGTGGCTGACGGTAATTCAACAGCTGGGATGTTTTATGATAGAGATAGTTGGTACGCCATGCTAGGTAATGTGATCCTAAAATAGATTAAAGAGTGAAGCCTCCTTCAGCTCTCCTCTCTGGCTTACACATAAAACACAAACCTGGCTAATATATCTTATCAATTCCTAGACAATTAGGCCCCTTGCAAAAGTCAGCAAAAAGATCACTGTGTAAATATTTAAAACCACTTTTAGATATGCCAGAAGAAAGAACCACCTTGAAGAATTAATAAGGAATGGTCAACATGGTTATGACTTTTGTCTGTTCTTGATATTTTTCTTTTTTTTTTTTTTTTTTTTTGAAACAGGGCCTTGCTCTGTCACCCAGGTGGAAGTGCAGTGGCATGATCATGGCTCACTGCAGCCTTGACCTCGGGCTCAAGTGATCCTCCAACCTCAGCCTCCTGAATAGCTGGGACTACAGGTGCTGCCACCATGCCCAGCTAAAATGTTTCATTTTTTGTAGAGATGGGGTTTTCACCATGCTGCCCAGGCTGATCTCAAACTCCTGGCCTCAAGTGATCCTTCTGTCTCGGTCTCCCAAAGTGTTGAAATTACAGACACGAGCCACCGCATCCAGCCATGATTTTTTTTAATAAGAAGAAATATAAAGTAATTAATGCTTTCTGAAGCATTGTTGTAACGTTAATTCTGTTTACACAAATAACATGCTGTGTAAGCTTGACTTAAAACATTAACTGTGTCCCACATAAATTTTTATAGAAAAGTCTGTCGTTTCACAATAATCCTTCAAAACATTGCTTCAAAGGAACCTAGAAATGCTAGCCCACTTCGGGAGGGAGCAGAAACCAGCAGGGGTTGAGAATGGCCAGGGGTACAGTTTGAAGTCAGGGGAGGCAGAGAGTCTGGTGTCTGAAAGCTCATTAAAACAGAGATCCCTGGCCAGTGTGGTGGCTCACACCTGTAATCCCAACACTTTGGGAGGCCGAGGCAGGTGCATCACCTGAGCTCGGGAGTTCAAGACTAGCCTGGGCAACACGGTGTAACCTCGTCTCTACTAAAATACAAAAAATTAGCCGGGCTTGGTGATGCATGCCTATAATCCCAGCTACTCAGAAGGCTGAGGTGGGAGAATTGCATGAACCCAGGAGGCAGAAGTTGCAGTGAGCTGAGATGGTGCCACTGCACCCCAGCCTGGGCGACAAAGCAAGACTCCATCTCAAACAGACAAACAAAAAACAACAGAGATCCCAAGGAAAGAGGTTGGCAGATGACAAGCTGAAGGGAATCATGCTTAACTAATAGCTAACACAAATGGTGTGGGTAAAAATTTAATTTAACTAATTAGTTTATTTATTTTTTTGATACAGAGTCTCACTCTATCACCCAGGCTGGAGTGCAGTGGCGCGATCTCAGCTCACTGCAACCTCCACCTTCTGGGCTCAAGCGATTCTCCTGCCTCAGCCTCCCGTGTATCTGGGACCATAGGCATGTGCCACCACACCAGGCCAATTTCTGTATTTTTAGTAGAGATGGGGTTTCACCAAGTTGGCCAGGCTGGTCTCGAACTCCTGACCTCAGGTGATCCACCTGCCTCAGCCTCCCAAAGCGCTGGAATTACAGGCATGAGCCACCATGCCCAGCCTTGAAATTTTAATTTTAAACAAGTTTACCAACTGGAAGTGCTTATGAACATATGAAATATGTATTATCATCTTGATAAATATACTCACAGATCCAGTAATATATATATCATCAAGTCATTTAAATTTCTGTATTATGAGAATTTTTTTGCTTGTAAGTGAAAGAAATTCAATCAAACCAGCTTAAGCCACTAAAAAAGGGCAGGCAATATGGCAACTTTCTGAAATTTCCACTTGAAATTGCTGTGAAACTGAACCTGTTCTAAAAAATAAAGTTTATTTATGCAAGAAAGATGCCAAGGCTGGAAAAAAAAAATAAAGTCTACTTTAAAAAGGGGGTGACAGGCAGATCTGGGGGTAACTGACAGTGTGGATGGAATATTTTTGCCACCCAGATTCATTATTTAGAACAATCCAGATAAGGACTGCTCCTAAAACTATCCAAATGCATGAGATTTTGGTTGGACCTTCGTGATTTTTATCACAGATTAATTACGAGGATAATGCTTTATATATTCTTTTGTGGGGAAAAAAGATCTGTTATTGTACTGCTATGAGAGAATCACTAAAAAGTTCTTATATGAGTAAGGCAGTTAATCCTGATCCTAAAGATGAACATTCGGTAGTGGCATTTGTAAGAATATCCTTAGAAGGAAACTGAGTGTGGAACGTGGCAAAATTGATGATGGTAACCCTGGTGGAAACCAGTCTATTTTGACTTCTCTGTCAATTCATAGGCTTTGGAAAATATTTAGTACCCCCCAGGTACATTTTAAGGCATTTGAGAAGAGTCTTGAAGACTGCCAGATTCTCAGGCTGTTGGAATTTCATGAGCAAGAAGGAAAAATAAGTGAAAACAAAATGATATAAACTCTGGACCATGAAACAAGGATTTGGTTTTGTGGGACATTCAAATAAATATACAGGCAAACTATTTTTGCTGACATGTATAAAGTAAGCCTTCCTTTTAAGCCATTAGACAGAAGCAGATGTCAAAGATGAAATCAAAGAAGGTAGAATCTTGGGTTAGCTGAGCTCAGAGGGACCCCAGAAATCATCTCTCCAGCCTTGTCATCTTACAGTTAGAGACACCGGAGCCTAGAGAACCCAAGTGACTGGCCCAGCTGAGGCTCTTTCTTCCGTGCCACACTTCTCTTGAAATAAAACACACTGAAAGAGCGAGCAATTCCTAGAAACTCCTCCATGACTAGAGGGAAAAACAGAAGGAAGGGAAGGAGGAAAAGGAGATCCTTGCTCAAGGAGGGAGTTCCTCTTCCAGTGGCTCAGCCCAAAGTCCCTTTAATAAATTGTTCTTAAACTTCAGGCAGACATGTCTGTTCATCCCATCAGTTACTCCCAATTATTCATCATTAGTAACCAACGTTCTGTACCCAGTTAAAAATGAGACGGACTTGAATGGATAAAATGTGGTACATCTAGACAATGGCTTATTGTTTAGCACTAAAAAGAAATGAGCTATCAAGCCATGAAAAGACATGGAGAAAACCTCAATGGATATTATTAAGTGAAAGAAGACAACCAGGAAAGGCTACGTACTGACTTTCCGGAAAAGCCAAAATTATGGAGACAGTTAAAAGTATCGGTGGTTTCCAGGGGTTGGGGGAAGGCAAAGATGAATAGGCCTAGCACAGAGCGTTTTTAGGACATTGAAAATCCTTTGCATGATACTCTAATGATGGATACGTGTAATTATATACTTATCCAAACTCACAGACTATACAACACCAAGAGTGAACCCTAGTGTAAACTGTGGACTTTGGTGATAATGATGTGTCAATGTAGGTTCAGCAATTCTACTAATCGTTCCACTCTAGTGGGGACATCGACAATGGGAAGGCCGTGCATGTGTGGGTGAAGGGGGCATATGGAAAGTCTCTGTCCTTTCTCTTAACTTTGCTGAGAACCTAAAACTGCTCTTAAAAAAAGTCTTAAAGAAAGAATAAGACTATGAAAAAAATCAAGATTTTAAAAAATGAAGTGAGTTTCAGGATAGAATGCAAGGAAATGTTAGAAACGCACCTTATATATGCATATTAAAAGGAGTTAATTGGCTTTTAAAATATTAATCTTAATAAACTTATTGTCTTACTAAAAAGTTTATGAGACTATATAAGTACTAATCTAATAAACAATGCTCTATGACCTGAATATCCCAAATATTAGTTAGTAGGAGGATAGATGCCTGCAAGCATGAAAGAAAGATTTAGTTTTGGATTTTCTGTCAATTTCTCGAGTAACTTTGGGAATGTCACTGTACTTTAGTTGTAGCTTCTCAACCCATAAAAAAGGGTAATAAAATTACCCACTGAGGGAACCTCAAAGAAGTGTTCTTACGATTAATGAGTTGATGATGCTGACTTGGCTTACACACCTGAGATGAAAGGCTGTGTATAAAAATGTAATGCCATTGTTGTTATAATTCCTGTTATTGTTCATACACAAGCAAATATAGGTGCACACGTTAGTCACAGCTAAAGATTAGGCCACCCAAGAAAAAGAATGAGTGCCTTTATGAATTGTGATTTCATTTGCACTATTACGTTTTCAGCATTATTTTAGTTAGATATACACCCTAACTTGAGTTATTGTTATAACAAAATGATTTCAAAACCTGACTTCCTGGTAGGAGATGAGGAATATGTGGAATGTTCCAGTAGCCAGCACTGGGACCTTCATAGTGCCTCTTGGATCTCAGTTTCCAAGTCAGTAAAATCCAGTTGTAGGATTAGGTGATCTCTGACTTTTCTATTAGCGCTGAGAGTTTACAATTCTCTATCACTCCAGCAACCCTGAGGGCCAATCCTGCAGCTGATGAAAAATAGAAGCCCTAGGATGAGTACAGTGGCTCATGCCTGTAATCCCAGCACTTTGGGAGGCAGAAGTGGGCAGATTGCTTGAGCTCAGGAGTTTGAGACCAGCCTGGGTATCATGGTGAAACCCCATCTCTACAAAAAATATAAAGTTAGCCGGGCATGGTGGCATGCGCCTGTGGTCCCAGCTCCTTGGGAGGCTGAGGTGGAGGATTGCTTGAGCCCAAGAAGTTGAGGCTGCAGTGAGCCTTGATAGTGCCACTGCACTCCAGTCTGGGTGACAGAGTGAGAGCTTGTCTCAAAAAAAAAGAAAGAAAAGAGAGAGAGAAGGAAGGAAAGAATAAAGAAAGAAAGAGAGAGAGAAGGAAGGAAAGAATAAAGAAAGAGAGAGAGAAAGAAAGAAAGAAGGAAAGAAAGAAAGAAAGAGCAAGAAAGAAAAGAGAGAGAGAAAGAAAGAAAGGAAGGAAGGAAGAAAAAGAGAGAAAGGAAGGAAAAGAAAAGAGAAGTTGGGGAAGGTTGGTTTTAAAACTGAGCAGTACAGTGATGTTTTAATACAGCTGTGCTGTAATCTTCGTTCTGTTACTTTATATTACTTGTAGTCAGACTTCCTCATCTGCAAATGGAGCTCAGAGCTCAGTGACCCTTCAGAGGGTCATTGGGAGGATTACATGAAAGGCTTAGATAGTACCCGGCACATAGGAAATGCTCAACCAATGTCAGATTTTACCAGGCTCTGGAAGGACCTACGTAGCGTCAACTTCACTTGCTCTGGCACCTGTACAACATTCACCAAACACTCACAATGCTCCTAGCAGAGTGCCTCCCACCCAGTAAATGCTCAAGCTAAAGACAATTTTTTTCAAGAAAAGTTTGAATTGCTTATTAATTCAAATCATTGTGGGCTGCAAAGAGCCTGAAAAGTGTCCCCCCAAACTATGCAGAATGGCTTTTGCATGTGCTCATAGCTGAACCTGGTTCTGACCGTTCATTCATCCATTAATTCATTCACCCAAGCACTCATTTATTTATCACTTATTTATCTGGGTCCCTGTGATGCACTTTGTGTAGCGCTGAATGCCAAGAAACAATTTTGAACTGGACAAAATCCCTCAGGGATCTTGCATTCTAATGACATCTAAACTGCTTCTTCCATCTTCTCCGTCTCTGAATTCTCTTTGCTTGTTTCCTGTTGCAGCCAGGGACCTTTGAGGTGACAAAGCTCCCCAAATCGGTATTCATTTGGAAAGCGGAGAAGGCGCCTGTCCTTCTCTGTCGCACTGGCTTTGTATCTGTGACAGTATGCACTGTGCTTAATCATGACAGGTACCAACTATGTTTTTGGGTTTTCTTTGCCGGGCACTACACTAAATGCCTTGTTTTGTATTATCTCCTTTCATCCAACCCAGTGGGGTAAGTAGTAGGTATAATTATCAGCTCTTTTTGGCAGATGTGGAAACTGAGGCATAGGACGTTTAAAGCAACTTGCCCAAGTTACAGGGCCAGTAAATGTTTGAGCTGAGATGTGGAGGCTTCAAGTCAGAATTGCCTAGCTCTGTGTTTTCCCTATGTCTCACAAAGGTTTTAGTGAAATACTTGTTTTGGTTTCCACTTAGAGGCCCTCTTTGCCCCAGTCTTTCCTCCCCATCCCTTTAAGACTGACAGTCTCCATTGAGATGGTGCCAGACATAGATAAGAATGAAAGACTCGGTGCTATTCTAGGGACCGCTCCTCTCCTCCTCTCCAGGGCCTAAGACTTTTGTCCTGGGTCAAGCCTCTTGAGCATGGCTCTCTCTCCCTTGAGAAAAGGTTTTTCACCACGAAGTTCTCCAGCCCTTAATGCAAATTGACATGTGGCAGGCAGCTCCAGATCTGAGTATCTCTTCTGCCCTATATTGCAGAATTAGACAACATACCCACGTTGACCTTTTCTGCATGATCTGTTCTGGATATGACTAATATATGCAGTTGCTGAGACAAACAAATGATTCTGTTCACCCTCCCAAACCTAGGTGCCAAAGTAGCAGATTGCTAGTGGGCAGGGTGTGTCATCTCATTTACCCGCTCTTCCTAGAAGCACATACATATAGCGTTGCAGAGAGTTGCTTACAGAGTGGGAGAGGAAAATTGTTCTTATGTTAAGGAACAGGCTTAATAGTGCTTAGGCCAGCTCACTGCCTTGACATTGGGAGAGGGAGCCAGAGATCAGCTTCCTCATATCATCAATGAACACTGTTACAGTATATGATCTTTGCAAATTTATGTTTTGGTCAGCTAGGGCTGCTGGAACAAAATACCATAGACCGAGTGGCTTAAAGAACAGAAATCTATTTCTCACAGTTCTGAGGCTGGAAGTCTGAGATCAGGGTGCCAGTCTGAGATCAGGGTGCCAGCATGGTTGGGTTCTGGTGAGAGCTCTCCTTCTGGCTTGCAGATGGCTGCCTTCTCAATGTCTTTACATGGTAGTGACAGAACAAGTCCCCATCTCTTCCGCTTCTAATAAAGGCACTAATCCCATCAGAGGGGTCCCACTCCCATGACCTTATCTAAACCAAATCATCTCCCAAAGGCTCCACTTTCAAATTCCATCATATTGGGGGTTAGGGCTTCAACATATGAATATTGAGGGGACATAAATATTCAGTCCACACAATTTATAAAAGACCAGTCATAACTAAAGTCTTTTTCTGAGACTAAGTCTCGCTCTGTTGCCCAGGCTGGAGTGCAGTGGTCAGATCTCAGCTCACTGCCACCTCCACCTCCCAGGTTCAAGCAATTCTTGTGCTTCAGCCTCCCAGATAGCTGGGATTACAGGTGTGTACCACCACACCCAGCTAATTTTTTTGTATTTTTAGTAGAGATGGGGTTTCACCATTTTGGCCAGGCTGGTCTCCAACTCCTGACCTCAAGTGATCCACCCAATTCGGCCTCCCAAAGTTCTGGGATTACAGGCATGAGCCACCATGCCTGGCCACCAATTATAACTAAAGTTTAATAGGCATAAAAAGTGAAATCATAGTATCTATCCAACAAGAGGAAAGGGAGATGGGGAGATCATAGTAGAATGCACCAGAGGTGTCTGAATATGGGTTCCAGGTACCTAGGGACTAACTGAGAGAAACCAGGGAATGAGAACTCAATCCATTTATGAGGAAATGAATATTTTGGAGGGCATGGGCAAGTGCCTTTCTAATAAGATTTCTTAGTACCACACTTTTCAAACTGGGGGCCATATCCATCTGGGAGTAGGAGGAGCCTTTCCTCCACAATAAAACAATTAAACAATATATACACCAGAATCTATGGTAAAGTAAGCGTTGTTCTATGAAACCTTTGCTTATACACATATTTGTGTATGTGTGCACTGGGTTGCACACATCTTTTTTGTGTGGGTTTTGGTCAAAATGTTTGAAAGTCACTGCCAATCTCTTCAATAATAACTCAGAATTTTAAAAAGTTTCTATTATATAATTATTCTCTTCCAAAAATAAACATGGGCACCGTTTCACTGCTGTGGCCATTTTCTTCTTCCTCTTTTAAAATCTTTTCCAGTTCTAACAAATAAAATTTGATGATGTTCAATAGTAGGTTAAGGGACTTAAGTCTCCTTCCATGAGATAATGATGACTTTTGAAAGCTCATTGTTAAAAGAAATCTATAAAATTTAACTAAAGAAAATACGTAAGGTTGGGCATGGCTGCTCACACCTGTAACCCCAGCACTTTGGGAGGCCAAGGAGGGCAGATCACCTGAGGTCAGGAGTTCGAGACCAGCCTGGCCAACATGGTGAAACCCCTTCTCCACTAAAACTACAAAAATTATCTGGCTGTGGTAGAACATGCCTGTAATCCCAGCTACTTGGGATGCCAAGGCACGAGAATTGCTTGAACCTGGGAGGCAGAGGTTGCAGTGAGTTTAGGTCGTGCCATTGCACTCCAACCTGGGCAATACAGTGAGACTCTGCCTCCAAAAAAAAAAAAGAAAGGCTCTCCCTCTGCCTCTGCCTCTGCCTCTGCCTCTGCCTCTGCCTCTGCCTCTGCCTCTGCCTCTCCCCACGGTCTCCCTCTCATGCGGAGCCGAAGCTGGACTGTACTGCCGGATGGGCCGGTCTCCAGCCCCTAACCGCGAGTGATCCGCCAACCTCGGCCTCCCGAGGTGCCGGGATTGCAGACGGAGTCTCGTTCACTCAGTGCTCAATGGTGCCCAGGCTGGAGTGCAGTGGCGTGATCTCGGCTCACTACAACCTACACCTCCCAGCCGCCTGCCTTGGCCTCCAAAGTGCCAAGATTGCAGCCTCTGCCCGGCCGCCACCCCGTCTGGGAAGTGAGGAGTGTCTCTGCCTGGCCGCCCATCGTCTGGGATGTGAGGAGCCCCTCTGCCTGGCTGCCCAGTCTGGAAAGTGAGGAGCGTCTCCGCCCGGCCGCCATCCCATCTAGGAAGTGAGGAGCGCCTCTTCCCAGCCGCCATCACATCTAGGAAGTGAGGAGCATCTCTGCCCGGCCGCCCATCCTCTGAGATGTGGGGAGCGCCTCTGCCCCGCCGCCCCATCTGGGATGTGAGGAGCGCCTCTGCCCGGCCGAGACCCTGTCTGGGAGGTGAGGAGCGTCTCTGCCCGGCCGCCCCGTCTGAGAAGCGAGGAGACCCTCTGCCCGGCAACCACCCCGTCTGAGAAGTGAGGAGCCCCTCCGCCCGGCAGCTGCCCCGTCTGAGAAGTGAGGAGCCTCTCCGCCCGGCAGCCACCCCATCTGGGAAGTGAGGAGCGTCTCCGCCCGGCAGCCACCCCGTCCGGGAGGGAGGTGGGGGGGGGTCAGCCCCCCGCCCGGCCAGCCGCCCCGTCCGGGAGGGAGGTGGGGGGGTCAGCCCCCCGCCTGGCCAGCCGCCCCGTCCGGGAGGGAGGTGGGGGGGTGAGCCCTCCGCCCGGCCAGCCGCCCCGTCTGGGAGGTGAGGGGCGCCTCTGCCCGGCCGCCCCTACTGGGAAGTGAGGAGCCCCTCTGCCCGGCCAGCCGCCCTGTCCGGGAGGGAGGTGGGGGGATCGGCCCCCCGCCCGGCCAGCCGCCCCGTCCGGGAGGGAGGTGGGGGGGTCGGCCCCCTGCCCGGCCAGCCGCCCGGTCCGGGAGGGAGGTGGGGATGTCGGCCCCCCGCCCGGCCAGCCGCCCCGTCCGGGAGGTGAGGGGCGCCTCTGCCCGGCTGCCCCTACTGGGAAGTGAGGAGCCCCTCTGCCCGGCCAGCCGCCCCGTCCGGGAGGGAGGTTGGGGGGTCAGCCCCCCGCCCGGCCAGCCGCCCCGTCCGGGAGGGAGGTGGGGGGGGGTCAGCCCCCCTGCCCGGCCAGCCGCCCCGTCCGGGAGGTGAGGGGCGCCTCTGCCCGGCCGCCCCTACTGGGAAGTGAGGAGCCCCTCTGCCCGGCCACCACCCCGTCTGGGAGGTGTGCCCAACAGCTCATTGAGAACGGGCCAGGATGACAATGGCGGCTTTGTGGAATAGAAAGGCGGGAAAGGTGGGGAAAAGATTGAGAAATCGGATGGTTGCCGTGTCTGTGTAGAAAGAAGTAGACATGGGAGACTTTTCATTTTGTTCTGCACTAAGAAAAATTCCTCTCTCTTGGGATCCTGTTGATCTGTGACCTTACCCCCAACCCTGTGCTCTCTGAAACATGTGCTGTGTCCACTCAGGATTAAATGGATTAAGGGCGGTGCAAAAAAAAAAAAAAAAAAAAAAAAGAAAGAAAAAAAGAAAATATGTAAATAAAGAGAGATAATGTACCATATCCTTGAATGCAAAGACTCAATAGCATTTAAAGTCTTTTGCAATATTGGATTCTCATTTCCTCACAGGTAAACTTGCTTTTTAGTTTTGTCCATTTGGCTGTTTAATCCTTCTACTGACATTTGTCTATTATATTTAAAACTTTCAAGATATTAGTTATTTCATGTCTATGATATCCTCTCAAATTTTCTGAGGATATTAATTTTTGTCATAACATCTTTTGCCTGTCTAATTAGCTATATTCTCTCAGGCATTTATTCTTCTGTTTATTGAATTCGGTGCCATTTTATGATAGTGTTTCTCCCTAAATATTTAGTGATACTTGTTTTCCTCTTGATCTTTGTACTGAAAGTTTCTGGCCACCTGCCAGTTATACCTAGCGTTCTGGGAGCAGGTGGGGTGGACAGGAGAACTGTGTTGACAGGAGGAGGCGACCTTTAGCTTCTCCTTAAGTGTGGAAGCTACCAGTGCCCATAGGGATGTGTAATTTTCCACATCTTGTCTCTATAGCACCAGTGCCCACAACCAAGGCCTTAACTGTGAGCTAATCCCTGAGCTTTCCAAATTTCTCCTACATCTTTCCTTGTGTATTCTGCTCCTCAACCATTGCTTCTCAGTTGGATGTGTTCCTAGGACTGCTCTCAACATTAAACCTTGTTTTCTTCTGGTTATTAATCCATAGTGCTAGCCCTTAGGGATCTCTGTTAGTAATCCTTTAACTTTTTTGGTCCATTGAAAACACTCTTATTTCCAAGTCTAATATGAAATTTATTCCGGCTTAATGTTTGTTCCAGCTCCAAAACCACAAATTATGACATCATGTATATATCTCCTGATCTAACATTTTAACTGTATCTTTGATGTTTAATATTCATCTTTCTTTCTTTTTTTTTTTTTTTTTGAGATGGAGTCTCACTGTCTCCCAGGTTGGAGTACAGTGGCGAGATTTTGGCTCACTGTAAGCTCTGCCTCCCTGATTCACGCTATTCTCCTGCCTCAGCCTCCCGAGTAGCTGGGACTACAGGCGCCTGCCACCATGCCCAGCTAATTTTTTGTATTTTTAGTAGAGACAGGGTTTCACCGTGTTAGCTAGGATGGTCTCAATCTCCTGACCTCGTGATCCACCCGCTTCGGCCTCCCAAAGTGCTGGGATTACAGGCGTGAGCCACTGCGTCCAGCCCATCTTTCGTATCTTAAATCAGTACCTTCCCTAAAATGGATAAATAGTATTTTCACTATCTGTCCTCTCTTTTTAGCAAAGCAATATCCTCTGAAAAAGTAAGAAGGAAAGATCTCAAGTGTATAGAATTATCCTTCTCATGTCAAATTACTTGTATTATTAATATAGGCTGGGTCGGCTGGGCGCGGTGGCTAAAGCCTGTAATCCCAGCACTTTCAGAGGCCAAGGCAGGCAGATCATGAGGTCAGGAGTTTGAGACCAGCCTGGCCAACATAGTGAAACCCTGTCTCTACTAAAAATACAAAAATTAGCTGGGTGTGGTGGCATGCACCTGTAATCCCAGCTATTTAGGAGGCTGAGGTGGGAGAATTGCTTGAACCCAGGAGGCGGAGGTTGCGGTGAGCCGAGACCATGCTATTGCACTCCAGCCTGGGTGACAGAGTGAGACTCCGTCTAAAAACAAATTTTTATATATATATATATATATATATATATATATATATATATATATATATATATATATATATATGTTTCAAATCCAATACATTGGCTTTATCTATATAATTGGTTTTCATGATCAGTGTCATTTCATTTCCTACAGGAATAGCAGGGCAGGCACTTAAATAATGTCTTTACCAGACTTACCTTCTGTCCCCAGTAGATAGAAATTTGTAAAAGGCTGTTGAAAAAAATGTCGAAAGTCAGAAAAGCCTGTCATCTGAAGCTTCAGTTTCTGTAGAATGGGGCTTGTTGCCTTAATCTTTGTATTTCTGCAAAGTCTCTTTGCTTCTTAGGTTAGTTGTACAAATTACAATCCATTTATCATTCAAGTGTAAGTGTGAAAACGCCTTCTAGGGCAATTATTGAGAAAAGACTGAGTCTCTGACAAAAATAAATACTGACTTAGAACCAGACAGAAACTGTATATTACTAGGAAACCTTTCTCATTAATGGATCAATGAGATCAATCAGTAATTAAGCACTTCCCACAACTCAACACAGAACTCCCTCAATAGCAAAGCCAGTAAAAAATGAGTTTTTACTCATTTTTTTAGGCTAATTTCAAGAAATAGGAGAAAACAAAGAGACCAAAGAAACTAAGAAATCACTGCAATGATAATATGGGAGTCATTATAGGCAGGATTTGGGGACATTTGCCTTCACTTATTCTGGCCTGGTAGATAAATTGGGTCCTGTTTTTTTTCTGCAGCCTTATGTAACAGTCTTACTTTTTCAGGTTGAATGGAGTTCACAGTGGTTCTTAACCTCATTTTCTTCTAGCTAAAAGTTATGACTCATTTATATCTGCAATTGCCTCACCCTTTCATTTTTCAGTGGAGCTAAGGCATCGGGATTATGGGTGGGAGGCAGATCCTCAACAAGAAGCCTGAGGAATGGACTGGAAGATACTAAGGCTGGCAAAGGAACACAGGCTTCTGCCTGCTTTGTTTTCCAGAACTCGGTCTTCCTTTTCTTGGAATGTTGTCTTCATTCTATCTCATCTTAAAAGTCACCTCCTCCAGGCAGCCTTCCCTGACTCTCCAGACCCTCTGTCCTTATTCTTCTTCATCTAGGCATGTGATTATATCACTCCCTGGACCTTAAGGTCATGAAAACTGTGACTTTGTTTTGCCCACAAGTGGCACTGCCAAGATATCACATAGTGCCTGGTGCATAGCAGGTACTGTAAACATGTAGTGAATGTGTGGATTACATCTCTTTTCCGGCATCGAATCCTAAGTTCTGATTGGGTTTGTGAGGCCTGAGTCTGAGTTGTTGGCAAAAGTGAAATTTCCCCAGCACTTAGCAGAGTATCTTCCTTTTTCATCTTGCCTCTCCTTCAGTTGTCCTTCTTACTCACTCATTCCCATTTCAAGCTTGGCTCAAAAAGTGCTAAGTATGGCTTCAATATTTTGCTGATGAAATGGTATCTTTTTATTATCTGGCTAAATATCTTCCTAACCCTGTCATATTCTCTGTAAAAAAGAGATAAGAATTCAGTTATAAAGCCCTTTGAATAAGTTGATTATGATTTTTATAAACTGAAAATAAAATACTGACGTTGAGTGAGTTCAATTATTGCTATAATTGCAGGGAGTCATCTTTTCTGAAATCAAATTTGTAACTTAATCCTTTCAAGAAAAGTAATATTTTGACTATGGCTGGTAATCAGACAAAGAAAAAGTCTTAAATTATAACAGAAAGGCCCAATTAACATTCAAAATTGATTTGCCACCCAGATCATCTAATGGTATCAAGTACAGCATTATTTTCACAAAATGTTTAAAATCGAGGGGGAGATAAAAATTGTGTGAAGCATTTTACCTGAAGTATTAATTAAATGCAATCATTTAATAAGTTAAGAATGTTTAAAAATTTTTTAAATATCCATTTTAATATAGAAATAGAGCTGGGTGCGGTGGCTGACGCCTGTAATCTCAGCACTTTGGGAGGCTGAAGTGGGCGGATCACCTGAGGTCGGGAGTTTGAGACCAGCCTGACCAACACGGAGAAACCCCGTCTCTACTAAAAATACAAAATTAGCTGGGCATGATGGCGCATGCCTGTAGTCCCAACTACTCAGGAGGCTGAGGCAGGAGAATCACTTGAACCTGGGAGGCGGAGGTTGCGGTGAGCTGAGATCGTGCCATTGCACTCCAGCCTGGGCAACAACAGTGAAACTCTGCCTCAAGAAAAAGAAAAAAAAAAGAAATAGAAATGAGGTCTCACTATGTTGTTCAGTCTGGTCTTGAACTCCTGAGCTCAAGTGATCCTCCTGCCTTGGCCTCCCAAAGTGCTAGGATTACAGGCATGAGCCACCACACTCAGCCTAAAATTTTTAAAAATTTGCTCTGGAAATATTAGCAATGTAACAACTTTCAGAATAACAGATGTAGAATAGTGAGAAAATTGATTAAAACTATTAAACTAATTTTTAGGTTAATAATTACAGTTGATCTTCTTTATCTGCAGGTCTACATCCACTAATTCAACCAAAAGTGCATTGAAAACATTTTTTTAAATGGCTGAGTGCAGTGTCTCATGCCTGATATCCCAGCACTTTGGGAGGCCAAGGCGGGCAGATCACCTGAGGTCAGGAGTTTGAGACCAACCTGGCCAACATGGCGAAACCCCGTCTCTACTAAAAATACAAAAAAATTTAGCTGGGCATGGTGGTGTGTGCCTGTAATCCCAGCTACTTGGGAGGCTGAGGCAGGAGAATCAACTGAACCTGGGAGGCGGAGGTTGCAGTGAGCCAAGATCGCATCGCTGCACTCCAGCCTGGGCGACAGAGGGAGACTCTATCACAAAAAAAAAAAATTTTATATATATATATATATTTAAAAACAAACCATAGAAAATGAAACGACAAAGAATAATACAAATTAAAAAACAATACAGTATAATAATTACATACATAGCATTTACATTGCATTAGGTATAAGTAATCTAGAGATGATTTAAAGTATACAGGAGGCTGTACATAGATTATAAGGAAATACTATACCATTTTAAATAAGCGACTTGAGCATTCATGGATTTTGATATCCACAGGGTGGAATTCAATTCCTGGAACCAATTCCTTGTGGATACCAAGAGATGACAATATGTTGCTATATAAATTGGCTATACGGATTTTTCCATCAGTATATCACATTAACGAAGTTTAATTTATCCTTTCATCATATTTTTAACTCAGTGTGATTAAAAATACATTAATACTACTTATTTTTCCAATTCATTTTTTTTATATTGCAGGGAGAAATTTCTGAAAGATTTTACCCAAGAAGGAGAGTTCTTAAATAAGTAGTTAAGAGTGGTTAAATAAGCCAACTTAAAGAAGTAGAATGTGAACTAGTTTTATTTTTAAAGTTTGTTTTACCTGATCAAGAACTTTCAACTTATAACTTAGTTAAAATATTAAAACGTTAGGCCGGGCGCTGTGGCTCACGCCTGTAATCCCAGCACTTTGGGAGGCTGAGGCAGGCGGATCACGAGGTCAGGAGATCGAGACCATCCTGGCTAACACGGTGAAACCCTGTCTCTACTAAAAATACAAAAAAAGTTAGCCGGGCATGGTGGCGGGCGCCTGTAGTCCCAGCTTCTTGGGAGGCTGAGGCAGGAGAATGGTGTGAACCCAGGAGGCGGAGCTTGCAGTGAGCTGAGATCGAGCCACTGCACTCCAGCCTGGGCGACAGAGCGCGACTCCATCTCAAAAAATATATATATATATTAAAACGTTAAGGAGGGAGAAACATTAAGGTATGAATAACAATATAAAGACAGTCTGTATCACATATTTTTCAGAGCTAAAAATAAACAAATGTAAGACATTATTCAATGGCGGGCATGCTTATGCAAACCTAAACCCAAAGTCTGAGGAGGCGGAGAGGCTGAAGAAAGAGGCTGAAATACCTGGTGTCTCAAAAAGAAATGTTTAATAGGGGCTTACCAACAGAACGATATAGTCTTAGGTGGCGGCAAGACCACATGGTGAATCCTGGCACCATTACCCCCCCAGATCCAGGGCATACGTATCACAGGGAAAGGGTGTATGCGATTCAGAGGGGATGTGTAGACAACTGAAGTATGATAACATCAAGGCTATTTTGACCCAAGGGTGGAATACACCGTAAATACATGCTCTTACCTAAAGAACAATAGATAAACTGGAAAGCTTAGAGGCCTTCCCAGAACTGGGGCTAATCAGAAGATAACATGGCAGATGAGCATCCAAGATGGAGTTACTTTTGCCTCCACGGATGTACTAAATTGAACCGAGTGTATATGCAAGTAAAGGTTAACTGCATTCTGTTGTAGTCTGGTCTTGAATGCAGAGAGGATTCTTGTATTGAAGCAAACATGCCTGTTTGGTCATTAATGGATCTAGCGTGTAGAATATCCAGCACTGGCTGAGATCATAGCATGATATTATTTTAATTAGTATGATGTGCTTGATCATGTTCAAAGTTCAAATAAGGTCACATCTTCCTTTAATAATCAAGTTACTTAATCACTGGGGCGCTACTTGCCCAGATGTGCAGAATTCTGCTTTCTCTCTTGAGGGCTTCTCCCAAGAACACTAAGAGGTTACAGAGTCCAGCCAGGCCAGTCCTGCTTCCAAATATCTTGCCAAGGGAGCCTGGGAAAGCTGACTAGTTCACTGGTAGATTTCGCATTTTCTGAGGCTGTGGCTTTTGTGCATGGGCCCAGGTTTCCACTCTGTTTGGCCACAGTTCCCAAAAGCACATCTTCCTTGTCAGAGTAAGCCATGCACTCTGCTGGAACCAGCTCTCAATAATCTAGACCTTGATATTGAGCTTAGGAGTCTAGGCCAGTTCACCCTTTTCTTCTTGGCCAGATTCTCCTTGCAGACCATCTCAGTCCCATATACAGAATCTGAACCCCAAAAGGGTAGGAATTATAAATCTCTACATTTTCCCCAAAGCTTCTAGTTCCCCATGCAAATTTGGCCACATTCTCCCCAAAACATACCACTCCTGCATACCATGGAGTATTGATGGAGCATACTTTGATAGGCCAAAAAACAAAACAACTACAACAAACTAAGACAACTTCAAATAAAAATTTAAAAAAAGCAATGCTTTCCTAAACCAAGACAACATTTATTTGCTGCTGCCATCTAGGCTGAGATGTGTTCAACATTATTTAAATGACAATCTCTCTAAGTAAATTTAAATTCAGCACTAAGCAATAAAACAATATTCAAAGTACAATAGATTTGAAAATAAGTTTATTTCTCAATCTCTTCTTGCGTTAACTTTACTTCCTTCCAATCTTGCGGGTAAAGTGTCTTTACTTCTGGATGAGGAAACTCTAAGACCACTGAACAACACATTGACAAGGAATAGAGCTACCCCTACAGCTTTGATAAACATGTTTCATTGTACACACAACCAAGAAATAGCTCTTAATATTATATTTCTCCTAATTCAACTTTCTGTATATTTTTGAAATCCTTATTTAACTTCAAAGGGTCTCTTCTTGGAAGAGAATTATGAATCCAATCTATGTTATCTGACTAAAATACAAGAAATAATATAAATTTGTTGCAGATGGGTTACAATTTGATTATGTTCCTCATCCTTAGCAAACCTTGGTAGTTTGTGATCAAATACAGACTTAATACC
The DNA here is from genome assembly GCF_000001405.40 of Homo sapiens. Classification (NCBI taxonomy): domain Eukaryota; kingdom Metazoa; phylum Chordata; class Mammalia; order Primates; family Hominidae; genus Homo; species Homo sapiens. The sequence goes on from NC_000002.12 coordinate 222,824,762, forward strand.
TCCATCAAGTAAAATCAAACAAATCCAGAAACCTCTCTAGCATCTTTCTACCAATTTTTAAATGCCAAATTTTTACCTTCTGTGTCTTCATGGTAGGAATTCTTAGATATATTTTCTTTAAAAAAAAAAGTCTGGTTTTAATTTTTGTCTTAGTACTCATGCTTGTACTCTTTAATCTTCAGAGCTGAGAATTATTCTCTTCTACACTTTTAATTTAAAATCTTATTTATGAGAACAAAGACTTTCTGTTTCCAGTCACTTATGGAGCCTCCTTTGAATTTCAAGAATTAAACATTACTCTAAATGTATGTTTTTTATTTCTTAGTCAAATCTAGATGTCTCTAGATTTTGTTGTAGTATAAAAGACTGTGAAATACCATGAGTAGTTCTGAATATATATAGTCTCCAGTGATTTGTTAAGCAGTTATTTGTTAAGTAATGAACCACTCAAACTTCAAAATTTCTGTAGGGTTTTACAGAAAACCCCTCAGGGTAGAAACTCAGTGGCTGGCAACTAAATCTATTCTGAACAAGATCTTTCAAAACATTTGAGGAGTTCATTTACAAGATCATAAATATTCTCAGACATTTACTTCAGTTGGATTTTATTTCCAAGTCAGCACATCGGCAACACTCCACATGGCATAGAGCAAAAAGGATCCTATGTATTAATTAAGACTTTTTGCAAGTGACAGAAAAACACCTCTAGCTAATTTAGACCATGAAGGGGATTTATTGGCTCACATAATAAAATGCTCCAAGATATACAGCCTTCAGACAAGATTTGAGCTCATGGTTCAAATGGTCTCATCAAGAAGGATATCATCTTCTTGTTCTTCCGGGTATCTCACCTCTCTCCATCCCTCCCCAGAAGCTCTAGGGGGCAAAATGGCAGCAGCATTCAAAGACCTCCCATCTTCACATCACACCTTCTAGGATAACCAGCTCCTTCGGGGGCCTTGGGTATCACCATCTCTTTGACCAAAATCGTGTAACTTGTTGTTTCAGGAAAATTCTCCTCAAAGAGTGTTTTGATGCCTACATACCAAGCAGCAGGCACCAGCTGGGTGTCCTCCAATTCCATTCTGACACTATCTACCAGGAGATAGTGTCAGATCCCAGAGGCTGTGGGCTCAGTCCCTAAGACTGTCCCCCTCTTCAGCCACCAGTTGCAAGTCTGGGCATCCAGAAGTTCCGGCTGACTGGCTTCCAGTTGGGGTTCCTAAGACCCCTCTTTGGGTTCAATTAATTTTCTGGACAGCAGCTTGTGGAACTCAGGGAAACACCTGCATTTACTGGTTTATTAAGAAGGACATTACAAAAGATACAAATGAAGGGATGTGTAGGGTGAAGTCTGGGGCAAAGGGTGTGGAGCTTCCATGCCCTCCCTGTGCCTTCCACCCTCCAGGAACCTCCATGTGTTCAGCTATCTGGAAGCTCTCTGAACCTGTCTTTTTTTTTTTTTTTTGAATGGAGGCTTCATTAGATAAGCATGATTGCCCTCTCTGTGTAGCGTTCCTTCCTCTAGGATGTGGGGCAGGACCCTCTCTGGAATGAGGGGCTTTATTTTTATTTTTATTTTTTATTTTTTTAATGTATTTTATTTTATTTTATTCTATTTTATTTTATTTTTTTGAGATGGAGTCTTGCTCTGCTGCCCAAGCTGGAGTATAGTGGCACAATCTCACCTCACTGCAACCTCCGCCTCCCAGGTTCACGCCATTCAAGGAGGGGCTTTTGACCCACAATGAGTTTAGAGTTTTGTCTTGGGCAGGTGAAAAGAGAATAGGAGAGGGTTAGAGAGAGAGATTCTATTTCTTAAGACCTGCTTCTGAGGCTTAAAGTGCCCTGACATTATAACAAAAGACTGCAGCAAGGGCTATGAGAGTTATGAGCCAGGAGCCATGGACAAAAACCAACATATATATATATATATATAAAATCAGAATATCACACTTGTCTATCCCTGAGCCAATCTCTGTGGCCAAGGGGATGGAACATGTTGATAAATCTTAGATCTAGCACCCCAACCCCCTTCCCAGAAGTGAGGTTGATTCCTTAGGCAGAGGTGGAGTGCTTGCTGTACCCTAATGGCAGGAGATGGGGTCATAGTTGGATGGATGGTGATGGGGCATGACACCCTTCCTCTCCATACTCTTTTCTTTCCCATTGAATTTTAGTGGAAGACATTGGGATATAGAAAATAGGTTTCTAGATGTTGACAACCTACTTGACTGCTTTTAGATTTATGTCCTCCAGAGTAGCCTGTTGTCTCTGGCCATTTCTGCAGGGCAAAACATATGTTTCTACACCTTTGTTGATGTAATTCATTCAGCCATCATTTCACTATTTTGTTCATTCATTTGTTCATTTAATATATATTTACGTGCCCAGTTCTGTGCTTTTTTTCCCATATCTTCTCTTAAGACTGAGTTATAGGCTGGGCGCAGTGGCTCATGCCTATAATCCCGGCACTTTGGGAGGCCGAGGAAGGCGGATCACTTGAGGCCAGGAGTTAGAGACCAGCCTGGCCAATATGGTGAAATCTCATCTCTACTAAAAATTCAAAACCTAGCCAGGCATGGTGGTGCACACCTGTAGTCCCAGCTACTTAGGAGGTTGAGGTGGGAGGATCGCTTGAACCCGAAAGGTGGAGGTTGCAGTGAGCCAAGATTGTGCCACCACACTCCAGGCTGGGTGACAGAGTGACTCCTTATCAAAAAAAAAAAAAAAAGACTGAGTGAAGATGCTGGGCCTGGTGGAGCTGAACCCAGGCAGAGCCAGTGTGCTCAGAGGTAATGGGAGTAGAGGGGACGATGTTTGAGTAATTTTCCTTGCTGATACACAGGTCTGCCAAGAGCTTTTCTTTATAGGCATATGACTAACTCCACCCACTCTCACCTAGAAATGCCTGGGAGTTTTCCAGGTAGTTAATTAGCTATTCACAGATAATCCTTGGGAAGCTCCAATTTTCAAACAAAGTATCTTTTAATGGCACTTTTAAATTATCTCCTTAGATAACAAATGTAATCACTGCCATTTATTGAATGCCTACTAGGCACTAAGTTATTCATTTTACTTACATTAGGTTATTAATTCTTTACACAAACCACTAAGGTAAGAATTATGATTTTACCATTATAAAATGAAGGCATAGAAAGGCCAAGTGAATTTCTCAAGGTGGAAAGCAACAGAACCAGGGTGTAAACCTAGGTCTGTCCAATGCCAAAACCAGTGCTTATTCCACGGGCCTCTCTCTCCCATGGTACACTGCAGCATTACTAAATATCAAACCTTATTTTCATTATTAGGTCACAATGAAACCCAGCTATCCTAACAGTGTCTATTAAATTCAATTTAGTAAGTAATTCTGAAACTAAGACTTAGATTTGGAATGGGGCTGGGCACGGTGGCTCATGCCTGTAATCCCAGCACTTTGGGAGGCTGAGGCAGAAGTTCAAGACCAGCCTGACCTATATAGTGAAACCCCATCTCTACCAAAAGTACAAAAAAATTAGCCGGGCATGGTGGCGTGCCCCTGTAGGACTACTTGAGAGGCTGAGACAGGAGAATCCCTTGAACCTGGGAGGCGGAGTTTGCAGTGAGCCGAGATTGTGCCGCTGCACTCCAGCCTGGGTGACAGAGCGAGACTACATCTCAAAAAAAAAAAAAAAAAAAAAAACAAGATTTGAATGGATCTAGAAGACTATGCTAATAGAACTACATTTTTACTGGGAACTAGTAGTAGAATTTAGGTTTTCTTTTTTTTTTGAGACAGGGTCTCACTCTGCCACCCAGGCTGAAGTTCAGAGGCACAATCTTAGCTCACTACAACTTCTACCTCGCAGGCTCAAGCTCAAGCTCCAACCTCAGCCTCCCGAGTAGCAGGAACCACAGGCACAGGCCACCACGCCTGGCTAATATTTTTTGTATTTTTCGTAGAGACGGGGTTTTACCATGTTGCCCAGGCTGGTCTTAAACCTCTGGGCTCGAGTGATTCATCCACCTTGGCCTCCCGAAGTGCTGGGATTACAGGGGTGAGTGACCGCACCCATCCGAATTCAGTATTTCTAACTCCCAACTTGTTCTTTTCTGAATCCCTAAAAAGAAACTAAGACACAGACCCTTCCTGAACTTAGAGTCTAGTTGGATTACAGGTCTTACAGAAACAACGCTGCTCTTAATTGTCAAAGCGAACTGTACAAATGTAGTTGAATGTCAAATGGAATATTAACAACAGTAAAAACTGCCGGAGGAACTTTAGTGTGCATTCCTTCTGCTGTTTCATTTTGTTTTCACAATTTTGGGGAAAGCTTCTTTTGCCTTTTCCCATTGTTCCACCTGGAGGAACTTCCATTAGAATAATGCATTTATCTTAGAAGTGAGTTACTTAATGGTGATAGTGAGGATTCCACACCTAGTGGTGCATGTTCCTTGATTGTGTAAAATTAATTTACTTAAAAGCTGCAAGGCTGCATTCATCAGAGATTCATTCTCTTTCCTCTCTACCAGACCAGTGCAAGGCAGTGATTCCAGATAGGTGCACCTGCCAAGGTGCTCTGTCCTACAGTTCACACTGCGTGAGATGGGCTGGAATGTTAGCCAGCCCTGCCTTTGGCTACAGGTGTAAATTCATGTTCTCCCATCAACTGCCACTTTCCCTCCATCTGTCAACTCCCTGTGTCTTATGTCTCAGTTGCTTCAGAACTCCACAGAGGAAAAAGGAAGTGGTTTGTTTGTTTGTTTGTTTGTTTTGTTTTTTTGTTTTTTTGAGATGGAATCTTGCTCTGTCTTGCCCAGGATGGAGTGTAGTTGCGTGATCTCAGCTCACTGCAGCCTCCCCTTCCCGGGTTCAAGTGATTCTCCTTTCTCAGCCTCCCGAGTAGCTGGGACTGCAGGCGTGTGTCACCACGCCCAGCTAATTGTGTATTTTTAGTAGAGATGGGGTTTCACCATGTTGGCCAGGCTGGTCTCGAACTCCTTCTGACCTCAGGTGATCCGCCCGCCTTGGCCTCCCGAAGTGCTGGGATTACAGGTGTGAGCCACCGCACCCAGGCTTCCTCCTTTCTTATCTCTGACTTCTCTCTCACTCCTGCTACCTGGGATCACCACCGATTAAACTATACCTGCAATTGAGAGGCCAAGGCTGCTGGATGGCTTGACCCCAGGAGTTCAAGACCAGTCTGGGCAACATGGCAAAACCCCATCTCTACAAAAAAGTACAAACATTAGCTGGGCATGGTGCATGCGCCTGTAGTCCCAGCTGCTCGGGAGGCTGAGGTGGGAAGATCATCTGACCCTGGGGAGGTCGAGGCTGCAGCGAGCCAAGATCGCACCTCTGCACTCCAGCCTGGGCAACAGAATGAGACCCTGTCTTAAAAAATAAATAAATAAATAAATTATCTGCACTCAAATCCTGGCTCTGCTTTTGCAGAGACCCAAACTAAGTCAATGGCAAAAGAAGATGGGATATGTACCTATTTGGAAATTAATAAAAAAGAAAAGAAAAAAAGAATCTATCCAGGTGGAGCAGACTGCTCCCTTGAGATAGACACTCCCATCCCAGCCTATCTCAGCACACACAGCAGTCTTCCTCCTTGTCATTGCCCTTGTTTAGGTCTAGCTGTCATCACCTAGGGTAAAAATAAAGCCCCTTCTTCCTCAAAACCATGCCTGTGAATCCTCGCCTTTTCTCACAGCCTGGGCTTATTATCCAGCTTCATTCTTAATTTGCGCTGTTCACTAGAATCAAGCAACTAGTTCAAGTTTAAAACAGTCTCTTATAACTGTGAGCAAACGTCAAGATCTTACTTGAGCTGAGTTATGAATACAGTGTCAAGTTCCTCTGTTGGCTTATCCTGACTTCAAACTGTTAAAGAGTATTTTCTGGCACTTACTGCTATCCTTTCCCCATTTTAGACAATAGGCTTTTTCTTTTTCTTTTTTTTTGAGGTGGAGTCTTGCCCTGTCACCCAGGCTGGAGATCTTTGCTCACTGCAACCTCCACCTCGCAGGTTTGAGTGATCCTCCCACCTTAGCCTCCTGAGTAGCTGGGATTACAGGCACTCGCCACCATGTCTAACTAATTTTTGCATTTTCAGTAGAGACGAGGTTTCGCCATGCTGGCCAGGCTGGTCTCGAACTCCTGACCTCAGGTGATCCACCTGCCTCGATCTCCCGAAGTGCTGGGATTATAGGCATGAGCCACCACGTCTGGCCATGGCTTTTTCTTTTAGATCCTAACCCTTAAGTTTTCCCTAGACCACTCTTCCTCTTCATTCTTTAGTTTGGGTTATTGCCATTGGGTACCTTTTAGGGTTTTTGTAGATACACACACACACACACACACACACACACACACACACACACACACACAGAGAGATAATCATGCATCATTTAATGGTAGGGATAAGCTCTGAGAAAGGCATCATTAGGTGATTTTATAGTTGTGCAAACATCATAGCATGTACTTACACAGACCTTAGTGTTATAGCCTACTGTGCACCTGTGCACAGGATATATGGTGTAACCTATTGCTGCTAGGCTACAACCCCGTATAGCATGTTAAAAACACAGATCCCAAACCATATCAGATGGGCTGCCACACAGGTGCAAAAGGCCCCATTTCACAGAGAGCCCTGAAGCTGGATGGCTCTTCAGAGTTGTCCCAATGCTCGGCCTTGATGAGCTCCTGACAGACCAGTCGTTGGATGCAGGCTGCTCTGGAAAGAGATGGTGACCTTGGGTGTGGCGGGTTGACTCAGTCCAGGTAATTCCTAAAGAGGGCTGACAGCTGAGAGCTGTTGGCTTCCAACATTCCCAGCAGCTGAGGAAATAAATCCTTCATCCCCGAAGGAGGGAGTAGGAATCTGGGAAGCGTGGCACCTGGAAGTCTACACTCTTCCACTCCTAAGTCTCTACCAATCACTAAATCCTCACCCTAATCTCTGCCTAGAGATCTTCAGGTTAAAAATCAGAGATCTAGCATCGTCTCAAAAAACAAACAGAAAAACTTGTAAAAATTCTGGTACCAGATAGTCCTTTTTTCTTTTTTTTTTTTTTTTTTTGAGACAGAGTTTTGTTCTTGTTGCCCAGGCTGGAGTGCAATGGTATGATCTCAGCTCACTGCAACCTCCACATCTCGGGTTCAAGATATTCTCCTGCCTCAGCCTCCCAAGTAGCTGGGATTACAGGCACGCGCCACCACACCTGGCCAATTTTGTATTTTTAGTAGAGATGGGGTTTCTCCATGTTGGCCAGGCTGGTCTCAAACTCCTGACCTCAGGTGATCCACCTGCTTTGGCCTCCCAAAGTGCTGGGATTACAGGCGTGAGCCACGGCGCCCAGCCAATAGTCCTATTTTCTTAAGAAAAGCCCTTTTTTTAAATGATGTCTGATGTTCAGACATCAACCCTTTTATTTGTAAATTAACGTCTATGTTCCAAAACACATTTCCGATGCCCTAAGCATTCTTTTCCAGATGCACCAAACTTTGTGAAATCTGTAGGAAATGAAAACTTGATTTCAAAAATAAACCTTGAAGCAATTTGAAAATAAAGAGGACATTCCATTTGAACCAATGCTAAGAGTTAAGCAGACCCACAGGTGCTGTGAACAAAAGTTCTTCAGAGTTCTTCAGAATTCGAAAAGATTGTAATAACAGATATCCTAGAGTGTGTGGCAGAATTTTAAAGTAGCTTAAGGAATACTCAGCAGGCTTCCAGCTAAAAGCTTATATGTTCTTTTTTCCCCTGAATTTAGAGTACATTCTAGGACCATTCAGACTTTATGAATTGATGTGAAGTCAGGGATGCAAGCCCACCTGAGGGTATGAACAACTCAATGTTAAGTCAGAGTTTGGGGCCGGACGTGGTGGCTCACACTTGTAATCCCAGCACTTTGGGAGGCCGAGGCAGGCGGATCACCTGAGGTCAGGAGTTCAAGACCACCCTGGCCAACATGGTGAAACCCCGTCTCTACTAAAAAAATACAAAAAATTCGGCACGGTGGTGCTTGCCTGTAGTCTCAGGTACTCAGGAGGCTGAGGCAGGAGAATTGCTTGAACTCGGGAGGCAGAGGTTGCAGTGAGCCAAGATCACACGACTGCACTCCTGCCTGGGCAACAGAGCGAGACTCTGTCTCAAAAAAGAAAATAAAAAGTCACTGACTGTTAGGGGTGGGCTGTGTTCTGCCTCCCCTCCACAAAAGATATGTTGGAGTCATAATCCCTTGTACCTCAGGATGTGACCTTATTGGGAGATACAGTTTTTACAGAGGTAATCAGGTTAAGATGAAGTCACTAGTGTGAAACCTAATCCAGTATCACTGGTGTCCTTATAGAATAGAGGAATTTGGACACAGAGTCACCATCTACAAGCCAAGAAACCCCTGAGGGTATTAGAAGCTGGGAGAGAGGATGCGAAACAGATTCTGTCTTATATTCCCCAAAAGGAACCAATCCTGCTGCCACCTTGATTTCAAACTTGTAGCCTCCAGAACTGAGACAATATATTTCTACTGTTTAAGCCACCCAGCTGGTGATACTTGACTACAGCAGTCCCAGGAAACACATAAGGCGACTCTGACAGCACCTTTCCTGTTCAGCCTTCCATTTCATATCCATACCGTCATCTTCCACGAAGGTAGCTCAGGAGTTGATGAACAAGACTCAATCCTGGTTTGATCACTTGGTTAAGTTACTTTGTTTCTTCAAGCCTGAAATAAGAACATGAATAATACCTACTATGGAGACCTTTTGAGTATTCACTGTGCTAATATAGATAAGATCCTTTCTAGGTGCCTATAAATTCAAGAGGGTCACATAAGACCCATTGGCTACTTGCCAACAAATGCTCATGGTCTAATGGTGGGTAGTCTGATCCTTGTAATTTGTATAGTTCTTAGAGATTCAAGCTCAGCACCACATCTTCTGTCCACCAGTGTCTATTATAAATATTGCTGTTATTTTCTCTTATCGACTCCCAATGACCAAAGCCGCTAAGTCTCCTGAAGCAAAACAATCAATTATCTTTATGTATTGAGGAAGCAGTAAACCAGAAAGATGACAACCTTAGAGCCAGAACTCAGCCTTTCTTGACAAGTCATTGTGGATCAATCTGGGGACATTGTATATTAATTAGCAGCATTGGGCCGGCTCAACGAGTCACCCAGCCAGAGACCAGCTTCCAGCCCCTTTTGACCCAGATAGGCACACAGGGCTTTATTATTTTAAAGGTATTTTTTTAAACCAGATAATCATGCTTGGTTTATGTGGTGCAGGCACTTTAAAATCATACCTAAACATTACAAAACCAAATACAGATGGTCTTTGGACTGTTGATTAGATTTGAGTATTCGAATGTTTTTCTTGCTTTGTCAGTGATAACTAGAAGCTGATTAAACCACGAGATATCACTTCACTAGGATATCTATACTAAAAACATTGAAAAATAGCAAGTATTGGTGAGAATGTGGAGAAACTGGAACCCTCGTACATTGTTGGTGGAAAGGTAAGTGGTACAGTGCTGTGGAACACAGGTTGGTGTTCCTCAAAATGTTTAACATATAATTACCATATGACCTACCTAGCATTTCTACTCCTATGTATGTGCCCCAAAGAAATGAAACCAGGTGGGGTGCAGTGGTTCACACCTGTAATCCCAGCACTTTGGGAGGCTGAGGCAGGAGGATCGCTTGAGCCCAGGAGTTCAAGACCAGCCTGGGTAACATGACAAAACCCCATTTCTTACAAAAATACAAAAATTAGCCGGGCGTAGGGGTGCGTGCCTGTAGTCCCAGCTACTTGGTAGGATGAGGTGGGAGGATTGCTTGAGCCTGGGGGGTTGAGACTACAGTGAGCTCAGTCAGCTGTGATCACACCATGGCACTCCAGCCTGGGTGACAGAGTGAGACCCTGTCTCAAAAAGAAAAAAATGAAATGAAACCAGAGACTAATGAGGATACTCATGTGCCAATGTTCATTGCAGCATCATTCACAACAGCCAAAAGATGGAAATAATCCAAGTGCCCATCAACAAATCAATGGGTAACCAAAATGTGGTATATGCATGCAAAGGCATATTATTCAGCTACAGGAAAAGGAATGACGTTTTGATATGCACTACAACGTGGATAAACCTTGAAAGCATTATGCTAAATGAAATAAACCAGATACAAATGGACAGATACGCATGCTTTCACGTATATAAAATATTTAGAATAGGCAAATTAATAAGAGACCGAAAGCATATTAGAAGTTACCAGGGGCTGGGGTTAGAAGTGAATGGGAGTTAAGTGTTTAATGGGTACAGAGTTTCTTTTGTGGTGATGGAAAAGTTTTGAAAACAGATAGTTGTAATATTAATAGTTGTACAACGTTGCGTGTAATTAACGCCAATGATTGTATACTTTAAAAAAATAACAAATATACATTTTACCATAATAAAATTAAAAAAAGGCTGATTACATAATCATTTTGTTCTTTTCAAAGTGAAACCAGAGGCTTTCCAAACTGCTCACAATGATTATCTCATTTCATCTTCACACGTGTCACGAGGTAAGGATTATTGTCTCCACGTGACAACTAAGAAAACTAAGGTTCAGTGAAGGGCTCATGGCCAAGTAGCTACTCACTGAGCTGGGATTGTGCTTGAGTCTACCTTTCTCTAACACTAAGTGGTCAATACATGGATTTCTCTGTCTATGATCTTCCGAGACAGCCCAGACGTATATGTGTGTATCCATTCCTTCTTTACAGCAGCAGATCCAGGTTAGTGGGGAGGAAGAATACTCTGGGCTCCATAAGGAGAATTTCCTGATTCTGAGGGGAAATTGAACAGAGTTTTCTCAAGGAGTCCAGGTGATTCTTTATAAATATAAGGTTTGCCTTGAAAGTGCCACTGTAATGCCTCATGTATTTTATGACCTCAGTTATCTGGAAGACAGCCAAGGATCCAGCACGAGCAAAAATCACCTGCTGACAACATAGGAGAGCTGAAAATAATAAAGTTATGCAAAGGTATCAAGGTTAGCTATTCCGTTGGGGGCTGCAGTCTCTGCATACTTTTACAACGCCTTTTCTCATTGCCATTCCCTGTCTGCAGCTTTAGTAGAGAGAAGCTGGAGCAGAGAAAGGAGGTAGCTTTTCTTTTTTTTTTTTTTGAGACAGAAAAAAAAAGGGTCTGACTTTGTTGCCCAGGCTGGGAGTGCAGTGGCACGATCTTGCCTCACTGCAACCTCTGCCTCCCAGGTTCAAGTGATTCTTCTGCCTCAGCCTACCGAGTAGCTTGGATTACAGACACATGTCACCACACCCAGTTAATTTTTGTATTTTTAGTAGAGCCGGCATTTCACCATGTTGGCCAGAGTGGCCCTGAACTGGGCTCAAGCGATCTGCCCACCTCAGCTTCCCAAAGTGCTGGAGTTACAGGTGTGAGTTACCTTGCCTGACTGGAGGCAGTTTTTCAAGAGAATTGCAAGTGACTGTAAAGAAGTGAATCTGGCCAGGTACAGTAGCTCATGTCTATAATCCCCACATTTTGGAAGGCCAAAGCAGAAGAATTGCTTGAGCTCAGGAGTTCAAGACTGGCCTGGGAAACAGTGAGACCCTTCCTCTACAAAAAATAAAAGATAAAAAATTAGCCAGGTACAGTGGCTTATGCCTGTAATCCTAGCACTTTGGGAGGTCATGGTGGGAGGACTGCTTGAGCTCAGTAGTTCAAGACCAGGTGGGCAACGTAACATAAAAAAAAATAACAATAAAAAAAATAAAACGTGGGCATGGTGGCGCATGCCTGTGGTCCCAGCTACTAAGTCTAAGGTAGGAGGATCATGAGCCCAAAATGTCGGGGCTTCAGTGAGCCATGATAGAGCCATTGTGCTCCAGCTTGAGCAACAGAGCACGACACTGTTTTAAAAAAAAATTAGCCAGGCACAGTGGCTCATGAGGCTGAGTCAGGAGGATTGCTTGAGTCCTGGAGATTGAGGCTGCAGTAAGCTATAATTGTGCCTTTGTACTTAGCCTGGGCAACAGAGTAAGACTCTCTTCTAGAAAAATAATAATTATAATTTTTTTTTCAAGAAGGCTGGATGCAATGGCTCATGCCTGTAATCCCAGCACTTTGGGTGGCCTAGGTGGGTGGATCATTTGAGGTCAGGAATTCGAGACCAGCCTGGCCAACACTGTGAAACTGTCTCTGCTAAAAATACAAAAATTAGCTGGGCGTGGTGGCATGCACCTGTAATCCCTGCTACTTGGGAGGCTGAGGCAGGAGAATCACTTGAATCCAGGAGATGGAGGCTGCAGTGAGCCGAGAATGTGCCATTGCACTCCAGCCTGGGCAACAGAGTGAGATTCCATCTCAAAATAAATAAACAAATAAATATAAAATAAAATAAAGAAAGAAGAAGAGAATCTGTCCTGCCTGGTGAGGTGGACATCCTCTTTGCACTCTTCCATGTCCGGTTCCTTCGTTTTTGTCTCCTTTCTGACTTCTCTTTATTCACTGGATTTTTAAATGTTGGTGATGCCCAGGGTTCTGTCCTTCCAACTTCTCTTCATATTGTACGTTCTCCCTTGACTGATCCCATCCGCAAACATGGCTTCAGCTACATTGGCTTGAGGACATCTACATCTCTAGCCTGGCGGCTCCACTGAATTTAGATTCATCTATCCATCACAAATTTCCAACCGGATGCACCCAACCGTAGTCATCATCTTTTTCCAAAACCTGAGTTTCTGTTTGAATAAAAACACCAACCAGCCAGTCACCCAAGCCAGAAACCTGGGAACCGCTCCCAGAATCCCCGCTTTTCTCTTCTCTTTTCTTTTCCTGCACTCTACTTCCTTTTCCTGTCCTGTCAATAGTATCTCCTGTACGTTGCTAATTCAGTCCCTCTTCTCCACCCTCACTGTGCTTTAGTTAATTCCTTTTTATCAAAACTTACCCAGACCACTACAGGAGACTGTGTTTCTCTCCCTATCTCCAGTCTTAGTCTTCTGCAATTTTTTTTCTCTAAGGAATGCTTAAACAAACAAACGAGATTACATTTGGTCATACTTTTCTTCTACCTAAAAGTGACTAATGCTCAAGGTAAATTTCACAAGATAAATTTCAAACATCCAGGCTTGACATGGCTGACAAGTTTATTCATGTTCTTCATCACATGTTCTCGGGCCACTTTCCTACACACAACTTGAGCTGTAGTCATCCTGGCCGACTCGTAATTCTAAAAATATGCCATTGCCCATCTTGCCTATGTGCTTCTACACAAATTGTTCTCTCTACTTGGAATGTCTACCCACTCCCTTGTCCTCTACCTCTCTGCCCAACTTTTATGCATCCTCAGGGACTTAGCTCAAACATCATTTCTTAGAGGTATGTTCTGACAACTGAGCTGATCTGGAAGCTTGTTCTTTGTAACTCTCCCAATTATTAGCCTGTGCAGAACTCTACTCCTTATCACATGGATTTTCTTGTATGGTGCCTTCATTAGGCTAATTATTATAGATGAGAACTGCATCAAGCACATGTCTGATACATAGGAGAGAATGAATGACATGTTGAATCAATGCTTCCTGCTTAGAAAATTATTCCATCTCGGCCGGGCGCGGTGGCTCATGCCTGTAATCCTAGCACTTTGGGAGGCTGAGGTGTGTGGATCACCTGAGGTCGGGAGTTCGAGACCAGCCTGGCCAATATGGAGAAACCCCCTCTCTACTAAAAATACAAAAAATTAGCCAGGCTTGGTGGCGCATGCCTGTAATCCCAGCTACTTGAGAGGCTGAGGCAGGAGAATTGCTTGAACCCGGGAGGCGGAGGTTGTGGTGAGCCAAGATCGTGCCATTGCACTCCAACCTGGGCAACAAGAGCGAAACTCCATCTCAAAATAAAACAAAACAAAATAAAATAAAATAATTCCATCTCAGTCCAAATCACAAGGAGTTGATAGACAACCCCTCCCAGCAACAACAGTAATGTCCTAAGGGCTCCTTAAGATGCCAGGGTTGAAGAGAAAAGACAAATAGATTGAGACTGAAAGTCAGAGCTTGTTAGACAGACATTGGAGACATCAAAAGGGCATTAATGACAATGAGCCTGGATTATTCAGTGCGACCACTCATCCCGGAAGCTGGTGGACATCCCTTGCTTTTGCCTCCCAGTGATACTTCGCCTTTCTTTTAGTAATGGTAGCTTAGTATGTCTTAGAGATACCAACCCAATCCCTGTGGTTCAGGTGGGGCTGATTCCAGGCTTTCACTCCATTGATAAGTACAGGTCCTAGGTCTGTCAAATCATAACATTCCATTCCCTTTGCCTCAGCAGTTGGTTCAGTGATAGGCACATAACACAAGCCAGACCAATGATACTAAACACCAAGACATTCTCTGGAGCTATCTAGAAAGAGTTTCTTTTTCCAGTGGGGTTTTTGGTGGAAATATAAGGTGGAATTATAAGCCTGCGGTGACTAGTTACCATTTTTGCCTACATCTGGAAGAAGAGTTGAGAATGAGGCCTATGTAAAAGAAAGAGGTCCTGAGAGGCAGGAAAATACATTGCTGCTGGTAATGTTTTGAGTATCTAATCCAACTTTGCATAACACCAAGCCTGTTTGTTTTGATTTTCTAGTTACATGATAAAATAAACCCCTCCACCCCCCCTTTTTTTTTTTGAAGCAGAGTCTTGCTCTGTCACTCAGGCTGGAGTGCAATGGTGCGCTCTCAGCTCACTGCAACCTCTGTCTCCCAGGTTCAAGCAATTCTCCTCGCTCAGCCTCCCAAGTAGCTGGGATTACAGGTGCCCACCATCACGCACAGCTAATTTTTTGTATTTTTAGTAGAGACAGGGTTTGCCATGTTGGCCAGGCTGCTCTCGAACTCCTGACCTCAGGTGATCCACCCACCTTGGCCTCCTAACGTGTTGGGATTACAGGGATGAGCCACCGCTCCCGGACAAATTCCCCTTTTTGAATACGGAAATTCAATTTGGATCTCTGTTGCTTGCAACCTAAAGAGTGTTTATTAATATAGAAATCAGAATAGCCAACACATCTATAGAAAAAATGTGAATACAGATGTTCTGTGATCATGTGACATGGATGTGCTTCCTTCCATCCAAATCATCTCACCCAGTGACTCTCTGGGCATGTAGTACAGTAAGGGAGTGGTAGTCTCAAACTACTTCAACTGTGGTCCACTTACATGGAGCATACCTACTCCCCATTCCATTCACATATTAAAAAAAAAAAAGGGGTTTCCAAATTTATTTTGTTTTACATATTTAATTACTAAGCAAAACATGAATACATTCTTGTTTGAAACATTATAGATAAAGGAGAAAGTCCCCTGACTTTTACTTGACCATTCCCTTCCAGAGGTCACTCTGCATCCAGCTAGTATCCTTTAAAACCCTGTAACTCAGTGAAGGAGCATATAGGCATGTAGAGGTTTGTGTCACACGGTGGCTGTGCAGGTGACAGTGAGTGTGATTATGTAGGTTCTGCCCACATATACAGCAAGAGTAAAGTTGAATTAAAATGTCCCAGCCACAAAAAACACTTCCTGTCTTACTCCATCATCCAACCCCAGAGATACCTGAAACCGAACTCTCTTTTAAATCCCTTCTATGTATTCAGAAATCCTCTCTAAAAGGCTGCTATTTAAAACTTTCTTGGGAAGGGGAGGATAAGCTAAATATAATTTTTCTCATATTTTCTTTCACTCATTCAAAATAATATATAGGTAATATATGAACATGTGCTTAATTTAAAAGATTACAAAAGACAGAAATACATGGAACAAAAGGTAATCTTTCTTTCTTTCTCTTCCTTTCTTCCTTTCTTTCCTTCTTTCCTTCCTTGCTTTCCTTTCTTTCCTTCTTTCCTTCCTCTCTTCCTCTCTTTCTTTCTCTCTTTCTTTCTCTCTTTCTCTTTCTTTCTTTCTCTCTCTCTCTCTCTCTTTCTTTCTCTTTTATATTTTACTTTAAGTTCTGGGATACATGTGCAGAATGTGCAGTTTTGTTACATAAGTATACATGTGCCACGGTGGTTTGTTGCACCTATCAACTCCTCAACTAGGTTTTAAGCCTCGTATGCATTAGGTATTTGTTATATGGCATACTTTTCTAGTCCTTTTTCTATTATGTTGGTGTAAAAGTAATTGCAGTTTGCACCAACCTAATATGTACTTTTATTTTATATATGTAATGCAGCAATATATTTTAGAAACTTTTTCAAGTCCATGTCATAAGATTAAAAGATTAAGCTGTGAAAAACAGCGAATATGCCATTTGGTAATGACGTACAGGATGGGCAAGTTTTGAAGGGCGGGAAGGGTTTAGGAATGGTTGTACCCAAGCCTAAATAGGGAAGGCTGGGCTGGGTCGGGTGGTGTGTTGAACATTCATATGGGTGGAGGCACTCAGTGGGGCCGTGTCAAAAGCAAAATTCACTGACTTTCCAATTTTTCCAGACCTGCTTGTCAAATCCTGAGCCTGGGAGGATGGCTGTGTTAGTGGCAGTAATGGAGCTCTAATGGTTTGTATTCTTACTTGCTATTAAAATTCAGGGTTTTTTTTCTTTCTTTCTTTCTTTTTTTACCACAATGCTTATTGTTCCTTTTTTTCAGATAAATCAAGGTAAATACCTTTTTCCTTCCTATGTGGTAATTTTGTAAACTGAATCTTTGAAGAATTGTTCTTGTTTTGAGTTCTCTTCTTTTTAATCTGGTAGAAATTTCCTCTTCCTTGTGCTCCACTTCCTTCTTAACTTCTTCCTCTTCCTCCTTTTTTTTTTTTCTTTTTCTTTTCTTTTTTTTTTTTTTTTTTGTTTTTTTGAGACGGAATTTCACTCTGTCACCCAGGCTGGAGTAAATGGCACCATCTCGGCTCACCACAACCTCCACCTCCCAGGTTCAAGCAATCCTCCTGCCTCAGCCTTCCGAGTAGCTGGGATTACAGGCATGCGCCACCACGCCTGGCTAATTTTTGTATTTTTGTAGAGACAAGGTTTCACCATGTTGGCCAGGCTGGTCTCGAGCTCCTGAACTCAAGTGATCCGCCTGCCTCAGCCTCCCGAAGTGCTGGGATTACAGGCATAAGCCACCGTACCTGGCCCTAATTTAGGCTCAGTCTCATGATTACTTATCTAACATGCCAACTGTTTTACGCTGAGGTTCACAGAATGTTGAATACACTTCCAAGAGACTGGAGTATATGGGCTTTGGTGTGATATAAAATATACCACCAGATGGCTGGGCACAAGACTTTGCCTTAGGAAAAAAAAAATAATATATATATATATATATATATATATATATATATATATCACCAGGATGACTGACCATACTGCCCTTTTTTCTGGAAAGTAATGTAGTGCCAGGGAGAAAGTGATGGGCTATAGAAAGTTAGACAGGCCTGGGTGTACATCCAGGTTATACCACTCACTAGTTTCATGATCTCAAGAAGGTGCCTCACAGGTCTCAGTGTTTTCTTCTATAAAACAGGGAAATGCCTGCTGGGGTAGTTGTCAGATTAAAAAAAAATTATACATATAACACTGATTCAATAAATGAGTACTTCTACTAATTCCAGGAGATAAAACAGAAAGACAATAAAGGAGTACTATTTTCCCATCTTAGCATTTTGATTTTGAGAATAGTCTGTGGAAATTTTATACTACCCATCAAGTCAGCCAAGGCAGAAAAGAAGAGAGAAATTCAGTCAGATTATCTGTCTGAAAGAAAACACTGCTTTATGTTTCTCTTTTGCTGTATTCACTCAGAAACCTGAGCTTGCATGACCTAGTGCAGGAAGAAAAGGAAGCTCTAGAAATATGATTCCTGCTTTACAGAGACAGGATGATAGAATATCTGCAAAACACATACAGGAACTAGCATAATGTCTTGCTAAATGTTTGTTCAGTAAAGACATTAACCCCAATTTCACAATAGTAACGAGCTACCTTTCTAAGAGTCAATGAATTTCCTTTTAACATTCTTTCATTTTCCTGTTTGTATATATCAGGAAGTTTGAGTTATGAATGACCTCAAACTAGCTTAAGTAAATGCAAGCACACACATACCTTTCCACAGAGTATACTGAATCATGTTACGGGAAAGAATACGGGTAGGTGTTGACCTCAAGAAGTACTAGATTTGGGGATCCACATACCCATCTCTTTGCTGGGCTCCACTCTCTGCTTATTGGCCAGATGGCTTCTGAGAGAGAGTAGATATGAATTCAGCAAACTTGAAGCTTGGATATTCCAAATCAGTCTCTCAGGATACAGATGTAAAATGCCAGGGATGAACTCTAATTGGTCTTCCCTAGACCATCTGACCACCCTTTGAACCAATACCTGTGGTAAGGGGAGAGGGGATGTTTTGATTGGTGGGTTGGTTTCTGTACCCACTTCTGTGGCTAATGTGGATGAGGTTTGATGTCCTGCAGTTCCAACAGAAACATACAGAATTGGGAGGGGCTATTTTCCAAAGGTAAGAGATAGCTTTTAATATAAAAAGTAGGAGGGGGTTGCAGGGCAGACAATACAACCAGAGGTCCATGCTGGAGATAATCTTTTATAAATGATCGAATAGCTAGAATTTGTTGTGATTATATAGATTAGAGTTTTGAAATTTTATGTATCACGTTCTTTATTCCCTAGGAGAGTGTGTTTGTCACATCATTACTCCTGATAAATGTGTCCTAACGTATTGAGGGAAATTATTATTTTTTAGAGTTGCTTTAATAGTGGTAATAGGGAGGGCTATGATGAGGTATCTCACCAAAACCAAAAAATTCTTACTAATTGTTAATTTGGTGGTTTTCTTTCTGTACTTGCTAAAAGTAGCTGATTCAGAAGTGGATAGATGAGAATTTGCAATTTTGTAGTTAAAATGAATGTGTGATGAATTACTTTGATTTTCTTGAATTAATCCTACTGATATAAAATGAGGCTGGGAAGCATGTGACTTTGTTGCATACGCATTGTCATCACTCAGTTTAGTTCCATGAGAGGATGGGAGTAGGGAAGGTTGTCTTTAAGGTTAGGTGACACTTTGGAATAAACCTGGTTCTTTTGTTTTTTTTTTTTTTTTTTTTTTTTGTGAGACAGAGTCTCACTCTGTCGCCCAGGCTGGAGTGCAGTGGTGTGATCTCGGCTCACTGTAACCTCTGCCTTCCTGGCTCAAACCGTTCTCCTGCCTCAGCCTCCCTAGTAGCTGGGATTATAGGCATGCACCACCATGCCCGGCTAATTTTTGTATTTTTAGTAGAGACGGGGTTTCACCATGTTGGCCAGGCTGGTCTCGAACTCCTGACCTCAAGTGATCTACCCACTGTGGCCTCTAAACTTGGTTCTTTAAAACAGCAAAACAGCCATATATATATATATATATATATATATATATATAGTTGTTGTTGTTGTTGTTTGGTTTTTTTTTTTGTTTTTTTTTTGTTTTTTTTTTTGCTTAGCCCAGATGCTCAGGGGCTGGCAGGAGCTCCTGCTTTTTGGATGAGTAGTAAACAACTAGTATAAACATCAAGTCTGTCTTCCCACGGCTCTTCCCCCAGCCTTTTCTCCATCTATGTGCAGAAAGCTCCACAAGGTCCCTGTTCGGCATGCCAAGGCACTAGAAATCAGAGCTCCTGTATCTGTTCTCTGGGCCTGTCGTTTTCTTCTCTCTGTGCCTGGCTCTAAAGTAAGCGGCAAATATATCCACATTTGGTGGTAAAAGGAACTGACAATAATGTTGAGTCAGTGCTTCTCAAACCTTAACGTGCGCATGAGTCATTTGGCTAAACTCTTGTGAAAATGCAGATTCTGATTCAGTAGATCTGGGCATAGCTCCGTAGATCTGGGCTTGAGACTCTGCTTTTCTAGCAACTCCTAAGTATGGCTACTGCTGCTCCTGGTCCATGAACACATCTTAAGTAACAAAGCAGTAAAGTCACAGGGTTTCCCAAATTTTAAGTAAAGCTGTTTTGTACCTAGGTGAGGTAAATAGGTACTCTCGTTTGACTTTTAGTTAATCCTTTGATACTTCCACAATTTATGCAAGTTTGAGAAATATGCTCTTAAGCAAAGTATGATGACATAATGAATACAAGATTGTTGTGGTTTAAAGATTACATAGAAAATATATAAAACAGATAAAATATACAACATATAAAATGTTTTTATATTTGTGTGTGGGTTCTAGAAATGTTCCCCAAGATCATTAGAGATGCAATAAAAACAAGAATAAATTACTAGCAAGATGCATACTAATAACCTTTACAAGGAGTTTATTTTTAAAACATTGGTTGTGATGGCATGGTCTTGCTTCATTAAAAATTTCTAGACTGGAAACTGTCCTTATAATGGTAAGAAAAATATAAATGACAAAAAGCTTTTCTTTTCTTTTGAGACGGAGTCTCGCTCTGTTGCCCAGGCTGGAGTGCAGTGGTGCCATCTCAGCTCACTGCAACCTCTGCCTCCCGGGTTCAAGTGATTCTCCTGCTTCAGCCTCCCAAGTAACTGGGATTGCAGGCACACACCACCAAACCCGGCTAATTTTCATATTTTTAGTAGAGACAGGGTTTCACCATATTGGCCAGGCTGGTCTCAAACTCCTGACCTCAAGTGATCTGCCTGCCTCGGCCTCCCAAAGTGCTAGGATTACAGGTGTGAGCCACCACACCTGGCTAATAAAGCTTTTCGATAGGCAAGATCTGAAAAAGCAAAAAGAGAAAAATTAAAATGACTTATCTGCTTTGTCAGCACCTTTGCTGACAAATATTTTAAACATCCTTCCCC
Organism: Homo sapiens; assembly: GCF_000001405.40. Taxonomy (NCBI): domain Eukaryota; kingdom Metazoa; phylum Chordata; class Mammalia; order Primates; family Hominidae; genus Homo; species Homo sapiens. The sequence continues at coordinate 222,845,555 of NC_000002.12, forward strand.
TCAAATATACTAATTCAACAAACACACACTGGGTGCCTGTTACACATCAGGCACGGTGCTAGGTGCTGGGATACAGTGGTGAGTGAAACAGACATACTTTCTTGTTTTCATGCATCTTATAGTCCAGAACTGACCTGATCAATACAGTAGCCCCTAGCCATATGTGGTGATTGAGCACTTGAAAGGTGGCTAGTCCAAATTGAGATGTGTTGTAAATATAAAATAAACATGAGATTTAAAGGACTATCCCCCAAAACCTCACTAATAAGTTTTTATATTGATTACAAGTTGAAATGATAATATTTTGGACATCTTGAGTTGCACAAAATATATTACTAAAATTAATATCACTTGTTTTCTTTTCTGTCTTTTTCTTTTTTTTTTTTTTTAGAGGCGGGGGTCTCCCTATGTTGCCGAGGCTGGTCTTGAACTCCTGGGCTCAAGCAATCCACCTACTTTGGCCTCCCAAAGTGCTCAGATTGCAGCATCATGCCCAACCCTTTTTACTTGTTAATGTGCTGTCAGAACATTTTAAATTACATACTTATCTCCTATTCCGTCTCCAGTGAATGGTGCAGGTCTACAGCAGTTGGCTAGCGATTCTCAAACTTTCTTGTGTCTCTAAATCAACCCGAAAATCTTGTGAAAATGCAGATCTGGGTCACATAGGCCTGGGTGGGGCCTGAGATTCTGCAGTTTTAATATGCTTCCAGATGATGCTGATGCTAATTCTGCTGTTCCATGCAGCACACTTTGACTACCAAGGAACTAGAAGATTTATGAAGATTAAACGTGGATTGAAATATGTGATTAAGGGCTAGGCATGGTGGCTCACCCCTGTAATCCCACCACTTTGGGAGGTTGAGGCACGTGGATCACTTGAAGCCAGGAGTTTGAGACGAGCCTGGCCAACATGGCAAAACCCCATCTCTACTAAAAATGCAAAAATTAGCTGCCCATGGTGGTGCATGCCTGTAATCCCAGCTACTTGGGAGGCTGAGGCACAGGGAGAATTGCTTGAACCTGGGAGGCAGAGGTTGCAGTGAGCCGAGATGGTACCACTGTACTCTAGCTTGGGTGATAGAGTGAGACCCTGTATCAAAACAAACAAACAAACAAACAGAAAACTATCCCTCTGAAATATTAATAAGAAAAAACATATAGGAATAAACTCATTGTAGAAAGAATAACAAACTGAAAATATCGCAGAAGAAATCACTGAAGTATATGTAGCATGAGGATAGTTTTTCAGTTAAACTTTTAAGAAACAGTTTGATGTCTTGTGAGATATTTAAATGTTTAGCCAACATTGGTGTATGTACCCCTCTGAACATGTGCGTGTATGCACAGTTTTCATAGTTGAATTCAACAACTGTGTATTGGGAGAGACATTGTACCAATCACCACATTGGATGGATCTTAGGGATAAAGAAATGAAAGTGATGTGCTCCTTGTTCTCAAACAGCTTATCATTGTGTTACAGAAGGAAATAAACACAACGGACAGTAATACAGCACAAGAAGTACTAAGCTCAGGGTGGTGCCATCTGATATTTTGTTCCACTTCACCTTTCTACTGATAACTGTATTTTTCCTGTGGCGAATTCACACCTGCCTCCCCAGCTACATTCCCTCTCTGTTTTGGGGTGTGCATGGCTGAACTCCACCCTCCCTAGAATCCAGTGGTGGAGCAAGTGAGTTAGGCTGAGACAGACAGAAAGATTGAGTGACGGCCGGGCGTGGTGGCTTATGCCTGTAATCCCAGCACTTTGGGAGGCCAAGGCAGGTGGATCACGAGGTCAGGAGATCGAGACCATCTTGGCCAACATGGTGAAATCCTGTCTCTAGTAAAATAAAATAAAAAAAATAGCTGGCCATGGTGGTGCGTGTCTATAGTCCCAGCTACTTGGGAGGCTGAGGTAGGGGAATCGCTTGAACCTGGGAAGGGGAGGTTGCAGTGAGCTGAGATTGTGCCACTGCACTCCAGCCTGGTGACAAAGTGAGACTCCATCTCAAAGAGAAAAAAAAAAAAAAAAAAAGATTGAGTGAGGAGGGACACATAATCTCTCAAAAGAAATAAGATTTCTGGGAAGAGACTCTGAATTTCCAGTGAGATAGGAGTCTGAAGGGGCTTCTAGCCATCTTTCTGACATGGGGACCTCAGGCTGGAGCAAACACCAACACCAAGGAAACCGATCTGTGGAACAGACAGACAAAGCTGTTCTTTCTGATTCTTTTTTTTTTTTTGAGACAGAGTTTTGCCCTTGTTGCCCAAGCTGGAATACAATGGCACAATCTTGGCTCACTGCAACCTCTGCCTCCTGGGTTCAAGTGATTCTCCTGCCTCAGCCTCCCGAGTAGCTGGTTTCATGCGCGTCCGTGTGAAAAGACCACCCAACAGGCTTTGTGTGAGCAACATGGCTGTTTATTTCACCTGGGTGCAGGCGGGCTGAGTCCGAAAAGAGAGTCAGCAAAGGCTGGTGGATTATCATCAGTTCTTACAGGTTTTGGGATAGGCGGTGAAGTTAAGAGCAATGTTTTGCGGGCAGGGCTGGATCTCACAAAGTACATGCTCAAGGGTGGGGAGAATTACAAAGAACCTTCTTAAGGGTGAAGGAGATTACAAAGTACCTTCTTAAGGGTGGGGGAGTTTACAGAGTACATTGATCAGTTAGGGTGGGGCAGGAACAAATCACAATTGTGGAATGTCATCAGGTAAGGCTATTTTTACTTCTTTTGTGGATCTTCAGTTACTTCAGGCCATCTGGATGTATATGTGCAAGTCACAGGGGATGCGATGGCTTGGCTTGGGCTCAGAGGCCTGACAGCTGGGATTACAGGAATGCGCCACCACGCCCGGCTAATTTTTTGTATTCTTATTAGAAACGGGGTTTCACCATGTTAGCCATGGCTGGTCTCGAACTCCTGACCTCAAGTGATCCACCCACCTCAGCCTCCCAAAGTGCTGGGATTACAGGCATGAGCCACCGTGCCCGGTCTGTCTTTCTGATATTTTTGAGCCCAGTCTCGAGTGTTCCCTGAAGGCAGATATACTCCAGGGCTGTTTAATTTTGTAAGCCAATAAATTCCATTTGCTCAAGCAAGTCTAATTTACATTTTCTGTTCCTTGTAACCTAAGGAGACCTAACTGATAACATGTTACCTAAACAACAGATAACTGATAACATAGCTAATAACTGAGAACATGATACCTAACCAATAGATAACTGATAACATAGCTAATAACTGAGAACACAATACCTAACCAATAGCATAAACAAAACAGAGAGAATGGGAGGAGTAATTTTGCATGGGAGCCTCACAGACCGCTTGATATTTGAGTTCAATGCCTAATGGACCTGTAGATGATGAGACTGTATTCCTTGTTACATTTATGGATTCTGCAAATAGGGCAGGATTCCTAAAAATGTCAGGCCCGGTCCACAGGATACAACAATATGTTCCTAATCTCTGGCAGAGGCTCTCGAAAGCTGGAGGAATCTTGTTCGCACTATAAATATCAGCCACTTCCTCATTGGAGCTTAAATGTCACCTCTCTGATTTGCCTTCACTGACCTCCCCACCCAAAATTGTCTCTATTTCTTTTTCCCGAGTCATCTGTTTAAATGTCTGAAGAGCACTTTGATTCTGTAATTGTCTTTTAAAATAATATTGTTTGCCGGGCGCGGTGGCTCACGCCTGTAATCCCAGCACTTTGGGAGGCCGAGGTGGGTGGATCACGAGGTCAGGAGATCGAGACCGTCTTGGCTAACACGGTGAAACCCCATCTATACTAAAAATAAAAAAATCAGCCGGGAGTGGTGGCGGGAGCTTGCAGTCCCAGCTACTCAGGAGGCTGAGGCAGGAGAATGGCGTGAACCCGGGAGGCGGAGCTTGCAGTGAGCCGAGATCACGCCACTGCACTCCAGGCTCCGCGACAGTGCGAGACTCTGTCTCAAAAAATAATAATAATGTTTACTATTTTTATTTATTTATCATAATGATTTTATCTTAGAATATAAAATCCTTAAGGGTCAGAATCTCTTCAGTTTCCGTAAGTGCTATATCTGCAGTGTCTAGCATTCTTGTCTGGTGGCACTTACATTTTGTTGAATTGATGTTCAATTAATTAGGACATTGAATCCAGGCTTGACTTCCAAATATTTTCATTGATAGAGAGAAGCCACAGCAGTTCTAGAGAAAAGAGAAGTAAGTTCACTAAGGAACTTCAAATGAAATTAATATGAATGATTTTGGAGAACACTCAGGAACCATTTATGTATTTCACAATTATATAAAGGCTCTTTATTAGAAAAATGTAAAAAAAAAAAAAAAAAGCAACTGCTCTGTATTGTCACAAACTTCTAAATCAAAAGGAGAAACAAAGAAGAGGACTTTCACTGGCCCTAAAGAAGAACTTGAACTATCTTCAGGTTCTGGGAAGTAGTATTTTCAGCGCCCAACATATTGTGCCTTTCTTCAGCTACCCTACCTTTATCAAGAGGGCAGAGACTGTTGGTTGCTTACCCGGTAACTCTTCTCCCCTTCATGGTTAGTAACAGAACCCTGATTTTATTTCAGATGCCATTGTGTGCTTCTAAGAGATTGTATGTTCCGGCTTCGTTAGTATGTGGTGATATTCTGATCAATGTGATGTAAGATGAGGTGTTGTGTTGAAAAAAAAAAACTCTTTAAAGGAATTACTAGGAATTGCATCTCTTTTGTATTGTCCTCTCCTTTCTTTCTGATGCCTGGAACACAGATGTGATGGCTAAAGCTCCAGCAGCCATTTTATGACTTTGGATATAGACATCAGATGCTAGTAAGTCACATACAGAGACTGGAAGAACAAAAAGAGAGAAGCATCTTGGGTTGGGTGCCTGCTGATTTCATGGAGTTTCCATACTGGCCCTAAATTACCAAGTTCCAGATTCCTTTTATGTAAAATAAAAATCCTTATGTGTTTTAGCTACTATTATTTTGCATTCTTAGTTACATACAATCAAACTTAATTCTAATGATCTTGCTTTTCTCTTTTTAATCAAATATATAAAATCTATATTATAAAAGATCTTAAGAAATAATAGAGAAACAGCTATTTTGGAGAGAAAATATTATTTCAGAAACTGCCTGAATTCAGGGTTCTTTACATATATACTTATAAAATAGAAAGGCCCAAATAAATGGATAAATTGCAGGGAAGCTTTAGTAAGTATAATATAAAAGATTTTATATGCAGAGTCTCATACATAGAACGACAAACAAACAAGTCCAACAAAAGATTCAAAGAGACTTCTACACACATAAGAGTGTGTAGCTCATAAATGTTCACTTCCTTAACTGGGAATTATTATCAATCAAAATGAAACAGGAATAAGAAAGTATGCTTTGTTACTTTAAAAAGCAAATGCATTTTTAGGATATTTTAATGAAATTCTGATGTATAAGGGCTGGGAATAGACCCTTTTAATATATTTTACAATTGTCAGGTCCTTGGTTAAAATCTGGGTATGCTATTTTATTCTCCAAATGATGAAAAGGGGAAAAGTGCACTAAAAATAATCAAAGGGATAGAAAATAGGTCATTTCAGAAAGACTTTTTTTCTAAAAAAAGATTTGTCTACAAACAAATGGAAAAACATTCTGTGCTCATGGGTTGGAAGAATCAATATTGTTAAAATGGCCATACTGCCCAAAGCAATCTACAGATTCAGTGCTATTACTATCAAACTACCAATGTCATTTTTCACAGAACTATAAAAAACTAGTCTAAAATTCATGTGGAACCAAAAAAGAGCCCAAATAACTAAAAGAATCCCAAACAAAACCAACAAGGCTGAAAGCATCACTTTACCCAACTTCAAACTACACTACAAGGCTACAGTAATGAAACCAACATGATGCTGGTACAAAAAAAGACACACAGACCTATGGAACAGAATAGAGAACCCAAACATAAAGCCACACATCTATAATCATCTGATCTTTGACAAAGTTGGCAAAAATAAGCAATGGGGAAAGGACTCCCTAGTCACTAAATGGTGCTGGGATAACGGGCCATCTATATGCAGAAAAATGAAGCTGGACCCCTACTTATCACCATAGGCAAAAATTAATCAAGATAAATTAACAACTTAAATGTAAGACCTCAAACTATAAAAATCCTAGAAGAAAATCTAGGAAATACCATTTTGGACATCAGTCTTGACAAACGATTTATGGCTAAGTCCTCTAATCAATTGCAACAAAAACAAAAATTAACAAGTGGGATCTAATTAAACCAAAAAGCATCTGCACAGTAAAAGAAACTATCAACAGAGTAAACAGACAACCTACAGAATGGGAGTACTTGCAAACTATGCATCCAACAAAGGTCTAATATTCAGAGTCTGTAAGGAACTTAAAAAAAATTACAAGCAAAAGACAAATAATCCCATTAAAAAGTGGGCAAAGTCTGTGAACAGACACTTCTCAAGAAAAGGCACACAAGCGGCCAACAAGCATATGAAAAAATGTTCATCATCACCAATCATTAGAGAAATGCAAATCAAAACCACAATGAAATACCATCTCATATCAGTCAGAATGACTATTAAAAAGTCAAAAAATAACAGATGCTGGCAGAGCTGCAGAGTAAAGGGAAAGCTTTCACGCTGTTGGTGGGAAAGTAAATTAGTTCAGCCACTGTGGAAAGCAGTTTGGAGATTTCTCAAAGAACTAAAAATGGACATAAAGAAGAGAACAACAGACACTGAGGATTATAGGAGGTGTGAGGGAGAGGACAAGGGTTGAAAAACTACCTGTTGGATACTGTGCTCATTACCTGGGTGACAGGTGCAATTATACCCCAAACCTCAGCATTACGCAATATACCCTTGTAACAAACCTGAATGTGAATCTAAAATAAAAGTTAGAAAAAAAGTTTTGTCTGGCTTGGAAAATAAAAAGAAGACAAAGTATTTCATGCATGTGAAGAGTTATTAAAGAAGGCTAGTCAGTTTTTAATCACTAAAGTAGAACAGAATCAAATGACCTTAGGTTGAAGAAATTGCTTATTGATAGTGTTGACAAAATCTGGTGTGATTGAAGGTGGCAGAAGAATCTCAGTCCCTAGAGATCTTTATAAATCCTGGAGAGGATGTAGGAGACATCCCATTGTCATGTGTCTCCCCATGATCAACCATGAGCCTCACTCCTGAAGCTGAGAGCCTGTGTTGAAAAGAAGGACTTCCTAGAAAGACAGAGTGATGTTTGGCCACAGAAACTCTTAGAATTCTTCTCCTGACTCTTTCTTTGAAATTCAGTCACTGGAAAATTCCTTGAAATATATTCCTGGCTGGGCGCAGTGGCTCACACCTGTAATCCCAGCACTTTGGGAGGCCGAGGCAGGCAGATCACCTGAGGTCTGGAGTTCGAGACCAGCCTGACCAACATGAAGAAACCCCGTCTCTACTAAAAATACAAAATTAGCAGGGCCTGGTGGCACATGCCTGCAATCCTAGCTACTCGGGAGGCTGAGGCAGGAGAACTGCTTGAACCCAGGAGGTGGAGGTTGCGGTGAGCCAAGATCGCGCCATTGCACTCCAGCCTGGGCAACAAGAGCAAAATTCCATCTCAAAAAAATATATATATATTCCAGTTTTTTAACATAAGGGGAAAAGGCAGCCACTGTTTTTCATTTTTATTTTTTATTATTTTTGAGACAGAGTCTTGCTCTGTTGCACAGGCTGGAGTGCAATGGCTTGATCTTGGCTCACTGCAACCTCTGCCTCCTGGGTTCAAGCAATTCTCCTGCCTCAGCCTCCCAAGTAGCTGGGATTACAGGCATGTGCCCCCAAGCCAGGCTAATTTTTGTATTTTTAGTAGAGACAGGGTTTCACCATGTTGGACAGGCTGGTCTCAAACTCCTGATCTCAAATGTTACTCCTGCCTCGGCCTCCCAAAGTGCTGGCATTACAGGCATGAGCCACCGCATCCAGCCTAGCAGCCACTGTTGATTGTCTACTTGTAGCAGAGGTTTTGGGTGCCCTGCATACATCCCCTTAGTGTTCTCATGTCTAGGATGTGCTGTTGACACCTGTGACACCTCAGTGCCTCTACCAGTGCCTAAGCCAGTGATTTGTCCTTTCTGAGATAGATCTGTAACCTCGGTGTGAGTTTGCTTTTCCTGCCCACTGATCCTTGCCAGTACCACAATCCGAGGGCTCACAAAATGTCTGATTTGCCATCATAGAATCCTGCATAGCATCGTTCTGGGAGTGAGGGCCCACTTTATGGCAGAGGAGCAGCAATGAGCATGTGACAGTGGGACCTATGGGTCCTACCAAGTGCCTCATCACTGAGAAGTGTCACCAGATGGAACACTTCGAGTCCCGTTAAAAACCCAGCAAAGGAGCCAGCTTGAGGATGATATTCTATTGGAGTGGGGCCTTGTCTTTCAAAATGTGGCATATATAGTACTTTGAACCAAAGGTCAAATGTTACTGTGTCCCCAGTAGCTAGAATACCCTCCCCAAACCCTAGTAGATAATCTATGATTGAGATAGATTTATCAGGGTAATTTCATTTGCCAGTGATTGATTTAGGGGAAATTAGTTGAGTGCATCCTGGAAAGATGTAGCTGTTCAATAAACCCATACTGACGTGTAAGGAGAAACTGCTTTTCTCTTCTGGCTTTAGATGTGTTGTGTAAGATAACATTTGGAGCAGTGGCAGCCATCTTATCACCATGAAGAGAGAGACAACATAGAGACTGAGAATGGTAGAGTGAGCAAAGAGACAGGAGGAGCTGGGTCTTTGATGACACCATTGAGCCTTTAAAGCAGCCCTGGGGCTAGGCACAGTGGCTCACACCTGTAATCGCAGCACTTTGGGAGGCTGAAGTGAGCTGATCACCTGAGGTCAACAGTTCAAGACCATCCTGGCCAACATGGCAAAACCTCATCTCTACAAAAAATACAAAAATCAGCTGGGCGTGGTGGTGCATGCCAGCATTCCCAGCTACTTGGGAGGCTGAGGCAGGAGAATTGCTTGAGCCCGGGTGGCGATGGTTGCATTGAGCCAAGACTGTGCCACTGCATTCCAGCCTGGGAGATGGGAATAAACCCTGTCTCAAAACAAATAAACAAACAAACAAACAAACCCCCTCCCCTCCCCCCCCCCAAAAAAAACCAAAAAGCAGCCATGGAACTGTTTCCTCTGGACATTTTGTTAAGTGAAATAACAGATGGTTTTATTAAGCCACTTTTAGTCCAAAATGGGTAATTTCAGGTGATATTCATGGCAGATGTTGCTAGTTAGGCTTTCCCACATTTATCCCTTCCCATGGCTTCCTTTGTGCTGATAGTGCCTCATTTCCATTCCAGAAGCCCAAAATGCCTCTCTAACACTTTCCCAGCCTCCTTTACAGATAAGATATGGATGTGTGACTCAGTTCCCGTCAATGAGATTTGAGGAGGGGTCTGTTGTGAGCCTTCTGAGAAAGGATTTCCTCCTTAATAAAAAGTGACATTTAGGGAACATGCCCTTATTCTTTGGCCAGATGCTGTTGTGTATTCATGTGATACTTGAAACTGTGGCTGCCATCTGTGACTATGAGTGGACAGTCTAAGGATGAAACCAATATGCTGAGAATGACACAGTGAATGATAGGGAAAACCCAGGTCCTCAATGATATGCAGAGTCCTGAACTCACCTTGGACTTGCCCTGCCTCTTTAGTTCTTTTAATATGACATAAAAAATGTCTTTTTTTTGTTTTTTTGAGACAGGGTCTTGCTCTGTCGCCCAGGCTGGAGTGCACTGGCACGATCATAGCTCGCTGTAGCATCGAACTCCTGGGCTAAAGCAACCCTCCTGCCTCAGCCTCCTAAGTGATTGGTACTACAGGCATGAGCCACCACGCCTGACTAATTTTTGTATTTTAAAATATTTATTTATTTATTTATTTATTTATTTATTTATTTATTTATTTATTTTGAGATGGAGTCTCGCTCTGTCAGCAGGCTGGAGTGCAATGGCACCATCTCGGCTCACTGCAACCTCCGCCTCCTAGGTTCAAGCAATTCTCCTGCCTCAGCCTCCCAAGTAGCTGGGGACTATAGGCGTGCACCACCACGCCCAGCTAACTTTTGTATTTTTAGTAGAGACAGGGTTTCACCATGTTGGCCAGGATGGTCTCCATCTCTTGACCTTGTGATCCGCCCGCCTCGGCCTCCCAAAGTGCTGGGATTACAGGTGGGAGCCACTGTGCCTGGCCTATTTTTTTTAAAGATGGGGCTTCTCTGCATTGCCCAGGCTGGTCTTGAACTCCTGGCCTCAAGCAAACCTCCCACCTCAGCTTCCCAGAGTGTTGGGATTACAAGCATGCACCACTGCACCCAGACAATAAATGTCATTTTAAAAACTGTTTTTTGTTGAATGTTCTGCTTCTCAAAGCCAGAGTCATCTGAACTCAAACATGCAGTATCATATGCCACCTTAACTCCTGCCTTCTACCCCCAAAATTCACCAGAAGTGAAAGAACTGAAAGATTTCTGTTAAAATTTTAAACATCAGCTGGTCTTGGTATTGTACTGTAATGACTATGGAAAGTGCTTATAGTATTTTATTATATAGTCACAGACTATTTCTGCCACCCTTCACATGAAACAGATCATTAGGTATTCATGAGAATTATGAAGACATCTCTTCTCAATGTCCCTGTTATTTGGACAAATAACAAAACTATAAAAGGAACTGCTGTACTCCTACAGATGTTTTCATTCATTTGGACATAATAGTTTCTGAATTTAATTTTTATAAAAAGGAAAATATAGCCAAATTCTATAATTCTCAAAAGCTGTCAATAAAAATATATTGAAAACTTTTCAAGAGAAAATCAATTATACACATGATTTTTTTAATTAAAAAAATAAAAAATGTAGAAAGTAGAAATACTACAGGCATACCTGCTTTTGTTGCACTTTGCTTTATTGTGTTTTTTACAAATTGGAGGTGTATTTGTCTGTTCTCACACTGCTAATAAAGATATACCCAAGACTGGGTAATTTATGAAGAAGAAGAGTTGGCCGGGCACGGTGGCTCACACCTGTAATCCCAGCACTTTGGGAGACTGAGGCAGGTGGATCACGAGGTCAGGAGTTCGAGACCAGTCTGACCAACATGATGAAACCCTGTCTCTACTAAAAATACAAAAATTACCTGGGTGTGGTGGCGTGCACCTGTAATCTCAGCTACACAGAGGCTGAGGCAGGAAAATCGCTTGAGCCCTGGAGGCAGAGATTGCAGTGAGCTGAGATCACATCCCAACCCCAGTCCCCAGCCTCTCCCTCTCCTTGGGCCTCCCTATCCCCTGAGACACAGGGATATTGAAATTAGGCCAGTTAATAACCCTACAATGGCCTCTAGGTGTTCAAATGAAAGGAAGAGTCACACGTCTCTCACTTTAAATCAAAAGCTAGAAATGATTATGCCTAGTGAGGAAAGCATGTTCAAAAGCCCAGACAGTCTGAAAGCTAGGCTTCTTGTGCCGAGCCGTTAGCCAAGGTGTGTATGCAAAGGAAAAGTTCTTGAGGAAAATTAAAAGTGCTACTCTAGTGAATGCATAAGAAAGCTAATTAGCCTTAATGATGATATGGAGATACTTTTAGTGGTCTGGGTATAAGATCTAACCAGCTATAACATTCTCTTAAACTGAAGTTTATTCCAGAGCAAGGCGGAGCTCTCTTGGATTCTGTGAAGGCTGAGAGAGATGAAGAAGTTGCAGAAGAAAAGTTTGATGCTAGCAGAGTTCGGTTCATGAGGTTTAAGAAAAGAAGCCATCTCTATAACATAAAAGAAGTGCGAGATGAAGCAGCAAGTGCTGATGCAGAAGCTGCAGCAAGTTATCTGGAAGATCTAGCTGGGATTGTTGATGAAGGTGGCTATGCTGAACAACGGATTTTCCAGGTAGACAAAACAATCTTATATTGCAAGAAGATGCCATCTAAGACTTTCATAGGTAGAGAGGAGAAGTCAATGCATGGCTTCAAAGCTTCAAAGGACAGGCTGACTTTCTTGTAACTGGCTATTGCAGCTGGTGATTTTAAGTTGAAGCCAATGCTTATTTACTATTCTGAAAATCCTAGGGCCCTTAAGAATTACGCTAAATTTACTCTGCTTGTGCTCTATAAATGAAATAACAAAGCCTAGATGACAGCTCGTCTGTTTTCAGCATGGTTTATTGAACAGTTTCAGCACATTTTTGGGAGTATTGTTCAGAAGACGTGATTACTTTCAAAATATTATTACTATTGACAATGCACCTGGTCACTCAAGAAGTCTGATGAAGCTGTACAAGGAGATTAATGTTATTTTCACGCCTGCTAACACAACATTCATTCTGCAGCCCATGGATCAAGGAGTAGTTTTGATTTTCAAGTCATTTAAGAAATTTCATGGGGCTGTGGCTGCCATAGTGATTCCTCTGATAGACCTGGGCAAAGTAAATTGAAAACTTTATGGAAAGGATTCACCATTCTAGATCCCACTATGGACATTCACAATTCATGGGAGGATGTAAAAATATTGACATAACAGGAGTTTGGAAGAAGCTGATTCCAACCCTCATGGTTTACTTTGAAGGGTTTGAGACTTCAGTGGAGGAAATACCTGCAGATATGTTAGAAATAGCAAGAGAACTAGAATTAGAAGTGGAAACTGAAGATATGTCTGAATTGCTGTGTCTCATGATAAAACTTGAACGGATGAAGAGTTGCTTCATATGGATAAACAAAGTGGTCTTTGGAGATGGAATCTCTTCCTGGTGTAGATGCTGTGAACACTGTTAAAATATCAAGAAAGGATGTAGAATATTACATAAACTTAGTGGATAAAGCAGTGGCAAGGTTTGAGAGGATTTTTTTATTTTTTATTTTTTTGAGATGGAGTCTCGCTCTGTTGCCCAGGCTGGAGGGCAGTGATGCGATCTCAGCTCACTACAACCTCTGCCTCCCAGGTTCAAGCGATTCTGCCTCAGCCTCCTGAGTAGCTGGGACTCCAGGTGCGTGCCACTATGCCCAGCTAATTTTTGTAGTTTTAGTAGAGATGGGGTTTCACTATGTTGGCGAGGCTGGTCTCGAACTCCTGACCTCGTGATCTGCCTGCCTCGGCCTCCCAAAGTGCTGGGATTACAGGCTTGAGCCATCACGCTCGGCGATTTGAGATAATTGACTCCAATTCTGAAAGAAGTTTAACAGTGGGCAAAATGCTATGAAGCAGCATTACATGCTACAGAGAAATTGTGAAAGGAAGAGTCAACCTATGGTGCAAACTTCATTGTTGTCTATTTTAAGGAATTGTTACAGCCATCCCCACCTTCAGCAACCATCACCTTGATCAGTTAGCAGCCATCAACCCTGAGGTGAGACCCTCCTCCAGCAAAAAAGATTACAACTTGCTGAAGACTCAGGTGATTGCCAGCATTTTTTTTGCAATAAAGTATTTTTAAATTAAGATATGTACATTGTTTTGTTAAATATAATGCTATTGCACGCTTTATAGTATGAACATAACTTTTTTTTTTTTTTTGAGATGCAGTTCACTCTTGTTGCCCAGGCTGGAGTGCAATGGCACGATCTCGGCTCACTGCAACCTTCGCCTCCCAGGTTCAAGCGATCTCCTGTCTCAGCCTCCCGAGTAGTTGGGATTACAGGCGCATGCCACCACGCCTGGCTAATTTTTGTATTTTTAGTAGAGACAGGGTTTCATCATATTGGTCAGGCTGGTCTCGAACTCCTGACCTCAGGTGATCCGCCTGCCTTGGCTTCCTAAAGTGCTGGGATTACAGGCGTGAGCCACCGCTCCCGGCGAACATAACTTTTATATTTACTGGGAAACCAAACAATTCATGTGACTCACTTAATTTTGATATTCCCTTTAAGTGTCAGTGGTCTGGAACCAAACCCACAATGTCTCTGAAGTATCTCTATGTATTTCTACTTAGCTTGTTAAACAGCAAACAAGATGAGAATTTAGAATTTTAATTCCCAGGACCATTTTCTTTTAAATATAGGTCCATATCCATAATATATATTCCATAATATAAAGATAATGAAGAAAGATATTGTTGGAATTCTTCTAGTCTGTTTTAGGCTTATGGATAGATAAAAAGGTGCAATATTAGTTTTCTTCTCTCGGAAAAAAACCAGTATTTTCCAGAGGATTTCATGGTTCTAGAAGTACTACTTCTAAAGCCTGCTTCTCTCTGCAGAGCTGCGAATGTCTTTTCAGATAAGAAATTCTGCATTCCATTTATCTTCAGGATGTATCCTTTGATAAGATTTCAACAGATTAATGAGCAACTGAACTGCCATATTTTGAAGTGGGAGAACAGTTTGCCTGAGTCAGGTATCCATCCCTTTAGGTTCTCGATTGGCCCTTGGCCCACGGTGAGTGAGCTCTCTTTGCTTGGTGCATCATCGCTCCACCTAGTTCAAGTTCTGGCGGCTTCCTGATTTTGATTCTCTTGGGAAATGAGGCCTGCTTTAGCCTGAGGCTGGCTCAGGAAGGCAACCTTTCACCTACTTAAGGAAAAGTTCACAGGCAAACTAAACAATATGTTGGGTTAAAAAAAGAGACCAATCCTACTAGTACTGGGTGAGTGAAAATCTTCTCTCTTACAGTACATGTAGTTCTACTACCTGCACTGGATGCTTTCTTTCTTATCCTTGTTTAGTGTCTAAAACGAGAAACAATGGCAAACTCCTTAAAATACAGAACCACTGTGGATTCCTAAGAACGTTCAAAAACAATAATTTGGAGTAAACTTTATTTTTTGAAAAGAAATAGCAAATTTGCATGGTGAGTGCATTTAGAGGAAAACGGGTTATATGCTAGGTCAAGTGAGGCCAAAACAAGAGAAATGATAATGGATAAGCTTTGAGTTTTTGAGGCTCTTCTTGCCCCAGGCAGTTCCAAAAGCCATTTTATTTGGCAGGATTTGACAGCAATTTCTGCAAGAACGGGATAACTAATCCAGTTAAAAACGAAAAAGAATATGCATACTATTTCATAATTTATATTGAAATTTATACATTACAGCAATAATTGTGCGACTGTAATTTTTTTTTTTTTTTTTTTGGTGGAGGGGTGTTTTTTCCTGGAGGGACGGAGCTCCTGCAGACCCTATTGGGCTAGCCGCTCCTCCCACGTCGCTGCCGCAGATCCCCGCTCCCCTCCCCCACCCGCGGTCCGTCCCTCCTGGTCGACCCCGTTCCCGCCCCCGCCCCGCGCAGACTGCAGCCAGGTCCGGTCCGCGGCGGCTCCGCGGAATGACCCGTAGTAACCTCGCCCCGCCCCGGGCCGCCAGCGCCGCGCTCCCCGGCCCGAATTCGATAGGCCCAGCCCCGCACGCGCCACCGCTCGCGGGCCAATGGGTGGCAGCCTCTCTGCATAGGCAACGAGTGCCGGCCGGGGGTGAGCGTCCCAGGCGGTTCCGCTCAACAGACGCTGCTGTGGCTGCGCCGGGCTGCGACACTGCAGTTGTCTACGCGGCCGGGGCCGGGACGAGGAGGCGTTGGACGGGGTCGCATACGTTCGTCCCCTCGCATTGCGGCCCCGACAGCTGCGCCAGGATCCCCGGGCGGCGGCGCGGGGCGTGAACGCTCTGGGGCTCAGCCAGGCCTGCGCGGGCCCGAGGCCGGAGGAACCCGGACTCCGGCGTAGCGGTGAGTGCGGCGCCGGTTGTGGGAGCGGCGGGAGCCGGTTGGCGGCGCGGCCTCCGCGTGCGGTTCGGCTGGGCCCGAGGGGCTCCCCAGCCTCGGGGCCTGGGACCCTGTCGTCGGCGCCGCACCTGACCGCTGGGTGTGCGCGCGGGCGGCCCGCGGCACCAGGAGCAGCGGCGAGCAGGGTGGGAGGCGGCCCGCTGGGGTCCGGGAAGCGGCTGACGTGGGGCCTCGGCCCTGAGCCCACGCGAGCCGGGAGCTGCAGCGCGAACGGCGTGGGGCGGCGCTGACCAGGCAGGGAGGATGCACTGCGTGCCTCCCGGCGCTGTGGGGCGGGGTGGGGAGGCCACCCCCTTGAATTAAGAGGGCTCTGCCGCGGCCCCAGCAGTGCGGTGTCCGTGGAAGGAGACTCAGCCCTGCGATTTCGGAAAACCCTTGTTTGGCGGGGCGGGAGGGGCTGTTGCTGCGTGGGGTGAGAAGAAACTAGGTGCGTGAGGTGGGTCGACCTTGGTGATTGGTTCTGGGCACTATCGTGGTGGTGGGACTGGGATTAAGACTGTCGTTTGGGGTTTGAGAGTTGCAGCTTTGCTTTTCCCCAAGTGCGTTTTAATCATATACTGTTGATAGGTTGGGTAACTCGGGGACTGCTTACTACCAGCAGTCCTGTGGGGTAGGTGTTATCAGGCTCGTTTCACAGATGAGGAGCCCGAGGCACAGGTTTTCAAATGGTTTTCGCAGGAAGTCTGATACTAGAAAGTGTGCTCTAAGCTGCTGTATAAAAGATCCCTCGAAAATGAAAAGGCTGGAGGAATGTCTTTAAAATTATATGGAAGCTAGAAAGGCAGTAGGCTTTGTGAACGAAATTATAGCTGAAAAGAATGACAAATAGCTGACATTTATTGAGCTTTTATTACATGCCACGCACTGTTTGGAGAGCTTTATGTACAGTGTCTTCACACTGTTAACAGTCCTCTGGGGTGGGGGTTATTCCCATTTTACAGCGGGAGAAACTGCAGATTGGACGACTTAGCTTGCCTCAGATCTCAGCTAGTAAGAAGCTGGGATTCAGACAGGCCTGTGTAAATCCAGAGCTCTGAAATCTAAGCACTATATTTTGCTGCCTCTCCTTGGTGGCTGGCTGAATAGTTTCCACAGTGGATTTTAGTCTGGGTGGCCAGGAGAGTTGTAGTTTGATGATACCTTCTTTCATGTTTATCAACCTATTTTGTTTCCCCAAATTAGTTCTGAGAGTTAAGGGTGCTGATGAGTTGCTCCTGAAAGTGTATTAGAAGGGTATTATAGGGGACAGGTGGTGTGACATGGGAATCTTTTGCACAGACTTGATTTTGTTTTCTGGCATTTTTCTGGGCAGTTCCTCACACTTGGGGATGAGTAAGCCTTCTAATTGTCGCATGCGTTTTCTCTCTAGACTTTTCCTGGTTTCTCTTTTGTATAAAAATATTGGTTTTGTAGGATGACATTGGGTGTGGGGCAGAGTGGTCCATTGGACCTAAGGGTCAAGGTGACAAGTCACCTCGTATCTTTGGATCTCAGTTACTGAATTTGTAAGGCTTTAGACTCAGTGACTTAAAGCTTAAATATTCTGAGGGTCTAAAATGTTCTCCTTGAAGGAAGAAAGGAAGAATGGGAGAAATGAAGAACGCACAAATTATAAGGGGAAAATCATCCTCTGTCTGGTTTGGGGTGAGAATCAGATCTTAAAGCCTCGAGGTCTGTTTCATTTGCTTTTGTGTTTCCCTGCTGTTTGGTTCCAGTTAAGTGACTGTTTCATTCCTCATTTGATTAATTGACTCACCTAGAGCCATTTAATTTTTGTGATATGTCAGGCACCTTATTAGGTGCTGGGAATACAGCTGTGAATAGAGGGAAAAATAGACAAGAAGCAAATGGTCATACAAACGGATAGGTGGTTGCAAGTTTGATAGGTACGATGAAGGAAAAGTATTGTGTGAATGAGGATTATGAGCAAGATTGTGATGTAGATGGAAATCTAGTCTAGGGAGCTGTTTTTTGAATTGATGTGGTGAGATTTTGCTAGAGGACAGTCTTGAAATCTGAGCCTGCAATTATGTACATAATGCAAGAGTTTGGGAAGTTGTCAGCAACAATAATTCTTTTCATTGCACAGTGTATTTCATACTCAGAATGTCATCCCGGCTCTCATTGCAAGATACGAAAATGAGATAGGCAACTTTACAAGTTGTCATTCTGTCTGCCTTCAGGGTACTTAAAGCTTAAATAGTCCTCTAATACTTTCTCCCACTCAAAATGAACTGTAAGGGGGAGTAAGACTCTTTTATGTGAGATTTGGGCTTGAATATTGGATTTAGATTTTTTTTAGGAAAGCTAGGCCAAGGGTGATAGGCTTTTAAAACAACGAGCATCATAATGACTCAAAAGTATCCATTGTAGCATACGCTTCACAGGGTCATTTAACTTAAAAGTCTCATCATCTTAGGAGATCATTTTTTGATGGCTGGATTGGGAAATATAGATTGTTAAAAATATATAAATGTCTCAGTTGAACATGTATGAAGCCAATTCAAATAATACATTGCAATATATTTACTTAATGGCCATCTGCATGCAAAACACCGTCCTAGGGGTACCATGTGGCATAAATAAAAAAGATGAACTTGCCAAAGTTACTGCTTTCAAAGAGATTTCAGTTAATGTATACTAATACTCAAATTTAAGGTTTTTTTTTTTCAAAGTGCTAGCATATCTCATCTGATCCTTTTAAGAGCCATATATGATAAACAGAAATACTGAGAAAATGGAGATAAAAAATTGTCAGGATATGGTGATAAATAGTAAATGGAGTGGGAGAAAGAGGTGCTAAGTGATTACTAGGTTTCAGACCTATGCAACTAAAGAGGTATGTGTGCTATTCACTGAGCTGGGGCTTAACTGGTAGAGAACTAGGTTCTGGATATGGGAAGGGCATGACTTTAGTTTTGGAAGTGTTCAGCTGGAGCTGCCTTTGAGGCCTTTATTGAGGTACTGGTTTTGTGCTGAGAATTGGGGTGGCCATTTACCGTTTTGAAGACCTCCATGTAGAGGCAAGAGCTCAAACCATGGGTATGGGTGAGATTGCCTGTGGGGAGGCTATAGAATAAGAAGAGAAGGAGGCCTGGGATGGAGCTGGGCAGAGGAGGTTGAGCTTGTCAAGGAGACAAGAGTGGCCAGGAAGGTCAGAGGACAGCCAGAAACAGATGTTCCTGCAAGGCGATGAGTCAGTACTGTGGAATGCTCCTATGAGAGAAGAATTGAGAACCATCATTGAATTTAGCAACATGGAGGTCACTGGTGACCTTTGAAAGAGATGCTGATCTGCAGGTAGGGGTGGGATGGGGAGCAGTGGGAGGTGAGGAAAACGGAGACAGAAACTGTTTCCAATAGGTTTGATTTCAGCATGTTTAAATGCTGATGGGAAGGCTCAGTGGAGAGGGAGTGGTTGAATATAGACTAGAAAAGGGTTTGTGCAGAGTTCCTAAAAGGATGGGGTTGGGATGGGACCCAAAGTACAACTGAGGCCTGTGTCTTTGCTGGGAGGAGGGGACACCTTCCACAGTAACAGAATACAGGCCTGTAACCTATGGAGTACTAAGCAAATGCCAAAAATTGTCAAGAACTGTTAAATTTCTAAAAATTAGCCCAATTTTAGTTGACTCATGACAGTCTTTTAGAAAACTTTGTTGCAAGAGCATTGTGTGATTGATTTAAAATGTGGCTCAGTCTTAATTTCATCCCTCAATAGAGTATATATTTTCATCTGACTTTTGATTGTAATTTATTTATTTTCTGAAAAAGGAGACATTGTAAATGTTAAATCCTGTGGTGCCTTCCTTACATGTTTATTTTTGGTTTCATTAGAAAAAAGCTTTCAGACGGTTTCTGTTTTCCTGACATCATAGGTGCCTTAATTCTTTTAATTTAAAGTTTAGCTTCTGTTATTATTGGAATATGTTTATTTACGTATTTTTGATGTTTCCCATTTTGAAGGGTAAAGAATTGGATGATTCAGTAGTTTCAACTGATCTGCTAATTTTTGTTTAGAATTGAAGATACTTAAATAACCAACCTTTTGGATAAGTGGCCTCCAAATACAGCTTTCTGCTTGTTTGTGAAGGTATTTGTTATTAAGGATTCATTCATTCATGTATTTACTTAGTGTCTGTTTTGCAAGGTACTCGGAATTTGGAAATGATTGGGCGAGTTCCTGCTCTTAAGGAGCTCACAGTTCACCACAGGAAAGAGGTGTATGAACAAATTACAGCATGGTGGAACAGAAGAAGGTATATGAGCAAATATATTACAGGATGGTATAATCAGTGCAGCAGTGGAATCTGCTAGGAAATAGAGAAAAAGTGCAGAGCAGGCACAGAGTAGGGAAGGAAAAGGGGAGACTTCTCAGTGGAGATGATAGCTGAACTAGGTTTTCCAAGATGAACTGGAGTTTTCCCAGGTCAACAGGGAGCCAGGAAATAGAATGTTTTACCTTGATTTTGGATCCTCTGTGTGTGTGTGTGTGTGTGTGTGTGTGTGTACACAGATGTGTACGCATTGGAGATGTTATAACGCTACCAAAGAATATTGTTAGAAAAATTAAAAATTGCTTATCTTACTATCCTCATGTTGATTGCTCTAGCTGTGAAAAGCTGCACATTTTCCCCTGTCCTGTCATGGTCAACTTTTCTGTCTCCTATTTGATGCAGAAAGTAACTGAACTTAATTATATTATTTGGATACAAAGCCTAGTTTTTGTTTTTCTAAATGAATGGTCTTTGGAATAAGGATAATAGCCAACACCTTTATAGTATACTGTGGCCAAATGCTGTTCTAATTTTTATCTCAGCCTTGCAAAATAGGTACTTTTTTTTTTTTGAGACGGAGTCTCGCTCTGTCCCCCTGGCTGGAGTGCAGTGGCATGATCTCGGCTCACTGTAAGCTCCGCTTCCCGGGTTCACGCCATTCTCCTGCCTCAGCCTCCTGAGTAGCTGGGACTACAGGTGCCCACCACCATGCCCGGCTAATTTTTTGTATTTTCGGTAGAGATGGGGTTTCACCATGTTAGTCAGGATGGTCTTGATCTTCTGACCTTGTGATCCGCCCGCCTCGCCCTCCCAAAGTACTGGGATTACAGGCTGGGAGCTACTGCGCTGACTGCAAAATAGGTTCTTTTATCATTCTAATTTTTACAGCTGAGGAAACTGAAGCACAGAGCAATTTAAGTGACTTGCACGATTGTGTGCTAAATGTGTGCTGGATTTCATCCCAGGCACTTTGGTTCCAGAGTCCCTGTTCTTAACCTGGGCGCTGCATCTCCTCTCTGGAGTGACAGTTTGAAGTTCATGTTAACCTTTGAAGGCATGATTGTGTAGGGAAAGGAGCTGTGATGACATTTAGGGGCAGTTTTATGTCTGTTTTAATTACACAAAGTTGCTGCCCCAAATAAAACTGCCCTGCCCCCCCCGCCCCCCCCCCCCCCCCCCCCCCCCGCCCCGGGGAAATCATAAGGAAATTGAGAGAATTTAACTAGAATTTTCTTTTTTTTCTTTTTCTTTTTTTTTTTTGAGACAGAGTCTTGCTCTGTCACCTATGCTGGAGTGCAGTGGTGTGATCTCTGCTCACTGCAACCTCCGCCTCCCGGGTTCAAGCAATTCTCCTGCCGCAGCCTCCCGAGGAGCTGGAATTACAAGTACCCACCACCACACTCGGCTAATTTTTGTATTTTTGGTAGAGATGGGGTTTCACCATGTTGGCCAGGCTGGTCTCTAACTCCTGACCTCGTGATCTGCCCATCTCAGCCTCCCAAAGTACTGGGATTGCAGATGTGAACCACCATGCCCGGCCTAGAATTTTCTTTTTGGACTTGAACATAATTCCTCAGGATGCTTTCCCCTTTAACCTTACTTCGCAGGAATTGTTATTGACTTTTTAGATTGGAATATAAAGGAATTTGGGATCCCATAGTCTGCTAATTCCATTTTCTTTTCCTGTCTTTTAACTAAAATATTGACGCACTTTCTGTATGTTTGAAAAATATTTCATAAAATTTAATCCACTTAAAGAAACCCACTCCTTTCCCCCAAATCTTACAGCTAACCACTGCTCTGAATTTGGTGTTTATTATTCCTATGTATTTCTGTACAGCTTTATTACACATGTGTGTTTCCTTAGACAGTGTATAGTATTGTTTTGTGTATTCTTAAACTTTATATAGATGGTACTGCATGTATTCTTGTTCAGCATACTGTTTATTTTATCCCCACTCAAAATCACTTAGCAGTGTGGTTTCATGAATTGAGTTTCAACTCAATTCATCAGTGTGGGTTCATGTAGATTTAGGTCATTTATTTTTACTGTGACAAGTTAGTACATTTTAGGTCTATACCATATTTATTTCCCCTTTGCTCTCTTGATAGACTTTTAGGCTGTTTCCATTTTTTTTGTTATTACAAACATTATTACCGTTAAGTATTATTGAACACAAGTCTTTGTTTTAATTTTTGACACTGTAGTTAACCTGTGCTCCTTTTTCTCTGTTCTTCACATTTTTGTCTCGGCCTTCCTCTAATCGTTTCATTATTTGAGCTAAGGTACCATTCTTTGTCCATTATACTTAACAGTACAAAACTGTAATGGGCACTTTTCCTCGAAGGCTCTTTTTAGTAATCTTTACTTTAGTTAACTTTCTTTGCTTTTTTTTTTTTTAAATAAAAATATCTTAAAATATAGAAATATCTTGAACATATTTTACAGATATATATTATTTTACTTGTAATTCCATGCATGACTGCAGGGATAATTCACGTGTACCCTTTCTCTTGGGAAACGTTTCTGTGTTGATGTACATTTGATTTAGCTAATTCTGTATTTTAGTGTTTGTTTCCTTTAAATATTTTCCTCTAAATGTAGTGCACTTTTTTCATTGCAGTTTGGTGGGTAGGAACATGAGCTCAGAGTTAAGATTGCTTGGATTGGAATCCGGGCTCTACTTTTTAGCTGTGTGTCTTTGGGCAGCGTATTTAATTTCTATGTCTCAATTTCTTCATCTGTAAAATGGAGATAATAGAAATCTACCCGTAGATTGTTGTGAGATTCAAATGAGGTGTCTGGCATAGTCATTACTCAATACATATTAGCTATTTTTATTAGTTTTATTTTTTGTTAGAGTATGCAGTATTTTCTAAGCCTACTCAGTTTGTGGTGTTGCCTTCTTTTTTGAAGCAGCATTTTAACACAGACATCTATGCCTCAAGGAAATGTGTGATGTTTTATAACTGTTAGTGGAGATTGGGAAGAGATACTGTAAACTGTAGCAAACCATAAGTTGAGGTACATTAACTAGATTGTTATATTTTAATATCAATAATTTAGGATTTGGTTGGGCATGGTGGCTTATGCCTTTAATCCCAGCACTTTGGGAGGCCGAGGAGGGCGGATCACCTGAGGTCAGGAGTTTGAGTCCAGCCTGGCCAATGTGGCATGAGTCCAGCCTGGCCAATGTGGTGAAATCCCGTCTCTACTAAAAATACAAATTAGCTGGGTGTGGTAGCGGGTGCCTGTAATCCCAGCTACTTGGGAGGCTGAGACAGGAGAATTGCTTGAACCTGGGAAGTGGAGGTTGCAGTGAGCCAAGATCATGCCATTGCACTCCAGCCTGGGCAACAGAGGGAGACGCTGTCTCAAAAAAAAAAAAAAAATTAGGATTTATCGTGTTTCAATTTTTTTGAAATACGTATAAAGCACTTTGAAAGTGAGTTGACATGGTGAAATTCTCAGATAATTACCAAGGGTCTACTCTTGTTAGTTTTAAATACCTTTTGTAATATGACCCTGATAATGATTCAGATGGTGTTTCTAAGTATATTATCCTATGTCATCAACCTTGTGTTGTTCAGTGGAGAAGGAACCATTGCCATCCATGTATGTAAAGCTTCATAGGTAAATTTGAGCGAGTGACTTAACCTTTCTCAGCCTTCCATTTCAATTTCTGTAACATAAAGATTTCAATTCTTACCTCACAAGGTTATCATGACTTATGTTAGTTGCTTCCTTCATCTCTCTGGCTCCCCTGTCTTCTCTTGTAACTTCCTTTTTTTCTGTTTTCCCTATGTATATTCTTTCTTCCTCTTTATCCCTTCTCTGCCCTTCACAAGTAGTTTTTTGGTAAATGGTAACAAGACATTCTGAACCAGTGTGTGAGTGAACCCATTATATTAATAAAAATACACATTATTTAAAGGGGACTAGGAAATGTTAATTCTGTAAGGACAAGAGGATTTAGGCCATATGAAGTTACAGAGGAGATGCTGTAAATGTTAAATGAGCAGTATAAAGGACAGAGAGGTCATGTTTTGCCACAGTAGCCAGGGAATGGTCAGCTGAGCAAAATGAGACTAATGTTAGATTTGAAGAAAGATTTGTGAGGAAGGTATTCACATAGGATGTCCAGTGGGCAGTGGAGTTTGGAAGATTGGCAAATAAAACTGAGCCATCAACTGCTTGGGAGGACTCAGGAAGCTGTGAGGATAAATCACATCCCATGGGGAAGAAAGGCACATGGACTTGGAGGACAAAAGCAATTAAGACCTAGCGTAACCTCTTTATTTATTGATTAAACTCTGAAAGTAGTTGTTGAATGAATTAAACCTTCTAGGAATAGAAAGGGAGAACTAGCAGCTAGCAAATGGAGAGAATTGAGTGGCTCTGAGTTGTTGCAGGAGGAGCTTTGAAGGTCTGGCCCGAGTTGTTTGTAACCCTGCCGTTGAGACTGGTGGTGTGGCATTGTCTGTGCCATTTAGTCTGACTGGACTTCTGGTTTTTTTTTTTTTTTGGTCTGTAATCCTTTCTTGCTTTTGGGGGATGGAGAGGGATCTGCTTCATCACTGTTCTTTTTACCTCCTTTTCCCCCTCCTTTACTTGACTCAGGATTTTTGTTACCTGTGCCATATTTATTTCTTAGGTGTCTTTGACTTTATCAGTTAGCTTTGTGCATTTCCCCATGTATTCATTGATGTGTTTACTACCTGGAATTTAATGGGGTGTTTGCATGAGTCTCTTCCTCTTTTGACATCTCAATAAGCAAGATTCTCATGGAAACCATCTCAGAGGCAGTGGGCAGTAAATAGATGGAGTGAAAGATGAGGCAGAACTGTTTCTCTGCATTCTATATTGAGATGTACAATTGTTTAACAAATAATTACAAAAGAAAATGAGTGCCATGAGAGAGTGCCCTAAGGGGTCAGCGGATGGGTAGAGAAGTTCAGGCTGGGGCTAGGGCCAGTGGAGGTTTGGGTATCAGAGAATGCCTAATCAATTTAGATGCTAAGAGATAACTAGGCTTTGAATGTATGCAGAAGAATAAAGGACATTCCAGGTAGAGCTAACAGGGCAAAATGAGCAAAGGCAGAGAAGACAGGTAAGGGAGACAAAGAAGTGGATGGAATTGATTTGTTTGTAGTGTGCGAAGTAGAGAGTTGGAAGGTGAGAGTTGAAAAGTAAGCTGACTTCAAGTTGTGGAGAGTCTTAAGTACTTGGCAGACGAGTTTGGAATTGTTTTTTATTCCTTCTTTTTTTTCCCCTTTTGGACAATGAGGAGGGAATTGAGATTCTTGAAGAGAGGATTGATGTGAAATACGGGTTATAAGGGAGTGGCAACGTCACACTGGCAACATGAATGAAGGATGCATTGATGGAGGAGGGGGAGAGGGGACTAGAGACAGAGGAATAGTTAAGGATACAGTTGAATTCTGCCAGGTGACAGGAGTAAGGACCTGAACTGATAAAGTAACACGTGAGAAAGGGCAGGAGGCAGGGGATGACAGAGGAAGCAGAACCATCGGGACTTGGCAACTGACTGGATCTTTGCAGGGCAAGGGAAGGGAACATTACCAAATGCTTTTTAAGTTTTGAGTAAGTTCTAGAAATGGGAAGAGTCAGCTTTCCATTTGAGTTGGGAAAGGTGAAAGCAGAGTGACAGTAGAAGATGTGGAAAGGAGAATTCAGTTAAAAAAATTTATTTTTAAAAATGCGAAGTGGGATAGCTGGGATCTCCTCAAAGAAAGCCAGATGAGGGGTCATCTGGGTAGGCGATGGTGAGATCAGGGAGTGGCGGAAAGTGAACAAAGTTCTGGGCTTAGATGTTTATAGAATGAGGTGAGAAGTCAGTGAAAGATGTGTAAAGTGCTTATCACTAGGGGCCCAGTAGGCATTGTCTAGGGAGGCCTCAGCTAAGGCTGGGTCTCACAAACATGTGGCATTGGTCCTGGCTGTATAACTCTCCAGCTGGCAGCCTTGTGAGTAGGAGTGAAGAAAATGCAGTGAATCTGCAGGGAGCGGTTGTGTTTTAGAGCTCTAGGATAGCAAGTGCTCGGGAGTCCTCCAGGAAGGACATGGTTGTCACAGAAACATTGGTTCCTGGGACTAGGCTTTCAGGGGACAAGAGAAGACACAAGGGAGTTGGTGGCCAAGATGGAGTGGGAGAGCAGGTCTAGTGGGTGAGGGGTTGTGGGGTTACTAACAGCCTATTCTCATTCTGTTAATTTTTAAGGCTTGAATTAGTTTTCTAATGATAGGAGTCTTGTTGCTTTGGGACCACAGATGTGAATGTTATTATTATTATTTTTGCTTCTCTGCTTTATCTGTGGCATTACTGCTCTTGTGGCATTCCCCCCCACCCCCGACTCCCTTGTTTTTGGTGAACATAATAGTCACCGTAAAAAAGATGTATAATTCTAGGGAAAAACTTAAGTAGGGCAAATGCTCAACAGGGAAAAGTTCATAATTTAGAATACAGGTGTGCCTAAGGTTATAAAATAGATAATAGTACTAAGACAATTAATTTTTTGTTTTATTTTGAGACGGAGTTTCGCTCTTGTTGCTCAGGCTGGAGTGCAGTGGCACGATCTTGGCTCACTGCAATCTCCGTCTCCTGGGTTCAAGTGATTCTCCTGCCTCAGCCTCTCGAGTAGCTGGGATTACAGGTGCCCACCACCACGCCCGGCTAATTTTTTGTATTTTTAGTAGAGACAGGGTTTTACCATGTTGGCCAGGCTGGTCTTGAACTCCTGACCTCAGGTGATCCTCCTGCCTCGGTCTTCCAAACTGCTGGGATTACAGGTGCTCCTGGCCGACAGTTACATATTTTTTATAGAAAGAAAGTAAAAGTATCTTAGGAAAATTTAAATAAATTATTATTCTTAACATCTGTCATCCATCCATCTGTTTGTCTATCGGTGTGATGGATGCTCCCACCAGGTACTTTGCTAGTGGACACCAAGGATAGAATGATGAATAAGACAAATACGGCCCTTCCCTGGTGCATAGAGTGGGAAGGTGAACATTAAGCAGTTCCACAGTAATTATTTAATTACAGTTGCAGTAGGTCCTGTGAAGGCAAAGTTGTGGGGTGCCGAGGGTGGGGAACCAGAGTAGGCTGTCTTGAGAGGCTTCTCTGAGGAAGTGGCATCCAACTGATCTAGGAGAAGGGGGATGGTAGTGGGGCGGTGTGGTGGTGGGGCAACTGGGCCGCTTTCTAGGCAGAGGCTTGAAGCAATGTGGGGTGGGGTGGGATGGTGACTTGGCTTTGGGGAAAATCCACAAGAAGGGCAGGAGTTTGTGCAGAGGTCTTCTGAGATGAAGCTGGATGCAAAAATAAATGGGCCACAGCATGCATGAGACAGAAATAAAAATAAAGCCGTCTCTTAGAAGCAATCCATTGAGAGTAGACTGGGAAGATGAGGGAACTTGGAGGCTTGACTGTGCCAACTAGTTAGCAATATCTGTATCAAGTCAGTATGCTTCTTTGGTCCTCAGTTACTACAAAAAGTTTAAATTTTATTATTACAAAATTTGCAAACAGTTAACTTTTTATGATTTGAATTTTATGATTAGCAATGTTACAGTTTACCAAAATTATCTTCAGCAGTATTAAAACATCTATAAATATATATAACAATATACCTGACCATATATTATGTTGATTTTGGTATTGTTCGCCTATTAAGGCCAATGGGAAACTTTTCAGCTAGATTGGATATTATTTCATAATTCCATAGAGTTGTATGTTTTGAACAGAAATATTTTTAGTGTCTTCTCTAAGTTTACTATTCAATTTCTTGTTTAAAAGATCATAAATTGACCTAGTGTTTCAGGCATGTCAATACTGTTGCTATATAAATTTGTAGAAATTATAATGAATTTATATATTTGCTTTAAGTTTTTCTTCTAAGAATGTGTGTTTGATGAGAAAGTTTGGAAAATACGTAAAAGCATAAATTCTACATTCTAGATATAGCCAGTGCTGAGGTGCTTTCGGTCCTGATACCTGTTTGTGTGTATGTTAACAAAAGTGGAAATATATTGTGTGTAAATATTTAACCTACTTCTCATTTATCATATCATGAGCAATTCCCATGTTATTGAATGTTTTTGAAAATATTTTTAGTGGTTGTATAATAATCTACTATATGTACATAATGTACTTTACCATTTCCCAATTATTAGATTTGCATATTTTCATTACCCATTATTATAAATAGCAAATGGAAGTTCTCAAGTAAATTTGTTTTTCTTCATTAAATATTCACAGAAGTGGAATTGTTTGGTCAAAAGGTATGAAAAATTTAAAGGCTCTTAATAAAAATTACAATTGCTTCCCAGAGAGGTTGTACTTATATATCTGTGCCCTTTAGTTTGAGTGTGTCTTTCCATTGCACCTGTACTTGGATTTATTTTTTTATTTTTATTTTTTTTTGAGACGGAGTCTCACTCTGTCACCCAGGCTGGAGTGCAGTGACGTGATCTTGGCTCACTGCAACCTCCATCTCCCGGATTCAGGTGATTCTCAATGCCTCAGCCTCCCGAGTAGCTGGGATTACAGGTGCGCACCACCACACCCGGCTCATTTTTTTGTATTTTTAGTAGAGACCAGGCTTCACTATGTTGGCCAGACTGGTCTTGAACTCCTGACCTCAGGTGATCCGTCTGCCTCGGTCTCCCAAGGTGCTGGGATTACAGGCGTGGGCCACTGTGCCCGGCCTTGTACTTCCATTTATATATTGAAAACCAGAAGAGAGATGTTGTTTCATATGAATAATATTTTGTATAATTAAAAAAATTTCTTGGCTGGGCACAGTGGCTAACGTCTATAATCCCAGGACTTCGGGAGGCTGAGGAGGAAGGATCACTTGCACCCAGGAGTTTGAGACCAGCCTGGGCAGTATAGGGAGACTTGGTCTCTATAAAAATAATAAAAAATACTAACTGAGTTGGGTGCTGTGGTTCCGGCTGCTTGGGAGGATTATTTGAGCCTGGGAGTTCAAGGCTGCAGTGAAAACTGTGATCAAGCCACTGCACTCCAACATGTGACAGAGCAAGAGACCCTGTCTGAAAAAAAAAAAAATTAGCAACCCGAGTATTTATTTTAGTTAAACCAGTCTTAATCTAGACCTGATTTAAATAAAAAGCAATAATTTTGCTTATTGGATATATCCTGCTGAAGGATTTGGAGAAAGAATAGAAATTTTATAGATTTACAGTTTTTAAATTACATTGGCTCACTACTGTAATCCCAGTACTCAGGAGGCAGAGATGGGAGGATTGCTTGAGGCCAGGAGTTTTGAGACAGCCTGGGCAACATAGTGATAACCCGTCTCTACCAACAAAAAAAAAAGATATAAAAGTAAAAATAGAATTGAAGAATTAAAAATCTTCATTTATGTGAAAATTTGAATGGAGAGGTGAAGTTAGGAATAATTGTAAAAATTTAGCTTTTGATTTACTTTTTTTTGCGTTGTGTATAACCTGCTAATGTTAAGGATAATATATACAAAGTGATCAGAACAGTGCCTGGCACGTATTAAATGCTCAGTAAATGTACCTATTGTTATTGTTACTTTAAAAATGTCTCCTTCCAGCTCTCTGAAGATTAGCTCATATAATACAGTGTCTCTCAAAGTTTTTATCACTGATAAAACTTTATCACTGATCTTATCACTGATAAAATCAAGAAGATTGGGGACGGAAGGAATGGGATTTTTGTTTTTGAATAAAAACCTTTGGAGTGGTGGGTTGGAGGGAGGAATCTCATATCTATTCGTCATGATTCAGATCAGGATAATAATGAGTTGATCTGTGTAGTGCCAGTTGAAATCTTGATTTTTATTCAATGAAATAAAAAAATTCATTGGTTTGGCTTTTCACTGATTGATTTATATCCCATTCTGTATTCCTTTTGGTTCCTGGAAAAGAATAGGAATAATTTCTGTAAATTTGACCTTATTGGTATTAACTTTCATATGGCAATTTTAGAAAGAAGTGCCTATGGAAGATGACTTATTGGTGAGGCTTCTTTCCTCTTTAATTGCATGACGTTATAGCGCAGAAATGATCACATCTATGAACCTAGATGGCCTTACTGATTGCTGCTTGACGGGTTGTTGAATGAGCTGATATTGACCAGAGTTTCTACCCCTCCTCCCCTCCCCTTTTGGGTTGTCCAGTTCAGTGTCATAAGCACAGACATAATTCCTTAGCTTATTGCTGGGTTTTTTTTGATGATGTTTCTTTTTGTTTTTCCCTGTTTTAAAATTTTATTCATAAAATCAGCCAACATTTATTGAACATATACTAGGTAATACTTTGTAGGTTTCTTGGGATTCATATTTCAAAGATGCATCATTAGAGTGTTTACCTCGTTGAAGTAGATAGAAAGTAAAACAGTAAACATACAATCCATAGTTAAAAGTGCTAATGTAGATGTATGTGCAAAGTGTTTTGGGTTCTTAGAGGACTGCAAGTAGATATTAGAAGACTTCATAAAAGAGGTGACATTTGAGCTAGAGTTTGGACTGTTTCACCAGTATAAAAGTATTGGGATTAATAAGCAGGGGAAGGAGCAATAGTGTGTGATTTGTAAATCATAGGAGCAGCTTTGATTCTGGTACCCATTCCCTACCCTCATGTGGGATAGCTTTTCTCAACAGATGTTTGAGCAAGAGCTAGTTATTGCTTTATGGTTTTTTTTGTTGTTGTTGTTTGTTTGTTTTTTTGTTTTTTTTTGAGACAGAATCTCAGTCCTAGGCTGAAGTGCCATGGCACAATCATGGCTCACTGCAGCCTCAACTTCCCCAGCTCAAGTGATCCTCCTACCTCAGCCTCCCAAGTAGCTGGGACTACAGGCGTGTGCCACCATGGCCAGCCAATTAAAAACATTTTTTTTTGTAGACACTAGATCTATTTTGTCCAGGCTGGTCTTGAACGCCTGGACTCAGGCATTCCTCCTGCCTCAGTTACCCAAACTGTTGGGATTACAGGCATGAGCAACCATACCTGGTCCTACTTTATGACTTTAAAATATTTTCTTTATGCCTATTTAAATTATAGAATATAAAATAGTATTTATAAAAGTATACATTTATTCATACCCGCTATGTATCACATACTCGGCTAGATTCTAGGAAAGCAGAGAAAAAAAAAAAGTCCTTGCTTCAAGAAGCTCACAGTCTGTTGTGGGGAGACAGAAAAGCAAAGTTAAAATACAGTTGTAATAAGTTACGTTAATGGTATGCCTGAAGTGTTTTGGAAGCTCATAGGAAGGACATCTAACCCAGCCTTGATGGAGGAGGGGAGATAAACGATGGAGGTAAAAATAGATGGAGAGAGTTCATTGAAAATCTATATTCCTTTACTTCTGGATAGAGCATAGTTTTTCTGAGTTAGGAGGGGATTGGAGATGGGACCCAGGGGACATACCAAGCATAAAGGCATGGGACAAGAACACACATGGGGAATGCTTGGGGAACTGAAAGGGTGTGTTACAGGATAAGTCAATTAACAGTAGAGATCAGGCAGGGGGAGGCCTGATAGATTGAGAAAGATGGTGGAGAGCTCAAGGGGATTGGAGTTCTGGATGAGGTCAAAGGATTGAAGTGAAAGAGTTGGTGGAATAGGACTGGTTATGGTTAAGAGTAGTTTTGGAGTTTTGTACTTGAGAGATGGTTTTGTACTTAGATTGTTTAGAGGGTGTTTTTTAAAAGTTAGTTTTGTGATTTTCCTTGTAATGAAGAGGTGGAGCAGATGATAGCCCAGATGGAAAGTTCCATGAGGGCAGGATCAGTTGAATACTCAGGGCCTGTTTATGTAAATCTGAACTTTGGTATTGAGAATGAAAAGCATAGCACATTCGTAGATTTACTTTTTTGGTGAGAAACATCTATATTGGCATTTGTTGTTTTTATTAGATACTAACCTCAGTGACGGCTACATATACACTTATACCTTTATAAATACCTAGTTCAGAAATGATTTTGTAGGCATGTAACAGTTTCTGTTCTTTGCATTGATGTTTCTGGGGAGAATGGTGGACATAGTGTAAAACTGGCATATGTAATGCCTATATATTATATACTACATCATGTGTTAGATTACATGCTAGAAATTTGGATGGAACACTACCCAGAATTGTGAGTCACTATTTGGGAATTGCCCTTGATGCATGGATAATTTACCCGTAGACAATTGGGAGCTGTGTATTTAAGTTAATAAAATTTCTTTGTATTACATGATGCCAGAGTACAGGCATGTTAATTATAGGTGATCACAGTTTTTGTTTCTTGTTATTAATTTCAAATAGCTTTATGAAATAATTATATTTGCTGTCTTTCTTAGATAAGTCAAGAACATAATGTGTTTCTTTTGAGCTCCTTCAGGGAGAGTAAGTTTAATTTATTCTTCCACTAGAAAGAAAGATACTGTGCTTTATTCACTGCTGCACACCCAGTGCCCAGCGTATAGGAGACACTCACATTTGTTGAATGAATGAATCAGTCTCTGCATCCCTGCCACCTAGCACAGTAATGGACATGAGATACTGAGTAAGCATTTATTAAATTGAGTTGAAAGATTTGAATATATTACCAGAAAATTTTTGGAAGGCCAAAAATCTCATATCAGAATGACCAGTATATACTTATTAATGGAAGCTCAGGAATTCCTGAAGAATAGCTTTTCTGTTGGTAAATATGTACTAACTGGTTGAGTAATATATGCTAATGTAATTTAAAAAATTATGTGATTGTGAAGGCAGGAAAGCGATGGATTGTTTCAGGCCAGGCCCACTGCTTGCTGTACTTTAATGTCATTGCTGCTTATCGCCTTCTCTGCAGCCTTGTTGACACTCCTGACAACAAGTGTTTGTCTTTGGCTTCTAGGGCACTGTTTCCTGTTCCTTTACCTTTCTTGTTGGTTCTTCTGGCATCTGCCCTTAATCCTTTATCCTACAATTGAATATACTGTTTCTGAGGAATTCTGTGTTCTATGAATAGAGTCAATGATGACTGTGACCTCTGCATCTTCAGCTGTTTGGAGCCCCAGCCCTGTATTTCTAACAATATAGTGAATCTCTCTTCTGGTCTTTCCCACAAACTTAACATCCAGCCCTATATTTATGCGCTCATATTTGTGTCTGTTCTTCTTGTATTCCTCGTTACACGCCACCATTCTTTCATTCTGGAAATGTAGACTTTAATTTTCAGAGCCCTTACTCTATACATCCTACCTGACAGGTCCTACTAATTTTACCTCAGAGAAGCCTGTACAGTTGGTCCTGTTTCTTCTGTGTCTACTGCCTTAAATTCTGCACTTCATCACTTGGGCTGTGGTAATAACCACATACCTGGAATCCCTTTCGGTTTATTTTCTGTGTTGACCCAAGTAATCATTCTTAAAAAAAACAACAACACACATTTAGGACTGGGAACAGTGACTCACACCTGTAATTTCGACACTTTGGGAGGCCAAGGCGGGTGGATCACCTGAGGTCAGGAGTTCAAGACTATCCTGGTCAACATGGGTGAAACCCTGTCTCTACAAAAAATACCAAAATTAGCCGGGCATGGTGGCGGGCGCTTGTAATCCCAGCTACGTGGGAGGCTGAGGCAGGAGAATTGCTGGAACCCAGGAGGTGGAGATTGCAGTGAGCCTAGATGGTGCCACTATACTCCAGCCTGGGGGACAGAGCGAGACTGTCTCAAAAAAATAAAATAAAATAAAAAACAAATTTAGTTAAATGCTTTACTTGAAAACCGATCTCATGCTATCTACAACATTTTCATTGCTAACTCCCCCCATATATTTCCTGTGTTCCAGCGATCTCAGGCTACTTGTGATTACTCACTGTATGCTCACCCATGCCTCCCTGTTAGGCAGGAGTGAAGGAGGAATAAGAGCCTGGAGGGATTTATTCAGCTTTGTCTGTGGGTAATTATACTCATCCTGCATCTTGAAAGATGAGTTTATTTTGACAGTCCTCTTAGCTGCTTCTGTCTCTCTCCAATTCCATACCCCATTCCAAGTTTTGGACAGAAGAGTATGATTGGACCAGCACATTCATGTTTTTGATACAGGCTTCACTGGTCACAGGTCTGCTGGATACCTGTGGATGCACACATTTGCCGTAGTCTGCGGTGTTGGAGATGGGGACAGAACAGTATCACATATGTGAAACAGAGCCAGTGCTTCCCTTCCCAACAGTCGTAGGCCAGGCAATGTGGACTGTGGGTTGACATCACTGGAGACTGTTTCAGAATCAGAATAAAGACCAATAATAAACCTTTTTTTTTTTTTTCTATTTATGGAATATGGGAGCTGTGGAAGAGAGGTATTACTAGGCTGGTTGTTTGCTTCAGGGATCTGCTTCTCATCTTTCCAGGACTTAATTCAGCTACTACCTCTGTTAAAATTTTTCTTTGATGCTGTGCAACTTACTGAATAAGATTTTACCTGCTGATCTGTGATGTCACTATTGCCATATACAAAAGTCCCATGACTATTTCTGGTTTTAAAATTCTGTATTAACAATTCGTGTTTTGATATGGAATAGGGCAAATATGCATTAAATATGCTGTTTCTCAAAGTTTTTTCTTCTAGATAAATGTTAGAATTAATATATCACATAAGCATACAAAACAAACACGTAAGAAAAATCCTAGTAGGATTTTCATTGGGATTGCATTTGGTTTATGGGTTAATTTTGGCAGAATTACATTTATCCTTTCTACTCAGGAGCAAGTCTGTCTTTTCATATATTCAGGGTTTTTTTGTGTGTGTCTATCAGTAGCATTTTACATACACAGACACCCATATGTAAATATGAATGTTATATTACATGAAGTATTTTAAACTTGCGTTTGCTATTGTGACTATATTTCCGTTTCAATTTCTAACTGGTGATTAATAATATATAAAAAAACTGTCAATTTTTGGCCGGGCGCGGTGGCTCATGCCTGTAATCCCAGCACTTTGGGAGGCCAAGGTGGGCGGATCACGAGATCAGGAGATCAAGACCATCCTGGCTAACACGGTGAAACCCTGTCTCTACTAAAAATAAAAAAAAAATTAGCCAGGCGTGGTGGTGGGTGCCTGGAGTCCCAGCTACTCAGGAGGCTGAGACAGGAGAATGGCGTGAACCCGGGAGGCGGAGCTTACAGTGAGCAGAGTTCACGCCACTGCACTCCAGCCTGGGTGACAGAGCGAGACTCTGTCTCCCAAAAAAAAAAAAAACAAAAAAAAACCTGTCTATTTTTATTATTTACTTGGTATCGAAGTATTTTTGTGAATTCTCCCTCTGGTTGGATATTTTTCAAATGATTCCTTCAGATTTTCTTGTCAGGCAGGCACTTATCTGCACACAATAATGATTCTGTCTTTTTCAGTATTCATAACTGTCGTTTATTTTTTCATTGCATTGGCTAAAGTGCAGTGCTGTTCAGAAGACATGCCTTGAGAGCCGTAAATGTAAGCCATATATGTAGTTTTACATTTCTAGTAGGCAATTGATTTCATTACATTGTTTAATGTAATATATTCAAAATCTTATTTCAGTGTATATGTTCAATATAAAATTTATTAATTAACTATTTTATGTTCTTTTTTTACTACTAGGTCTTTGGAATCCCATGTGTATTTTACACTTAGATCACATCTCAGTTTGGACTAGCCACGTTTCAGGTGTGCAGTGGCACTTGCGGTTACCGCATTGGACAGCATAGAGTTAGAGCCTTCTTGATATATAATAATTATGATCATAGTTGGCCTTGTTGTCCCTTACTTGGTTGGAATTTGCTTTTCAGTATGATGTTTAATGTTGATTTCTAATAAATATACTGTTTTTAAGTTTAAGCAATTTTGTTTCTGAATAAGATGTTCCTTTAAAACTTAGTAATTGATATTCACTCCCCGCCCCACCCCTGAGATGGAGTTTCACTCTTGTCGCCCAGGCTGGAGTGCAATGGTGCGATCTTGGTTTACTGCAACCTCCGCTTCCCGGGTTCAAGCGATTCTCCTGCCTCACCCTCCTAAGTAGCTGGGATTACAGGCATGCGCCACCACCCCTAGCTAATTTTGTATTTTTAGTAGAGATGGGGTTTCACCATGTTGGCTAGGCTGGTCATGAACTGACGTCAGGTGGTCCACCTGCCCAAAGTGCTGGGATTATAGGTGTGAGCCATTGCGCCCGGCCTCACTTTTCTTAAATACTTAAGAAAATGTATGGTGATGCTCACACCTTTCCCCTCCTACTTATGCCTGTTAAATATAGAGGATGGTAGTAATAAAGAATTCTCATGGTGAAGCATCTTTTCACTCAGAGTAAACAAACCATGCTTGGTTATGGTGTATCATTCTTTTAACTCAACTGGATTAGATGTGCTGACATTTTAGGATTTTTTCCCTCATATTCTTTAAAGAGATTGTCCTATGTGGTATGTCACGTTTTGGAATCAGCATTATATCAGCTCTTGTAAACTAGGTAACAAAACTTCAGATCATTCTGGCTTAACAAAATTGTTTTAAAACTTAAAGGAATATATGCACATGATTGAGGACTTTTTAAAGTAATTTCTTAGCAAAATGTATTTGTGGAATGTAAATTTTCTAAGTCCTTGAAAGTCTGAAAATTTCTTTATTCTACTTGCAATTGATTGGGAAATTAGCTGAGAGTAGAATTCTAGGTTAAAACTTTCCCTTAAAACTTTTAAGGCCTTGTTCATAGTTGCCTACCTTCCTGTGTTTCTGAGACATCTGATGCCATTATGATTCTTACTTCTTTATAACAGCGATCTCCAAGCTTTTTGGCACTAGGGACCCAGTTTCGTGGAAGACAGTTTTTCCATGGACAGGGGTCGAGGAGGCAGTGGGGTGGGGGATAGTTTTGGGATGAAACTGCTCCACCTCAGATCATCAGGCATTAGATTCTCATAAGGAGCGGACAATCTAGAACCCTTGCATGCCGAATTCCTGCTCCTGTGAGAATCTGATGCAGCTGCTGTTCTGACAGGAGGCAGAGCTCAGGCGGTAATACTTGCTCACCTGCTGTTGCCTACCTGCTGTCAGGTCTGTGGCCTGGGGGTTGAGAATTCCTGCCTTACAGGAAGGGTGACCATATATCCTGATTTGTCTGGAATACCTCCAGATCACTGTTTTTTTTTTTTTTTTTTTGAAGACAGATTCTCGCTCTGTCGCCCAGGCTGGCTGGAGTGCAGTGGCATGATCTTGGCTTACTGCAAGCTCTGCCTCCTGGCTTCAAGTGATTCCGCTGCCTCAGCCTCCTGAGTAGCTGGGATTACAGGCAGATGCCACCATGCCTGGCTAATTTTTGGTATTTTTAGTAGCAATGGGGTTTCGCTGTGTTAGCCAGGATGGGCTCGAATCTCCTGACCTTGTGATCTGCCTGCCTTGGCTTTCCAAAGTGCTGGGATTACAGGCATGAGCCACCACACCTGGCCCAAATCACACTTTTTAATAGTACCTCCTTTTATTCTGATATGTATCCTTCTTTGTTGATCAGTTATAGAATCACCTTATTTGTAGGTGGTTTGCTTTCTGTTTTTTTTTTTTTTCTTTTTTTCTTTTTTTGAGACAAAGTTTTGCTCTTGTTGCCCAGGCTGGAGTATAGTGGCAGGATCTTGGCTCACTGCAACCTCCCCCTCCCGGGTTCAAGCGATTCTACTGTGTCAGTCAGCCTCTCTAGTAGCTGGGATTACAGGCATGCGCCACTATGCCTGGCTAATTTTGTATTTTTAGTAGAGATGGGTTTCTCCTTATTGGTCATGCTGGTCTCGAACTCCCGACCTCAGGTGATCTGCCTGCCTCGGCCTCCCAAAGTGCTGAGATTACAGGCGTGAGCCACCATGCCCAGCCAGCCTTTTGTTTTTTTAGGAAGATTTGAGGATATTCTTATACTCTGAGCTTTGAGAATTTACGTGGCTCTGTCTAGAAGTCAGTTATTTTTTCCCTCATTCATCTGCCCAGTCCTTTCAAACTGAAGACTAGTATTTATCAGCTCTGGGATATTATATTGCAGTGTGCTTTAGGAATTTCTGCTTGCAAAATGCTTCAGGAATTTTTGCCTCTTTGTTCTTTTTTTCTATTTCTGGAACTCCTTGTAATGGAACTTGAATCTCTTGGATTAATTTAACACCTTATTTTTTAAAATGAGAATTAAATTTTCTATATTCTACCCCTTGCTTTTGCTCTTCTTTATCTGGAAAAGAGTCTCCACCTCATTTTCTGACACTTGTATTGACTCCTTAATTTCAGCTGCTATTAATTTCAAAGAACTTTTTCTTATTTTTATTCCTTCTGTTAATATATAGCATTGCATTCTTGTTTCATAGATGGCAATAGCCTCTCTTATGCCTTTGAGAATATTACATAGACATATTTTAAAATTTCCCACATTTCCTACATTGTCTGTTTCCACTGAGGCACTTTTTGTCTGCTGTTTGTCTCTTTCTTTGATAGTGATGGTTTTTCACAAATATCTGGTGATTAAGAACTTTATCTTCTGTCTGGATTTTGAATTTTTAAATGGTTTTCCTGTTTCTAGTTTCTTTTTCCACAAATAAATTCTCAACATTTGGCACCAGGTTTAATATTATGAAACAGATCCGAGTATGTCATCCCCCTGCTAATAAAAGTTAGAAGACTTTTAAGAGATCTGGATAATGTTTCAACCACTTAGGGCAGCAAACATTCACAGTGGCAGTGAGGCATTTGTCTTCTAGGGCCACTGCAACAAATCACCACAGACTGGGAGGCTTAGAACAACAGAAATTTATTCTATTAATGTTAATAGAGACCAGAAGTTCAAATCAGTGTTACTGGGTTGAAATCAAAGTATCAGCAGAGCTTTGAAGGCTCCAGGGAAGAACCTGTTCCTTGCCTCTTTCAGTTCTAGTGGCTGCTGGCATTCCCTATTATCAGTCCAATCTTTCAGGCCAGCATCTTCAAATCTCTCTGCTCCATCTTCACGTCACCATCTCCTTCATGTGTGTCCAATCTCCTTCTGCCTCTCTATTTATAAGGACATTTGTGAGGGCATTTAGGGACCACTGGGTAATCTAGGGTCTTTTTCCAAATAAGGTAACATTTGTAGATCCTAGGGATTAGGGCCTGATAACCTTGAGGTCCTTTA
Organism: Homo sapiens; assembly: GCF_000001405.40. NCBI lineage: Eukaryota > Metazoa > Chordata > Mammalia > Primates > Hominidae > Homo > Homo sapiens. Next base: position 222,884,759 of record NC_000002.12, read on the forward strand.
TTCAGCTTACTACAACTACTTAGAGTCTTCTGAAATTTCTCTTTTCTTGTACAGTTCCCTTCGCGTTTACAAATAATTGTTATTATTGCCTGCAGTTATTGTCTGCTTGAACAAAAATACATGCATCAACTCAGTTTATAGTGATTTCCTTGACCTTGTCTTCTCCACCCTAGACAAAAGGCTGCAATTGCCTGTTTTCCTAATGCAGCTGATGCACTTCTCATAGTTTTTGCCACGTTAAAGTGATTTGTCAGGCTCTACCACTGACTAGGAATTTTCTTTTTTTTCAGTACTATGGTGTCATTCTTAGAATGCAAAGTGTCGGGTCTGGAGCTGAGTAAGGCATTTAATAAATATTTGTTGAAGAGATTTTTAACATTTATTGAGGGCCAATTACATACCTAGTAGGACCTGTCACCTTGGGCCATTTAATAAAGTAGGGTAAAGTAAGCATGGCACATAAGTTTCCCCAGGGCATATTTGTCAAAAGGGATTGCTGGGTCATAGGAGTCTACATTTTCAGCTTTTGCTAGATGCTGCCAAATTGCTCTCTTAACTGGCTGTACTTCCGTAAGAGTGCCAAGATCTATCTTGTTTGCCATATCTTTGCCAACACTTGTGAATTTTTTTCATTAAAAAAATTTTAATGTAGGAAATGATACTGTTTTAATTTGTATTTCCTTGATAATTAATGAGGTTAACCATTTTTAATAGGTAATAAACAATGTGGAATTTTCTGTTAATATACATAGCCTGCTTTCTCCTGTTGCTCTTTTTTATTTATAGAAATTCTACAACTATGGATATGAATTATATATAGCACTGTTCTCTTTTACATGTGAGGAAACTGGCACAAGAAATTATTAATAACAAGAAGATTTCTAAGTTATTTCCCCCCTGGATGAATAGATGCATGACCTTGTCTGGAGTCATAGCTAATAAGAAACAGCAGGGATTTTGAACCCAGTAGTATCTGAGTTTAAGGTCTGTCCTTTTTTTTTTGAGACAGAGTCTCGCTCTGTCACCCAGGCTGGAGTGCAGTGGCATGATCTCGGCTTAACGCAACCTCTGCCTCCTGGGTTCAAGTGATTCTCCTGCCTCAGCCTCCAGAGTAGCTGGGACTATATGTGCACGCCACCACACCTGGCTAATTTTTGTAATTTTAGTGGAGTTGGGGTTTCATCTTGTTGGTCAGGCTGGTCTTGAACTCCTGACCTCAGGTGATCCACCCGTGTCAGCCTCCCAAAGTGTTGGGATTACAGGCGTGAGCCACCATGCCTGACTTTAAAAAAAAAAGTTTATTTATTATTTTACTTTAAGTTCTGGGATACATGTGCAGAACGTGCAGGTTTACATGTATACGTAGGTACACACGTGGCATGTTGGTTTGCTGCACCTTTCAACCCATCATCATCTAAGTTTTAAGCCCCACATGCATTAGGTATTTGTCCTAATGTTCTCCCTCCCCTTACCCCACCCACCTACAGGCCCAAGTGTATGATGTTCCCCTCCCTATATCCATGTGTTCTCATTCTTCAACTCCCACTTATGAGTGAGAGAACGTGTGGTGTTTCTTTTCTGTTCCTGTGTTAGTTTGCTGAGAATGGTGGCTTCCAGCTTCATCCATGTCCCTGCGAAGGACATGAACTCATTCTTTTTTATGGCTGCAAGGTCTGTCCGTTTTTACAAAAATTAATAACAAATTAAAAGTTAATGAAGCAGTGGTATGTTGAATTAAGTGATTCAAAAAAACTTAGCTTTTAGCTCTACTTGTTAATATATTCTTAAAAATAACTATATAATGACTGCTAACCTGTTTGCTTCGCAGGTGATAGAGAAAATCATTGAAAAAATTTGAAAGTGTTTTTTAAAAACAATGTATTAATATCACCACATATACATCTTAATACTTATTCTTTATCATCATCATGAGTAAATGAACGCAGCCTTTATAGTATACTTTTTGAGTTTTGGAAATACCTTATTTTTTATAATAGAGTTTATTTTTTAGAGCAGTTTTAGGTGTACAGCAAAATTGAGAGGAAGGTGCAGAGATTTCTCATATACCCCTTCCCCTACACAGGCATAGCCTCCCTCTTTATCAACATCCCCCTACCTCCCCAGAGTGCTACATTGGTTATAACTGATGAACCTACATTGACACATCGTTATCACCCAGAGTCCATAGTTTACATTAGGGTTCACTCTTAGTACTGTACCCTCCGCAGGTTTTAACAAATATATGATGACATGTATCTACCGTTATAATACATACAGAATAGCTTTATTGCCCTAAAAGTCCTTTTGTGCTCTGCCTATTCATCCTCCTCTGTGCTCTAACCTCTGGCAACCATGGATCCTTTTACCATCTCCATAGCTTTGCCTTTTCCAATATGTCATATAGTTGGAATCATACAGTACATAGCATTTTCAGACTGTCTCCTTTCACTTTGTAATATGCATTTAAGTTTCCTTCATGTCTTGTCATGGCTTGATGGCTCATTTCTTTTCAACACTGACTCATTTTCCATTGTCTGGATGTACCACAGTTTATATATCCATTACTTTGTTGAAAGATATGTTGATTGCTTCCAGCTTTTGGCAATTATGAATCAAACTGCTATGGACATGCATGTACAGGTGTTTTTGTAGACATATTTTCAACTCTTTTGGGTAAATACCAAGCACTGTGGTTGCTGGATCATATATTTGGAGTATGTTTAGTTTTATATGACACTGTCAAACTTCCGTAGTGGCTGTACCATTTTGCATTCCCACCAGCAATGAATGAGAGTTGCTCCACATCCTTGCAAGCATTGGGTGGTGTTAGTGTTTTGGGTTTTGGGCATTCTTACTGGTGTGTAGTGTGTGTACTATATGTTTTTGAAGAAAAGTTACATGATAAAAATTTTGTTTGCTAGCGTGATAGGTTGGTGTTTCCAGAAAAACTCACCGGAAACTTTTCATGTGAGGTTTAGAAGTAAAATAGTTCCAGGAAAAAGTTGGCATTCGGCTCTGATTAACTAGAATATGAGTAGTAATGCTTGTCTTTTTTATGTTTGTTTTGACAGGTTTTGACACAAGGGCGCATATCTTCAAAGCACCTAGTACCTCCTACCATTGTCAACTGGTAAAATATTTAATTTTTTATTACAATAGATTTCTTTTATTTGTTATAAAATAAATATTAAGTTAAAACCAATTATGGCTAAATTGACCAAAAAATTGTAATTCTCATTTTATGATTATATATGGAAGATAGTTTTATATTTACTTTAATTCTGTATAAATCAATTGGGACATTAAACCATGTCATTGAGCAGTATTGTCTATCTTCCTTTCCTTAACTTGAATTTCACTAAGTATCTGCAAGGGATTTGAACTCAGTGGCCTCTTTATTTTGGATAGTTTAGCATGAATTAGACCATTTTAATATGTGATGGTCATTTAAAATTTGTATGAATGTTACTGTAAATTTCTAACTGGACATTTTAGTAGAGATTGTAGTTTCAAGGGCTTTTTGTCAACCCATAGAAGGTTCTGCATGGTTATTACAGTTGTCATGGGGCATAAGAAATATAGCACAATTTTATTCTTTCTGTGTCATCTGAAGTGAATTAGAGTTTATGAAATTTTAGGGCAAAAATTTAAGGACGAAGGTTTTTAGCGTTCTGTGAAATGAAAAAATTGAGTAGGACTGCTGTAGGGAATAGTCTATGTTGGTAAAGTGCTTTGATGATGACGTAAAGGCAGTAAGCATTTTATCCATTAGAATCATGATAGTTGACATCCTTCTTTTCAGAATCTCATTTCGAAGTCTTTTTTCATATCAGTTGAATTTATTAATCTTAACATTTTTAACTGATTTTAAAAGGAAATCACACAAGTAATATGTTTATTATTAAAAACTGTAAGCAATGTAGGAGCATCTAAGTAAACAGGAAACTCCTATGTTACCCTGGTTCTTTTGCTAGGGATTATCCCTTATTTTCATAGAGTGTATCTTTCCAGACGCTTTGTTTGCGACGCTTTGTTTGCGTATCCAAGATTGCCATCTTTTAATGAAGTAGATGTGATGGAAAAAGGAATATACTTTGTCCACTTTAATAGTACGCCTCACTTTGTTTTAGACATGTCTGTGCCTGCGTCTCTTTGAGGGATATACGTGATCAAATTAAGAGTGCTTTTGAAGTGACTAGGTAAACCCATTGTAACACAGTACTCCTCTACAAATTTCTTTTAGTAGTTAATGGGTTATGGGAACTCCAAACTTTGAATTCTTAGCTAAGAATGCATCAAGAGAGTTTAGCAGATTTACAATAAAATTGAAATTGCAAAGATAATTATGACATATTAAATGATAGATTTTAAATAGGTAGACATTTATAGAAATGACTGTAATTACTGTTGAGGATCAGCTAGGTTTGTGTAGGTGAAGAAGTGGTTTTGGAGCTTCAGTGCATTTATGTGTGCTCAGTAGGGTACTTAGGATATTTGAGGAGGGAAAAGGCCGTCAGAAACTGATGTGGGAGGGTGGTGCACAGGAAGAAGTACTATGGTACAGTGACAAAGATAACTTTGTCATAATTTTGCCTAAAAAGAGAAATAAGACTCGTAGTCATGTTATATAGGTTAACTGTGCGATGAAGTAAAGGGAATGTCATGAACTACTTGGGAAACCCAGTGTCTTGAATCCCGAAACTTAGAACTCAACCTTTTCACGTTTGGGAATTGCTTATGTTCAGAAGTCCCATGATTTAAGAGATAATGTAAAAATGGAAGTTAATTCACATTTGTACGTGTCCTTTGTGTGATTGTCGGATTGAAACATTTTAAACTTCTTAAGAAATGTAGCGAAGCAAATTTGGATTTGTATGTGAAAGTGACCTAGATGAGAAGTATGGAAGGAGACGGAGACAGCAGCAAGTTTGCTCCTCCCTTGGTTTCAGAGGAAAATGGTTTTTAAGAGCTGGGCCAGATGTTTCTCATAGCTACTTAAGGTGGATTCCTTTTTTCTGTGTCTTCTGTTTTTAAGTGTAATCTGGTTTTTGAGCACTTGCAGAAAAGCTGCAGAGGCCAGGGAATGACACAGCAGAGAATGGAGGTGAGAGGGAAGACAACTGGTGATCTTAGTTGCTTTGATTTTGAAATATGTTGTTCAGGAATAGCTTTTCTTAGTGGTAAAATAATTGGGAATTTGTAGGAAGAAGAAAATATGTTGTAAAGAATTTAAAGATAAAAAAGCAAGTAATATTTGAATACAACACAAGACTATTGACTAAAGGAAGTAATCGGATGTTTAAACCTTATTTTTAGCTACTTAACCTTTACATAGTACAAATGAAGACAATATGTTAATTGTGATGCAGGTTATTTATTCTGTATATTTCCACAACATACTTTTAAGTTCTAATTATATGTTATTTTCCTTTTCTTAACTTTGTTTTTTTAGCTGGTCCATGCAGACTACAGATAAGAAACTGGGCTTTTGGGGGTGGGAAGGGGAGTGGAGGAAGAGAAAAGGAAACATCTAAGTAATCTTACTGAATGATATATAAATCGTTGAAATTAAAGAAAATATATTCTGGGTAGACTTAGCTTGCAAAATTATTTTAAGCTATTGTACCTCTTATAAATGGAATAAGCATTTTAAAATCATCTTGAAAATCTTCAGAACCTTTAATTCTTTTACATTCTCAAAGGTTAAACATAACCGGAAGAGCTGTCTTCTCTCAAATATGCATACTTTGTTCATTAGATTTACTTTTGCTAACTTTTTTTTTGTATGTTTGGAACTGTTATATTTTTCCTCTGGCCTTTGAATTTTCTTTAATTTTATTTTTTATTTCACCCTGGGGGAAAGAGAGGTGGGTAGATTTGTTTGTTTGTTTGTTTATTTTTGAGACAGAGTCTTGGTCTGTGGCCCAGGCTGAGGTGCAGTGGCGCAATCTTGGCTCACTGCAACCTCTGCCTCCCAGACTCTGGTGATTCTTGTGCCTCAGCCTCCCAAGTAGCTGGGATTACAGGTGCGTACCACCACACCTGGCTAATTTTTATATTTTTTAATAGAGACGGGGTTTCTCCATGTTGGCCAGGCTGACCTTGAACTCCTGGCCTCAAGTGATCTGCCCACTTCAGCCTCCCAAAGTGTTGGGATTACAGGCGTGAGCCATTGTACCTGGCCGAAAAGAGGTATATTTAAAAGTGAATTTGTTACTTCAACTAACACAACCTTCACTTAAAAATTAGGCTGTCTGTTCACTCTCCTTAGTACAGGTTCATGTAATGCCAAATGTAGTACGTAGCTGGATTGAGTTGGAATTATGAAGATCCTCAAATATTCATGAGCCAGGTTGATGTCATTAAGTAATCCAATAGTTCATGTTCTCCTGAAATACTTATATAGCTGGCTTTCTCATTAATCATTTTGTAGGAAATGATTGGAATAAATAAGGAGTAGTACTGAAAAGAGTAAAGAATCCTATTCAGTATTGTCTTAATCAGTTTTGGGAACCCTAGGCATCAGTAGAATATAGTCTTAAAATCGATCTAGTTGAACTGCATCAATATTAATGGTGAACAAATTAAGATTTAGTGACCTGCTCAAGATCTCTTAGTAATTGGCAGCAGAGCTCAGTCTAGTCTAGTGTATGTGTTTATGCACATATGCATGTGTGTATATGTATTTAAAATCCCTGTTGTGTATCTAACTGAAAAAGATATATATTCCTTTGCCTGATTTCTGTTTCCTGTTGATTTTTATCTAGAAGAGGGATAAAAGCTGTTTTTTAAAGAAATAGTGGGTCTTGATCAGTTTTGGGGAAATTGAGGGGACTGTATTTATAGTTTAGGGAGAGTACTCAAGAGTCCTACTGTTATTTCCGCTATCATACTAATAGGACTGAAACAATTTTAAAATTACACTGGATAACTGAAACTTAAAAAGTTGGCTTTGTTAAACTGCTTTTTCATGTAGATATATTCATGGGAAAGACTTGCTATAATAAATGTTCCTCCCTCTCTCCTTTCCAATGTTTATCTTTAATGCCAACATTTCATTTTCTGAGGTTAAAATAAATATAGGCTTTATAGTTTTCTTAAAAATAAAATACCAAATTATTATTTCCTCATAAAACTTCCTAGTTGTAAAGTGGAACTTTTTATCTAATCCAGATAGTAATATGACTAAACCTTCTAATAATGTTTTTAATTGATTTCCTGTCCAGAATCTTTTCGACAATTTTATTTTTGTATTAAGGAGGTTCTTGCATGGATTAATGATCTCGATTTCAGCCCTGTAGTCATTGCGATGTCATACATTGCAACTGTGTGGGCATAGTTGAAATCTTTGAAGTTGTTGAAAGATTGTGTTAGTATTTGAGGATTTGGAGAGGAAAAATTCTTTGTCTTTACTAAATACATAAGAACCACTGTATTACACATAATAAGTTAGTCTGTGTGTTGTTGATATTTGTAAGAATTTAAAACAACTGTCCTACTTTTAGGTCTGCTTTTTTTCGGGAGGGAGGCAGCAGGATATATAGTAAGTAAATGTTTTAAAACCATTCTCTTGAACTAGGTATCTAGGTATGTATTTTTATTATGTGTTTAGCTTTGGATGCCTGAGAAGCAAACATGTTTGTGAGAACCAGGGTGCCCCTCTAAAAAAGAAACTCTTTCCCGATAGTAAATAATAGTCTCTGGTTGCACTTTCCATTATAACTCTGAGAGATTAATTCTGGGTAGGAAATAGTTCTTTCTGCCCTTCTTGACCCTGGTTTCCTATTTCATAATACATGATTTGCGTCATTCATCTGGGACTCTTAAGTCTCTGTAGAGTGTGTATGACTGTCACCTAACTTTTGTGGAAAGGAGACTCTCAAAAGTAGTGTATTAAAGGATACTTTTTTCTCCCCAACAATAAGGTATTAACTATAGAATTTATTAAGAGAGTATAGGGTCATTAAAAAGTTTGGACATGCCTTGGAGAGACATGTAGGTTAATATCCTACCTTACCTGCTAGCTGTAAGTGCCTTTGGGGACAATCTATTTGAAATTGGGTTTTGTGAGAATTAAATGAGATAACATAAAAAGTTCCCTTCACTGTGCTTGTTTGCCTGCACTCAGAATTGTTTCCCATTTATTGCAAGCTTGGTGAAAAATTCCAGCCACATTTCATACTAGCAAATACGGATTCCTTGATATCCAGCATTGTGCAAGCCACTCATTTATACTTCATTAGAGATAAAATGCTAAGCCATATTATTATTATTGTTATTTGCAGATATGAACAGTTGTATAGTATTGGTGCCTGAGTGTGGTAGGCTGAAAGAAAAATACAGAGGAGGAAATCAGATTGAGTGGTGGGCAGGATTAACTGAGAAGTAAATTGTGGCATATCAAGATGCACCGTCTGCAGTATTTTCTCCTTTTCTGTCCTCTCTTCCCCCTGTCCTCATCCTCTGCTGCCTTTGACTTTGTGGGAGCATTTCTAAGTGTTGGGGCTCTCTGCCTGCTCTGCAAGTTGAGTTTTCAGATTCCTTTTCATGATGGTGGTGGATGTGAGGGGCATAAAATGTCTGCTTGCTCTGTCAGTAGGGTGTGAATATAATACCATTGTTGACTTCTTCCCTCCTTAGACAGTGTACATGTCTTAGATTCTGAGAGTGACTCCTGTTTTCTTTGTTCAGTCCATGAGTTTTGTGGAGGTTAATTTCACAGGTCTGCCAATTTTGGGTTGAGTTACCATGTTGTATCTCTCTTGCGCCTAAGAGATTCTTGAAACCCCAGATCTAAGCAGGTAGAACCATTTGATACGTTAGTCTGAAAGTGATCCCTGTGGCAACCTACTTTTTTCCTGTTTTTCTCTTAGGAAAACACGTCATCTCTGATAGAAGATTTTCTTCCTTCTCTTTTCTTTTCTCTTTTTCTTCCTTCTCTCTTCTCTTCTTTTCTCTCCTCTCCCTTCCCCCGCTTTCCGCCTCCTTTCCCTCTCCTTCCCTTCCCACCTCTCCCCATCCCTCCTCTGCCTCTTCTCACCTCACAGGGTTGTTTTTTCTCACAGGGTTTCTTTCTTTCTGACTTTGTCTTTTCACAAAGTCTTGCTCTGTTGCTCAGGCTGGAGTGCTTTGGTGTGATCACAGCACACCACAACCTCAACCTCTGGGCTGGAGAGATCCTCCCACCTCAGCCTCCATTGTAGCTGGGACTACAGTCATGAGCCACCGCTCCCGGCAAGAAGCTTTCATATGAGCATTTGTAGCAATTTTTGTTTTGAAAAATTGGGAGTTGTTACAGGGCATTTGACTATGATATTAATAATATTATTTAATAGCAATTTTTAACATAAAATTTTATTTTAACATCCACTTCATACCTTTTGGAAGTATATCATTTGAAAGTGATTTCCTGGCTGATGGTTAAGCTCCGTTACTTTACTTACATTTGTTTCATAACACAAGATCTGAATAACACAAAATCCTGTCTGGTCTCCTTTTCCTTCAGTCTTTCCAAGTCACCTGTGTTCTTCCTCTCAAATAATAGAGGTCATACAGAGAAGAGATCTTCCTTGTGCTTGATCATTCTGATTTAAAACAATTGCTAATTAAAATATAAGATGTAAATAACTCTTTGATCTAATGCAACTGACCATTGGCATAGAACATTTTAAAAAACACATTTCAAGTGTTTGAACCTAGCTATTTATCACACAATTTTATATTTCAAGATTTTGTTTGCTCATCTTTATTGTATAAGTAGTAATAGGTCATTTTCTTTTAATGCTGTTAAACTTAATTCATCTTGTTATTTTAATTAGCAGTTGTGAGAGTTTAGTGAAGTTGGGAGTTGTTAAATTCTTCATGGTGAAAGATTAATGGACTTAGACCTGCATTTAAATATTCAGGGATAATTTCTTAAAAACCTTGACTTGCCTATATCTTTTTCTGTAGTCAGGCATGAAGCCAGGCATGCCCGTGTATACATTCTTCTCAGTTGGCAAGGTATCATAGAAGTTCTTCTAGGTCAATGCATGTACATGTAGCTTACTTTTAATGGCTGCATAATAGTCTGTTCAATGGGTATATATGTTTTTCAGGCATTCTTTGATTAATGAATCTTTAGATCATTTTCTATTTTTGGTTTTTTGCCACTGAAACAGTACTGCCATGTCTCCCAGGTGTGTGTGTGTGTCTTTCCAAGTTTTATCTTCAGACTATGTTACTACTAGTTGCAGTTAACTACTCATCCCCAAATCTGTAAATATGTCTTCCTGTGACCCTGACACTACTCTGTCGTGATTCTTAGTGATTTCAATATCGTTCTAACACTGTGGTCTTATTATTTCATACTCCAGCCTGCCTTTGCTATTCCTTTTCCATGACCATTCATTCTGCCACTCTCCTAGATGACTATTTTATACTTTCTCCTTAATTTTCTAATACCTTCCTTTCTGCCTCCCTCACATCCAATGATTTTGCTTATTACTCTGAGAAAATAGAAGCACCCAGAAGAAAATCTTCTGCAAGCTCCTATTCCTGCACATCTGTGTCCCTGTTTCTCCCACCCTCTCTCCTCCTCCAGAGGTGTGGCTCTCTTCTGCATAATACTTTCCTCTGCTGGTTCATAGCTATCAGTCTGCAGACAAGCTCTACTATTTATGTTAAAAACAAAAGAACCTCTTTTGTCCTGGCCTGTTACCATTACTTTGTTCTTTTTTTTTTTTTTTTTTTTTTTTTTTTATTGATCATTCTTGGGTGTTTCTCGCAGAAGGGGATTTGGCAGGGTCATAGGACAATAGTGGAGGGAAGGTCAGCAGATAAACAAGTGAACAAAGGTCTCTGGTTTTCCTAGGCAGAGGACCCTGCGGCCTTCCGCAGTGTTTGTGTCCCTGGGTACTTAAGATTAGGGAGTGGTGCTGACTCTTAAGGAGCATGCTGCCTTCAAGCATCTGTTTAACAAAGCACATCTTGCACCGCCCTTAATCCATTTAACCCTGAGTGGACACAGCACATGTTTCAGAGAGCACAGGGTTGGGGATAAGGTCACAGATCAACAGGATCCCAAGGCAGAAGAATTTTTCTTAGTACAGAACAAAATGAAAAGTCTCCCATGTCTACTTCTATCCACACAGACCCGGCAACCATCCGATTTCTCAATTTTTTCCCCACCCTTCCCGCCTTTCTATTCCACAAAACCGCCATTGTCATCATGGCCCATCCCCAATGAGCCGCTGGGCACACCTCCCAGACGGGGTCGTGGCCGGGCAGAGGGGCTCCTCACTTCCCAGTAGGGGCGGCCGGGCAGAAGCGCCCCTCACCTCCCGGATGGGGCGGCTGGCCGGGCGGGGGGCTGACCCCCCCACCTCCCTCCCGGACGGGGCGGCTGGCCGGGCGGGTGCTGACCCCTCCACCTCCCTCCCGGACGGGGCGGCTGGCCGACCCCCCCCCCCGCCGCCTCCCTCCCGGACGGGGCGGCTGGCCGGGCAGAGGGGCTCCTCACTTCCCAGTAGGGGCGGCCGGGCAGAGGCGCCCCTCACCTCCCGGACGGGGCGGCTGGCCAGGCGGGGGGCTGATCCCCCCACCTCCCTCCCGGACGGGGCGGCTGGCCGGGCGGGGGGCTGACCCCCCCACCTCCCTCCCGGACGGGGCGGCTGGCCGGGCAGGGGGCTGACTCCCCCTCCCCCCTCCCGGACGGGGCGGCTGGCCGGGCGGGGGGCTGACCCCCCCCACCTCCCTCCCGGACGGGGCGGCTGGCCGGGCGAGGGGCTGACCCCCCACCTCCCTCCCGGACTGGGCGGCTGGCCGGGCGGGGGGGCTGATCCCCCCACCTCCCTCCCGGACTGGGCGGCTGGCCGGGCAGAGGGGCTCCTCACTTCCCAGTAGGGGCGGCCGGGCAGAGGCGCCCCTCACCTCCCGGACGGGGCGGCCGGCCGGGCGGGGGGCTGACCCCCCCACCTCCCTCCCGGACGGGGCGGCTGGCCGGGCAGAGGGGTCCTCACTTCCCAGTAGGGGCGGCCGGGCAGAGGCGCCCCTCACCTCCCGGACGGGGCGGCTGGCCGGGCGGGGGGGCTGACCCCCCCACCTCCCTCCCGGACGGGGCGGCTGGCCGGGCGGGGGGCCGACATCCCCACCTCCCTCCCGGACCGGGCGGCTGGCCAGGCAGGGGGCTGACCCCCCTCCCCCCTCCCGGACTGGGCGGCTGGCCGGGCGGGGGGCTGACCCCCCCACCTCCCTCCTGGACGGGGCGACCGGCCGGGCAGAGGGGCTCCTCACTTCCCAGTGGGGGCGGCCGGGCAGAGGAGCCCCTCACCTCCCGGACGGGGCGGCTGGCCGGGCGGGGGGCTGACCCCCCCCCACCTCCCTCCCGGACGGGGTGGCTGCCGGGCGGAGACGCTCCTCACTTCCCAGACGGGGTGGCTGCTGGACGGAGGGGCTCCTCACTTCTCAGACGGGGCGGTTGCCAGGCAGAGGGTTTCCTCACTTCTCAGACGGGGCGGCCGGGCAGAGGCGCTCCTCACATCCCAGACAGGGCGGCGGGGCAGAGGTGCTCCCCACCTCTCAGACGATGGGCGGCCGGGCAGAGACGCTCCTCACTTCCTAGATGGGATGGCGGCGGGGAAGTGGCGCTCCTCGCTTCCTAGATGGGATGGCGGACGGGCAGAGACGCTCCTCACTTTCCAGACTGGGCAGCCAGGCAGAGGGGCTCCTCATATCCCAGACGATGGGCGGCCAGGCAGAGACGCTCCTCACTTCCCAGACGGGGTGGCGGCCGGGCAGAGGCTGCAATCTCGGCTCTTTGGGAGGCCAAGGCAGGCGGCTGGGAGGTGGTTGTAGCGAGCCGAGATCACGCCACTGCACTCCAGCCTTGGCACCATTGAGCACTGAGTGAACGAGACTCCGTCTGCCATCCCGGCACCTCGGGAGGCCGAGGCTGGCGGATCACTCGCGGTTAGGAGCTGGAGACCGGCCCGGCCAACACAGCAAAACCCCGTCTCCACCAAAAAAAAACGAAAACCAGTCAGGCGTGGTGACGCGCGCCTGCAATCGCAGGCACTCGGCAGGCTGAGGCAGGAGACTCAGGCATGGAGGTTGCAGTGAGCCGAGATCGCAGCAGTACAGTCCAGCTTCGGCTCGGCATCAGAGGGAGACCGTGGAGAGGGAGAGGGGGAGGGGGAGGGGGAGGGGGAGGGGGAGCTACTTTGTTCTTTAGAGCTCTTTCTACTTACTGTCTTTCTGCCCTTTCTTGAACCCTCTTCATTTGAGCTTTGGTCCTTAACACTTAAGCTCTTTTCAAGTTTAAGGTCAGTGGAGACCTTCACATTATCAAAACCAGTGTTTAACTCTCAGGCTTCCTCTTTTATTTCCTCTTTTTTGGCTTCCCTGTTCATACTCTGTGCCCATTTTCCTTGTGTTGCTTGACTTTTATTTTAATTTATAGGCGCTCTTTGTATATTTTGTCAGCATTTTTTCCTGGACACTTGTTTTCCTTTTGATTCTTTTAAAGTTGTGTTTCGTCATACAGAAATGTTAACTCCTCTGGATTTTGTAGGAAAATAACTCTATAAGAATCAATGAGAATTTTGAAAAATGTGGGTAGTGAAGGTCTTACCAGATATTTAAAGCAGAAGTTCTCAAGCATTAGTGTACAAAAACCTGCATGGTTGCATTTTAAAAATGAATCTGTCACAGGAGTTTTCAATTTTTAGGTATTGGGGCAGTAAGGAACATAGGGAGGCATATCTGAGGAATCTTCATTTTAAATGACCTCTAAGGTAATTCTGATATGATTGGTCCATGGGCCACATTTAAGAAACATTGCACTTTGGGAGGCCGAGGCGGGCGGATCACGAGGTAGGAGATCGAGACCATCCCGGCTAACACAGTGAAACCCTGTCTCTACTAAAGATACAAAAACAAAATTAGCCGGGCGCAGTGGCGGGCGCCTGTAGTCCCAGCTACTCGGGAGGCTGAGGCAGGAGAATGGCGTGAACCCGGGAGGCGGAGCTTGCAGTGAGCCGAGATTGCGCCACTGCACTCCAGCCTGGGCAAAAGAGTGAGACTCTGTCTCAAAAAACAAAAACAAACAAACGAAAACAAAACAAAAAAAGAAGCATTGCTGTAAATTTATATTTGGTATAAAGGGGTATTAGCAAAGTAGTAGGCAAATACATGGCAGGAACAGAATGGTGTTTAGAAACACATTCAAGTGTGAATGAGAAATTATTAATGAAGAGGACATTTTGTCTATTTGAGAAAAGAGTGGTTTATTTAAAAATGCTTTAGGCAGTTTATCTGAGAGGAAAGAATTTAGCTTTCACCGTCATACGATATAGAAAAATAAACACTGTTGAATTAAAGATCTAGATGTAAAAATTAGGTAAACACTGGAAAAAATACAGGAGACTGATAGTTTAACCTTTGGATAGCTGAGGCCTTTTAAAACTAGATTGGAAACCTAGAAGCTGTGAAAGAAAAATTGACAGATTTAGCTGTTCAAGTTTACTTTTACTTTTGAAAGATAATGTTCTAACACGGTGAAATCCCATCTCTACTAAAAAATACAAAAATTAGCTGGGCGTGGTGGCAGGCGACTGTCGTCCCAGCTACTCAGGAGGCTGAGGCAGGAGAATCGCTTGAACCTGGGAGGCAGAGCTTGCAGTGAGCCGAGATCGCATCACTGCTCTCCAGCCAGGCAACGGACGGGACTCTCTCTCAAAAAAGAATAAAAAAATAAATAAATAAAAAGAGAAAGATAATGTTACAGGACAGGGGTCCTGATCTAAACCTGAAGGGAAGGTTCTCGGATCTTGCGCAAGAAAGAATTCAGGGCGAGTCCATAGTGCAAAATAGAGGCAAGTTTATTAAGAACATAAAGTGGCGCAAGAATAGCTACTCCATAGACAGAGTAGGATGCTCCTGAAAGTAAGAGGAGGAACGCGCCCACCCTGGGTACAGTGCTGGTATACATGGGAAGATGTGCTCTGCTACAGGGTTTGTGATAAAGGAATAATTTTCTTAATTACTATATTAAGATAACATTGCAAAAATCAATGTTATCTTTAAAGCAAAATTAGGAATGCCTTTGTTCTCCAGATATCGGGATATCTGGACACTCCCAAGTCTGGATCTGTTTTTTAAACATTATTAATTTGTTCCCTTAACTGGAAACACCCGGAGGCTCGGAATGCCTAATTTTCTGGGAATGCAGCCCAGCAAGTCCCAGCCTCATTTTCCTAGCCCTCACCAAAGACGGAGTCGCTCTGGTTCAAACGCCTCTGACAGTAATACTCATTCTAAGGTGTAGCAACATAAAGTATCTATGACTAGTTCTAAAGATTTTTTAGAGCCACCTAGCAAATAAGATGCGGTTGTCCAAATTTGTTACTTTACTTAATTTATCTAGAACATTTTAGAAAAATTAAATGGCTTAATTGAATGTGGCTGGTATCACTAGGCTGCATTTGACGCCCTTGAATACTTGCTCTGTGGCTCTCCCCTCCCTTGGCTTTTGCAACACTGTCCTCTCCATTTTCTTATTGGTTTCCTCAGTGGTACTTTCTCCTTCTCGGCCCCATGGATTGGTTTCTTTTCAAAGTTTTCTGTCCTTGAGCTTGATCTTGTAGATTTCCTATGTGTTCTGTTTGGGCATTCTCATCCTTCTCTTTATGGCTCCAAAATGTGTGCCTCTAGCTCTGGCCTCTCTGAAGTTTCACAGTTTGTGTATATTTGGATGACTCACAGGAATCTTAAACCCGTATTTTCAAGACTGTATTTATTTTCTTTCTACCAACCATGCAACCACTGACCACCTATTTTACTTCTTGTATTTCTGTCTTGGTGGAAGGCACCAAGATCATTTTCTCTCCTTGTATTGTTACAGCTCTAATTCATGACTTAATTCTATATTGTATTCAGATACAGAATTCGTTGTTGGGAAGGACTGGGGAAACAGCTGTAACATTTGCCACCCTCAGAAGCTGCTGGTCCTGTGTCACACCACCTTAGCCTCTTGATCGAGGAAGGTAAAGAATTACTTTCACTGATTTTTATCTAATTTCTTTGCCTTTTGTTTCTGCTGCCTTCACATTGTCTTCTACAGATAGTTATTTTCTAAACCTGCATTTGTGTACATTAGAATGCAAACTAAGTTCTTTTCAAAGGGCACAACAGTTCAACTTCGTCTCCTCCCAGCCCTGCTCTTCTGGTTTATTTTTTGTTGCTTGAACAAAAGACAAACTTTTTGGTGCTTGGTCAATCTGTGTGGTGCCATAACTTCTAAAGCTCCATCCCTACTCCCACTCCCCTACACCATCTTCACTTGTCCTCAGCCTTTTAAGATCACAAAAAATTGCCATTTGATCCAAGAAGATTTCTCAGAAAATGCCAGAACTAGTCTCTACCTTTTACTGTACTCTTCCTGAAGCACCATTAACACTTGATTAATACTTACCTTTAGGTTATATGATCAATTTGAGTTAACTTTTTGTATGGTGTAAGGAAGGGTTACAACTTTTGCTTGTTAGTTATTTCAGTACCATTTGTTGAAAAGACTGTTCTTTCCCCATTAAATTTTCTCACCACCCCATTGAAATTCAGTTGTCCATAATATAAGGATTTATTTCTGGATTCTTAAATTGACTCCATTGATCTATCTGTCTGTCCTTTTGCCAGTACCACACCATCTTAATTACTTTTCCTTTATAGTAAATTTTAAAATTAAGACATATAAGTCATCCAAGTTTGTTCTTTTTCAAGATTGTTTGGCTGTTCTGGGTGCTTTTAATATCCATGTGAATTTTAAAATCAGCTTACTTATTTCTGTCTAAAAGCCAGCTTTTATACAGCTGAGATCTTTTTTAAGCTAACCTTAGATTTAATGAACTAGTTATTTAGGTCCAAAAGAAAAGGCTGGGCATGGTGGCCCACGCCTGTAATCCCAGCACTTTGGGAGGCCAAGGTGGGCGGATCACAAGGTCAAGAGATCGAGACCATCCTGGCCAACATGGTGAAACCCCATCTTTACTAAAAATACAAAAATTAGCTGGGCGTGATTGAGCACGCCTGTAGTCTCAGCTACTCGGGAGGCTGAGGCAGGAGAATCACTTGAACCCGGAGGCGAAGGTTGTAGTGAGCCGAGATCGCGCCACTGCACTCCAGCCTGGGTGACAGAGTGAGACTCGGTCTCAAAAAAAAAAAAAAAAAAAAAGAACTCAAATATTGTTGAGGTAGCAAATATTCTATCATCTGAAACCTCAGTGGTAAACACAATACCCAAATTTAACATATTTTTGTTACTTGTTAAATACATGCGTGTAAATATATTCACTTAAGTAAACTAAGTGGACAAAATTAGATAAGTCTTTTTTCATATCCAACTTATTTAACTTGATACACTTTCCAGCTTTCAACATAATTGCAAATTTTTATAATCTTGTAAGATAATGTTATGTAATTCAACTTGTCAGTATTATTCTAGTGCTATTAGCTATATTAATTACATAAAGACATTGATGTAAGGGGACTCAAAAATTCATAGGTTTGGGTAGAAAATGAGAACTAGACAGTGATTTCATCACTATAAATTTAGTTGTTACTTAGCGTCCCCTGAGGCTAATGTATGGCAGATCCCTGTAGCCATAAATTGCATTCTGGGCTTTAAGGGATTAAAATATAATTCAAATCCTTCAATAAAATCATACCATTCACACCATTACCTTTGAAAATAAATACTTGGAATTCTAGTACATACCTTAGATCTTGTTTGTACATGCCATTCAATTTATTATAATGCTTTAAAAAAGATATTGATGCAGGATTCTTGCTCCTTAGTTCAGCTAAATCCAGGTTCTTGTCTCATGACCAGAAAAAAATTAGGCATGTGGACACATTGAAGGATGAGGAGGGCGGAATTTATTAAGCAAAAGGAAAGCTCAGCAAAGAGAGGGGTCCTGCAGGCAGGTTTCTACCTCACAAATTGAATACCAGGGCCACCACACAGGAGCTGAAGAGTGCAGACTTCTCCTCTGCATGAGGCACAAATTCCTGGTGGCTCCACCCTAGGGCATTATTCAGAAAGAATCAGTCAGGAAACGGTGGGCAAACTGGGACAGACTTTCTCCCTCTGGGTCACGGGTTTCAACCTGGACCAGCAGTCCAGTCTTTCAGCCTTCAGGTTGCTTTAGGCTTGAAGGTGAGGTTTCACCGGGGACTCTACCCTATCTGCCTAGGTATTTGTCTGCCTCCAGCCTCTATCAATATGGTACTACAAATAGAAGGAAGAAAAAAAAGTCAAATCACACCTTAGGAAATTACAGCCTAGTAGCATCAGTAAAAATGGTACTGTTAGTCATGTCATGAAATAGACGTAAAATTGAAGGTTGATTTTCTTTTTTTTTTTGAGATGAGGTCTGGCTTCGTGGCCCAGGCCGGAGTGCAGTGGCATGATCTTAACTTATCGCACTTTTCATCTCCTGGTCTCAAGTCATCCTCCCACTTGATTCCGCCTCTTGAGTAGCTGGTACTACAAGTGTGTGCCACCATACCTGGCTAACTTTTGTAGTTTTTGTAGAGACAGGGCTTCGTCATGTTTCCCAGGCTGGTCTCAAACTTCTGAGCTCAAGTGATCCATTTGTCCTGGCCTCCCAAAGTCCTGGGATTACAGTTGTGAGCCACCATGCTGGCCTGTTTTTCAATTATTGATTGCTTTCAAGTTGGAAAGTGCATTGTGAAACACTCAAAGATGTTGCTGGGATTATTTAGTTCTTTTGATACTATATAAATAAATGACAGAGTAACACCATAGTTATATGATTGGAACTCAAGAAATATTAAATGATAGGATTGAAAAGAGTTATATGAGTCATTTGTCCAGAATTTATAAAATTTTTTTCTGTATCCCAATGGAATAAATTTAAACTATGTATATTCTCTGAAATAGTCTTCCAGTTTGCCCAACATGCTTGCTCTCCTGACTAGATATTAGCTAAAAATTAACAAAACAGTCTTTTCTCCTGTTACTGTGTGGTAAAGATGTAAAACCCTTTTTGCCAGCAGGGCTGCCCTCTACTGGACTATTTAAGGTATTCAGTGAGCAGGTCAATATGACTATTTTACAAGAAGGTAACACAGTGGGTATAAATGTAAACATCCCATATCCCAAACAAACTGAAGTTCCCTGAATAGTTAAAAAAAAAAAGCCCTTTAATAAACTTTTACCATTAAAACAATTATGGTCGGCTGGGCGCGGTGGCTCACGCCTGTAATCCCAGTACTTTGGGAGGCCGAGGCGGGCGGATCACCTGAGGTCAGGAGTTCGAGACCAGCCTCAACATGGAGAAACCCCGTCTCTACTAAAAATACAAAATTAGCCGGGCGTGATGGTGCATGCCTGTAATCCCAGCTACTCGGGAGTCTGAGGCAGGAGAATTGCTTGAACCTGGGAGGCGGAGGTTGCAGTGAGCCGAGATCGCACCATTGCACTCCAGCCTGGGCAACAAGAGCGAAACTCCATCTCAAAAAACAAAACAAAACAAAACAAAAAACAATTATGGTCATTTTGAGAACTGGTAGTGAAGTTTATATGGTCTTAGTCTCCATTTCAACCTTGGAGGCAGATCTGTGGCAATGAGAATAGTAATGTATAGGAACGGTGGGTCTGCTCTGATGTCAGTCTTTTATGATGATTTGTATATTAATACAAATCACGTTTTTGTGAGTCCATTCATGCTGTGGATGTTTTCTTAGGCATTAGCATAGGTCATAGTGGACACATACTGAATAGGTCATATCTGTTAAGGCTCTTGCTACAAAGCATCAAAACTTTTCAGAACTATTTCCTCTGTGAAAATTCATTTTAAGTAGCAAGTTGTTTTTTTCTGTGGTTCATTCCCATGCCTGAGATTTGCAGTAATGTAGAACTAGTTTACCATCACTGCTGAAACACTCATAGAAGGTTCCAAATTCCTGGTCCAGGGAAAGAGCAAAAGCCTGACTCACATAAATAAACAACTGAGGTTGCAAGTTTAAGGAACTTTTTTGATGAAGTCAAGGAGTCTTTGGATGGTTCGAGTTCACTCTACTGCCTGCTTCTTTGTTTTCATAATAGGAACATGTCCCACAGCCTTTAGTAGGATGTCAGAATTTTCTTGATGTTGCCAGCAGGATCCTGTGTCCCAGGAAACTACAGTGGAATAAGGGGGGTCTGAGGTGCTTGCTTTGGGGAGACCTCTAGAGTAAGTCCTTTGCTGCCAGCAGCAGTTAAGGGAGGTAGCTGTGACATTGTCTTCAGCTTCTGCCATCTTGTTAGGTCCCAGGTGAGATTTTGAAAAGGATTGTTCAGGGGTGGTAAGAGCTCAAACAGGCCTGCCTCAGCCTCATGATAAGCCACTGCATCTGGCTAATTTTTTTATATATGTTTTTTGAGACAGGGTCTTGCTTTGTTGCCCAAGCTGGAGTGCAGTGGCAGGATCACAGCTCATTGCAGCCTCGATCTCCCTAGGCTGAGGTGATCCTCCCATCTCAGTCTCCCGAGTAGCAGGGACTACAAGTGTGCACCACCACACCCTGCTAATTTTTCTCTTTTTTGTAGAGATGAGGTTTTACTATATTGCCCCGGCTGGTCTTGAACTGCTGGGCTCAAGCAATCCGCCTGCCTTGGCCTCCCAAAGTGCTGGGATTACAGGCATGAGCCACCATGTCTGGCCATGATATTATTTTTAATTCAAAAACAAACATGCAAAATTAAATTTTAGTGAGAGAACTTAGTTGGATAACATCTTTCTTCTGGGTTATTAGGGTATGTTTATTCTTTGCAACTCTGATGTTCTAGGTGTAGCAAGACCGTTTGTTTTCATTTTGCCATTTTCCTGTACAGAAAGCTTTAATGTCTCCCCATGACCTTTATGGCAAAAACCAAATTCCCTCGACCAGTCTTTGGATTACTACACAATACATTGTCAAAGAAAATAGCCTGGAATGGTGAACAGAGCCTGAGGCTCAGTTGGGAGTCCTGACTTCTCATCAGCTGTGCATGAGCAAATTTGGAGGTGTTCCTTAACTTGTAAAATCGATTTGGATTTTTGGTATTTTAAGCATGATTTCCTTTAGTTCTTTTTTTTTTTTTCCAGAGTGCTAGAATTCAGTCTTTTAGTTCTTTGAACATATTTATAATAGCTGCTTTGCTGTCTTGTCTACTAAGTCTGACATCTGGGCCTTCAAGGACAATTTCTGCTGCCTGCTTTTCCCTTCTTTCTGTGTGTCATACTTTTCTGTTTATTTGCATGCCTCATGATTTTGTGTTGTAAACTGGGCATTTTAGATAGTATTTTGTAGCAACTCGGAATACTGATTTTCCCTCCCCTCTTCCAGGGCTGCTGCTTGTTGTGTTGTTTCCTTATTTGTTAACTGACTTGGCTGAGCTATTACACTGAGGTTTGTTTATTCTGCACAGTGTACCCTCAGATGTTTCTCCTCAAGAGGGTACACTTGGGCACGCACATAGTCACCCTGGACTGCCCTTCTTGAGAGATGATAGCCGATTTTCAGCAGGGCTTTCTTTAACTCTCAGATCTCCTTGTTAAGCTTCTGCTTTCATTGGTATCACCACCCAGCAACTATTCTTCACTAATTGCTAACTGATTGCTTTATTGTTTTGGACAAAGCTTTGGGCCATAAATTTCCCCACTTGTGATCCAGTTAAATTAAGATGCCCTTTGTATAGGGGTTGTGTTTGATGGCAGTCTTTGAGGCTTGTCATGTCAAAAAGGAGGATTCTTAGGTATCTCTTTCCCTGGTTCTCTGTGAAACTTCTACAGTAGTTGGTTAGTCTTTCACTTGCTGCTGTCACAGAACTACCAGCCTCATTTTTTTTTTTTTTTTAGATGGAATCTTGCTCTGTTGCTGGGCTGGAGTGCAGTGGCGCTATCTCTGCTCACTGCAATCTCCGCCTCCCAGGTTCAAGCGATTCTCCTGCCTCAGCCTCCCGAGTAGCTGGGACTACAGGCGTGTACCATCACGC
The DNA here is from genome assembly GCF_000001405.40 of Homo sapiens. NCBI lineage: Eukaryota > Metazoa > Chordata > Mammalia > Primates > Hominidae > Homo > Homo sapiens. The sequence continues at coordinate 222,906,774 of NC_000002.12, forward strand.
CCAGCTAATTTTTGTATTTTTAGTAGAGACGGGGTTTCACTGTGTTGGCCAGGATGGTCTCGATCTCCTGATTTTGTGTTCTGTCCTCCCTGGCCTCCCAAAGTACTGGGCAGCCTCATCATAATTGCTTACCACCAATGTCTGTGTTGTTTTTGACAGTGCCATTAGGCATGAACTTTTCCATTCTTTGTTCTAAATATAGTCGGTCTTAGAAATTGCTAAGGGGCTCTGTGTTCTTACAGCCTGCTTCTCCAGCCTGTGCAGAACCTTTGTGCCATTGTTCTGGAGCTGGGGCTGGGGACAGCAGCTTGATTTTCTTATAGTTATATCTGTTCTGTGAGTGGTCTACTAGGCCATCAATGTACCCATCAGTCTTCTCTGTTTGGAGCTTCTTGGCCTGCATGGAACCTCTGCTTTACAAGAGGTGAGGCAAAGATGATCTGTGCTTGGTGTCCTTGGCCTGATGCATCTGGGGTAGAGCTTCTGCCCTAAGAATGGGGACTGGATGAAAGAGAAAGGATTCTTCAGTTCTCTCATCTATCTACACTTGCCTGGAATAGAATTTCTGCAACACAGAGCTAGGGGTAGGAGGTGAAAAATGCTGGCTGCTTGCGTCACTTGGGAAGAAATCGTAGTCCTGGATTTGGAGCTGGGTAGGGTTAACTAGTTACTAGTTAGCTTCAGTTTTGTTTCTTCAAGAATGATGGCCGGATGTGGTGGCTAACACCTGTAATCCCAGCACTTTGGGAGGCTCAGGTGGGAGAATTGCTTGAAGCCAGGAGTTTGAGACCAGCTGGGGCAGCATCATGAGAGCCTGTCTCTACAAAAAAAATTTTGAAAAATTAGCTGAGTGTGGTCACACATGCCTGTAGTCCCAACTGTTTGGGAGGCTGAGGAGAGAGAATCGCTTGAGTCCAAGAGTTTGAGGCTGCAGTGAGCTATAATCTTGTACTGTACTCTATCCTGGGTGAGATCCTGTCTTTAAAAAAAAAAAAAAAAAGGTATTATTACCCACCTGCCACACAATGGCTGTTCCCCTCTGCCCGGAGTGCTCTTTCTTACCCAAATAGGCACATGGTACGCTCTCTCTTCCTTATGAGTCTCTGTTCAGATATCACTTAGCTGTAGCACCTCTCCAACGTTGCCCCAGTCACTTTCTATTTTCCTTACCTGGGTTTATTTTCCTCATAACATTTATCACCATCTGGCACGTACACATGCATGCATGCATACCTACATATTTGCTTGTCTACCTCTCCCAGTGAACGTGTAGGTTGCACGAGAGTGGGAACTTAGGCCGTTTTGTTTACTGTTACTTTCGCAGTGCTTAGAACGATATCTAACATAGTGGATTTTCAATAAATCTGATGAATGCAAAGTACAGAATGACCAAAGTATACTGCTTTCTTGCGTCATAGTTTAACCTAACTTGAAAACTATCTGTAGAGCCATTGTGGAAAATGAATTTTTTGTGTTTGCAAACTCCAGTTGCTTGTTGCTGACTAGAGTGAGAATGGGGCTCACAGGGAAGGAATGTGGTGATTATTTGGCAGTGGCTGCTGGGGCTGTGAGAGAGGATGGATGTGTTGTATTTGTAAAGTACTTGCCATCCCTAATGCAGTGAGATGCTAAAGCACAGGAAATGGGTAAATTTTTGGTCTTCCCCCAACCCTCTTTCTGACTTGCTCCCTTTTTACTACTGGGAAATGTTTGTGGATACTTAAGGTTTTGGTTGGAACAGCCGCCTGTTTACAGTATGATGTGGAAACTTTTCTTGTAATTCCGTTGTTAATAGATATTGTACAAATGAGTCTCTTAGAAATATCAAGACATTGTAGGGGACCAGTGTGGTAGCTGCTGCCTGATAGAAAAAAAAAAATCTTCATTTGCCGATGTAACTTTTCTTTAAATTATTTTAAAATGATTTTGAACTAACGCCTTTCTTTTTCTTCCTCCTAGATTCTCGCTGAAGTCTGTTAATTCTACTTTTTGAGTACTTATGAATAACCACGTGTCTTCAAAACCATCTACCATGAAGCTAAAACATACCATCAACCCTATTCTTTTATATTTTATACATTTTCTAATATCACTTTATACTATTTTAACATACATTCCGTTTTATTTTTTCTCCGAGTCAAGACAAGAAAAATCAAACCGAATTAAAGCAAAGCCTGTAAATTCAAAACCTGATTCTGCATACAGATCTGTTAATAGTTTGGATGGTTTGGCTTCAGTATTATACCCTGGATGTGATACTTTAGATAAAGTTTTTACATATGCAAAAAACAAATTTAAGAACAAAAGACTCTTGGGAACACGTGAAGTTTTAAATGAGGAAGATGAAGTACAACCAAATGGAAAAATTTTTAAAAAGGTAAGATGATCTTTCATTGCCTTTGAATTCTTTCGAATAAAATATCCTGTTAGAAATGAAGTAAAGGGCAAGCACAGCCTGCCTCCATTAGAATTCGCTGTTGAAGGAGAAGCAGTGTAGGAAGGGGGCTAGACTACCTTCTAATTTCTTCCTGTACTTACCAGCACTGATATGTTCTGAGTTTTCAGAAGGACATCGCAACCCAGTGGTGTGGAGCTCTTCCCCAGTGTCTACCAGGGTTTGGAATGTCTAGGGCAGTTTTGAGTATGAAACCATACTCCCTGTCTCTAGAGCAGCTGGGTGCTGGAAATGGCTCCAGGTTTTGGGGTGGGACCTGCTGTGTTAAATGTGGCTTAGATGTGGGTTGCAGTGAGTGCTTCATGTCTTTGTACTTTGGCTGTGGCAGTTGCATGGTTCTTAAAACATTTCTTTTCAGAAATATGGAGAAACCTGCCATTGTTGATTTGAAACAACGGGCAAGATGTTCTCAGAGGCAGTGTAACAGCGATTAAGAGCCTGGACTCCAGACCCAGACTATAGGTCTGAATCTTGGCTTTGCCACTTAACTGGCTTTCTGACCCTGGAAAAGTAGGTTAACTAATTCGCCTCAGTTTCTTTTTCTGTAATATGAAGATAATGATCATTACTGACACTCAAGAGCCAAGCTGTTCTAAGAGCTTTACATATATCATCTTAAGACTCACAGTTACCCTATGAGTTAGTTGTTATTATTTTCACTTTACAGATGACAGCACTGAGGCACAGATAGTTGAGGTAACCTACCCCAGGGACACTACAGCTAGGGAAGCTGGGACTGGAATCCAGGCCTTCTGGCTCCAGAACTCATACCCTCCATTCTTCACTGATCACAGCTTTCATGCTTGTGAGGATTGAGTGTGTGTGTATATATCTGCAATGTGCTTAGAACAATTTGTGGCACTTAATGTAAATGCTCTAGCTTTTATTATTAGATTACTATTATCTTGAGAATTCAATGAGGAAAATTATAGTAGAAAATTCAATGAGGAAAATTAGATCGTGGAATAGTGTGTTTCACTGGTAGTATAGAAATGGCGTGAGAATGCCGTTTATGAACTTGGATATGTGACTTCCTTATGAGCAGTTCTTGAAACTCTAGTAAGTTAAAAATTGAAGATAAAGTATTTTTTAGAGGGGGTACAGTGAAGTGATGTGTAGTTGGTTGATAATTTGGTTAGGTAATAGGTTTAATATCTTTTAACCATTTCCAGCTACTTTGATCCCCAACTGGCTTTTTTTCCTGTCAGTTACAAGGAAACCGTCAACTCTTGAAGGAGAGTCCAAATAACTGCAACTATGGAATGAAAAACTCAGAGCTCCTCTTTTACTGGAGGGCCAGAGGGATGTTGCTTAACCTCCTCTATATATGGCCCATTAATTTTGCCACTTAAACAAATTTCATACATCATTTTCCTCAAAACATGAAGGAGATGCCAAGCAAGTTGATGTCAGTAATTCCTAGAAACTAAAAACATTTTAACTTGACAACAGAATATGTAAATTTCCTCACGTTTAAATAGAGTAGTTGTGTATCTTGTTTTATCTGAAACCATCCTGATTTATACTTGTTGCTGTGACATTAATAGTGCCCCCTTACAGTCTCAAAAGTGCCCTAGTTTGGATAGTTATGTGGTCACCTTATTTTTAAGACATATTCCCTATTTCTTTTGCAGACTTAGAAAAAACTGAATTTTTTTCTATTTAAGATCTCGCTGAAGTTAATAGCACATTTCTAGAAATTGAAATCATGAGTTAAGCATGTTTGATTTTTCTTTTCCAGCCTATGGATTGTAATTTCCAAAACATTTTATCATAATGAAGTTTGCTTTTGTCATATTTACATATCTGGCACTGCCTTTTTTTTTTTTTTTTTTTTTGAGATGGAGTTTCACTCTTGTTGCCCAGGCTGGAGTGCAATGGTGCCGTCTCAGCTCACCGCAACGTCCGCCTTCTGGGTTCAAGTGATTGTCCTGGCTCAGCCTCCCGAGTAGTTGGGATTACAGGCATGCGCCACCACGTCCGGCTAATTTTGTGTTTTTAGTAGAGACAAGGTTTCTCCATGTTGGTCAGGCTGGTCTCGAACTCCCAGCCTCAGGTGATCCGCCCACCTCGGCCTCCCAAAGTGCTGGGATTACAGGCATGAGCCACAGCGCCCAACCAGCACAGCTTTTTATGGCACTCTGTTCTTGAGTCTGTTTTTGAGAAATCGGGTAGTTATGAGAAGGTACTGAAAACAGTACATTTTTATGTGCAAAAGTTTTCTACTTTTCTATCTGCTTATAGATTCATTTTTTTGTCTTTGATATGCTATTTGAATTCAAAGGTTGGATTCTCTTTTAGTCTAAGCATATATACAGAAGTCTTATGTTTCAGGAAGCTTCGTTTTTCTCCGGTATCCCACACATATTTTATTCATTTTAATGTGGCTAGTATTGTCTTTCAGTCGTCATTCGGTATGTACAGCAGCAAACTAGTTCTCAATTGTGTAAAAAGAAGAAAAGCTTATGTGGTGAATATGAAATTTCTTCCTAATTCGTGTATCAGTATAACTGGACAAAATAAAATCCTAGAGCTATGATAGTTGTTTCCTAAATGTGCGTGTGTAAGTGTATGTGGCTCTTTCCTGCTTATCTTAACCATAGTGCCTTTGTATTCAATGATTATTCAACAAAGTATGAAGTATTTGAACTCATAAAAGTTAGGTGAGACAGACTGTTTTTTAGCAACTTTTTCTGTCTATAGTTCATTACTGTGAAGTTTTATTTAGTTAGTAAAAGGAGGTTTTGAATTTCTATATGTCAGAAGATCTGCCTACTAGCATTTGCTATGAAATTGGCATTTGTGGTTCATCAAACTTTGTTCAGAAGGCTGTGTCTAGACTGTGTCTTGGGAACATGTTATAGTTTTCTTTAGGTTCATTGGGAAAGTAGAATTAATTTTTAGATTTTGCATATAATAAATGAAACAAGTAGTTTCTCTTGGCCATACTCAAGAAGAAAGTGTGCAGTGTCGCTGGTTAGCTGAGGCTTTAGTTTCTGTTCATTCTGTGTTGCAGCTGTGGCAGTGATCTGCAGACTGCAGAGTGGGTATCTCAGCTGCATGTTAAACATGCTAGGCCTTTTTCGTTTTCCCCTCTCTTGGTTTCTTGTTACACCCATTGCATTGCATCAGTAGCAGCATCTGCCTAGGGTGTTGAAAAGGGGAACTTTCACAACTGGTGGGTTAAGCTGTGTACTTTCTGCTATTAGTGCCTGCTAGCTGATCAAGCTCAGTGAAGTGTGTCTTCATTAAATAGTTTCCATATTTGAAGATAATCTTCAACTGGAAAAGAAAACGAATGTTGTAGCAATATTTAAAATATTTTTTGAGTAAGACTTTTGGGGATTAACCCCAGAATGTTGTATCTGATATGGTTGAAGGAAAGATGCACAAGCCTTATTTCAAATTAATGAACTTTGAAGCTTTGTTTCCATCTTATCCCAACAGTCTATTTTGAGGTCCTGAGGGGAGGATGAGTGGATGAAAAAAGGCAGTGGCGATGACCCTGCTCTCGTTGTGTCCAAGGTAGAGTAGCCACCAGCTTCACTACGACCAGATTCTTCCTTGGGGGACAGAAAAACAAAAGGCACTTGGTTGCTTGGCAGGCCTTTTCAGGGTCCTTTTAAGTTTCATATGGTTTTATAAAACTGTAGCAGAGTTAAGAGCTGGAACCTGTGTCAGCATCACCTGATTCCAGTGTTCCCAGCAGTAAATGCATTGCACTAACGTCGTCTTGAAATGAACAGTGAAATGATTTCAGGACAACCTTAAAATACATGTATACCTGAAATAGAACAAAGCTGCAAAGACTAAAAATAGAAACAGAAAAGAGTACAAGCTGGCTCATATACTTTGTGAGCCATCAGAAACACTTGATTTTTTCTTAGATATTTTATAAAAATAAGAAGAGAATGAGGGATTATGTAATATGGTGCTTAGAGAAGACTTCACTATGACATTCCTTCTAAATTGATCCAAAAAGATAATAGAAACACTCATTTATGTCCTTGTAAGTTGACTTAGCTTTCTTTTCCTCTTTCTTAATGCCGTCTTTTGTGTTATTTCTTAGTCACATTTTTTTACCCTGTTTGTGTATGTGTATAAAACTTATTTTCTGATTTATTAGGACATTTGCATCATGCTATATGTAACAAATTATGGTCAGTCTCTTGGCTGGGATTTGTGGGTTGGTTATTATATTACTCTTCTCTTAGTTTCCCCTTCCAAACTGTCCCTCTCCTTTCATCCTATTTATTAAAGGCACTGCTGCATACCAAATTGTTGAAGCCAAAAAATCAGGGGTGTCTGATTTACATCCCTTACAGCCTCCCCCCGCCTTTTTTTTAGCAGGCCTCCTTGCTTCCACACTTGCCCCCAACTGTAATTCACTCACACACAGCATAAAAATGATTTTTCACAATTGTTAATCAGGCCACCTTACTCACCTGCTTAATAAGACCCGGACTTCTTTCTACAGTGCAGTTGAAGCATTGTGATTTTATGCTTAATCTCTGGAATGAGTTTGCCTGGGTTCATATTCTAGTCCCATTACTTATTAGTTACATGATTTTGAACAAGTTATATTTACTCTACATCTCCATATTCTCATGTGTAAAATAGGGATAATAATAGTAACAGTTTTTTACAGGTATGGTAAGAGTTTAATAAGTTAACACTTGCCGTGTCCTTAGCATGTAGTAAGCACTAATAAAGGTTAGTTACCCTCATTATCATTATCATGATTATTACAACTATCCAGATCTCTTGAATATTTTTACTCTGTGGCTCCCCTCAGAATAATTTTTTCATAGTGATCTTCAGTTGCAGAGAGAATGGTTAAATGAAGCCAGGTGTACTTTACTGAAGAAGACAGGAATGTGTGTAATTTTGAAATATTTCTAAATAGTGAAAGTAAAACAAGTCCTAGTGCTTAAAGAGGTTTTCAGTAGGAGACAAGATTACCACCTGTAAGTAGAGAGAAGGAAGGGTGGAAGGTGTGTGTGTACGTGTGTGTGTGTGTGTGTGTGTGTGTGTGTGTGTGTGTGTGTGTATTTTGAGACAGGGTCTCACTCTTGCCCAGGCTGGAGTGTAGTGGTATGATCATAGCTCTCTGCAGCCTTGAGTTCCTGGGGTCAGGTGATCCTTTTGCCTCAGCCTCCTAGGTAGCTGGGACGACAGGCATGTACTGCACGTCTGGCTAATTTTTACACTTTTTTAGACATGGGGTCTTGCTGTGTTGCCCAGGCTGGTCTCGAATTCCTGGCCTCAAATGAGTTGCCTGTCTCAGCCTTCCAAAGTGTTGAGATTACAGGCATGAGCCAGTGCACCTGCCCAGAGGAGGCTATTTGAATAGAGAGAAGGTTTCAGAGGTATTTCAGAGGGTGAGAAAACGAATAGACCAGGGATGTATGATAGGATTGCTTCAGGGTGTTGAGGTCCTAGATTTAATAAGGTTGGCTGTTCTGCAGCAGTGTTCAATGATATTGGCAAGGAATAAATAGTTTAATCTTGTCTTGGGCTAGCCATAGGGACAAAGTTAGGATTAGAAACTTTTCCAGCACAAATCAGATACAATATAGAGTGGGTAGTGTCCTCTAAATGTAATATTTATGAAAAACATAATTACTAGATGATTCAGTGGTTTAAAGAATTAAAATCATGAGATTCAGATTTCGTTTTATATTTTATTTTTTACATATGTGGAAATCTTACGCTCATTTGATTCCTTTGCCACATGGTGGCATCATTGCATGAGTTTACATATTTAGATTATATATCAAACACCTTTTCAGAACACACATAGTCTTTGAAATTTATAAATCCTGTCACTTACATATTAGAATCTGGAAGGTAGTGCATTCTTAACCTTTAGAGTGTAAAATTCTTAATAATTATAATCCAGTTCCTGCACATTTTGGCCAAGTTGTCATCTGTCTTCTAACCCTCACAGAGCTCCTTTTGAAGTCATTGGAGCTCCCTGTGCTGAGCATTTCATGGGGGTAAAGAGCAAGGTGAGAGTTTGGGACCAGTAAAGTAAATAAGTACCATCTTAAATGCAGTTGCTTTATCCATCAAAATAAAAATTTATTTCTTAAATGCGTAATTGCATGGGACACTAGATGGCAGCATTTATCCTTTTCCGTTTTTATCCAACCTCTTCTAGAAATTTCTTAAATGTTTACATTTATAAAATGAACATGGTCAGATGATTTTAAGGTGTTTGAGATGTATATTACTGACACAGCCATGTTTGGGAATTAATTACCTATATATTTTTGCAGAGAGAGGAGCTTTTTATACAGTCCGTATGTAATTAGGGATTTATGGTTTTGTCTAAGTTGAGGAAAATTTCTAAAGACAATATGTTAAAAAACTTCAAAAGGGAGTTTTTACTAATGCATATTTGGTATTACCAGCACTTACGATAAACAGATAAAATATTGAAAACCTGGCGGTGCCAGTAAGCATTTAAGGCTTGAATAGAGGGACTTTGAATAATATAACTAGTCCACCTGGTTATGTAAACAGAAACTTGTTTACTTTGCTTTTGCTTATCCAGAGTTTGGTATGGCAATTCAAGTTCAGCAATCATAAAGATTTCTGTTAGCTTGGATAGAGAAAGTTTCTGTGAATCATTTTATACCGTCTGATACTGACATTTAGGAATTCCTAAATAGAGAGAAATTAAAATTTTGGCATCTGCGGTACTTGGTACTAGGCTAAATATTAAGTTAACACCTACATCATTTAAATAGGTGAAATTTATAAGTAGATTATTAGTGTATGACCATTTGGCCAGGCAGTTGACCTTTACGAGCCTATCAAACTCTCAATATTTTTGAAAACCAAAAATAAAGCCAAAAAACCCCCCAGTTACAATATAAGATTTGAGTTGTTATAGAAGATGTCACAAAATAGCTAATTTTTAAAATAGATTTTTCACTCAAACTCAGTTTCTGGCTTTTTATTAAAAAGATAATTCTATGCAAACGTAACTTTCTGGTTCATCATAACATTTGGACGATATTCTGGTTTCTTCTGTAAATTATTATTTTGATTACATTAAAAAAATTTTTTTTTGTTTTATCAGGTTATTCTTGGACAGTATAATTGGCTTTCCTATGAAGATGTCTTTGTTCGAGCCTTTAATTTTGGAAATGGATTACAGATGTTGGGTCAGAAACCAAAGACCAACATCGCCATCTTCTGTGAGACCAGGGCCGAGTGGATGATAGCTGCACAGGCGTGTTTTATGTATAATTTTCAGCGTATGTAGACTTTCTTATCTTCTGGAAGAATGAACTTAACTGATATTTATTGAAATACTTTACTCTGAAGAGGTTAAAATTCTGATGTTAATTTTCACCCAGTGTCCAGTTAGTGGAGAACTCTGTTGTGACTTGGAATTTTTGGTTTATTTTGGAAAATAAATCAATTATATGACAAATTGTACCAATCAGTGTTGCAGTGAGGCTTGAACCTCTTCATGGGAGACTTTCAGGTCTTGAGAACTAGACCTACACTTAGGGGCCGTTGTTCCAATACCATTTCTCAGGAATCCTCTTTAGAAGTTACTGTCAATTTTGTTCTGTCACCTCTATCAGTAACAACAGTTGACCTCCGAAACACTTCCATACTGAAACCTGGTGAACTTCAAGGTGCAGGTTAAACAATAGAGTTTTCATATTGTAATTATCTGAATGGTAATTGTGGTGGCTCAGTCTGTGAGATAGTTCTGGAAGCATAAGTTCAGAGGTCTCGGTGCCAAAATGTGACAGTAATTTGTGGATGTTTAGTCTCATCCTTCAGATGAAACAGAAAATACACTTTCACCAGATTTCTTGCTGTAAATTCCTCCACCTTTTCTTTTTCTTTTTTTTGAGATGGAGTCTCACTCTGTCGCCAGGCTGGAGTGCAGTGGCACAGTCTCAGGTTACTGCAGCCTCTGCCTCCCGGGTTCAAGCAATTCTCCTGCCTTAGCCTCTCGAGTAGCTGGGACTGCAGGCGCATGCCGCCATGCCCGGCTAATTTTTTGTATTTTTAGTAGAGATGGGGTTTCACCCTGTTGGCCAGGATGGTCTTGATCTCCTGACCTTGTGATCCGCCCACCTCGGCCTCCCAGAGTGCTGGGAATATAAACGTGAGCCACCGTGCTAGGCCTCCTACACCTTTTCTTTTAAACAAACATTCCATTTTTGTTGTCACAGGTTTGGATTTACATTGTTTCTTTTGAGGAGCTTTAAAAGAATTATTTTCAAAGTCATTTTGTGTATCTTTTTTGAGTTAGGCAGAAAGTAAATAAAAATCTACACTATTCATGTTATGTAATTTCAGCATTTCAGAGAATGTTTGTCTTTAGATATTTTTGCTTGAGAATAAACGGTACTGCCACTTGTTTGTGCTCTTTTCTTGACATACACCGTAAATCTGACATTCAGTGTGTCATCCTATTTGTATATGTTCTTTTTCACATTGTAAAGCCAAGTGGCCAACAATTAAGAATTTGAAGTCTTAGAAATCAGTTATAATTCCTTCACAATGTGGTAGTCCCAGAGTAACATCTGTAAGTGAAACAAAATAAAAATTTAAATATCTTCATCTTTAAAAATTGGAAATCTTGGGGCATTTAGGGGAGGATGAGTAGGTGTAATGTTGATTAGTATGATAAGATAACTTTAAAAAACATAACACTTATAGACTGTGGATTTAACAGTTTAGGGCTCCTAATGCGTTATTATGATTCATCTCCACATTCAGAGACTTTACATTTGTAGTTAAATGTTTGAATATTTGACTGGCTGCTGCTTTTCCTTTTAGTTGTTACATTATATGCCACTCTAGGAGGTCCAGCCATTGTTCATGCATTAAATGAAACAGAGGTGACCAACATCATTACTAGTAAAGAACTCTTACAAACAAAGTTGAAGGTGAGGACTCTAGTTACTTTCTAACTGTCTGATACTTTAGAATTTTCAGTGTCATGAGCCCTATTATTGATACTTAGTTCTTTTATGACTTTTAAGTCCTTAATCTTTGTGGACTTTTATGAATATCATACTTTATTTTTTCCTTTAGAAAATAAAAAGTAGATTTTGTATATATTCATGTATAAGTAATCCAGAGTTATAAATTGTTAAGATGCCTATGTTTAAATTGAAGAAATTACGACTACTTTTTCTCTTATTGTGCTCATCTATTTTCTAGTTTACTTTTAGTAAATTTGTAATTTTGAAGGGTTATATTTTAAACTAGTAATTTTTATTTTACTTCTGAAGCATTAAGTAATTACAAGTTTTCAGAATTGTTTGGAAGTTAAAAAGGGAGACTTTTAATTATATTACAGTAAAAAGAGTTTCTTTGGTCTCTAGACAACTCCCAGAAATATCTGGGCTATTCTATATGGGGGAAGGAGGAGAAAATTCACATGTAAACTTGTTCAAAAAGAAAATTTTGAACAAGTTTGCATGTGAATTTTCTCCTCCTTCCCCCATATATTTTTATGTAGTCTCTTGAAAATATGAGGGGCTTCTGGTTTCTCTACAGTTTAGGCAACCTGTGTTTACATGCCCGTTTTATAAGGCAGTACCCTTCTTGATCAGGGTTTTACCAAAGGCCAAGGGTACACACAGTGAATCTAATGCTATAAAATAATAATTTAAATTCAGACCAATACTTAATCATCTGTAAAAAGTGATATTATGCCAGTGTACCCTTTCTTCTTTCTTTTTTGAGGCAAGAAATTACTTAATGATTCACCGAATATGGTAAACTAGTATTCTTATTCGCTAAGCTGCTTGAAAAATAATGAACGTGATGAATGTTGGTGTATTTCTAGGATATAGTTTCTTTGGTCCCACGCCTGCGGCACATCATCACTGTTGATGGAAAGCCACCGACCTGGTCCGAGTTCCCCAAGGGCATCATTGTGCATACCATGGCTGCAGTGGAGGCCCTGGGAGCCAAGGCCAGCATGGGTATGTTACACTTTTCTAATTCCTTACCTGTGCTTTCTGGTGACCACATTCTCCAGAATTATGCCAAAGTTTTGATTCTGAGGTTAGCTCAAATGACACATCAGTTTTCTAACATCAGTTAGGAAAACAGGTCCCTCTAGGTATACTTTCATCTTGTCTTTAAAGAAAGTTTTAAGGAAAAATATAAACATTAATTATTAATGTTTTAAAGGTAGTATTTATTTGAAATTTAAAATATTTTACATTCAGTTTTCATTTCTTTTTTATGGTGATAGTTTTGGGTGGTTTAAAGTTAGTTTATAAATAATGACATTTATCTTGTCCTATGTGAATTACCTGTAAGTGTTAACAGAGTGGCTAAACCTGGAGGCCTCCTTTTACTCCCTGTTCCAGTTCTTCCCTTTCCTGAGGTGAAAACCTTACCCTCCAACTAGCACACCTAGGCATGGTGACTCTACAAGTTCCTATTCTCAAAAAAGCGTCAGAAAATGTTAGCTAGTGTACTAGTGTTTAGAGATACTGCAAAAGCTGCTGGGATGCTGGGACTGCATTTCCTCTGTAGTTGGAAACCTAGTAATTAGATGTAAGCATTCACTCAACTCAAATTTTAGGCACCTGGAATTTGAGTGGTAGTGGGATATTTAGATGCAGATATATTGTGGACAGTGGTGTGTAAAAGTCTAGTACTCGAGTTATGTTTGGACTTAGAGATTTGGAAGCTAGAAGCAGTTAGGTTTTAATTATAGCTGTGGGAGTAGGGGGTGAGGTCACCAACAGGGAATGGTGGCTTCAGAGGCTACTAAGGACTAGTCAGAGAGGAAAGAAGAAAATATCTAGTAGTATGTGGTTCCTGGAAGCCAAGGGAAAGGAGATCTTGGTGAGTCATCAGCAGGATCAGGGGCTGCATGCAGAGGTCAGATGACACAAGGATTGTAATTTCCAAGAAGTGGTGGTGTTGGAGAAGGGTGCTGTGCATTGAAGGAGTGAAGGGCTGATTTGGAAGTAAAGACTTCCAAGTGTAAACATTATTTAAGAAATGTATCTTGACTGACAGGAGAGGAAGGGTATTCTATTGGGAGTACATTTAAATAATTTTTTCACACTCATTTAGAAGTTCACATGTAGAGTAGTTCTGGGAGTGGTTCAGACATATCAGCAATGCCAACCATGACCTATTTCTCTTTGTTCTTCTGCTGTGCCACCTCTATAGCTTCTCAGCTGTTGTCCTTAGGCTGGTACTCTTCTGATTTCAAATGGTTCACATCGTGTTTTAATGCAGGACTCTGAGTGTAACCAAGTTAGTCACCATTCTGAAGCAGTGAATAGTTTTTAGCAAACACCTAGATACTCTAGTCCAAAGCTACCTTTATTTCTTAGTTGAATTACTGGGATAATCTTGTCTCCCTGATACCTTTTTTCCCCTTGTAAAGTTAGTTAGCCACACAGCAGCCAAAGTGATCTTTTTTTTCACAGATAATAACATACTCCTGTTCAAAACAACATTGCTTTACATCCAGAACGTAATCCAGAGTTCTTCCCGTGGCCTTTGAGGTCCTATGTGTGGTCCCTGATAGCCACTTGACTATTGTTTCTTGCCACTCTTCCTCTTGCTCACTCTGTTCCAGCCACACTCCTTGCTGGTCTTTAGATATGCTGAGCACATTCCTACCTTTGGGTCTTTGCATTTGCTTATTTCCTTCTAATTAGAACACTCTTCTCCCAGTTCCAGGGTTTCCATGGCTCCCTTCCTCACTTTATTCAGGCCTTTGCTAAACGAAACTCTACAGAGACGGTCTCCAGGCTTTTCCATCCAAATAGCATCTATTGTCATCTTCTCACCTTGTCTTGCTTCAGTTTTCTTCATAGGTTAATCTGTTTGTATATCTCAATAGAATATATCTCCCATACGTGCAGGGACTTGATCTGTTTTGTTGATCTCAGTATAACTAATATTTGTTGAATTGAGTTAAATTAACTCAATTTGATTGAGTTATTTATTTGATGATAATGAAAAGAAATTGTTGATACAGCTGAATCTCATGAAAGTGTATGTGTGTGTTTTTTCTCTTCAATGCAGAAAACCAACCTCATAGCAAACCATTGCCCTCAGATATTGCAGTAATCATGTACACAAGTGGATCCACAGGACTTCCAAAGGGAGTCATGATCTCACATAGTAACATTATTGCTGGTATAACTGGGATGGCAGAAAGGATTCCAGAACTAGGGTATGTCATAGTAAAGTAACATTGAGTAGTTAAGTATTTATGTCTGTTATAATGTTAGCATTTGTGTCATTTTATTAATATATGGCTAAATTAGTCCCTCAGAGTCTGTTTGTAGTAGGCATTTCCTTAAAAAATAAAAAAGGACATTAAAATTAATGGCAAAATAGTTATAGTTGTGAGGTTGAAAATATATCATATAGATATATTTTAAAAAGTACAGAACTTAAATTTGTATAGTTGTAAATCCTTTGTTTTAATCAGCTTGTATTTGCTGCTGTAGTTTTTTTTATATCTAAATACAATTCAGGTGAACAGGTAACTTAATTTATCCACTAAGTATTTGTTGAGCTTCAGTATTTGGTCTCTGATTTTTCTTGTTAATACAAACTCCAGTGGTAGCAGTGGAAGGTAGAGTGGAGTGGGGAAGAGACTGATGGAGGAAACCAGATGGAAGTTTGAGGGACTGTCAAGGAAACATTGCCAGAGATGCAATTGGTATTCTGATGACCGATAGGGTACAGTGGTTGGATATTTTTGATGCTTTTATGCACAGAAATTACAAACATACACGCACACACACACTCACGTAATTGCTATGGTACTGAACTTGGGGATGGAGGAATGTCTCTTACGTATGCATACATTTCAGAAAAAATTAAGTGCAACAATTTTCTTACAGGTTTGCCTCAGTTACCTTCTATATTTTGGTTATGGGGGCAGCTCTTGAAGTATATACAAATACTTACACATTTTCTGTATATTAAGATCTAATTTATTATGTAATCCAATTCCCACAACAAGAGTCTTATCTGTAAAATTTCTGGCAGATAGTTGTGGATTCTACTTTAACTCTTCTGGTTGGCAACCCACTAGATGTAAAGACCATTTCCTCCTTGGATGATTTCTTCTGTTCTTCAAAAGAACCCTGTATTATTATTTGTTTAAGCCACTGTTTCTTGTGCCTCAGTACTTTGCTTCAGCAACGCTTATAATTCCTGAGTGCTTTTAAGTAGGACGGGAAACAGCATTCCTTCCTGCAAGTGTGCGCCTCCTTGCTTTTGGGTTGAGCTGTAATTCTTTTTCCCTCCCATCCCCAGCATCTGCCTATCCTCTGTTTTCACCTGTCTCTCTCTCTCTCTCACAAACACATACACACTTGACCAGCAAATTGATGCCCTGGGGCCCTTCCATGTGCCTTCAAGCTTGCTCCCATTATAGGGCACTTTTGGCATAGACGACACCTGACTTTTGTTTCTGACGTCTCCCTTTTCTTTTAGAGAGGAAGATGTCTACATTGGATATTTGCCTCTGGCCCATGTTCTAGAATTAAGTGCTGAGCTTGTCTGTCTTTCTCACGGATGCCGCATTGGTTACTCTTCACCACAGACTTTAGCAGATCAGGTAAGTTCAGTGTCTGTGACTTGAAATACTAAAAAATCATAGTGAATTGTAATGCATTTTTTTCAGTCAGTATGACAGTATATTGCGAGAGCGATGGTTCATTTTAAAATGAGCTTTAGCCTTTTAAGTGCTTCTTAGACTGTAAGTACATTAAAATAATTTATAATAGGCTTTTTGATCTAAGAATACCATTGAATTTTAAAAATAAGGATCACTTTATATGGATCACTTTTTCTTATTTTGTAGTCTTCAAAAATTAAAAAAGGAAGCAAAGGGGATACATCCATGTTGAAACCAACACTGATGGCAGCAGTTCCGGTAAGAAGTGACCCTTATTTAATATTGAGTATTAAAGAAGTATCACCCGCTACAAAGCATTAGTGCTAGTGAAAAATATATTGTTGACAAGGTAGTTTATGTAGGATTTATTCCTTATTGATTATAAATATTGCCTTAGGCGCTATGGGATTTCTTCAGTCTTGTTTTAGCTTGCTTTCTTATTTACTAAGCACTCAACTTAATTTCAGCTTCTGTGTGTAATTATCAACTTGTTTGCCTAAATACCTTCTTGTTAAAATAAAAATTATTTTCATGATATCTGTTGGTGAATTCATTGACACTTGAAGCCTATTGAGAGCTAGGAGGGAAAGTGTGAGATCACCTCCTTTTAAGCAAGCTGTATAGTTACCTCCTGAGTCCTCAGGGAAAGTCTGGCCTAAACACCAAACAAAGTGACAGAGAAGCTGGTGCAGCTTTGAATGACTTAAGAGGGGCTGTTCATCCTTACATAATATAGGGGCCTGGGAATAAGACAAGGGAAATGGGGCAGCAGTGATTTTCTGGCTCCTTATAACATAGGCTGAGTTTGTTTGGAAATGATGGGAATTATTGTCGGGTACCTAAATGCTTACGTCAAGAATAATTACATAGTTACTTCAAAGTCAAATATAAATAATCAGTAGTTTCTTTCTATAATTATAGTTTCTTTAGTATCCAACTTAAATTCTTAGTTCACTTAAAAATGACGTACAATTTAAAGTTGTGGAGGAAACATTATTTTAAGTCATTAAAGTATACTTCACAGTAATGGACCTAGCAAGCAAAATGCAGCACAGACAAGGAAAACTTCCTGGTGCAATATCGAAAGTCAAATAGCCAAACAAAAACTCCCAAACGTTGCATGGTCTTTTTGTGAGCAAAGAATGTGGTACTGTATATTTTTATAAGATAAAGTTAGGACATTTTGAAAAACCATTTCAGACGGTTGTTCGTTTATTTTGTGAGTAGGTTTTAGTTCAGAATTAGTAAGATAAGCAAAGCAATATAAAGAATATCTTACAATTTATATGAGTATCTAGATATATTTCTGCTTTTAAAAATTATTTTTGTGGAAACTTTATTTTTAAACTAATTGTGGTTCGATTTTAAAAGTTTGATCTTGATAGGATACATCTTTTTGAAAAATTCACAAAAGGTTTTTTCCTTCTTGCTGAATCACATCCACAGTTGAAGAGTACTTCTTTTAAAATGCCTTAATATTGCTAGAAATGTTAATCTAATGCTAAGTGAATATGTAAGGCAGCTGTTATTATTAACTATGTTAAACTCATTTTTATACATTTAGGAAATCATGGATCGGATCTACAAAAATGTCATGAATAAAGTCAGTGAAATGAGTAGTTTTCAACGTAATCTGTTTATTCTGGCCTATAATTACAAAATGGAACAGATTTCAAAAGGACGTAATACTCCACTGTGCGACAGGTAAGTAAAGACTCTCTACCTCCTTCTTTCTCCTCTTGATAATTTAATCATTTAGTTCACATTAATAGCCCAATTAATTGAGATAGTTATAAGAAAGAAATATATTTCATAAAGTCAAGAGAACTCTTTAAAAAAAATCCATCCCAGGCCAGGCGCGGTGGCTCATGCCTGTAATCCCAGCACTTTGGGAGGCCGAGGCAGGTGGATCATGAGGTCAGGAGATCGAGACCATCCTGGCTAACACAGTGAAACCCCGTCTCTACTAAAAACACAAAAAGAAATTAGCGGGGCTTGGTGGCGGGCGCCTGTAATCCCAGCTACTCAGGAGGCTGAGGCAGGAGAATGGTGCGAACCCAGGAGGCGGAGCTTGCAGTGAGCCAAGATTGCGCCACTGCACGATCTGTCTGCCTGGGCGACAGAGCGAGAATCCGTCTCAAAAAAAAAAAAAAAATCCATCCTGGCTGAACACGGTGGCTCACTCCTGTAATCCCAGTGCTTTGGGAGGCCAAGGCGGGCAGATCACCTGAGGTCAGGAATTCAAGACCAGCCTGGCCAACGTGACAAAACCACATCTCTACTAAAATTACAAAAATTAGCCAGAGTGGTGGCATGTGCCTGTAGTCTCAGCTGTTAGGGAGGCTGAAGCAGGAGAATTGCTTGAACTCCCTCGGGAGGCAGAGGTTGCAGTGAGCCGAGATCGTGCCACTGCACTCCAGCCTGGGTGACAGAGTGCGAGACTCTTGTCTCAAAAAAAAAAAAAAAAAAAAAATCCATCTTGACATGGGAGGATTGCTTGAGGCCAGGAAATCAAGACCAGCCTGGGCAACATAGCAAGATTCCTTCTCTGCTTAGCTGGGCATGGTGTCATATATCTGTAATCCCAGCTACTTCAGGGACTGAAGTAGGAGGATTGTTTGGGCCCCCAGTGGGAGGATTATTTGGGCCTGGGAGCAATGACTGCACCACTGCACACCACCCTGGGTGAAAGTGAGACTCTGTCTCTTTAAAAGACAAGCAAACAAAAAACCTTTGTAATAGTATGAGCAGTTTAAAAAACCTGCAATGTCATTAAAAGTGTGTTTTCACTTAAGATTTTGCTATTTGTGAGTTTATATTTTCTGTGAACACTTAGGGAGTTTTAATTATTTTGAGAAATAGTTTCTCTTTTGCTTTTATATTTATTTCAGTATGAATATAATTAAATGTTTTGTATTTAAAGCTTTAAATGATCAGTTTTGTTCCAGCTTGTATTTGTGTAGTGTTAATAGAGTACATAGATTTATGATTTGATCATAAAATAGCTTAGAAGTTAGAAAATGGAAGTATGACATTCAAAGTATTTTTTATGGTAATATTAATATAGTTTTCAGATGCTTCACATAATTTAGAACTTTGTAAGTTTTTTTCCTGCCTTACGTTAGTTATTTCTTCAGTGAGTTGTAAAGTCGGCCCTCTGTATCAACAGGTTCCACATCTTTAGATTCAACCAACCGTGGATCAAAAGTATTCTGGGGAAAAAACAATAAAATATAACAGTGGAAAAGAAAATACAGTATAACAACTATTTACAATGAATTTATATTGTATTAGGTATTATAAGTAATCTAGAGATAATTTAAAGTATTTTGGAGGATGTGTGTAGGCTTTATGCAAATACTATGCCGTTTTATATAAGGGACTTAGGCATCTGAGGGTTTTGGTATCCAGAGGACTGGATGCCAAGGGATAACTGTAAAAGCTGATTTGAAAAGTCTGTTAATACCATTTTTAAAAAATTGTCACCGTGTAGTCTTCACCTTTTGCAAAGATTTTTTTTTTTAAGTACTACCTCTCCTTTTTGATCAAGGCAGTATGCAATCTTTGTATTAGTGTATTTTCAGAAACATCAATTAGATGTTTAACTTGTTTCCTTTTTTAAATGCTTCACAGATAATTTACTAGATTATTTTTAACAAACAATTCAAAGCTTGAATTAGTGAAACTTCAAAAACAGATTGTGGTATACAAATTATACACATTTCTAATAAAGTACATTAAAGCAAAAATTAATTTGATTTTAATACATTTCATAAAGATGATAGAATTGTTCAGTATTAATATATGATAAATATTTTATGTAAATAATGATATAAAAGTGGCCATAAGCAAGGGTTTTCCTGTCACTATACAAAACTAAACCTGACAATTCAAATTCGAATATCACTTGAAAAGCTCTTAAGAGGAAATAATAAATTCTTTACCTTGTTGAACTTCAAAAAATTAACATTTGGGGCTCAAGAGACTCTCCAAATTGGCTGTGTGACCTTGGATAAGTAACTTAATCTCAAAATCTCTCATATCAAAACTGGGGGATTAGTTTAAGTGATTTGGAAAATCCCATTCAGTTTTAAAATCCTGTGGTTCTCTAATTTTTTTCTTTAGCTTTGTTTTCCGGAAAGTTCGAAGCTTGCTAGGGGGAAATATTCGTCTCCTGTTGTGTGGTGGCGCTCCACTTTCTGCAACCACGCAGCGATTCATGAACATCTGTTTCTGCTGTCCTGTTGGTCAGGGATACGGGCTCACTGAATCTGCTGGGGCTGGAACAATTTCCGAAGGTAGTGTTCTCCATGGTCAGAGGCTGGAGTGTGATGCCAGACGTTTTTTTGGGGTATGGGATATTTTCTGCAAATATATAGGAGAAGAGTAGTAAGGTGTTTGTGAGGCAGAATAATGGTGGATTCCAAGTACTATGATCATTGATATCAATTTTTAGAATGTATTAGATGCATCTGGAGTCAATAATTTATCTGGAGAAGTTTTTATATCAAACTGATAGGTAATATTAAAAACCACTTAGCATTTTGGAAGAGAAACTTTAGTAACAAACACTGACTGTTTTGTGTACATTTATTTTCTCACATCAGTGATTAAATTTCTTTTTATGTAGAAAACTTAAGGTGCTTTTGTTTATTTGTGTAGGTGAGTATATTAAGGCTCAGGTTCAGAAATGTTTATGAGGATTTCTGTAAGTGTTAGAGAAGGAACTAAGTTCTGGTCTAGGGAATATTATTACCAGAGTTTATCATGTGGTTGTGTTTGAGGAGGAGATCTACCAACTAATCAGCAGTTCTGAGATGAATCGCATAGGGCCTCATGCGTCCCTTTTATGGGAGAAAGTTATTTTGCTTTCCGGTACAGGATACAGCTGTGCTTCTCCTACTTTGTATTTGCCATATACGGATAGATACAAAACCTCATGACTGATTTTTCCCTATTTATTTTGAGTGGCTCTGTATACCATTTTCATGTATTACTTCATTTTTCTGTTTTTCAGTTATGTTCTCTGTTTTCGTATATTTTTGGAAGCTAGTTCTAAGTCATGTTTTGTAGGAAATAAGCAATCTTAAATACATGCATAGGGGATTTCTTTCTTCTGAGGATCCTTAATTTCTTCTATTTTTAAGATTCAAATTGAATGATTAATCAGTAACAGTTTATGTTTTAAATAAAAGTCTTTAAAATGTTAAATATCAGCCTTTCATTTCTGATATTTGGTCTTTGAAGAGGAAACATAATGCAATAGTAATTCATAATAGTGGAGGGTTCTTTCCTCACATCCTTGAAAGCCACCAGTCTTATTCTTCAGCCTGGCTCTTGAGCTATTGCTGTATTAATTTTAAATAGGGTGTGATAGCATAAGCTGATGGAAGCCTGCAGAGATCTCACTTTGAAATGGTGATACATTACATGGGAAAAGATTAGAGAGGTGTTTTATACTGCACATCGGTGAGGCCTAATAAGAAAGTAGAATAGACGTAAACCATTGTTTTCATCATCCTTTAAGACAGGGATTTCAAACTCAAGAACCAGGCAGCTACCTATTTAAATGAGTCAAGTGGGCCCTAATGTAAGACAATGTGATGGGTAAGGATTGATTCTGAGGGAACAGGAGCAGGCATGCCCTCTCTAACAGAGGCCGTCAGTTCTGCTGTACCTGAAATGTGGGCCCATTGTTGCTGGCGATTCCACACTTACATCTAAAATTTCCTGATTTTTTAAGAATGACAATAACTAATTTAAAAAAAAAAAAAAAACCTCAATGTAGGCCAAAAAATACGACTCTACAGGCCTCACGGCCTGTGCTTCACCAATATGTGACTTCTGCTTTTAAGGAATAGCTGGGGATACCTCAGCCTTAGGATAAATAATCATTTTTGGTAATTTAGAAAAATGAAGCAGTGTATTAGCTACTGTTCTCAAATATCCTTTTTTTCATTTAATTCCTAGTGTGGGACTACAATACTGGCAGAGTGGGAGCACCATTAGTTTGCTGTGAAATCAAATTAAAAAACTGGGAGGAAGGTAATAAACTATTTTAACCACAGAGCATTAATTTTTAAAGTATTAAACTTGAAAATTAGTGCTTCACTTTCTTGCTTTAGAATGTAAACACCCATAAGTGCTCATTTTTGTCCTTTGTGATAGACGTGTTTTATCTCGAACTATATGAATGCATTTATTTTTCTTGTTTCAAAGATGTTTCTGAAGAACTATTATTGTTTTCATTTTACTTATTACGTAGATGCAAGTAAGAATTATGGCAAAAACTTGAGAAATGTACTAATAAGTGAATAATGTCAATAAATTAGGAGTGATCATAACTTTATTTTGCAGAAGTAAAATTATAAAATTTATTTTATGAAATTGTGGATTTTTAAATGATTTTTTTCTTTTTTTTTCTGAGGGCTTCAACCTTGTATTATTAGAAGGAAATTTTCACTGCAATTCCATAGAAGTCTGTTTATTCTCATGCCATTTAAAATAATGGTCACTTAAAAATTTATTTGATCCTGTTAAAATATACAAATTATCTGTGTTTTATTGGGATGCACCTTTCCTCTACATTAAGTAAAGATAAAGATTCTGGCCGGGCGCAGTGGCTCACTCCTGTAATCCCAGCACTTTGGGAGGCCAAGACGGGCGGATCATGGGGTCAGGAGTTCGAGACCAGCCTGACCAACATGGTGAAACCGTCTCTACTAAAAATACAAAAATTAGCCAGGCGTGGTGGTGCGTGCCTGTAATTCCAGCTACTCGGGAGGCTGAGGCAGGAGAATCACTTGAACCCGGGAGGTGGAGGTTGCAGTGAGCCAAGATTGCGCCACTGCACTCTAGCCTGGGTGACAGAGCGAAACTCTCATCTCCAAAATAAATAAATAAAGAAAGATTCTAAGGCTTGGATGTCTTTTAGCTATCTTTAGCAGAATTAGTGGGAATATTTAATAAATTTAGGCTTGGAGTCATTTTGAAATTATCTATAAGAATAAATCTTAATATGTAGTAACTCACTTTTTTTTTTTTTTTTTTTTTGACACGGAGTTTTGCTCTTGTTGCCCAGGCTGGAGTGCAGTGTCAATGGTTTCGGCTCACTGCAACCTCCACCTCCTGGGTTCAAGTGATTCTCCTGCCTCAGCCTCCCTAATAGCTGGGATTTCAGGTGTGCGCCACCATGCCCGACTAATTTTTTGTATTTTTAGTAGAGGTGGGGTTTCACCATGTTGGCCAGGCTGACCTCAAACTCCTGACCTCAGGCGATCCACCCTCCTTGGCCTCCCAAAGTGTTGTGATTACAGACATGAGCCACTGGCCCAGCAGTAACTCATTCTTATATAGGGATTTGTTCTATTAATTGCATGACTTAATACTTCTGTCAGTTTATCAATATGATATTTAAGATGTTGCAGAATCTTTCAAATAATTTGTCTCTTGTATTTATAATTTTATACAACAAATGGAAGATGTTGGGTTTTAGAGTTTAATTTTTTTCTCAGAATAGAAGTTTGAAAACATAAATACTTATGGTTTAGCAACTGAGATTTTGTGCCTACTGTTAAATTGATAAACTTTGTTCATTCATAGTGTCTGCCTTTTTTCCTTTGGGAAGTTCTAATTGGATTAAAATAAGATGACTGTTTAGAAACTAGTAGTTTCAAATTTTCATGTGTTGTATTTAACTCAACTATTAACTCAATTATTATTTTATTAGGTGGATACTTTAATACTGATAAGCCACACCCCAGGGGTGAAATTCTTATTGGGGGCCAAAGTGTGACAATGGGGTACTACAAAAATGAAGCAAAAACAAAAGCTGATTTCTTTGAAGATGAAAATGGACAAAGGTGGCTCTGTACTGGGGATATTGGAGAGTTTGAACCCGATGGATGCTTAAAGATTATTGGTAAGTCATCTAATATTTTTTTGAAAATGAATGTTTCTGAAATAGTTTACACAAGAAGCACAATATATTTAGAGGAGGCGCTGAATAATATAAATCTTTATGTAATCTTAGTTTGGGTTGTTGCATCACTCCTGGAATATAAAATATTACGGACTGTGGAATTTATGAGGCCTGACATGTTATGAGTTCTCAAAGATGGTTCAGCAGCAGTGGTATTTTAAATTACTCTTAGATAACCTTCAGTCATTGTTTCCTGCCTGTGTTTCTGACATCTAGAGATTAGTGGATGGAGCTCTCACAGTCTGAACTGCACCCTTGCCTTGCCCTGCCCAGGAGAATAGAGGAAAGCCAGGCAGCTCAAGTACTATGACTCATATGGGTTGAAAAATACCTTATTCTGCTTCTCCTTTTAGGTTCTTTTTTTTTAAAAGTTAATGGCATTTCAGTTAGCCGTGTGTGGTGTCTTTGTCGGGCACCTGTAATCCCAGCTACTTGGGAGGCCGAGGCAGGAGAATGGCATGAACCCGGGAGGCAGAGCTTGCAGCAAGCGGAGATCGCGACACTGCACTCCAACCTGGGCAACAGAGCAAGACTCTGTCTAAAAAAAAAAAAAAAGTTAATGGCATTTCTATCCCTGTCTTGCTAACTAGAAACCTGGGAGGAGACTCAAGACTGTTCTCTTCAGTCAGCTTCCCATGCCTATTTTATATCCCACTAGTTTATTTTATGAGCTATGTCTCAAAATCATACTCTTCTCTCTTTGTCTCTCTTACTTGATCATTGGTCAGGCCTGTACCTTCTGCCACCCTCTCCCAATAATTTCTCTGTTGCCATGTTTACCCCCTTAAACACACCCTCTCACTGCCACCATGTAATTACTAAACATGGATCTTACTGGCCACAACCATTTAATGTCTCCTAGAAGCTCAGTTCAGGGTGCCCCTGTTAACATTGTTCCCCTCTTCACCTTCATCGTCAGTTGTTTTCCTCCTCCTCCTTGATGCAGCTGAAATTAGAGCTGATGTTCTTCTGGCTTTTGCCAGTGTTGTTGCACCTGACCTCTCACTTTTCCCTTAGGACTCGGCTCAAGCAGCTGAGCATAGTGACTCAGGCCTGTAATCCCAGCTACTCGGGAGGCTGAGGTGGGAGTATCACAGGAGCCCAGGAGGCCGTGATTGTGCCACTGCACTCCAGTATGAGCAACAGAGTGAGACCCTGTCTCAAAATCTCAAAACCAACCAACCATCCAACCCTCAGCTCAGGCCTCACTTGCAAGAATTTTTTCCAAATCCCCAGGTTGGAGAGTCTTAACACTTAGCGCTACCATTGTAGTACCAATGTATTGAAGTAATACGTTTTTGCATTATGCATGTCTCCAGATAGGTTGTGAACTTGCAGATGGCATTGAATATCTTCTTCACCTGCCTGGTACTAATGGATACCAGAAATAAACCTGTTCAGAAGAACATACTTGAAGCCCTGCTAATGGAGTCCATTAAGTAGAAGTTAATTGTTTTTCTTTCTTTCTTTTTTTGAGATGTAGTCTTGCTCTGTCGCCCAGGCTGGAGTGCAGTGGCACCATCTCAGCTCACTGCAACCTCTGTCTCCTGGGTTCACGCAATTCTCCTGCCTCAGCCTCCTGAGTAGCTGGGATTACAGGTGTGCACCACCACGCCCAGCTAGTTTTCGTATTTTTAGTAGAGTCGGGGTTTCACCATGTTGGCCAGGCTGGTCTCGAACTCCTGACCTCAAGTGATGTGCCCGCCTCGGCCTCCCGAAGTGCTGGGATTACAGACATGAGCCACTGGACCTGGCCTGTTTTTCTTTTAAAAGCATGGGCCGGGCGCGGTGGCTCACGCCTGTAATCCCAGCACTTTGGGAGGCCGAGGCGGGTGGATCATGAGGTCAGGAGATCGAGACCATCCTGGCTAACAAGGTGAAACCCCGTCTCTACTAAAAATACAAAAAATTAGCCGGGCGCGGTGGCGGGCGCCTGTAGTCCCAGCTACTCGGGAGGCTGAGGCAGGAGAATGGCGTGAACCCGGGAAGCGGAGCTTGCAGTGAGCCGAGATTGCGCCACTGCAGTCCGCAGTCCAGCCTGGGCGACAGAGCGAGACTCCGTCTCAAAAAAAAAAAAAAAAAAAAAAAAGCATGTATTTAGCAGTACAAAAATTAGGGCCTAATTTTAATATGTGCTTTTAATTTCAGCATAACCATTAATGCTTAATTTTGCAAAGTTTTAAATAATTTGATAGCAAATTACTTAGAGAATGGCCAGTATTTATATATGTATTAAATGTTACTAATATTATTACTCATTGTTTTCCCCTCTCCACCTTTCTTTGTTTTGCAGATCGTAAAAAGGACCTTGTAAAACTACAGGCAGGGGAATATGTTTCTCTTGGGAAAGTAGAGGCAGCTTTGAAGAATCTTCCACTAGTAGATAACATTTGTGCATATGCAAACAGGTAAGAACGTGGAATTCATACTACTTTTACTTAAAATATTTGATGTCCATAGACATTTCCTACCTGTATGGACCTTCTTTGTAAAAATGTTCCGAGAACTCTTCCTATCTGTTACTTGTGGGAATGGCCTCCTTCTCATTGCAGCCATTAGCTGACTCTTTTCCTTGTAAGGCTTCCCCTGATCTTTCTCTCTGTCCCTGTTTTCTGCTTTACGTCTCACTGCAGTGTCCCATGGAGGGAGGTGAAGAAAATAAAACCTTCCTTCCTGCTGCCTTGGTACCCCTACCTACCTGTCCCTCAGCAGGGGAAGCTTCACAGAACTACTCCAGAGGAATGGGGAGTAAAGAAGTGGCAGTGAGGAGTGTGCTGCTTACTTACTCCTGCTCTACACTTGAGCCTGCTCGGCACTCCAGGCAGGTCTTGGGGCTCCTATGTAAGCTGTGTTAAGCTGCAGCCTAAACACACAGCCTCCCCACCTCATGATGATGAAGAGGCAGCTGGGGACCTGTCTACGACAGTTGACATGAATTATTATGGGAAAATAAAATCTGTTATCAGGAAAACTAATTTAGAAACAGATGTTGGGGGTACAGCCCAAGTTAGAAATGAATTGCATTTATTTATAAATGATTCTGGTCTTTAGCCATTTAGTATTTTCTTTAGTGATGATACAGATCTGGATTTATTCATGTGATAGTAACCAGAAGCATCTTCTTCCTGATGTTACTATTTTATGGCCTTCAAAAAAGTATTTGCCTTCGTTGGGCATAGTCAGAGTTCCTCTATCAATACAAATTCTGATGATAACAAAAGAAAAAAAAGAATATATTCACATCATTTTGATTCGTTGCTGAATTTTTAAGATAGTTTTTAATTTATGTTAAATTTTAGTTTTTTAAAACACATGCTATGAAATACTGATAGGGTTTAAAGGTGAATATTCTAATATTTGTAACTTTCTTTTAAAATGTGTACATGGCAGTATTCATAACAGTTTTTCATAGTTGAAATTCATCATGAAATGTCAGATTGAAGTTTATTTAGCAACGAACTCTGCCAAAGCATTGGAAAATATTATGAATCAAACAGTAAAACTGGCGGTTGCATGAAATGGATATGCCAGTGCCAAGTATGGCACATGCATTTTAAAAAAAATGAGGAGTTATTTACTACTTGTCACTGTAATAATAACTGCAGTCAACACAGTTCACCATTTTGTTCCTTATCTGTTATCCTTTCTATATTTCAGTTATCATTCTTATGTCATTGGATTTGTTGTGCCAAATCAAAAGGAACTAACTGAACTAGCTCGAAAGAAAGGACTTAAAGGGACTTGGGAGGAGCTGTGTAACAGTTGTGAAATGGAAAATGAGGTACTTAAAGTGCTTTCCGAAGCTGCTATTTCAGGTGAGTATTCGGTTAAACTGATACTAAAAACTGAGATGGGAAGAGAGTACTTACATGCATTCAACCTGTTTTAAGGTTTAGGGTTCATTACTTTCTGCTCAGAAACCATTTCTACCGTTAGTATATGGAAGAGTAAACTTATCAGTCCCCCATTCAAGCCTTGCTACACAAATTAACCACTCCCACCAAACTGATGTACATGTATCTTGAATGTTCTTGTCTCTGCAACCTTTGCTTTCTGGGTTACCCTTTCTCTTATGTCAGCTGTTCTTCAAGGCCTTGCTCAGTTTTCTGGCCACACTAGCCCATAGTGATCAGGCCAAAACTCCTTTTGAAACTTTATACAATGTTAGAGTACTGGTAGTTGGTTGTACTAATAGTTTCATAACCATTTTTGGTGGGGTGAGGAGTGCCCAAGACTAGTTTAATATTGTTGGTCTAATAAAAACATCTGTGTCTTTTGAGTTGTTGTGTCAAGCATAAAACAAGCGTGAATTATTTTTTATTTTATTTATTTTTTTAAGAGACAGGGTCTCTTCTGTTGCCCGAACCAGAATGCAGTGGCAGTCATAGCTTACTGCAGCCTTGAACTCCCAGGCTCAAGCGATTCTTCCCTTCAGCCTCCCAAGTAGCCGGGACTACCAGTGCATGCCACTATGCCTAGCTAATTAAAAAAAATTTTTTTGTTGTTTTGTTTTGTTGTTGAGATGAGGCCTCACTATGTTGGCCAGGCCAGTCTTGAACTCCTAGGCTGCAGCGATCCTCCCAACTTAGCTTCCTGAGTACCTGGGACTACAAGCATGTGTCACCATGCCAGGCTCCAGCATTTACTTTTTAGTCTCTTCACATTTCAGTAATGTCAGATTCCACACAGTCTTTTAAGTCAGCCCTGTGGTACATGCCTTATTGGTTTTGCTCATAGTGTATATTCCTTTGGAAACCACTCCTGAAATATTTTTAATCTTTGAAGACTGAAACCTTGTGTATTATTTCTATGTTTACTTTTACAGGTTAGAGTTAATACATCTTTTTTTACTCCCAAGGCACTTTATGTCTTTAATTTTGCATATTTCTTTCTTTTATTGTAGTAAAAATCTCATAACGTTCAATTTACTATCTTAACATTTTAAGTGTACAATTCAGTAATGTTAAGTGTATTTACATTATTGCACAACTGATCTTTATAACTATTTCATCTTGCAAAACGGAGACACTATACCCATTACACTAATTCCCCTTCCCTCTCTCCCCCTTCCCTCCACCTTTTTACTTTATGTTTCTAAAATTTTGATTACTTGAGGTACTTCATACATGTGGAATCATACGGTATTTATTCTTTTGTGACTGTCTTATTTAGTGTATCTTCAGGGTTTATTCATATTGTACCATGTGATAGGATTTTTCTTTTTTAGGTTGCGTAATACTCCATTGTATGTATATTGCACATTTTCTTTATCCATTCATCTGTGTTTGGACATTTGGGTTGTTTCTACCTTTTGGGTATTGTGAATAATGCTGTGATGAACATAGATGTGCAAATATGGCTTTGAGATTCTGCTTTGAATTATTTTGGATATATACCCAGAAATGAGATTGTTAGATCCTATGGCAATTATTAATACTATATTTAATTTTTTCAGGAAACTCCATACTGTGTTCCTTAATGACTATTGATTTACATTCCCACCAACGGTATTAAGGGTTTCCATTTCTCCACATCCTCACCAACATTTGTATATTTTTTTCTAATATCCATTCTAACAGATGTGAAGTGATATCTCATTGTGGTTTTGATTTGCATTTCTCTTTTTATTAGTTATGTTGGGCATCTTATATATACTTGTTGGCCATTTACATATCTTCTGCAGAAAATTGTCGATTCAAGTCCTTTGCCCATTTTAAAATCAGAATTCTGCACCCTCCCCCCCCACCCCACCCCCGTAGTTAAGTTGTACAAGTTTCTTACAAATTCTGAACATGTATTAGTCTGTTCTCACACTGCTATAAAGACATACCTGAGACTGGGTAATTTATAAAGGAAAGAGGTTTAATTGACTCACAGTTCTGCATGGCTCGGGGAGGCCTCAGAAAACTTACTGTACATTTGTGGCAGAAGGGGAGAGAGGGAAGCAAAGGGACATCTTACATGGCGGCAGGCGAGAGAGCAAATGAAGAGAGAGAGAGAGAAAGCGAAGGGGGAAGAGCCCCTAAAACCATCAGATCTTGTGAGGTCTCACTCACCATCACGAGAACAACATGGAGAAACCGCACCCATGATCCAGTCACCTCCCACCAGGTTCCCCCCTTGACATGTCGGGATTATGGGGAATATAATTTGAGATGAGATTTGGGTGGGGACCCAGAACTAAACCTTATCAGGACATTGCATTTATTTGTGTCTTTTAAAATTTCTTTTAGTAACATTTTGTAGTTTTCAGGGTACAAGTCTTTCACCTCCTTGGTTAGGTTTATTCCTAAGTATTTCCTCCTTTTTGATGCTACATTAAATGGTATTGTTTTCTTAATTTCTTTTTCAGAACAGTTATTGTTAGTGTATAGACATGCAATTGATTTTTCGTGTTGATTTTTTTTATCCTGCAACTTTGCTGGAATCTTTATTAGTTATGAAGGTTGTGTGTGTGTCTTTAGAGTTTCCTACATATAACTTTTCTTTTTGATCTTCTGATTGTTCTATTCATAAATGAAAGTGGAGTATTGAAGTCTCCTACTATTATTGTATTGCTTTCTATTTCTTCCCCTAGTTATGTCAGTGTTTGCTTCATATATTTAGAAACACTCAAGTTACGCGTATATTTGTAATTGTTATATCATCCTGGAGAATTGACTCTTTTATCATTATATTGTAATTAATGTCCTTCTTTGTCTATTGTGACAATTTTTGTCTTAAAGTCTGTTTTATTTAAGTATGGCCATCCCCTTTAGGTTCTTATTTTCATGGAATATCTATTTCCATCCTTCACTTTAGGTTACGCATGCCCTTGGATCTAATGTATGTTTCTTGTGGATGGCATATACTTGAGTCTTGTTTTATATTCAGTTGGTCAATCTGTATCTTTTAATTGGGCATTTAATTTACATTTCAGGTCATTATTGATATGAAAGACTTTTCATACCTATTTCCATTTTGTTAACTATTTTCTGTATATCTTGTAGCTTTTCCTCTCTTGCTGCCTTCTTTTGTTTTGTTGATTTTTTGTGTGTATAATTACATTCTTTGATTCCCTTGTCTTTTATCTTTGTGTATGTTCTATAGACATTTTCTTTGTGGTTGTCAATACAGTTACATAAAACATCTTAAAATTATTAACAGTATATTTTAGTTTGATAGCAGCTTAATCTTCCGTCTCATATAAAAACTTGACTCCTTTGTAACTCTGCTCCTCCCTCAAAAAAGACCTTTTTATTGTGTAGTCATTAATATAGATTCATAATTACTTTTTATGTCTTTGTTTTTTAAATTCTATACAGATTTAAATGTGACTTATACACCTATATCAAATTACTTTCAGAATTCTGTATTTGCCTATGTATTTACCTTTACCAAGGAGTATTGTAGTTTCTTATGGTTTTGTGTTACTGTTTGTTTTCATTTTGCTTTAACTTGAAGTACTCCTATCATTATTTTTTGTAGGACTGGTCTAGTGGTGATAAACCCCCTCTACTGTTGTTTATCAAGGAGTCTTAATTTTTCCCTTATTTTCGAAGGACAGGTTTAGGTTACAGTATTCTTGGTTGACAATTTTTTTTCTTTCAGTATTTTGAATACTACTATTTTCTAACCTGCCAGTTTTCTGCTGATAAATGATAGTTCAATGAGAGCTTCTTTGTATGTGATGAGTCATTTTTCTCTTGCTGCTTTCAAGATTTTTTGTGACTTTTGACAGCTTGATTACGAGTGTGTTTTGGTGTAGTTCTCTTCCTAGTGGAGTGTTTTGAGCTGCTTGAATTTATACTCCCATTTCTCTTCTCAGATACAGGAAGGTTTTGGCCATGATTTCTTCAAATAGGCTTTCTGCTCCTTTCTGTCTTCTTTTTCTGAACTCCTATAATGAGCATTTTTCCACTTGATGGTGTCCCATTCATTCCTTAGGTTCTCTTCATTTTTACATTTTTCCTCTCTTAGTAATTTCAGAAGTCCTGTCTTGGAGTTCATAGATTCTTTTTTCTACCTGGTCAAGTTGCTGTCGATCCTCTAGTGAATTTTTCAATCCATTTATTGTATTTGGTTCCAGAATTTCTATTTGGTTCTTCATTTTAAAAAAATTTCTTTCATTTATACTTTCATTTTGTTCATGCGTTGTTTTCTTGTTTTTTTTCAGGTGTCTGTCTGTACTCTCTTGTAATTCATTGAGCATTCTTATGACGGTTATTTTGAATTTGGTAATTCATCTATTTCCATGTCTTTCTGGGGTTTATTTCTGGAGATTTAATTTGATCTTTTGATAGCCTGTGTTTTTCTATTTCTTTGTATGTCTTTATTTTTGTTGGGATGTCAGCATTTGAAAAATCAGCTACCTTTCTCTGTCTTACAGTCTGCTTTTGTATTGAGAGGACTTTGTCCAGTCAGCCCTACTACGGATTCTAGAGCCAGCCATCTTAAGCCTTTTCCGAGGCTGTGTCCTTTTTGAGTTTGTGGGGTACAATCTAATTGAAGAGGTTTGCTGGTTTCTACTCAGGAGCTCCCTCTGGTGTCTGTCTGTGATATTGTGGCCTCACTGGTGCTGTAGTTGGCCATGGTACTGGAGCTCTACCTAGTGTCTGTGATACTGCAGCCTCTGGTTCATGTTAATCTTTGTTCTTGACAGCTCCCAACCTGGTGCCCTGTTCCTGTTATTTAGATTCAGGAAAGACAGAAGCAAGTTTCTTGCACCCCAGAAGTCAGAATATTGGATGTGTGTTCCACTCCTCTTAGGGATTTCTTCCCTATTACTTTGTACTGTGCTGAGGGGAGGGTCTCTGGCAAGCGAATGCCTTGCATTTTTCTACCAGCCTTTGATGCGGTTGGTTTCCTTCTGTCCCGGAGTGTAGGAACTTCTTAAGTGGTTTCTGGGTTTCTTACACAGGCAATAAATAGGCCCATATAGCATTGTTAAATCCATGTTTCTGTAGGGGAAGGAGGGACTGCGTTTTCCTATATTGTCATCTTGCTGACATCACTCCTTAACACATTTCTTTCATGTATCATATGGCTAGCTGTTTACCCATTTCCCTTTGTTAGATTGCATGCTACTTGAAAGCAGAAACTTGTCATTTTTTTGCATTTTTAAAAGAATGTTTAGTAAAGCACTTTACATGTAGTAATAGTTTTTTAATATTTGTTGAACAAATGCTTAGAAAAATAAGTCAGTCCTACTGACGACATACGGTTTTTCAAAACTACATCTGCCCCTTAATCTCCTTTAAATGTTTTCCTTTCTTCCCTTCCTTTCTCCCTTCATTTGCTGCTATCATGAATCTCCTTAGTATTAGGCAATATGTTAGTAACACAATAGTGAGCAAGCATTCTGTATCCACATAGCTTGTAGGGAATATCCTGGTTCAATGACATAATTTGTCTTAAACTTTATTATTTTTTAATTTCTGAAGTAAATGTGCTCTGCATAATAAATTCAAGGAAAACAAATAGGCATAAAGGAAAAGGTGAATTTCCCCATTTCCTTTCTCCTGGATACCAGGCTCTAGAGGTGTGGAGTTTATAGCTTGGTATGTATCCTTCTCCTCACATCTAGGTGCATATAAGTTTATGCAGCCTGTGCTGGAACTTGTCTTTTTTTTTTTTTTTTTTAACCTAACAATAGGCATTTATGCAGCATATAATGAAGTTTCAGTCAGTGACAGACACAGACTGCATATATGACAGTGGTCACGTAAGATTATAATGTATTTTTACTGCCTTTTCTATGTTTAGATACACTTAAATACACAAATACTTAACTATTGTGTTACAATTACCTATGGTATTCAGTACAATAACGTGCTGTGCGGGTGTGTAGCCTAGGAGCCGTAGGCTAGATAATGCAGCCTAGATGTATATATAGTAGGCTATACCATCGACATTCGTGTAAGATATGCTATGATGTTCCCATGATGGCAAAACTGCCAAGTGTGTGATGCATTTCTCAGAACATATCCCTGTCATTAAGAGATGCGTGACTATATTGGATACCCTATTAGATACCTGTCTAAATGTAATTTTTTTTTTTTTTAAATGAGATGGGGTTTCGCTCTGTTGCCCAGGCTGGAGTGCAGTAGCACGATCATAGCTCACTGCATCTTCAGATCTCCTGGGCTCAAGTCATCCTCCCACCTCAGCCTCCTGAGTAACTGGTACTACAAGCGTATGCCACTATACCCAGCTTATATTTTTTATTTCTATTAAAAAATATTTTTAAGTTACTTATTTTAGAGACAAGGTCTCGCTATGTTACCGAGGCTGGCCTTGAATTCCTGGCCTCAAGCGATCCTCCTGCCTGAGCTTTCAGAGTTACTGGGATTACAGGCATGAGCCATCATGCCTGGCTCTAACTCGTTTTCAATGACAGAATATATATTCTATTTTGTTCCTATATCATATTTTATTTAACTCATTTTCCTCTTGATGGGGACTTGTTAAATAGTTTATTGTTTTACTTATGTTTGTATTTTGAGGAATAGATTCTTTAGAAGTGACATTCATGGTTCACTTGTTGGTTGTGCATTTTGATGGATACGCAAAAAGTGGGGAAGTTACACCATTTGCTAAGAACTTAAATACCTTTTCTTCTTTTCTTTTTTTTTAATCATCTTAGCAAGTCTGGAAAAGTTTGAAATTCCAGTAAAAATTCGTTTGAGTCCTGAACCGTGGACCCCTGAAACTGGTCTGGTGACAGATGCCTTCAAGCTGAAACGCAAAGAGCTTAAAACACATTACCAGGCGGACATTGAGCGAATGTATGGAAGAAAATAATTATTCTCTTCTGGCATCAGTTTGCTACAGTGAGCTCAGATCAAATAGGAAAATACTTGAAATGCATGTCTCAAGCTGCAAGGCAAACTCCATTCCTCATATTAAACTATTACTTCTCATGACGTCACCATTTTTAACTGACAGGATTAGTAAAACATTAAGACAGCAAACTTGTGTCTGTCTCTTCTTTCATTTTCCCCGCCACCAACTTACTTTACCACCTATGACTGTACTTGTCAGTATGAGAATTTTTCTGAATCATATTGGGGAAGCAGTGATTTTAAAACCTCAAGTTTTTAAACATGATTTATATGTTCTGTATAATGTTCAGTTTGTAACTTTTTAAAAGTTTGGATGTATAGAGGGATAAATAGGAAATATAAGAATTGGTTATTTGGGGGCTTTTTTACTTACTGTATTTAAAAATACAAGGGTATTGATATGAAATTATGTAAATTTCAAATGCTTATGAATCAAATCATTGTTGAACAAAAGATTTGTTGCTGTGTAATTATTGTCTTGTATGCATTTGAGAGAAATAAATATACCCATACTTATGTTTTAAGAAGTTGAGATCTTGTGAATATATGCCTGTCAGTGTCTTCTTTATATATTTATTTTTTATTAGAAAAAATGAAGTTTGGTTGGTGATGCATGAAACAAAATAGCAAGAGAGGGTTATAGTTTAATAGTAAGGGAGATAACACAGCATGTGTAGCACCAGTTGATAATTGGTCTCTAGTAGCTTACTGTCAAAATGTTCAATGAAGTCTTCTGTTCATCTGTTGAAACTAGGAAAATACCCAAACTTAAATGGAAGAATTCTGAAAGAGAGGATAGAATTTAAAGAACAAGAGTATATAAAGTTATTCTTTGAATATTTCGTTGACTATATGTACATTGAGTTATCTATATTTGTAAACAAATTAGTCATGGAAAATTATTCTATCTCAAAGTCTCCTTTTAGTCTAGATAATCATTATTTCATTTTAAAATTAGTGTTTTTCCTAGTTTGCACTGATGCGTGTATGGATGTGTGTGAGTCAGTGGTAGCTTATTTAAAAAGCACCTTATCCTTTCTCCCATAACCTTTGTACACTAAAAAATGAAAGAATTTAGAATGTATTTGATGATAGCATTCTCACTAAGACACATGAGAATTTAACTTTATAACCGCGTGAGTTAAGATTTAATTCATAGGTTTTGATGTCATTGTTGAAGTTATTTGTAATTCAGAAACCTTGCTTGTGTGATACATAGTCTCTTCATTTATTACTGCTTGTCTGTTGTTATATCTGGATTATCAAAAGCAATAGTGCACCAATTAAGATGTGCTCAAATCAGGACTTAAATCATAGGCACCACATTTTTCATGTCAGACTAGTTACTTTGTTGATTCTCAGTTACTGTAGGCATCAAAAGGCAAAAATCAAAAAAAAAAAAAACAAAAACAAAAAAAAAGATGAACCTAGGTCTGTGTAAAGTAAGGGGAGTGTTAGGAGCAGCCAGGACTGTGTAGTGTGTGTTTGGTTGCATCACAAACATCGTATGTGGAGACATTGCAATACAGTGTTTTTTGTTTTCAACTTTTCTTGTATTGTATATTTGTATTATGTTTTGAATGCTTTTCTCTTTTCATAATTAAATATTAATGTTTGGGATAACTGCCAAGAAGAAGTAAAAATATTGAATGGAACTTCTATATGAGGATGCTGTGATCTAAAAATTAAATCTCAGTGGGCGGAGAGAATTTGTTTCTGATGCCTTGTCTTTAGAATAATTGTTTGCTTTCAGATGATTAAAAAAAGGAGATTGTATCTAGGAAAAAAGTGTGAATGCTTCAAAGGAGAGATACTGATAATTGTGACTTGAAATAGTGTCAGATGAATTATGTAGCTGATCACTGATGGAACCATCTAATGAGGCAGGCTTAAACTCTATTTAGTTTCGTTTGTTTTCTCATATGAAGTTTATAATTCCTTTCAGTCCTAAAATGTCAGATGCCAGGTGTCAAATGCCACAGTAGAAAGTGAAATTAAGTAGAGTCCCCTTTTAAACAAATTTGTCTGTAAGCAAAACTATCTTTAGTGACTTAAAAAATAATATCCTCTAAAATTACCCTTTCAAGAGGAAAAAACTGTTCAATGAAAAAACCACTCAATTATGACTCATATAAGAAATACTGGTTTAACCAGGAGATATTTGGGGAGCAAAATTTTAAGGAATTTCAAATTGCTAAATCTAATACAAATATCTGACAATAAGATACAGATCTAAAAGAATGGTTCTTAAGAACTATTGTTTACTGGGAATAAACTAAGCTCTATGAAGAATTCGTAAGCATTACATGTTCCAGTAAGTTTAGCAACTTAGAGCCAAGACTGGTGGCCACCTCCATTTATTTCCCCACTGCTCCTCCACTGACATCCTTCTTAGCAGAAACTTCATGAAAAAGTTTTTGCTGACACAGAACAAACCTGAAAGTAGTATCTACTTTCTAAATACTACTTTGCTTTTCAGTAGTGGATTTGATATTTATAATGTTCTCTAAAGCTTGCAACTTTTTCAGCAACGTTTAAAAATAGATTAACCTGGAATAACTTACTTGTTTGCTGCTAAAATACTCAAGATTTTGCCATTTTTAAACAACCAGTCCCTGTGATACAACTTTGAAAAAACTTTTAAAAATCTCTGATGTGTGGGCTCTTTTTTTCCCATAAGAATTATGTACATCTGTGATGTTTTACAGGGGGATCCGCTTTTAAACAGTGTACATATTGGACCACACTGAAATGTCATATATCCTTTCTCTACTTAAAATTGGTTATTTACTGTGAGTTCATTTCCGATGTGTTCTTGGTTGTTGCTGTTTTCTGCCTGAAGACGTGTATCATAAAGAGCTACATGGTATGGACTATTTATTTGTAATTTGACATAAAGTTTGAAGAATAAAGATCTATAAAAGTTGAAGTTTCTGATATTAAAGCTCTTAATATATTGGCTTTTTTTTTTTTTTTTTTTGGTTTTGGTTTTTAAGAAAAGCTGTTCCTGTAAAAGTGAAACTTTCATTGACATTCCTGAAATACTTGAAGAAGGAGTTTGGGGAATTTTCCATCCTGACCTAACAACCTAACCAAAGGAAAACTTTTTATTCTAGAAATTCTGTTAATAATCTATTTCCTAGCCTTTTTATATTCTAACTTTCCCCTAACCCTTCCCGAATTCCTCCTTTCCATTCCTCCTTTTTGGTTCTGACTGCCCAGAAGATATACTGTCAGCATTTTAAATTCCAAAATATTCATACAGCATAAAATCTTGAATAGAGGTGGTAAATTGAAATTTGGCATCAAAATTAATGGGGTAGAATCTACAATGTGGCAGAAATATCTAAACTTTGTGCCAACATTTAATCCAATAATTGTGGGAGGAAGAGTTGTATCATGCTGTGTTTCAGAAACTAACCTCCCTCACCCACCCCATCTTTGACTGCCAGTCAATATTTGTGGGTATATGTAACTTTATCATAGCATACTTTTGTCTCTGTGTGTAATCCTGTAACAAAACCAGTTAAAGCTTTCTTTACATAAACATTTGGCATCTTTGTGTGTTTTGCATTAACTTAGACAGTTGTGCCTAATTTCTCCTCATTAACTTTGCTCAGGTTATTCTTTTAAACATTGGTAACAATATTTCTACCACACCAAATATGCAAATGATTTTAGGATGAGGCTGGTCTATAGTGTCATGGAATGGTTTTTATGGCATAACGTGAAACCGGTTATATGCAGATCTATAGTCTGATTTATGTAATAACATTATCTTCAATCTGATAAAATCTGCCTCTGATTTCCTCCTAATTAGTTGGTCCACATGCAAGCATATAGTCTGCAAGGGCCTGTCCATTTCAGAATCGCCTCTGTAAACCAGATGCCTTAACATGGTGCATGCATGGCCCCCAGAGGAGGTGTTCAGTAACTGGTTTTGAGTGAATTTGAAGTGTTAACGAAATTATTATAACAGTGCATACGTATCCTCTAATGTTACATGCCTATTTCTGGTTTGGATTTTCCAAAATGCTTTTCAGCAAACCCTTCCCCATTAGTGTCTTTATTTAGTGATTTTGAATTGTGTTCCCTTTGGTGGGATTCATTCAAAAGCAACTTCCTGCATTTGGTGATTTTTTTCTTAGATTCATTCTCATTTGTTTCTGAAGAAAGGTTGTTCTGTGTGGGTTTTTTGTTCTATAAAAAAGTGACTTTTCTGCGTGGATTACTTTTATAGAAACAAGGTTTGTCTCCCATATGAATGTTTTGATGCTGAAAGTTTTTCCATGTTAGTGCACTTACAGTTTTTCTCTCTGGAATGTACCCTCTCATGTTGAGAGAGCGAAGAGCTATAGCTACAGGTTTTCCCACACCGTCTGCCTTTGTAGGTTTCTTCCCAGTGTGAGTTCTTTCGTGTTTAATCCAGGCGAGCTACAAGGGAAAAATTCTCCACATTGACCACATTTGTGGAGTTTCTCCAGTATTAATTCTTTACTGGTTACTAAACGACGCTTTTTGCTTAAGATTTCCCCTCCTTCTTTATATTCGTAGGTTTTTGGTTTTTTAACTTACATGAACTCTCACATGTTGAACAAAGGAGGAGCAGTCTTTAGAGATTTTAGATACTTTATGTTCACAGGATTTCTCACCTGTATGATTTTTCTCATGTTGATTAAGGCAGTAGTTCTCAAACTTTCTGGTTTCAGGACCTCTTTATGTTCTGAAATAAATTATTGAGAACTCCAGAATGTTTGTTTATGTGGCTTATATCTATCAGTATTTCTTTGTAAAGGGTTTGTATTTTATCATGAAACATGTAGAAGTAAATCATTCACTTTGATTTTTCTTCATGACCATAATCATATTAAGAATACAAAAGGTATAAGAGAGTGGCACAGGATGAGGGTTTATTAGGAGGGCTGTATGTATGCCTTCCCCACCCCTGACTCCCAAGAAAAAAGATTATAGCTATCAGAAGAACATAGCTTTGCAAGATTTGTTCTGTGATAAAGGCAAAATTCCACATTTTTCCTCAAAATAGAAATGAAAAACAACTATGTTGTCCAAATAATTTGATGCCCCAACTTTCAAAATGTTTATGTATAGAAGCCTATAGCTCCAACGCGCTGCCTAGCCCTGCCACTTTGTCAACCCCATGGCCATATTCTGGGCCCTGTTATCGCTCAGAAGGCCCTTGTCTGGAATCTGGGAAAAGGAGGATGTTGAAGACTTAAAAGTCCTAATGCCTTTAATGGGGGCCTGGAAGGATGGGGCTTCAGGCCTGGCGGGAAAGGAATGGTGTTGTGTGGGAAGGTGCTCACATATAAAACATCCAGCTCTAACAACCCAGCAATGTGCTGTCCTCAAAGCTCCCAACCCCGCTGTGAGTCACCCCATCTGAGGACCTCCAT
This sequence comes from Homo sapiens, assembly GCF_000001405.40. Taxonomy (NCBI): domain Eukaryota; kingdom Metazoa; phylum Chordata; class Mammalia; order Primates; family Hominidae; genus Homo; species Homo sapiens. Next base: position 222,947,110 of record NC_000002.12, read on the forward strand.
GAGTGGCCAGGGCACAGTCCCTTATTCTGCTAGATGCTCTGCCTGCCCTGTATAATACCTCTCTGCTCAGCCTTAGCACTAACGCCATCCTCACTCCAGTCCTCTCTTGGTTTGAATGTTTTGGATGTCTTGAGAGCATTGGGGCAAGAACTCCGAGAATTTTTTTTCTGTTTTCTTTTTTTTTTTTTTGAGACAGTGTCTCACTCTGTGGCCGAGACTGGAGTACAGTGGTACGATCTCAGCTCACTACAACCTCCATCTCCCGGTTCAAGTGATTCTCCTGCCTCAGCCTCCTGAGTAGCTGGGATTACAGGCACCTGCCACCACACCCAGCTAATGTTATATTTTTAGTAGAGACGGGATTTCACCATGTTAGCTAGGCTGTTCTCGAACTCCGGACCTCAGGTGATCCACCCGCCTTGGCCTCCCAAAGTGCTGGGATTACAGGCGTGAGCCACCGCTCCCGGCCTTAGAATTCTTTTAAACGTTTCCACAAATGTAAGAAAAGATGGCTTTTTGGTAGCCATGGTCAAAAATAGCCACCCAAATCTGTTTTTACCCTGTTCAGCACATCAGCAGTTCACCTCATGTAGGAAAGTGAGATGCACCAGAGGCTTAAAAAAGTTCCTATGGTTTGCCCACTAATTCCACATCTAGGAATCTGACCTTAGAAAATACTCAAGAGACGCGGGTTGAGATTTCTTCAGGAAGACCTTCATTGTGAAGTTGTTTATAGCAATCCATCAATTGGAAACAAGTGCACTAAAGTAAGATATCAGGTAAATATTAGACACTATCCACTTGATCATAGAGGCACAAAAAATGTTTATACAGCTTTTTATATTGTGAGGAGGACTTCATACTATGAATTTTATGGGGGAAGAAAGTAGGAATCAAAATTTAGTAGGCACTTTATGTCATAATGTGTGTGTGTGTGTGTTGTGTATATATTTCATAGAGAAAAGTCTAGAAAGAAATGTGCAATCATTGGCCAAAAATTGTAATTGACATTTTTCTCTTCATACTTTCAAAATTCTTTACATTGGCTTTACTTACTCCTACAATAAAAAGTCAAGCTTGTGTAAAGAAGCCTAGCTTAAAATATGGACCATAAGCTTTAAAATTTTTTATCTTAGCAAAATTATCAATTGTTAAGAAAAAATATTTGAAGCTATCTTAAGTGTTCTAGTAAAGAAGAAACTAGAAACCCTTTTATTTTCTAATCCCATTCATATTTATATATTTTTTGAAAGCTCCCTTCAACTATACCCTTGTTTATCAATCTTGTTCTGTTTGTTCCAGCTTTATAACGTGATATATGGGTATCTGTGCCTGTCTTCTGTATGTGCATTTTTTTTCTGGTAATTCTGCCCATGTTCTGCATATCTTTATTTTCATGTTCTTAATCCTTTTATTTACTGCTTCATGACTCAATTTTAATTTTTCTGTAACTGAATTATGTAGGACCTTGGCCCCTAAATAGCTCTTTTCAAGAAGATTTTCTTCTTGTGTGTCCAATAGATTTGCTATGCCCTTTCTCCTCCTCCTGTTAAATGTAAAACTTTATTAGTATCAATATCTGATATAGTTTGGTTGTGTCCCCACCCAAATCTCATCTTGAATTGTATCTCCTACAATTCCCACATGTTGCGGGAGGGACCTGGTGGGAGATCATTGAATCATGGGGGCAGTTCCCCCATACTGTTATCGTGATAGTGAATAAGTCTCACGAGATCTGATGATTTATAAGGGGTTTCCCCTTTCACTTGGCTCTCATTCTCTCTTGCCTCCCACCATATAAGATGTGCCTTTTGCCTTCCACCATGATTGTGAGGCCTCCCTAGCCATGTGGAACTGAGAGTCCATGAAACTTACTTTTCTTTGTAAATTACCCAGTCTCCAGTATGTCTTTATCAGCAGCGTGAAAATGGACTAATACAATATCATATTGTATATTTTTCTGTAGATCATCCATTTTAAAAAGAGGAGATGATTTGCTAATTTTTAAAAACAGCTCCTATAAGAAAAGGGAAATTCAGAAAGATGCTTTTCTTCTATCTTTTCCCTGAAAGTTGCCCAGTTCTTCTTTGCCTTTTGGTTGTTTTATTGGCTGATTCTAGCTCTGGGTCTGGTGTCAGTGTTGACCTGTGATCCCTCATCAGGGCCAGTGCTGAGACCTGTGGATGATTGCACCAGACGTCCTTTACAGACCAGGCTTGAGTCTCCCTGCTATTGTGATTTTTTTTTAAGCTTATTTGGAATGTTAGACAAACAGGTGTAAAAATACCATATTAGTTTTTGAAAGATTTGCTTATTTAGCATAACATGAATTTATGCTCATTATAAAATTTCTAGTAATTTGGAGATATAGACTAAAAATGGAAATCCTCCCTATATACACAGGGTTTTTAGAAAACATATAATGAATTAAATTTTGTCTCTCCTCCCAAATGTATATGTTGAAGTCCTGATCTCTAGTACCTCAGAATGTCAGTAAATTTGGAGATAGGGCCTTGAATAAGGTGATTAAGTTAATATGAGGTCATTAATGTGGCCCCTAATCCAATATGACTAGAGTCCTTGCACAAGGAGATCAGGACACAGATCTCCACAGAGTGAAGAGTGTGGGATGCCAACCCAAAAAGAGAGGTCTCAAAAGATACCAGCCCTGCTGACACCTTGATCTTGTCCTTCTAGCCAACAGAATTGTGAGAAAGTGAATTTCTGTTGCTCAAACCACCTAGTCTGTGATTTTGTTATGGCAGCCCTAGCACACTAATACAGACCGCAGTTAGATCCTGGTCTAGATTCTATAACTTGCCTTTTTTATTGTGAGCATACATTGGACATCTTCCTGTGTCAGTACATATATAATGGACCTGATTCATAAATAACCTTGTTAACGGCGAGGCAATATTCCACAGAATGGGTGTATCACAATGTAAACCATTCTCTCATTGTTAGGCACTTAGGTTATTTCAGTTTTTACCATTAGAATCAGTGTGACAACACAAAGCTTTTACTCCCATTTTTGTGCTTAAGAGGAAGCTCATCTACAGGACAGCTTTCTAACAGGAATGGCTAGGTAGATCAAACCTTAGCAGTTTTGTAAACTATCCAATTGTTATTTGGTTTTGAGTGTGTGTGTGTGTGTGTGTGTATGTACATATATATCTCCTGACTTCTCAGATAAATTTAAATTCCTGAGGAATGGGTGTTTTAGTGATTCTTTGTATCCTCCAAGTCTAGTGTCATATGACTTTCTTCTAAGAGATTCTGAGTGAATGTTGGGTATACTATCATTTTCATTAATTAGCCTTTTATCATCAATTAGCTAAAATGTGGGAAAGAAGGGGAAACATGGTGTGTAGTGTGACCCAGGCAGGTCCCGTCCCTCTGAGCCTTTGTAGACACTGTGTTAGTTTTCTTTTCTCCCTTTTTTTGCTTTTTGAAATAAGGTCTTGCTTTGTCACCCAGGCTGGAATGCAGTGGTGTGATCATGGCTCAAGCAATCCTCCTGCCTCAGTGTCCCAAGTAGCTGCGACTACAGGAGCGAACTGCCACATCTGGCTTATTTATTAATTAACTAATTAATTAATTTAATTATTTGTAGAGAAAGGGACTCACTATGCTGCCCAGGCTGGTTTCAAACTCCTGGCCTCAAGTGATCTTCCCGCCTCCACCTCCTAAAGTGCTTGGATTACAGGCGTGAGCCACCGCACCCGGCCCTGTGTTAGGTTTTTTTTTGTCATGGGTCTCTTTTTTCCACCTCCTTCCTTCCTCCTTTCCCTCCCTGCTAATAAACAATAATTTCATATGCCTTCTGAGTCATTTGAGAAATTGTTTTGTTCTACCTTCCGGGAATATGCTAATAATGAGTAAAATAAAAATGGGCAGGAATTTGATGTAAAATCCGAAGGCAGATTTGTGTTTGTATATCTCATCTTCTCTCCTCTGCGGCATTTACAGGAAGCAGCAGGGCTGCGTGGGTGATGGATGTTGCTGTCTGTGACCGTCTGCCGCCCATTCCTCTTCTTTGAATCACCAGCCTATGGGCTGTTCACCATGCAGCTGATGTTCACCAGCTCTGTATCTTCCATCTCCCCAAAGTGGCACGGACACAGAGCCTTGCTTATACACAGTGATGGGAATCTGGTGCAGTAGAAAACAAAATTTTCTTATTTTTCTCCCACCCCAAACCCTGGCAATACTGTTTTCACAGGTAGAGATGGTGAAGAACGCAGACTCATAGCAAGACACCCATGATCACCAGTCACCTGTGTGTCTGTGATGTCGAGGCTGACAATTAGATATGATTACAGATATGTGAAAAAAGGACAGTTTTTTTTATTGTAGTACTGGTAACAAGAATTGCTTTTTGAATTTTTTAATTGGGATCTCCTGTTTTTCCCCCCTCCAAGTCCTTCCTGCTTTTTCTTTGCTTTTAAGGATACAGAAAGATGATCACTTTTATTGGAAAAACCTGTTGAGAAGCTATGCTTGCGAGACATTAGCAATCCTCATGCTTGTGAGTTCCGGAACATTATACAGGCTGGGCATGGTGGCTCATACCTGTCATCCCAGTACTTCGGGATGCTATGGCAGGAGGATCTCTTCAGCCTAGGAGTTCAAGACCAGCCTGGGCAGCATAGGGAGACCTCAGCTCTACAAAAAAAAAAAAAAAAAAAAAAAGCCAGATGTGATGGTGCACACCTGTGGTCCACTAGGGAGGTGGGAGGATTGCTTGAGCCCAGGAGGTTGAGGCTGCAGTGAGCTGTGATCGTGCCACTGCACTCCAGCCTAGGCAACAGAGAGAGACCCCTGTTTCCAAAAAAACAAACAAAAAAAACCAGAACAACAGGACACAACAGTTAACTCAGAATTTGCCAAATATTTGATACATGTTACCTCCATAAATCCGCATGACAGTGACACAAAAATGGGTGTCCTTATTCATGCTGTTTTACAGATTAGGCAGCTGGGGCTTACAGCAGTTAAAAGAGTAAGTGACAGCTAGGTTGGAACCTTGTCTGTCTGAAGCTCACTGCACACTAGTTTGATGTGGTCTGGTCCCCCGACTCCAGCCTTTTGACTAATGCTGCCAGACCTTCTTGAGCCATCCTGTTGGTCTTGGCTTGTTGACTCCAAACCCCTCAACCCCACCCCAGCACCTTGCTGACCCATGATGCTTTACTATATTCTGCCCACCTGGTCTCCAGTTCCAAGCATGGCACTGACCATCTGCCCTGAGCAGTTAATAAAACAACATTTGGCTGCTGGCTTGCCACCTGCCTGGCACTGTGCCAGGTGCCTTGTGTAGCACCAAGTATAAATGGACACACTAGATATGTGCAAACCTAAAGACTGCTGTATCCTTAGAATGGAGTTCTGTTAACTTTGGCTTAGAGTAGGCAACATAATTATTCTGTTCTTGAGACTTCAGTCATTCTGGCTATTTCTAGTTTGGGTTGCATATTAAAATTGAGGCCACATTTTATGATTAAATTTTCCATCTAAGGATTTTTTCTTTTTTAAAATAGCTTTGGCCAGGGGCGGTGGCTCACGTCTGTAATCCCAGCACTTTGGGAGGCCGAGGCGAGTGGATCACGAGGTCAGGAGATCGAGACCATCCTGGCTAACACGGTGAAATCCCGTCTCTACTAAAAACACAAAAAATTAGCCGGGTGTGGTGGTGGGCGCCTGTAGTCCCAGCTACTCGGGAGGCTGAGGCAGGAGAATGGCGTGAACCTGGGAGGCAGAGCTTGCAGTGAGCCGAGATCACGCCACTGCACTCCAGCTTGGGCGACAGAGCGAGACTCCGTCTCAAAAAAAAAAAATAGCTTTATTGAGGTATAATTTACATACCATAAAATTCAATCATTTTAAAAGTGTATAATTCAATGATTTTTAGTAAATTATAGAGTTGGACAATCATCACTACAGCCCAGTTTTAGAACAAGTTCCTCACCTCACAGCAATGCCTCATGCCCATTTATGGTTATTCTGGGGGCTTTATTTGCTCCCTCCTGGCCCCTGGCCCTGGACTTTTAAATAACTTCACAGGGAAGGGGCAGGATTCGCACTGTAGACCCTCTGGCTTTTCCTTGTTCCCTCTCCCTGTGGTATCATTTCCAGCTGGTGTGGGACATCATTGCTAATAGCCTGGATGTTGGTTCTTTAAAAAAAAATTTACTTTAAGTTCTGGGATACATGTGCAGGACGTGCAGGTTTGTTACATAGGTAAACGTGTGCTATGGTGGTTTGCTGCATCTATCCGTCACCTAGGTATGAAGCTCCCAATGCATTAGCTATTTTTTCTGATGCTCTCCCTCTCCTCGCCACACTGACAGGCTCTGGTGTGTGTTGTTCCCCTCTCTGTGTCCCTGTGTTCTCATTGTTCACCTTCCACTTATGAATGATAATATGTAGTGTTTGGTTTTCTGTTCCTGTGTTAGTTAGCTAAGGATGATGGCTTTCAGCTTCATACATGACCTTGCAAAGGACGTGATCTCATTCCTTTTTATGGCTGCATAGTATTCCCTGGTGTATTTGTACCACATTTTCTTTAATGCATGTTGTTTCTCTCAACCTCTCACGATGTTTGATGCTGGCTCCTTCAGGTGAACTCAGACAAATGCAGCCTGTCACCTGGTGACTTCCCCCAGAGCCTCCTGCTGTGGGGCATCTATGGGAGCGTGACACCCACCGCAGTCCCAACAGGATTTCTACCCAGCCTTTCTTTGGGTCCCCTTCACTTTGATGGGGAGGTTCTAGGGGAGCAAAAGCATACTGCCATGCCCTTAGCTACCTCTGGCATGTCCTTAGCTATCTCTGGCAGCCTTCTCTGGGCCCATGTTTGCCCAGACACCTCCCCACCTCCATGCCCATGCCCATGCCTACCTCTGCACTGGGGAAATGGTGGTCGCAGTGGTGCTGCTTCCAGGGATTCTCCTGGGTCGAGAGGCTGCACTGTCATCTTTCCAGTGTCTCTGGAGTGGCTTGCTGGTTGGTCCAGCTGTTATCAAATTGCTAGTGAGGTGTAAGTGCACCCTCCCACCTTACCCCAAGAGATGAGTCCAGGGTCAACATGTTAATCTCCCTAGATCCCTCCTTTCTGCCCACTTTTTTTTTTTAATTTGCAAAAGATGTCAAAGCAGATCTGCCTCTTATGGATTGTAGTGTGAACTGAGATCCTTACTCCAGGAACTGGGCTCCTGGAACTGAGCCTTGTAGAATATAGACTGCTGTCGCCAAGTGCTTTGTCCACAGTAATCCCTCCTCCTTCTGTTTGGGTCCTTCGCATATCAGTGTTACAAGTCCGTGTTCAACCCTAGATTTGTGGAAAATTGAGGCTCAGAGATGTTAAGGAGACTTGGCATGGCCACACAGTAGACATACACACAAACTCGTCTTACTCCTGACTTGGGAGGAGCAAGGAACAAAGAAGAAAACAGCAACAATCTATTTGCCAACAGCAGGGAAAGAGATGAAAATGATGGTACAGTCCTATGATGTTTTATGCAATCATGAAAATTCATCTGTTTAAAAATATTTGAGTATCTGTAGCAGTTAGAAGTCGTGGACTAAAGGGAACTTAGAAGCATGCTGAGTAAAACATTAAGGACAGCATGAGCTGTGTACGATGCATGCATTGCACAGAGCTATGTGCATTACAGGAGCGCATACAAACAAGAGGAGAATGGGATGAAGGGAATGAAGGTAAAAAGTACTGTTGCTAAGTACAAATATAACACACACGAACATGTCATTCACTGGGGAATATGACTGACTCAACCCTCTCCACCTTTAAAAAATTTTAATAGCAAGAGCTATGCTTATAATATTCCAAAACTAGGAGCATATAAAAGTGTATAAAACATGATCTGATCCTATCCTAATTTTATGAAAAGGCACATATAAGTGTGTACACAAATATAATGAAAACTAGCCTATCATCTGGTTTACAGCTTTCAGCATTTCCCACATTTTCTTGAATGAATTTCCTTCTATGTTTTTTGAATAGAAAAGTAGCAAACTTTAATGGCAAAAGGGGTGTTAGTCTGGCAACTTCCCCCCCGAAACTGTAATTACTGTGTTGTAAGTTCCTTTTTTGTAAGGGACACCAGTCTCCCTGGACTGGTGTTTAATACAGTTTGAACTCTAATAACCAGTCACAATTCTGTGCCACCTTCAGAATTCCTGAGCTAACATTTTTTATTGGCTTCTTTAAAATAATTTTATATTTTGAAATAATTTCAGACTTACAGGAAAGTTGCAAAGATAGTATAAGAATTCCAGTATGCCCTTCATCCAAATCCTTCAAATGTTAACATTTTACCGTATTTGCTTTATCATTCTCTCAAATTTTTTTCAGAACCATTGAGAGTAAGTTGCAGACATGATACTCCTTTACTCCTAAATATTTTAGAGTGTATATCCTAAAAACAATATTATCTTATATGGCCACAATTACCTAAATCGGTTAGTTAACAATGACATAGATTTTATTCAAATTTTTCTAGTTGTCCTGTTAATGTCCTTTAGGGCAAGAGAAAAATAAGTAAATAAATAAATCCACCTCCTCCTGGGGGCCAGGACTCAATTAAGATCTAGGTGCTAGATGTACTCATTCCTACTGGGGGAGGGGGTCACTCTTTCTAGGCTGTCTCAGAGGACAGCATTAATAAATACACATATGTATTCACACACACACACAGACACATACACACCCTATATTACTATCTGTATCTGTTTTCCTTTCTTCTTTGCTTTATTCTGTCTGTCCATCCTTCTATCCCTCCTAAAACCTTGAGTTCATACTGGTACCTCCAATACTAACCCAGCAACACAAGGTTCATTCTAGCCTTCCTTCTTTCCGTGTCTGTAACACTCTTCAACAGTTATAAACCTGGCTCCCCTTATTCAGAATAGAGTCACTTAAATCCTCAATCTTAGAACACACAGAAAGACATTTTTTTTTTTTTTTTTTTGAGATGGAGTCTTGCTCTGTCACCAGGCTGGAGTGCAGTGGCGCCATCTCGGCTCACTGCAACCCCCACCTCCCGGGTTCAAGCGATTCTCCTGCCTCAGCCTCCCAAGTAGCTGGGATTACAGGCATGCACCACCATGTCTGGCTAATTTTTGTATTTTTGTATTTTCACCATGTTGTCCAGGCTGGTCTCAAACTCCTGACCTCAAGTGATCCTCCCACCTTGGCTTCTCAAAGTGCTAGGATTACAGGTGTGAGCCACTGTGCCTGGCCAGAAAGTCATTGCAGAATTGCTAACCATATCACTGTGGAAAGTGAAGATATGAACTAGAATTCAATGTTTGTTTACAGTTCATTTTTGACTTTAGCTTGAGGGTATATGGTCAAAATTCTGAATTCAAAAGTTACTCCAGTAAGTGTTCAACCCCCTTCAGTGTATTTATATAATTTACTTGAAAATAGGTTAGTTTATTTCTGCTTACTTTCAATTTTGGGTATTTTCCTACTCCTTCTCATTTAATTATCTATCTATCTGTCTATCTACCCATCCTTTTTATTTGGATATGTGAAACGTTAACGTGATTCTACATATATGCTATAACATAATTATACCAAAAGGTACACACTCGGGAAATTATCCTTCCCCTAAACTCCTCACCCTGCTCCCACCCCCACCCTTTAACCCTCATTACTACTCACCTCCTGGAAGTCGTGGTACCAGCCAGGGTTCTCCAGAGAAACAGAACCAATAGGAGACTATACATGATTGATTATGGGAACTGGCTCACACTTATGGAGGCTGAGAGATCGTACACTATGCCACCTACAGCCTGGAGAACCAGGAAAGCCAATGATGTATTCAGAGTCGGAAGGCCTGAGAATGGGTGTAGCCTGGGGGTGGAGACCTATTAATAGATTTAGATTCCTAATCCATTTTGAATTTATTTCAGTATGTGGTCTAAAGTATAGATTTAATTTTCTCTTAATCTAAATGGCTAATTAGATATGCAGGTACTGTTTATTAAAAGGTAAATTTTGCCCTAGTGATTTGAGATGCTGCTTTGTTATATGCTAAATTTCCATATGTATTTGGGTCTATTTCTGGACTTTCTATTCCACTTCATTAGTTTATCCACTCATGCACCAGTACCACACTGTTTTAATTATGGAACCTTTATAGTATGTTCCAATGTCTGGTAGGGATAGTCCTTCCTTATAGAATTCCATTTTCAGTGTTTTCTTTTCCAGTGTTTAATGGTCATTCTTGCATGTTTGCTTTTCTATATAAATTTCAGTATTAATATCTCTAGCTACATAAAAATGCTTGCTGGAATGGATATTACATTTATAAAATAAGGATACCTGATATCATTATGATATTGATTCTTCCTATTTAAAAACAAGGTGTGTTCTCACTTATTTGTAGGATCCAAAAATAAAATCAATTGAACTCATGGACAGAGAGAGTAGAAAGATGTTTATGAGAGGCTGGGAAGGGGAGTGGGGATTGTGGGGGAGGTGAAGGTGGTTAATAGGTACCAAAAAACATAGAAAGAATGAATAAGGCCTACTATTTGATAGCACAATAGGACGACTATAGTCAATAATAACTTAATTGTATTTTGAAAATAACTTAAAGAATGTAATTGGATTGTTTGTAACTCAAAAGATAAATGTTTGAGGGGACAGATGGATACCCCATTCTCCATGATGTGCTTATCTCACATTGCATGCCTGTATCAAAACGTCTCATGTACCCCATAAATATTTACAATGGCTATCTACCCACAAAGATTTTTCAAATTTATAATAATAGAAAATAAAAATATAGTATGTCTCTCATTCGTTCATGTCAACTTTTCTTTTAGAATTGTTTTAAAGTTTTTCTTATGTAGATTTTGCACATTTCTTAAGTTTATTGCTATACCTTCTTTGTTGCTATTGTGAATGAGGTTTTATCATAAAACTTTCTAATTGGTTATGGCTTACGTATATGAAGACTATTGATTTCTGTACATTAGCTTTATTATCCTGCTATCTTATTTGAATCTTTTGAGCTAGTTTTATCATTGATTCTCTAAGATTCTCCAGGTATTCTTTCATGTCATCTGCAAATAGCTATAGTTTCACTTTTTTCAAATTTGTATGATTCTGCTTAGTTTATCTTATCTAGCTGTACTGTCTAAGATTATAGTACATGTTGAAGAGTAGTGGAGATAGTACAGATAGCTTTCAACAAATTACTCAGTGTTTCAGAGGGCTGATTTCCTATCCCATTTTCTCACTCCTTCTTGGCAACAGAACCCCAAACTCACTCAGTCAGCGGTGGATTCAGCTAAAGAACTGCAATCTAGATGTAACTTTACCTGGGTGTGATAATGAGACTAAATTTTGGTAAAAGAGAAATAAGTGGAATCATTATATGGTACTTTAGATCCTTCTCCTTCACCACTTTGCTACTACCTGGAATTGGGATGTAATGGCTGGACCTCTAGAGGGCTTTTTGGGCCGCAAGGTGACTTTGAGAATGGAAGCCATGCATCAGGATGGCTGCATTAGCAAGACAGAAAGAGCCTGTGTCCTTAATTATCAAGGAGCCCCATACCAAGCCAAGACTGCCTGCCACTGGACATTTTTACATGAGATAAAAAACAAATTTTTAACTTGTTTATGTTACTATTTCTTGGAGTTTCCAGTCACATGCAGCCAATCAAAATTCTAATGGAGTTTTGGTTTCTTCATCTGTAAAGTGATAGTATTTTACCTCACTGAGTTATCAGGATTAAATGAAATAGTTCATGTAAAAAAAGGCTGCATGGAGTAGGCACATTAAAAAAGTCTCCCATGATTTTGTGAGGTTTGAATGAGCTCTGTATTTGAGTGCCCTTTGCAAGTTGTCAACGGAAGGCCAACATTTTCATCTGTGCTTTGCACCTGTTCTCTTTCTTCTTTCTCAACTCTTCTATGATCAATTATCCTTTCATTTCTTGAATAGCTTACCTCTCTCTTTCAACTTGACTCTTCATGTTGATTTTAAACATTTGTGAGTTGTTCCCATTAAATCAAAACTGTCCCTTTTCCCCTCCAGCTATGATTTTGTCTTTCTCCTATTCTTCAAAGTCAAACTTTTCAAAATAATGTTTTCTTATCTGATGTATCAGACAGTGTTGGCTGTCCACCCAGACCTTTGAATCCCTGCTTTGTGTGTGTGCCTGCCCCCCTTCAGCGTGCTTTTGCTTCTAACACCCAGCACTATGGCTTCATGAGGACTGCCTTTGGGCTATGAGAACCACTCAGCTCCCACCTCCACCCTCCACAGATCCAGAAGGCCTTGGAATATATTCTAGGTAATTTCAGTACATTCCAGAAGTTCCTAGAATTTACTCAGGGTGACTCAGGGGCAATGCTTGAAAGCCACGCTCCCTCGCCTCAGGCTGGAACAACTGACACCACAGAGCTCTCCAGTGGGATCCAGGATCCGGCTGAAGCCACACTCTGCTGGCGTTTCCTGAGATTGCACCTTGGTTGGCCTCCTTCTCTTGTCTTCTTTGTTCTCCTTTCCCTCCCCTGACTGGCATTTTCTTGGGGCATTTTAATCAATCACTTGCACTTGAATGTCCCAGTCTGCATCTGAAAAACCTAACCCAAGACCCCTAATCTCCATCTCCTCCCCTCTTATTCACTCTCCAGCCCAACACAATTTGGCTTCTGGGCACATCATTCCAGGGAAGCAGCTCTTTCAGACAGCCCCCAAAACACGATGTCACTGAATCCAGTGCACACAGTTTAGTTCTGTCTTCCTTGACTTCACAGCACCATTCAATGCCACAGATCCATGGTTCTTGAAGCCCAGGTGTTCCCTGATGACGTCCCTGGCTTTCCCCTACATTTCGTGGCCTTTCTTCAGCTTGTCCTCTTCTATCCAGCCATTGAAACAGAGTGAGTTCTTTAGGCTCAGTCCTCTTTTCCCAGGTGGTCTCACCCAATCTCAGAGCTTCATTGCTACATGAAGGTTACCCACACATGTCTGTTGTAGCACTTTCTCTACTTGCTAAACATCTTTGCTTGAATGTCTCAAAAGTACCTCCAAGCTAAATTCGTAATAACCCTGTGCACAGAAGCAAGCTTGGTCCTCTTGCACTCTGCTCTAATGTGGTGAGTGTAGCACTTCTCCATCTGGCTAGAACCTGGGAGTCATGCTGGACTTCCCCCTCACCCTCGTGCACGTAGCCAACCAAGCACCAACTCCTGTGTCTTGTGCCTTCTGAGTCTCTCTCGAGTGATTCACTTTTCTCTACCACCACCTCCACTCGTGCCTTCTGTCATTCATAACCACGTTGATGGTAAAAATAGCCTCTTCACTGGCCTTTCTGCATTCATTTCTATACTCCTCTAATTTTTTCCCACATGACTGCCAGGCTGATCTTTCCAAAACATAAATTTAATTACATCTTAAAAAATAACTTGCTGAGATATAATTCACATACCACACAATTCATCTATTTAAGGCATAAAATTCATGCTTTTTAATATATTCACAGAGTTGTGCAAACATCACCACAATCTAATTTTAAGATTATTTCCATCATCCCAAAAAGAAACCCTGTATTCATTAGCAGTCACCTCCTGTTCCCCCACACCCCATTCCTGGGCAGCCACGAATCTACTTTCTGTCTCTATGGATTTGCCTATTCTGGACATTTCACATAAATACAATCATATAATACATAGTCTTTTGTGACTAGATTCTTTCACTTACTATGTTTTCAAAGTTTATCTATGTTGTAACACGTATTAGTACTTCATTTTTTTTGGCTGAATAATATTTTATTGCATGGATATATCACATTTTGTTTATTCATTAGTCACTTGATGGACATTTGGGCTGTTTCTCCTTTTCAGCTATTCTGAATAATGCTTCTGAGAGGTTCACATATAAGAGTTTTTGTTATTTTTTTTGAGATGGAGTCTTGCTCTGTTGCCCAGGCTAGAGTGCAGTGGCACTATCAGCTCACTGCAACCTCTGCCTCTGGGGTTCAAGCAATTATTGTGCCTCAGCCTCTTGAGTAGCTGAGATTACAGGTATGTGCCACCACGCCTGGCTAATTTTTGTATTTTTAGTAGAGACAGGGTTTTACCATGTTGGCCAGACTGGTCTCGAACTCCTGACATCAAGGATCTGCCCACCTCAGCCTTCCAAAGTGCTGGGATTATAGGCATGAGCCACTGTGCCTGGCCTCACATATAAGAGTTTTTGAGCGTAGATGTGTTTTCATTTCTCTCAGATATATACTTAGCAATGGAATTACTTGACCATATGCTAATTATATTATATTCTTTTACAAGCTTTTCAATGGCATTTCATGGCTGTTATGATGAATTCAGTCTCCTTTTTCTTGGTGCCCAAGTTTCCATATGGTCTGACCCTCACCTGCCTTGCTGCTGGTGTGGTCCTTGGATAGACTGTGCCATTTTTTTTGTTGATGTCTGTGTCATATTTTGGCTGGAACAATCTCAAATATTAATCTAAATCAACCTTAATCATTTACTGATTTCTATTTCTATGATATATCTATCATATATTACATGATTAGTCCAATCTTACTGTCAGACTGTGATATGGTTTGTTTGTGTCCCCACCCAAATCTCAACTTGAATTGTATCTCCCAGAATTCCCAAGTGTTGTGGCAGTGACCCAGGGGGAGGTAATTGAATCATGGGGGCCAGTCTTTCTCATCCTATTCTTGTGATAGTGAGTAAGTCTCATGAGATCTGATGGATTTATCAGGGGTTTCTGCTTTTGCTGCTTCTTCATTTTTCTCTTGCCGCCGCCATGTAAGAAGTCACCTCCTGCCATGATTTTGAGGCCTCCCCAGCTATGTGGAACTGTAGGTCCAAGTAAACTTCTTTTTCTTCCCAGTCTCAGGTATGTCTTTATCAGCAGCATGAAAACAGACTAATACAGTAAATTGGTACCAGTAGAGTGGGGTGTTGCTGAAAACATACCCAAAAATATGGAAGCCACTTTGGAATTGGGTAACAGGCAGAGGTTGGAACAGTTTGGAGGGCTCAGAAGAAGATAGGAAAATGTGGGAAAATTTGGAACTTCCTAGAGACTTGTTGAATGGCTTTGTCCAAAATGCTGATAGCAATATGGACAATAAGGTCCAGGCTGAGGTAGTCTCAGATGGAGATGAGGAACTTGTTGGGAACTGGAGTATATGTGACTCTAGTTATGTTTTAGCAAAAAGACTGGTGGCATTTTGCTCCTGCCCTAGAGATTTGTGGAACTTTGAACTTGTGAAAGATGATTTAGGGTATCTGGTGGAAGAAATTTCTAAGCAGCAAAGCATGCAAGAGGTGACTTGGGTTCTATTAAAGGCATTCAATTTTATTAGGGAAGCAGAGGAAAACTTGCAGCCTGACTATGGAATAGAAAAGAAAATTCCATTTTCTAGGGAGGAATTCAAGCCAGCTGCAGAAATTTGCATAAGTAGCAAGGAGCCTAATGTTAATCCCCAAGACCATGGGGAAAATATCTCCAGGCCATGTCAGAGACCTTTGAGACAGCCCCTCCATTCACAGGCCCAGAGGCCCAAGAGGAAAAAGTGGTTTCGTGGGCCAGGCCCAGGGTCCTCGTGCTGTGTGCAGCCTAGGGACTTGGTGCTCTGTGTCCCAGCTGCTCCAGCCATGGCTGTAAGGGGCCTACGTACAGCTCAGTTAGCAGCTTCCACGTGGTGTTGAGCCTGAGATGCACAGGAATCAAGAATTGAGGTTTGGGAACCTCCACCTAGATTTCAGAGGATGTATAGAAATGCCTGGATGCCCAGGCAAAAGTTTGCTGCAGGTGTGGGGCCCTCATGGAGAATCTCTGCTAGGACAGTGCGGAAGGGAAATGTGGGGTCACAGCCCCCACACAGAGTCCCTACTGGGGCACTGCTTAGTGGAGCTGTGAGAAGAGGGCCACATTCTCCAGACCCCAGAATCATAGATCCACTGACAGCTTGCACCGTCCACCTGGAAAAGCTGCAGACACTCAACACCAGCTTGTGAAAGCAGCTGGGAGGGAGGCTATACCCTGCAAAGCCACAGGGATGGAGCTGCCCAAGACCATGGGAACCCACCTCTTGTATCAGTGTGACCTGGATGTGAGACCTAGAGTCAAAGGAGATCATTTTGGAGCTTTAAAATTTGACTGCCCCGCTGGATTTCAGACTTGCATGTGCCCTGTAACCCCCTTGTTTTGGCCAATTTCTCCCATTTGGAATGGCTGTATTTACCCAATACCTGTACCCCCATTGTATCCAGGAAGTAACTACCTTACTTTTGATTTTACAGGCTCATAGGTGGAAGGGACTTGCCTTGTCTCAGGTGAGACTTTGGACTGTGGACTTTTGGGTTAATGCTGAAATGAGTTAAGACTTTGGGGGACTGCTGAGAAGGCATGATTGGTTTTGAAATGTGACAACATGAGATTTGGAGGGGCCATGGGTGGAATGACATGGTTTGGCTGTGTCCCCACCCAAATCTCAACTTGAATTGTATCTCCTAGAACTCCCACGTGTTGCAGGAAGGACCCAGAGGGAGGTAATTGAATCATGGGGGCCGGTCTTTCCTGTGCTATTCTCGTGATAGTGAATAAGTCTCATGAGATCTGGTGGGTTTACCAGGGGTTTCCACTTTTGCTTCTTCTTCATTTTCTCTTACCATGTAAGAAGTGCCTTTCACCTCCTGTCATGATTTTTGAGCCCTCCCCAGCCACGTGGAACTGCAAGTCCAGTTAAACCTCTGTTTCTTCCGGGTCAGGTGTATGTCTTTATCAGCAGCATGAAAACGGACTAATACAGACGGATTTCTATTTCCTCTTTTTGCTCCAGGACTTTGGGCCACAGTGGGCTTTTTTTCATCCCCTGTCTTCACTAAACTGTAGGTCTGGAAAGTTCTCTCTGGGCGTTAAAATTTTTTCAGTTAAAATATGACATAGATATCAACAAAGAAATGGCACAGCCTATCCAAAGACCATACCAGCAACTGAATAAAATTTTACTGGTGGCAGGTAACTTCTCAACAGTGGATGAGGTCAGGAGGCTTACTGGAAAGTGAACTCACCAGGGATGAGAATGTTGTTTCTCATGGAGCAAGGAACCCCAAGGTCTGCCACCAAACTAAATTACTCTAGGGTAAAATGATGTGTATTTCTTAGGGTCAGAAGCTCATAGCTTGGTTTTGTGACAGGACACCTCCACTGGCTTCCTGTCTAATCCCTGCATGTGCCTCAGAGGGATTAGAATATAAAGTGAGTGTATTTAATTAGAATATAAAGTGAGTGTCTCCTCCCTTCCCCTAAACTATGAAACAAGAACATTTTACAAAGAGGGTGCTTCTTTGTAATTCCCCCAGTGGGTTTTAAGGAATAAGCTGCACTGAGAGCAAAGTTCTGCCTGCCTTCTGAACGCTGAGGCTTCCTTCTTGCAGTTCTCTAAACTCCAGGACAGGAAATTTCTGCAAGATAGGCTGTGGAGCAATAATGCTAACTCCTAAAGGACCCCCTGGGTCATCCTCAAGATCTCTTGCAGACCAGAGGAACCTTTCCAGACTCTGGGAGCAGCTTGAGTCTTGTCTCGGAGCTGCTTCACAAGGCCAGATACACATCCTGTGGGGCCGCTGTGCCCGAGCACCATGGTCAGTAAGGAGTAAGTCTCCTCATCGCATCACACGTGGGCCTCTGAGTCAGTCTGTTTTCATGCTGCTGATAAAGACATACCTGTGCTGGGCGTGGTGGCTCACACCTGTAATGCCAGCACTTGGGAGGCCAAGGCGGGCAGATCACCTGAGGCCGGGAGTTCGAGACCAGCCTGACCAACGTGGAAAAACCCCATCTCTACTAAACATACAAAATTAGCTGGGCATGGCACATGCCTGTAATCCCAGCTACTCAGGAGGCTGAGGCAGAAGACTCACTTGAACCTGGGAGGCGGAGGTTGTGGTGAGCTGAGATTGTGCCGTTGCACTCCAGCCTGGGCAACAAGAGTGAAACTCTGTCAAAAAAAAAAAAAAAAAAAAAAAAAGACATATTCAGGACTGGGTAATTTATAAAGAAAAAGAGGTTTAATGGACTGACAGTTCCACATGGCTGGGGAGGCCTCACAATCATGATGGAAGGTGAAAGGCACGTCTTACATGGTGGCAGGTAAGCGAGGCTGAGAGCCAAGTGACAGGGGAAACCCCTTATAAAACCATCAGATCTCATGAGATTTATTCATTACCATGAGAGCAGTATGGGGGAAACCACCCCCATGATTCAATTATCTCCCACCGGGTCCTTCCCACAACATGAAGGAATTATGGGAGCTACAATTCAGGATGAGATTTGGGTGGGGACACAGCCAAACTATAGCAGACTCTGAGGGCTAATCTCCTCCCATTCCTTCTCCTTCCCCTGTTTCAAGCTTGCTCTTACTTTTCCCCTATCTGTCTCAGTCTGGGGTCATCAGAAGCAGACCTTAAGGTGAGGGTGTGTGGGTGACAGGTGGAGGATGCACTCCCAGGTCCCCAGGAGGGCATGGTAGGAGCAGCAGAACACCGGGAGGCCAAGTGTGAGAGTGGTTCTCCCATGTCCACAGAAGGAAGCTCCCACTGAATCCTGCAGGGGGCTGTGGAAGGGAAGAGATGCTCTAGCCAAGGCCCAGGAGTGGGCTATTACATCCCTGTCCCCATCCATTGTGGGTCAAGGGCCTGAGGGGGTTGGCAGCTCAGAGCTTCTCCATTTCCACTCCCTGCACCTGGGCCAAACCTGCCCCAGGAGCCCTGGCCTCTCAAGAAGAGCCACAGGTGCTGGCATAAGCACAGGAAACAAAAGTACAGGAAAGAAGGTGGGAAACACAAAAACAGTAAAAAGGGACCCAAGGGGAGGAGCACGGACAATGTCCCCTTACCCTGCTAGGGTGTGCATTACAAGTAAAGGTCAAGGCCAAAGACTTCATGTGCATTCCCCGCACACTGCTGAAGCATGTTTGAATTCTCGTTCTTTCATTCCACTGCCAGCTCCCATGGGCAGATCCAGCTCCTTTGTGTAGGAGCCATAGTCACAGCTTCAGAGGTCTCTTTCCCTCCCGACTGCTCCAACTGCTGTCAGCTTTATCCTCTTCAAACACCACCTTCACTGTGTCATTTTCTTTTCAGAAATCTCCTATGGCTTTTCATTGCTTTAATGATACAGTTAGAAATCCTGGCCAGGTGTGGTGGCTCATGTATGTAATCTCAGCATTTTGGGAGGCTGAGGCAGGAGGATCCCTCAAGGCCAGGAGTTCAAGACCACCCTTGGCAACACAGTGAGACCCCTGTTTCTACAAAAAAAAAAATTAGTCGGGCATGGTGGCACATGCCTGCAGTCCCAGCTACATGGGAGGCTAAGGTGGAAGGATTGCCTGAGCCTCAGAGGTTGAGGCTGCAGTGAGCCATAATCTTGCCACTGTACTCCAGTATGAATAACAAAACAAGACTGTGTCATATGAAAAAAAAGAACTCCTTTACTTAATATTTTAGGCCCCTGAAAATCTACCCTCAACTTACCTTTCTAGTCATAGAGCCCTCTTTTTAATTGTGAGAACTCTCATCCCTGATGAGATTTATGAGTGAGGGACTTAGAGCCTGGGGTCATCATAGGTGTGAATTCTACTCTAGAATCAACCACTGTGTGACATGAATGCATTGCCTCTCTCTCCTAGGCTGAGTGTCCTGAGCTATACATGAGAGCTGTGAGATGGTTGTGAGGATTCCACTGGGTGCAGCATTAAAGGGGCTCGGAACAATGTCTGAAGATGCCAATGCTAGAGAAATGGTGGTTGAATCTGAATCTAGGCAGCTTCTGTAGGCATAACTCAGGCTCTTTCTGGTCTGAATTCTTTGCTTGCTGGGCTTTGTATCTTGAGACCTCTCTTTCTTCCCACTGGTCAGAATCCTGAACATCCTTCAAGGCTGGGCTGAAAACTTCCCTCCTCTGTGCCGACTTTTCTGACTACCTGAATCCTCAGTGATCAGTCCCACCTCTCAATTCTTACTGTCTTCTGTTATGTCTTTGATAATTTCTTCCTCTCTCTCTGTCTCTTCTGGTTTCTCTTTTTTTGTATTAGTTCTATTAGTCAGACACTGGATCCACAGATTGGTCTTCTAGGTCTCCTATTTTTTTCTATTACCTTTTTTATCTCTTATTTTGAGATCTGTTTTTTGGGAAGTCATCTGGATTTTATTCTCCAACCTTGTAATGAATTTTCCTATTTTTGCAGTCATTAAAAAATTTCCAATAGCTCTTTTTTTTGGTATCTGATTTTTCCTCTTGATATAGCATCTTATTTTTGTTTCATGGGTCTAATTTCTAATTAGAGGATTTTATTTTGTGTTCTATAGCTTAACTTATCTTTGTTTTGGTTGGAGTCATTTAAAAAACTTGTCTCTATTCTGAAATAACTGCACAGTCTTCATCCTCGTTCATTTAAGTCGAAGTGCGAGGCAATGAAAAATCGTGCATGTGAACAAGATCTGTCAGGTAGATGGATTTGCGTCTGGGAGATTGAGGACATCCTAAGTGCCAGAATGCAGAGATGTTTCCAGTGGGGCTATCAATTTGTTTCAAGGAGGACCCTTTGATGCTTAGACTGGGGAGTAAGGTGGGGTAGGCCAGGGAGATGTCTGGTTTCTAGTGTGCTGAGAGAGTGCAGTGGGACAGGGCAGCCCATGTCCACACCTTCATTTCACTGCCTTCATTATTCTGTTTCTGAGTGCTGAAACCTATCAGAGTCTGGCAAGGTAGATGGGCGTATCGCCTCCCATAAGGACTCTAGGCCATGGTTCCTCTGATCTACTTCATCTGTTTTCATCCATCTTCTAGTCATTTGTTGAATTTCTATTCAGTGACAGCCCTTCTTTTACTTTCTTTATCGTTGTGCATTAAATCCTTTTAAATTGTCTTGCTGTCATTTTAAAGAGAACCCAGCTGAAGATGGAGTTAAACAGCCTTCCATTTAGAGCTGGAATTCCCCTGTTCTATCCTATTTAATGAGCCATTCAAATCAAGATAGTTTTCTGTTGATGGGACTGGCTTTTCAAAAAGGCACAACTAGATTATAATCCAGAATGGGGAGGAAATAATGCCTTATTTTTTGTTTTGTGGAGGCTAGCCCAGTATCTTTTATTTGGTAGGTGCTCAATTAATGTCTATCAATTGAGTTTGCTTTAACATTTAAGCTCTACCATTTTTTTTGTTTCACATTTTTGTCTGCTCTCACAAATGTGATTTCTCTTAGAACAGACTCAAACATCTGGAGAGCCATTTGTATCTCCATTTTTATGGCCTTTTATATTTTCAGTCTTGACTATGCACTTCTACAGGATTTGAAAGAAATGAGAAAATACAGTAAGCACCCTATGTGGAGAGATTCATATTCCATAACTTGTCTTCAAAGTTATAGTCCTCTTGACTCACTTTACTTGCATGTAAAAACATAACTTGGGCATTTTATTATCCCTTATTGCTTGCTTCTCATTTTGTTGCTGTTCAATAGGGAAAGTAGGTTGTTTCCTATTGTAATTTCCAGAGTTCTTTGAGTTAAGGGGTGATTTTTCCTCCCTTCCCCATGGCTGTGAACACGTGGATGTGCACACTTGCACGTGTCCCTTACCCCCGTGCATATCTCAGTATACTCTGGACATTTTTCTCTTCAAAAGAAAACCAAGTTTCTGATTTCAGGTCATCCAAATAGATACCATCAGGCAGAGCAGCGTGACATGGTTCTTAAGTCCCATAGGTCACGTTTTTGGTAAATAGCTGTGTCCTGTAACTGTCATTCCCGTCATGTCTAGCTTACTCACCAGTGAATGCATGACATTTTCTTGGCCTTGGAATGTTCCATCTCAATTAAAACTAGAGGGAAAAAAAGCCATTCTTCATACTGTAAATATGAGAAGAGTACATCATGGAGACTTTTCTCATCAAACTGTAGAGGAAGAGCCTGCCCTGCTGGGGCCTCTTGGGAGACATACCTGGTTCAGGATGGAACCAGCTCAGGAGGACTGGAAGAGTCCTTTTAGTTTGTATTGTGTATTGAGAAAATTTATCGTAACATCTTTTCCTTTTGTACTGCCGTAGTCAATAAAACTATATAATTAATTAATTCACACCTATTCAACACATGTTTTGCACAGAGTAAAATTTAGCAAAATACGCAATACAATAAACATAGAATTAGACAACATAATAGAAGGGATATATATATATATTCCTTCTACAAATATAAATTGTAATATATATTTAAATTGTTATATATATATATATATATATATATATATATATATATATATATATTTAGGGCTAAGAAAGACATGACTTTGAATAGTAACCCAGTACCATTTTCTATCTATCTATCTATCTATCTATCTATCTATCATCTATTTATCATCTATTCTATCATAGTGATAAATATACATAACATAAAGTTTACCATTTTAACCTTTTTTTGAGTGTACAATTTAGTGGCAGTAAATACATTCTCAATGTTATGCAATCATTGCCACTATCCGTTTCAAGAACTTTGGCATCACCCCAAACTGAAACTCCACACCCGTTAAACACTAACTCACCATTCCTCCCTCCCCACAGCTCCTAGTAGCCTCTATTCTACTTCTCTTCTCCATTAATTTGCCTATTCTAGGTACCTCAGTGGAATAATGCAATATTTGTCCTTTTGTGTTTGGCTTATTTCGTTTAGCATACACACTTTGAAGGTTTATTCATGTTGTAGCTTACATCAGAATTTCATTCCTTTTTAAGGCCTAAAAATAATACATTTTCTGGGTGCTGTGGCTCATACCTATATTCCCAGTACTCTGGGAGGCCGAGGCAGGAGGATCACTTGAGCCCAAGAGTTTGAGATCAGCCTGGCAACATAGAGAGATCCCATCTCTACAAAAAAGTTTTGAAAATTAGCCAGGCATAGTGGTGTGTTCCTGTGGTCCCAGTTATTCGGGAGGCTGAGGCAGGAGGATCACTAGAGCCCGGGAAGTTGATGCTGCAGTGAGCCATGATTGTACCATTGCAGTCCCACCTGGGTGACAGAGCAAGACCCTGTCTCGAAAACAAGACAAAACAAAACAAAACATTGTATGTTTATCCCACATTTTGTATATTCATTAATCTGTCCATTGGTATTTGGGTTATTTCTACCTCTGGGTTATTGTGAATATGATGTTATGAACATTAGTGTACTAATATCTGTTGGAGTTTGTGCTTTCACTCTTAAGTATATATTCAGAAGTGAAATTACTGGATCGTATGGTAGTTTTATGTTTAACTTTTTGAGGAAACACCCAACTGTTTTTCACAGCATCAGCACACCATTTTACAGATCAGGAAAATGAGGTTCAGAGAGGTTAAACTACTAGCTCAGGATCGCATAGCTGGCCTCTAATGAGGATTATTAAATTTAGGTTTGTAAACAGCCTTCCATTTAGAGCTGGAATTCCCCTGTTCTATCCTATTTAATGAGCCATTCAAATCAAGATAGCTTTCTGTTGATGAGACTGGCTTTTCAAAAAGGCACAACTAGATTATAATCCAGAATGGGGAGGAAATAATGCTTTATTTTTTGTTTTGTGGCTGGATAGTGCATTCCATAAATGGGCTTTCAATCAATCTTTACTCTCTTCCCTTCCCTTTCTGATGCTAATTCATACATACTGGTCTAAAGTTTAAATTTACTTATGAGTCCACACTCTTTCTTCCATTTTCTTAACATATTACAAAAGCAAACAATCTCTTTGATCTTGGCTAAAATGATTCTAGAACTTTCTCACACCTCAGAAGTGCATGCTTCTTTCAAACAAACCATGTGCTGGTTACAAATCATGGCTCTTTGTCCACCGTCTTTCCCCAGGCAAGCTTGGGTGGCTGTAGTTAATATAGTTCGAGGGTCTTGAGGTAGTGGAATTGCTGTACGAACCCTTGGAGTGTAGAATTTTCACAATGAAGATGGATCTGGCCATTTTCCCCTCTTCAATCCCAAACACACAGGATGGAATCAGTGAGTTGACACTATGCATGGGTAGGCCGAGTAGGAGGGAAATTGTAAGGTGTGTGCAGTGGAATTTGGAGGGTCAGGTGGCCTTTCTTGTCCCAGACCTGCCTTCCCCACTAGGTGACTAGCGGCCTTTGTCTGCCCTCATTCTCCACCTCCTGCCTGTAGGTTGGCTGTTGGTCATTCGGGTCGGTATGACTGGACATTAGTGCTCCTCTCCCAGGAGTGTTTACATCTAAAACCTGAGTTCTGACAGTGGAATAAAAGGCATATTACAGAGGGCCCACCGGACTAGGGGGTGGTGTGCTGGCCTCACATGGTGCTGCTGAAATCATGCCTCCTAGGACAGCCCCTTTAGATACTGAAGACTCATCTTACCTGCTCAGTTTCCTGATTCAGAGAGTGAACTAGATGCTGCTGCTAAGGGAAAGACACTCTGGGAGAAGCCAAACCGCAAGGAGCCTTCAGTTCTCTCCTTACTGGGCCAGGAGGAGGAATTTTTTTTTTTTAACTGAAAAAGGGAATTACCAGCTTAAAACACAACCAAGAAGCCTTTAGCATTGAGGACTGGTGAGGAGAGGAGGTATTCATTTTGGTGTGGGGAGGAGACATCAGTAAGCTTTTCTTTCTCGTGTACACACACACACACACACACACACACACACACACGCTGGGACGTAAAAGACGTTTCAGTAGGTGTCATTCCCAAGCTGTCCACAAGATGGTGCAGAAACCCTGCTCACAGTCTGTCCTCCAAAGGCACCACCTCTGGAGTGATTTGCAGCCTCTGCAGGCTGCTGGTAAATTGAGGTTTGGAGAGCAGCATGAAGCTTTCACCGCGGTGAAGATACCTTTGACATTTTCGGGATTCTGATTGTAAATTCAATTAAAAATCGATTGGGTTCCAGTAAACAAAATGAAATGACAAATGTGTACAAAAGCTCCTTGTGCAGGGCTTAGCCTGGAAGAGAGATGGAGGTCATATAGGAAGGCGTGGAAGGAGACCTGGATAAGCTGCTGTGGGTGATACGACACCTCCTGTTCCTGGGGAATCTTGAAGTCTGCGGGGGGTTCAGCTGTGCATCGCTGGGCATTTACCGTGGATGGCACTCGTCTGCATGCTGTGGAGACAGTCATACGGAAGAGTCCCGGTCTTTAGAGAGCTTGAATCTGTCAAAAACTCATACCAGAAAAATAACGAGTGTGCCAGATGGTGGTCAGCACTACGGGAAAGATATTACAGCCGACCACTGGAGGTGCAGGGTTTCACTTTTAAATAGCGTGGCATCGGAGACCTCTTGGAGCCAGTGACATTTCAATAAGACCTGAAGGATTGATGGTGTGAGCCACGGGAGTTTTAGGGGAAGACCATTCTAGGCAGTGGGCACAGCAAAGGCAATGGTCCTGGGGTCGGGAGGTGCCTGGAGGAGGCATGGAGGACCCAGGAGGCTGATGTGGCTGCTGGGGCAGGTGAAGGGGCAGGGCAGGATATGAGTCAGAGAGATTCTAATGGGGGAAAAGCCGGAGATTTCGAAGCTGAGTGATCACACGAGACCTTGCAGCACAGTATAAGGACTTTCGACTTTACTTTGGAAATTGCTGGAAGCCATTGAGCGTTCTGAATAGAGGCGTGGCATGATCTGCCTTGCATTTTGTAAGGATCACTCCGGCTCTTGCATTGAGAAGGTCCTACAGGCAGGAGCCGAAAGACCAGTTAGGAGACAGCTGCCATGTCTGGGTGAGAGATGGTGGTGACCAGGCCCAAAGGGAATGACAGTGGAAGTGAAGAGAAGTGGTCAGATTTAGGATATCTTTGGAGCCAGTAGAGTTGATGGTAGATTGAATGAAAATTTGAGAGGCAGAGAGGGGTCACGGATGACTTTGAGGTTATTTCCCTGAGCAATTGGGCAGATGGAATGGCAATTAACTGAGATAATTTGGAAGGGCAGGTTTTTGGGGGAAAGATCAGGAACTCAGTTTGGGATATGCTGAGTGCGGGATGCCTTTCAGATGTCCAAATGGAGATGTTCAGATCTATGAAACTAGAATTCAGGGGCAGGGTCCAGTCAGATATAAATCTGGGAGTAGCAGGTCTGAAGATGATATTTAAAGGCATAGACTGGAGTGACAATGGGTAGACAAGAGATAAAGCCCAACACTAGTGCGCTCCAATGTTTAGAGTTTGGGGAGGTGTGGAGGAGCCAGCAGAGGTAACTGAAGAGGGTGGACCAGTGAGGTCGGAGAAAACTCATGGCCGAAGAATGTGGTGTCCTGGAAGCCAAGTAGGTAAAAGGCTGAGGAGGAGGGAGAGGTCTACATGTCAGCACGGCCAATGTTTGGGGCTGGATAATCCTTTGCTGTCAAAGGCTGCCCTGTGCATTATAGGATGTTTAGCAGCATTTTTGTCTTCTTCCCACTGGATACCAGTAGCACTTCCCTCCCTACTGTGTCAACTAAAAGTGTCTCCAGACGCTGAGTGCCACAGATCCCCAAAGGACAAAATCTTTTCTGATTGAGAGCACTGTTCTAACTCAAGAAGTGGAGAACTAAATTCTAGCACAGGAAGCTCTCTCTTAACCCAGGGCAGAGGAAGCTACTGGAGAGGCTGACATGTTTTGAGTTGAACTTGGAAGGTTGGGTAGTGTATTGACAGAGAGTAGCTGGGGTTGAGTGCGGAAGGCAGCTCAGCCTGGGAAAAGTTCCTGATGCTTGACAATGTCCCTGCACAGAGAACCAGCATCACTTTTTGAAGCCATGGAAATAGCGATATCATTTTTACCATCTCTTCCTTTAGGCACAGGCATGGTTTCCATGACATCTGTCTTCCCAACAAAGGAAAGGAGGTTAAATGAATTTTTTTTTTCTAAAATATAATTTAGGGAGATTTAGGCATGACCATACATGTCACACTATTTAAAAAATGTTATTAAAAAAAGAAAAAAAACTGCACCCCTGCCCTCCTCAGCTCTCCCACCTCCTACCCCTGGCATCTTTCCAAATTATAAATGAGAAGCTTGTCTTTCCCTCAGATTCCATATACGAGACCAAATTGTTTTTTTCCATCATTGGAATATAAATTATTGCTTTGTTTAAATTTGATTAAAAATCTCTCCCTTCCTTTCAACACACGCACAGTCATGTACACACACGCACACGCGCACACACACACAGAACTGAAATACAACTTTGGTTTTTTAAAAATTTATTTTAAGCATCTACTCCATGCTCATTAGGAGTTTTACTGAGCACTTATTGGAGCAATTCTTTTTCTGGACATTTAGCCAATATGTCCAGGGGACGCACTCATGTTGCATATATAAGAATCTCAACAGAAAAAGTATTTAGGGTGAGAAGGGGTAAATTGGGTTTCACTTTGAGAGGGGGGAGGTTTAGATATGACTCAAGGCCAGTTTAAGTGGAAAGTGTCAGGACTTTGGAAGAAAGGAAAGACTTTTGCAGCAGAGGAGAAGGGAAACTCCTGGGTAAATAGGAGGGACTGGCTATCAGCGTTATGTTATCTTCTTGAAACTTGCTGGGCAAACTTCCTAATGGCAAGTTATAAGGAAATGCATTAATTAATGAACATGACATTCAGATGCAGACTCTGTAAATCTGGGCATGAAAATGGCCTGTTTCAGGGGTTCCCAAGACTGGCCCCTCATCATCATCATCAGGGATGCTCAAAAGGATGGAACCCTCCCCTAAAGATTCTGGATCTATCCACGTGGGGTAAGCTCAAGGCATCTGTAAGTTGTAGAAGTTTCCCAGGTGCTGCATATTAGTCCTGGACTCCACATTGCCATTTGGGAATTATTTGCCTAATTTTAACAGAAATGAAGGAGCTTCGGGTCTTAGCCAAGAAAGAGATTCTGTAACTTTGTGAATCTGATTTCCCTTTTTTTTTTTTTTTTTTTTGAGATGGAGTCTCACTCTGTTGCCAAGACTGGAATGCAATGGTGCGATCTTGGCTCACTCCAATCTCCACCTCCTGGGTTCAAGTGATTCTCCTGCCTCAGCCTTCCAAGTAGCTGGGATTACATGCATGCGCCAACACACCCAGCTAATTTTTGTATTTTTAGTAGAGACAGGGTTTTACCATGTTGGCCACGCTGATCTCAAACTCGTGATCTTGTGATCTGCCTGCCTTGGCATCCCAAAGTGCTGGGATTACAGACGAAAGCCACCGCACCTGCCCCCCCCTTTTTTTAAGTCAACAATTTGGTGGCTAAATGAAGATGGTAAGATCTGAGCAGATATGTAGTTCAGAAAATAAATTTTTGACTTTTTATTGTAAGGAGACTTGAGTTGAGCATGTGGCAAACTTCTCCTTTCCTGTTTTCATCCCTCCTCTTCGTCTTGGCAGTGAACCCTATCATCCAGCACTATTTGTGCTGTGGTCCATGATGCTCTGGCCAATGACCTGGTGTGTAGGTCACAGCCAGTAAGTGAGACTCTGCTTGTGCCAGTAATTTATATACACTGATATGTGTTTGCCATTCATATGAAGTGATAGTGACATCATGCATTTCCTCTTTTGACCTCTCTTGAAGAAATGCCCACTTCTCCTAGTGTCCTCTTCAAAATGTCCCTGGTAAGTAGGGCTGGATAACCCTATTCACCAGGGATGGGAAAAGCCAAGAGTTTCCCAAAGAATGGCCACCAATACTCTGATAACAAACCAGCACCAATCCAAGAGATCCTTCTATGCTAGCAATGGAAAGAACAAGACAAGTGGAGGACCCCTCTTCAAAGATCATGGCTTGCTTTGGAACCATAAACCTACAACGACGTGATATTTAAAAAGAGGTCCTTTTTAAATCTTAATGGCCTCCTGACAGGTCCTCAGTAGCCTCGGTCACAGAGCTGTCTTCTAAGCATGTAGGTTGAAATCTGTATATATGACCAGCTCATTTGGTATCTTCCTCTATCAACAGGAATCTCTTCTCTCCTTGGATGAAGTAATGAGACATGGTTTATACTCTGTAAAGACAGATGGCTAAGTTATAAGACATTTTCACAGGCTGCTAATAAATATAATGATAATATTAGCTGATGTCTGTTAGCACTTCATCAGGAAGTAGGCACTACATGAAGCCTTACATGCAATATCTCATTTAATTTCCTCAACAATCATATGAGGTGGGTACTGTCATTATTACCATTTTACAGATGAGTAAAGTGGAGGCTCAGAGGGATTAAGAAGTTTGCTTGAGACTGGTAAGGGGCAGATCTAGGAGTCAAACAAGGTCTGTTTGACTCCGAATTCATGTTCTTAAAAATGTCTTTGCTTTGCTGTCCTGTATGAGCTTTTGACACATTTGTTGCACAGTAAAAACAATGGGGTCCACACGCATTCTGATCACTGTGGATTCCTGCACATCTTACCAAGAACAACTGTCTGTACTTCAAGACTGCTGACCTTAACATGTCTGTTGCTGGGGAGGGGGAGGAGGAAGAATGCAAGAGGATACAATTCTTCCTTCTGCTTTACTGCATCACCCAGATCCCCATATAAAGGATCTATTGAAGAATAAAATAACCCGTCTTATTTTTCATCATCTAATCACCCCAGGAAATCAAGTTAAAGATTAAATCCTGAACGCACCAATGTTATTAGACATCACCATCGAGGGCTTTAGCCCATTAGGTAATATCAAGCTCCTGACAGGTCACTGATTTCTTAATTGGCAGCTTGTGACTCATAGCTAAAGAAGGGAAGAAAAGCTCTATGATCCTGCAATGTCCTAATTGCCAATTGAGTTTCTCTCAGAGGGCATGCTCTGTGTATTTTGAAAACCTCATACTGCCACCTGCAATTTCATGATCACCCAGGAAACTTTCAGATATCTTCAAAGATGTTACTTTCCTGTAGGTGTTATTTCCACTAATGAGACCAGAGGGCAAGGCGACCTTGTCTTCCTCCTTCTGAAACTTTGTCTTCATCCTTCACTGTCTGCTATTTACTGCCACAGGGCTGTCTTTACCTAGTCCCTATTTCTCTGAAATTCTTCTTGAATTTTAAACACTTTATTTTTACCCTTTTCAGAGAAGCAGCAATGCCTCTGGCTCAAAGACAATGCATTTGGGTACAACTGGCTGCCTGCAGGGTGAACCTCACCCTTCAGGCCTCGTCACAGCAGAGGAGTGGCTCAGGCACCAGGGCCCAGGCGCCGGGCACACCTGCTACATTCCTCCAACTGTGAGTAGCCATGGGGGAGTTGGGGGCACACAAGATGAAAAGAACATTTTTTTTTTTTTGAGACAAGGTCTTGCTCTGTCACTTAGGCTGGAGTGCAGTGGTGCAATCACGGCTCACTGCAGCCTGGACCTCCTGGGCTCACACGATCCTCCAACCTTAGCCACCTGAATAGCTGGGACCACAGACATGTGCCACAGTGCCCAGCTAATTTTTGTATTTTTTGTAGAGACAGGGTTTTGCCATGTTGTCCAGGCTGGTCTTGAACTCCTGACCTCAGGTGATCCACCTACCTTGGCCTCCCAAAGTGCTGGGATTACAGGTGTGAGCCACTGTGCCTGGCCAAAAGACCTGCTTTCTGTCTTCATAGTGTTTACAGTCTAATGTGGAGGAAAATAAAAGTCTATAAAATAAGCACAGTACAAGAAAAAATGTAGCAGATTTCTTAAGAAATATCTTCACCAAAGTGCTATAGAAATTAAGAGAAGAAAATGGTATTTCCATACAAGCCATGTCAGATGCATTGCAGAAGCCCCCTGCTTTCAAAACTCTTCTCCAGCACAGTATAAATACACTATTAAGCCTAAACCAACCTGATTCTAATTTTTCCCTACAAGTGAATGTGTGTTTAACAGCCCAGGTTGTTCCACTTAACGGCAGGTGTTGCCCAGTATTGCCTCTGCTTCATTCCGTTCCTTTCTTCTCTGCATTTGGCTTGGTGCCCCTGAAGGTCACTCTGTTGTCCAGCTAAAGATGGTGAATGTTCCCTCTCCAGGCAGAAGCAGGCCATTGGGTGGGTATTTCTGAAGGGCTCGGAACATCGTTCCAG
Source organism: Homo sapiens (assembly GCF_000001405.40). Taxonomy (NCBI): domain Eukaryota; kingdom Metazoa; phylum Chordata; class Mammalia; order Primates; family Hominidae; genus Homo; species Homo sapiens. The sequence continues at coordinate 222,978,192 of NC_000002.12, forward strand.
AGGGTCCCCAGATTGCTCTGGATTCTGACAGTGGTACCTGGACGTGATACTCAAGTTTCCTTGAATGGAGACATGATGCTTCTCCAGCAAGTGTTAAAGTTACCCAGATACTTCTGAAACTTGTGAAAAGATATGGCTTTTTCATGTATGTTATTTTCACTAATGAGACCGGAAGGTCTTTCCCTTCTATCACCCTGTCTCCATCCTTCTTTATCTATGTCAACATGAAATAATCAAAAGGATCAGAATCCAGTATTCAAGAGTTTGTTCAAGTGAAAAGCTGGGAATAACCACTTAGAAGACACAAACTCCAGAAAAATGGGTTCAGTCCTCCAAAATTAAAAGTTACCTTCCTGCTTATATTGGCAGAAAACAAAGAAGCTTGATAGGATTATAGCATTTTCTATACAGGGCTTGTTGGTGATTTACAACAATTTAATTCATTACAGTTTGTTTTCTTTTCCACAGGGCTTGTTTTCATTTTCTTTCCAATTTAAAAGAATGTATTCAACATTCCATCTTTAGAAAATGTGATAACCATCAAGTCTTTGCATGAGAAAGGTAAGAGGGAAGTTAATCTATAATGAAGATCAACTGTGAAGAGGGATGGGGTCTTCCCTGCCTCCCTTTAGTCATTTACAACATTTAAAAAAACAATGCAGGTAAGGAAGAAGTCTAATCTATAATGAGAGAAACAACAGTTACACCTGCCCAGGTTACAGATGCCTCTCACATGACTCAGGCACTATAGTCATATTTCTTTAAAACTCAAAATAGTTTGGAGTCCCCACAGCCTAGATTTTATTTTCACATCTGCAAGTCATTGAGAACTACTCCTGTCTCCTTGTCCCTCCCTATACCATTTCCTCCCCCTTCTCTGAGTTCTTTTTCCCAGTCTCCTTTGCTGGGCACCTCACAACCCCCACTCATCCTTACATGCTGAAGTCATCCAGGATTTGCTTCCAGATTCCTTGCTTCTATTTCTGAACCCACCTGTTCCTTTTAACCATTTGCCTGGTTTAATTCCCATTGCCTTTCCCCTTGAATGTAAAAATTGAAGTATGACTTACTTGCCTTAAAGTGCACACTTCTTAAATATATATGTGATGAATTTTTACTTATATGTACACCTATGTAGCTGCCAGTTAAACCAAGGTTAGAGAATTTCCAGCTTCCAGAAATGCTCCTGCATGACCATCTCAGCCAGTACCCCACAACGAAGCCTCGAGTCTGACCTCCACCATCATAGGTTAGTTTTGTTTACTTTTGGACTTCATATAAATGGAATCATACCGTGTGTACTCTTCTGTCTTTAATTTGTTTCATTGAACATTATGTCTATGAGATTCACACATGTATCAGTAGCTTATTCTTCTTATTTGGAGTGATTTCAGATACTCCCTACTGATAGCATTGTCTCATGAGCATGAGGCAGTGGGGGAAGAGGAAAATTACAGATAAAAATATAAATAACACCAAATCTGCTGACTATAACGGTTTGAGAATTCCAAGGGAGTTTGAGAATGTTGAGACTGTCTCAGGCAGTGAGTCTTTGGTGGTTAAAGTAAAGCCAGAACTGTTTCCAGCCATATGACCCTTTGAGTCCAATGGCACCTTAGAGTTATGGGAAGTTGTTTACCTGGGAGACGATAATGTCCACATCTCAGTGTCCAGTGCCCTGGTGTTGAACACCTAGACACCTAGACTAGTACTTTCTATTTTGAGCAAAGATGGGACCTTGTGCTCCTGGGACCTTTAAATTTTTGTGAGGAGCCAGTGGATATGTCGGTGCACCGGCATTGAGACTACATGAATACTACGTCTTGCAAATGTATTTATTGCCACTTTTGTGGTCTGCATAGATGCTCTTCTGATTAATAAATATAAAAGTACTAGATGTATCATTGACTCCATTGTTTTCTGCCATTTAGATAGCTTTTTAAAAAATGAAGCAAAAGGAAAAGTATGATGACATTCATGTAGAAGTGCTTTGGAAATTTTCTGGTATTAAGATATGTTCTTTTATACTTAGAAAGGTTAGAAACCATCTCGGTTTATTGTACCCAGAAAGCATTTAGGGCTCAAAATGTGCTCGTTGAATGTTGAACAAACAAGGAGATGGGGCTCCTGGGAGAGTAAGTGACTAGACAAAGGTCTCACTGCAGTTAATGGAAAAACTGCACAGGAAGGCAGGTCTCACGGCATCAAGAAAGTCTAAATTTTTACCCCTAAGGTTTTGCATAGATAACGGCTCCTGGGAACCATCTTCTACCCTCCTTGTGTCTGGGTCTTTCTAATTAGGCTTTCTCCCTTGTGTACCAAATTCTCCCACAAATCACTAAAGATTTTATAGGCCTTAAATTGAAAACAAGATGATATCATTTTGTCATAGTGCACAAGTTAGTAATAAAATAGTGTGATTGTTTTTCAGTGATTTGATTTGAGAAGTTTGTAGTTATTTGTGCCCAGACAGGTTAACCAGTAACTGCTTAGCCAGCTTGTCTGCATTCAGTTCACTCTTTAGAAGGAGCAGCCTTTGACTAACCTCTCCCCATTTCCCCCATCCCCAGCCTCTGGCGGCCACTCTTCCACTCTATTTCTATGAGTTTGACTTTTTTAGATTCCACATAGAAGCAAGATCATACCGTCTTTGTCTTTCCCTGTCTGAGTTATTTCACTTGGCATCATGTCTTCCAGGTTCATCCAAGTTGTCGCAAATGGCAAGATTTGCTTCTTTTTGGCTAAATAATATACAATTATATATATATACACACACACAAACACACATATACATGTATTTCACAATTTATGTATTCATGTCAATGGACACTTATGGTGGTTATACCTTGGTTATTGTGAACAGTGCTCCAATGAATAACGGAGTGCAGCTATCTCTTTGAGCTATTGATTTCATTCCTTCTCAACACCACACACACACACACACACACACACACACACACACACACACACACACACACACACTGGTAAGTAGGTGAGGTGATGGATGTATGAACAAAATTGATTGTGGTCATCATTTTTTCACAATATATACATATATCAAATCCTAATATTGTACATCTTAAACTGATAGAGTTTTGTCAGTTAGTTATACCTCAATAAAGCTGGAAAAAATAAATAAAAGGAACATCCTGCTGGCTGTCTCTGTGGGACAGCCTGGCCCAGCAGAGCCACTCTCCAGACACTGCACATGCATGTGTCCCTGTAAGAAGCCGCTGCTGTTCCTTCCTGAACAGTGAAGCTGGTCCCTGTGAGATGTTGCCATCCTTGGGGGAATACCTCAAGTGGCTTCTGCAATGTTCAAAGGCTTCTGCGACAACCTCAAACCGACCTCTAGCCCTCCAAAGATTGTGCTGGACTCTGCCTGGAAGGGTGAGGGAGGTGCCCATTTTTTCTCTTGCCCAAAGACCCTCCCCTTCTTCCATGTGTGCCTGAAGCTGTCTTGAGGCACCAGAGAGCCCCTGTCTGTTTTTCACTCATTTCTGCTAAGCCTGTGTTCACAGATTGAGGTAAACCCCGCTGGAGAAATAGAATCTGCTTTCAGCTTCATCTGCAGAACTAGGTCACTTTAGTCTTTTGCTAACCAGATTACCAATAAAAATTGCCTGGAAAAAGATGGAGAATGAAAACAAACAAAATGAAACAACATTAAGACAAAAGATAAATCTGTGATAATTTCTTGAGTATAGCATGTTTCTATTTCTGCTTCTGTGGTTCAGATATTAAAGACTTAAAGTAAATCTCTTTGTTGTAAGATTAAAGAGAATTTCCCATATTAAATAAAATTAAAAGCTTGGATTAAAGGAAGCAACACTATCAGCTAGTTTCTTCCATTGGTTGCATCATCGACATCTTTGAACCCCAGGATTTAAGATGGAGCAACTTCCAAAAACTCTTGTCCTTTCAAGCCATTTCTGCGGTGACACTGAGGCTACTGGGGAATCTGTTTGGCCAGTGGAGGGCACTTCAGCCTCTTGCTCTGGGTGTAATCACTTTGCTTTTCACACATGACCTGGCAGAGCTGATGCAACTCTAGTGCCTCACACAAACATTTCCATTTGCAACCTACTGGATTGTGTCATTCATCTCTTTTTGCTCTTGCATTTCCTTCTAATATTGAAGGTAGACTTGCTGGCTTGGAAACCTGACATCTGTGCTTTGAAGTCTAGGAGGATGAAAAAGTCTTGAAGCCAGGACAAGATGGCCCGCAAAGGGATCAGGTTTTATTCTGACCAAAATAAAGACTTTTTAAAGACTTTTGAAGCCTTGTTTATGCTATCAGGGCTCCAATTTAAAAGATGTCACTGTCAGTAGATGTCTTCTGATTTTGAGAAGCACATGTGATGAGTTCTGGGTCACTCACCTTCCCACGGTGTCCTCGGTGTTCCTAGCCTCATTGTTGCTCTCAGCCAGCCTCAACCAAAACCACTTCCTCTGGAAGCCTGTCCCTTCCCCCACTCCCATTTGCGAGTCTTCCCAGATGCCCTTTTCTAGTGCTTCAACCACGGTCCCCCACCTGCCTCTCCCTCTACCTGCTCCCTTAACAGCTCCACCTTGCCCCTCCTCTTAAGGGTGAGGAGTAGCTACAGGTAGAGAAATACTTAACGTCATGCTTTTATTTTTGGACTCCCCAGTAGACCTGAGTGCTTTATTCAAGGAGGACATCAGCATTGATTTTCCCTCTCAGCAAAGTGCTTTAAAGGTGAAAGTGCCTTTTCACAGAGCTGGGGCCACCTTGCATCATAGCCTTGGAGCCATTTCTGTGTGGCAGAGAGAAGGCTACCCACTCCTTCCCCACTTCCCGTCTCCATTGACAGCCTTCTCTTTGAAGCTGATGTGTGCCTCTGACTTTCTGCAACCCTGAACTTTCAGCATTGTGTTTTTCGGCTAGCCATTCTACAGCTTGATCATCTGAATGCAGATATGCATAGAGGTTCTGCTCGTGACCATGTGACCCACCTTTGTATCCTGCAAGAACAATGGGATTGGTGTGGAGGATGAGAGCTGGAGCTCTGGAGTCAATATGCCTAGAGGGAATTGTGGATTACTATCATGTAATCTTCAGCAAGCTAATTAATGGCTCTGTGCCTTAGTTTCCTCCTCTGCAAAATGAAGGTAGTAACGGAAGCTACTCATGGGATCATTAAAAGAATTCTATGAGACAGTACTTATTATAAATTTAAAGTGGTTTGTGACATATAGTAAATGGTCAAAAAATGTTAGCTAGTAGTCAAAATAGAAGTAGGGTGAGATTTAATTACATTTATAAAAATCACTCAAGCCTGCAAATGCCCAGTGCACCTGAGGGAGTGACAGAATCATCATTGTCCAAATCTAGTTCCTACTTGTCCCAAGCAAGAAAATGTCAGGGCAAACAGCTCCGTCCTTTCTTCCTCCATCTGTGAGGTAGCAATGTGAATGCCTCTCTTCCTTTTTCTCTAGGTACCCATAGTAGGAGAGACAATGTATTCTACACCAGGACTTCTAAAATGTTCATGTGCGTAGAACTCACTTGGAAATCTTAGACAGATATGGATTCTGATTTAGTAGTTCTGGGCTGGGGCCTGAGAGTCTACATTTCTTTTCTTTCTTTTCTTTTTTTCTTTTTGAGATGGAGTTTTGCTCATTTTTCCCAGGCTGGATTGCAATGGCATGATCTCAGCTCATTGCAACCTCTGCCTCCCTGGTTCAAGTGATTCTCTTACCTCAGCCTCCCAAGTAGCTGGGATTACAGGCATGCACCACCATGCCAGGCTAATTTTTTGTCTTTTTAGTACAGATGGGGTTTCACCATGTTGGTCAGCTGGTCTTGAACTCCAGACCTCAAGTGATCCACCCACCTCGGCCTCCCAAAGTGCTGGTATTACAGGCATGAGCCACCATGCCTGGCTGAGATTCTGCATTTCTTTCAAGGTCACAAGTGCTGCTGTTGCTTCTGGTCTGGGCACCACATTTTGAGTAGCAAAGATCTATACGATGATCTGACCTGGAGGCAGGAGCCCATCTGGGTGAATATTAGGTGGAAAAGAACACCAGGAGTGGCTCAGCTGCTAGGGCTCAGAATGGTGTTTCAGGCTCCTGTGTGGTTATACCCCAGAAATGCAAATGGACTCTTGCTAAAAGGTTCTGAAATGGCCACAAATATTTGAAAACCCTGAGGCCAAGGCCATCTTATTTTGGGCTCAGTCTTTATGTATTTTTATTTTAAATATTTATTTTATAGATCTATCTATCTATGTATCTAGCTATCTAGCTATGTCTGTGGTCCCCCACCCAGAGATGGACTCAGTACACAAGGGCCATTTTCCACACCCCTGATTGCAGTCACAACCAATTAGCAGGACCCAAGGACCCATTCCCTAGTCCCTATATATATGTACACACACACGCACACACACTCACACACACACTTTTTTTTCAAGAGAATCATAGTAAACTTTAAAAAGGGACTCAAACATGCATTTTGAAAGCAAAGGTAGTCACAGTAAATGCAGTACATTTTTGAAAAAATGATTCAGATATACATTTTAAAAGAAAAGTCACAATATTTTCAGCATTTTAAAGTTTTAGGAATACATGACATAAAGTTCTTGTGACTCTGGAGCCCTACTTTCCTCTTTATCCTCCCTTCTGTGTATGTACAAATCACACATTCATATCCATATTTCATTTGGCTAAAATGGTAAGTTTCTAAGCTTGTAATTCTTCACTGTTATTGTAAGGGGAACTTGAGGGAGGTGGTCAAAGTGAGGGGCAGGGAAGGAGCCCTTCCCGGTGAGCAGCAGCAAACTACCACTGGAGCAAGGTCAAGACTGTCTTGATTTGCAGCTAGTTCCATCAGCCCAGAGTTTTTCAGAGCACACCAGCAGCTCTGAAGTTTCCTATCCTGTGTTTTAATGTGGTTTTTTGAGATTTAATTTTGGTGAATCAGATCCTCAGGGGCATACATTTTTATATTCTAGGCTAAAGCTGCCACAGGGAGGGAAACGTAGGGATTCTTTTTTAGATTAAGTGGTATCTGTCATTTGCAGATACTCATCTTTGCAGATGCCCATCTTTGATGGCACTTTTTATGTAGGTAAGTTTTGTGGTCCATGGGTCTCTGGTTCATAGTACGTGGCTGACTCAGAAGAGAGACTCTATCCACAAAGGTGTAATCACTTGACACCCTCTTTGTGCCTGCTGCACAGACAAAACCAATTCACTGAGACCACGGTATTGCAGTAAAGAAAGAGTTTAATTAATGCTAGGCTAAACACATGGAAGATGGAGTTATTATTACTCAAATCAGTCTTCCCAAAGGCTTGGAGGTTAGGCTTTTTCAAGGCAGGGGACTAGGGAATGGGTCCACATGATTGGTTGGGGATGCAGTCATAGGGTGTGGAAAATGGTCCGTGTGCTGAGTATGCCTCTGGGTAGGTTTAGGGGGTGCAGAAGATCAGTTGAGTCATGAGCCATGAGTCTAGGTGGGATTACTGAGTTTCCAGAATGCAAAGGTCTGAAAAGCATCTCAAAAGACCAATCTCAGGTTCTATAATAGTAATGTTATCTATAGGAACAATTGGAGAAGGCACAAATCTTGTAACCTCTGGCCACATGACTCCTGAGCGGTAGGAGGTTATAGAAACTATATCTACATTTTAGTGGAGTTCAGGCTCCTCCCATAATCCTAATCTCATGGCCTTTCACCAGGTTTTTGCACTGAGCAAGGGGAGAATTAGTTTTAGGGAGGAACTGTTCTCATCCTTGCTTCCAAGTTAAACTATAAACTAAATTCCTCCCATGGTTAGCTTGGCCTACGCCCAGGAATAAGCAAAGACAGTCAGCCTGTGAGGCTAGAAGCAAAATGGAGTCAGCCCTGTTAGACTTCTCTCACTGTCATAATCTTTACAAAAGAGGTTTCAAGGTTGCCAGGAGAGTTTCACAGGACCTGGTCCATTTGGATGTAAGACACCTCTTTCTTCAGACTTCCTCCATGTGGACCCATTCTGCTGCTGGACTGGATATGTTGATGTGAAATTTGCTGTTGACCTGGCAGTCTACATTCATGCTGCAGAAGGACAGTCGTAGCAATGTATTTCCTGAGTATTGGAAGAAACAGCCAAAAAAGAATTGACTTCACCTTGAGATGAACCCCGTACCCTTGAACCTGTAGATGTATATTCATGAAAACAAATGGAAGGACTTTGGGCACTTGACCTCTATTTTGTTACAATTTATATTATTAGCAGCAGAGATTTAGGCCAGGAGACTGGATTCTTGTTTGTGACCTTGATAGAACGTATTAACTTTATTTATGTTGTAATGTGAATGATTCTTTGACTTTAGGAGAGGGAAGTCCACTTCCTTGAATGTAAGTTATACATTTTATTTTATTTTTCCGTCAACTGGGAGAAGTCCATCTCTCTACTAGGCTGATAAGCTCTTACCATATGTACATGTCTTTCCTTTTATATGTTTAAATCTTTGAATTTTATAGAATACTAAGAATTGAAACTTTATGCACTTTTGAACCTTTGAAATCTTTCTTTCTGCTAGGACCATACGACACTTAAATATACCTAAATTATATCTTATTAGATTTTGAATATTTTATATGGCTCTGTCTGATTTGATGCCAGAACTCACTGGGTAATTCTACTATTATTCTCCCTGGAGTTAAAAACTGCTTTTTATTTATATTCACTCTTCCTAATCTTTGTCAGTACACAAATGTGATTGAATAACAAGGCTCAACAGAAATACATGAAAGTATTTCACTCTCTTTTAAAATGTTTTATGTTAACTCTTTTTCATTTTGTGTACAACAAGTATTTTTCTAAAAACTTTATTTCTCAGACCCCTTTGAGAATCTGACAGGCTGTAGATTCTCTTTCTAGAAAAATACACACACATATAAGACATTTTGTCCCGGCTCTTAATTATTGGTTATTACTGGGTTATATTAAATTCTTTATCTGCACTTCACTTTTTGTGGTATTTCTGTCTTCCTATTTTTTCTTATATTTTCTCATTTATTTGTTCTTTCTTTTAATCAATTTCCTTTCTTTCAATTTAATATCTAAGTACTATAACACAGCTATGAGCGCATTGCTATAGGCACATAAAATATTGAACAACGAGCTTCCTCTTTGGGATCAGAGAATATTGCCAAGAGGCAGGAGGAACTTTGAGCTGGAAATTGAGAAATGAGCTCAAGTTTCCAAGGCAGAGTAGATAGAGGAAAAGATGTGGCCCTCCACTCCAGCCAGGGTGAAAGAGAAAGACTGTTTAAAAAAAAATTAGATGAAACACCACATACTAGGGCAATAAAGTGTGGAAAAGTTTGTAAAAGTCCAGTGAGAAGGGGCAATGGCAGTACAGGGGACCAGGGCTGTGGTTGGTGTGCTGGAGAGAAGAGCAAGTGTCAGCAAGAATGAGCATAAGGAGACCTCTTGCTCTATATTTAAGTTCCAACATCATGAACACAGTGAGTGTTTCTGTTCCTTGGTCTGGGGGTTTAGCAGTCCCTGAAGTATCCCATTTGAAGCCAAGAATAGCCTCAATCAATAATAATATCTTTATTTCTAAATATACAACTTAAACCTTTTGAAAGAATAATTGGTGTTCAATTCTGATTTAGGTCCGTTTGGGTGGTCATTACAAAGTATCTTAGACTGGGTAATTCATAAACAATAGAAATGTATTGCTCACAATTCTAGAGGCTGGAAAGTTCAAGAGCAAGGCATCAGCAGATTCAGTGTCTGCTTAGGGCCTCTCCTCATGGCTAGTGCTTTCTATGTGTCCTCCCAGGGCAGAGGGGATGAATAGGCTCCCTCAAGGCTTTTTTTATGAGGGTGCTGTATTAGTCCATTTTCACCCTGCTGATAAAGACATACCTGAGACTGAGAAATGTAAAAAAGAAAGAAGTTTAATGGACTTACAGTTCCACATGGCTAGTGGGGGGGAGCGGGGTTCACAATCATGGTGGAAGGCAAGGAGGAGCAAGTCATGTCTTACATGGATGACAGCAGGCAAAGAGAGAGAGAACTCATGCAGGGAAGCTCCTCTTTATAAGACAATCAGATCTTGTGAGGCTTATTCACTATCACAAGAACAGCAGGGGAAAGGCTTCCCCCCTTATTCAGTTATCTCCCACAAAGTCCCTCCCACAACACATTGGAATTGGGTGGGGACACAGCCAAACCATATCATTCTGCTCCTGGCCCCTTACAGATCTCATGTCCTCACATTTCAAAACCAATCATGTGGCCAGACACAGTGGCTCATGCCTGTAATCCTAGCACTTTGGGAAGCTGAGATGGGTGGATCACGAGGTCAGGAGTTCGAGACCAGCCTGACCGATGTGGTGAAACCCCATCCCTACTAAAAAACACAAAAATTAGCTGGGTGTGGTGATGCACACCTGTAGTCCCAGTTACTAGGGAGGCTGAGGCAGAATAATTGCTGGAACCCAGCAGGCAGAGGTTGCAGTGAGCTGAGAGCATGCCACTGCACTCCAGCCTGGGCAACAGAGCGAGACTCTGTCTAAAAAAAGAAAAAAAAAAAAAAACAAAAGAAATCAAAACCAATCATGTGTCTTAACTCATTTCAGCATTAACTCAAAAGTGCACAGTCCAATGTCTCATCTGATACAAGGCAAGTCCCTTCCACCTATGAGCCTGTAAAATCAAAAGCAAGTTAGTTACTTCCCAGATACAATGGGATACAGGCATTGGGTAAATATAGCCATTCCAAATGGGAGAAATTGGCCAAAACAAAGGTACTACAGGCCCCATGCAAGTCTGAAATCCAGCGGGGCAGTCAAATCTTAAAGCTCCAAAATGATCTCCTTTGACTCCATGTTTCACCTCGAGGTCACACTTATACAAGTGGTGAGTTCCCATGGTATTGGGCAGCTTCACCCCTGTGGCTTTGCAGGGTATAGCCTCCCTCTTGGCTGCTTTCATGGGCTGGCGTTGAGTGCCTGTGGCTTTTCCAGGTGGACAGTGCAAGCTGTCAGTGGATCTACCATTCTGGGGTCTGGAGGATGGTGGCCCTCTTCTCACAGCTCCACTATGTGATGCCCCAGTAGGGACTCTGTGTGGGGGCTCTGACCCCACATTTCCCTTCTGCACTGTCCTAGCAGAGGTTCTCCATGAGGGCCCTGCCCCTGCAGCAAACTTCTGCCTGAGCATCCAGGCATTTCCATACATCCTCTGAAATTTAGGTGATGGTTCCCAAACCCCAATTCTTGACTTCTGTGTACTGGGAGGCTCAACACCACATGGAAGGTGCAATGACTTGAGGCTTGCACCCTCTGAAGCTGTGGCCTGAGCTCTACATTGCCTCCTTTCAGCAACTGCTGGAGCAGCTGGGATGCAGGGCACCAAGTCCCTAGGCTGCACACAGCACAGGGAGCCTTGGCCCAGACCACAAAACCACTTTTTCCTCCTAGACCTCCAAGTCTGTGTTGGGACCTTTGAGTCTGCCTCAAAGGTCTCTGACATGCCCTTGAGACATTTTCCCCATTGTCTTGTGGGTTAACATTCAACTCCTTTTTACTTATGCAAATTTTCTGCAGCTGGCTTGGATTTCTCCTCAGAAAATGGAATTTTCTTTTCTATCACATTGTCAGGCTGCAAATTTTCTGAACTTGTATGCTCTGCTTCCTGTATAAAACTGAATGCCTTTAACAGCATGCAAGTCACCTCTTGAATGCTTTGCTGCTTAGAAATTTCTTCCACCAGATACCCTAAATCATTTCTCTCAAGTTCAAAGTTCCACAGATCTCTAGAGCAGGGGCAAAATGCCACCAGTCTCTTTGCTAAAACACAACAAGAGTCATCTTTGCTCCTGTTCCCAACAAGTACCTCAACTCTGCCCGAGACCACTTCAGCCCAGATTTCACTGTCCATATCATTATCAGCATTGGTCAAAGTCATTCAACAAGTCTCTAGGAAGTTCCAAACTTTCCCACATTTTTCTATGTTATTCTGAGCCCTTCACATTGTTCCAAACTCTGCCTATTACCCAGTTCCAAATTCGCTTCCACATTTTCAGGTATTTACAGCAGTGCCCCACTCTACTGGTACCAATTTACTGGATTAATCCGTTTTCATGCTGCTGATAAAGACATACCCGAGATTGGGCAATTTACAAAAAAGAGGTTTAATGGACTTACAGTTCCATGTGTCTGTGGTGGGGGGTCACAATCATGGCAGAAGGCAAGAAGGAGCAAGTCATGACTTACACAGATGGCAGCAGGCAAAGACAGAGAGAGAGAACTCGTGCAGGGAAGCTCCTCTTTATAAAACAATCAGATCTCATGAGACTTACTACCATGAGAACAGCATGGGAAAGACTTGCCCCCATGATTCAATTATCTCCCACTGGGTCCCTCCCATGACACATGGGAATTCAAGATGAGATTTGGGTGGGGAGACAGCCAAACCATATTGGGTGCTAATCCCATTCACGAAGGCAGAACGCTAATGAACTAATTACCTTCCAAAGGCTCTATCATCACCTTGGAGGTTAAGTTTCAACATATGAATTCTGGGGGGACACAAACATTCAGAGCATAGCAAATTTAATTTATAGTAGTTAAAGGTCTGCTCTCATATTCTAAATGGGTTGTCATTGTCATCATTATCATCATCATGATAACAATCATGTCAACAATGATAACCACCGCCACCACTCACTTTGGATGGAAGAGCTTAGGTTAGGTTCAGGATAAGGTAATTTTTAATAAAGATAAGCCCAAAACACACATAATCCTTGCCTTAAGATGCAGACATTCTCTTGCCTGATTCCACATTACAATATTAGGCAGGAAAAAAATATTACCTTAGGAACTGAGTGATAAATAATACAAAGCCGTCTTTTCCAAACCCACATCACTGCCTTTGTTCAGACCCTCCCGATCTCTTGCTTGACTTTGTGGTACCTTCCTCACTAGTTTCCCCACCTCTGGTCTAACCCCAGTTGCATTATCCCTGGTACTGTAGCCAGAAGGATATTTTTATTTATTTATTTATTTTTTTAGATGGAGTCTTGCTCTGTCATCTAGGCTGGAGTGCAGTGGTGCAATCTTGGCTCACTGAAACCTCTGCCTCCTGGATTCAAACAATTCTCTGGTTTCAGCCTCCTAAGTAGCTGGGATTACAGGTGTGTGCCACGATGTGTGGCTAATTTTTGTATTTTTAGTAGAGAAGGGGTTTCACCATGTTGGCCATGCTGGTCTCGAACTCCTGACCTCAAGTGATGTGCCTGACTCAGCCTCCCAAAATCTTGGGATTACAAGTGTGAGCCACCTCACCCAGCCCGTAGGGATCTTTCTAATATGCAAATCTGATCATGATGCATCCTAATCTAAACCACTTACATTTCTCTAATTTTCATGCAACAATGTCCAAACCACTAAATAAAGAACGTAGAGATCATAGGATGCACTATGCCCTGACTTTTTTCTGCTTGGGTAGTCTCATCTCTAATACTGCTACCGAACGCAGTTCCCTGAATACATAAGCTAGTCTTCATCTTCACATTTTTTAAGTTGACTTTCCTTTAGCCTCATAAACTCTTTCCTTTTTTTCTTGGTCTGGCTAGAGAATCATTATTCATCCTTTAAAAGCCAGCTCAAATGTTGTTTCCTCCAAGAAGCCTTCTTTGATATCTCTAGAGACAATTAAGAGTTTATTTCACCATATTCCCATAATGCCTTGCTTCTATCTGTATAAAAATCTTAAGACCAGAACAAATTATTAGAACACTGGGAGGCCTAGGACAGTGGAGTTTGTGCTTAGTTCACCTTAATATCTTCTCCACAAGGCTGAGTACAGAGTTGGTATTGATAGTTATTGAATGAGTGAAAACACACATGTTATTTAAAATAATCTTTGAGTATAAACACCAAAAGTTTATTTTTCTGATGAGAAAGTCATCTTTTTCCCCCCTCCTGAGAATTCTTTTCCCATTTACTTTGGTGAGAATGGGATGGAGGGCTAGGAACAGAACTAGGAGGGACAGGAGAGATGAAGGGGATTAGAAGAGATTGGAGTGTAAAGAGTGATAATTGAGACAGAAAGGAAGTGAAAACAAGGCTATTCCTCTTTATGTTAGTGTATCAGGCTGAGGTCCAGAGAGAAAAATCCCCGTGGGTTTTCAAAAAGGAAGCTTGGGCTCCCAGTATGTGTCCATGTAGCAGAGCAGTGTCTATCTGTCCCTGCTTCCAAGGGAGGAAAGGAGAACGTGTGAGGTCTCTGTGTACAAAGTTCAGAAGGAACTTGGGTATCCACACTACAGCTGTCTCTACATTCTGTTTGTTTTCCTTTTCATTCTCCCTCCCAGCACTTAGGAACCTTCCTTTTCAGGCTGTTCAGCTGAAGATGACCAGGAAACATAACCTAAACAACCCTAAGCCTTTGGGCCAAGGGCATTCAGCCTTCCATTGCTCCCAATCCAAGAGCTAGATTTTGAGCGTCTTCCATTAAGGACCCATTTTGCTTGAGAACTGTGTCCAGTGTCTTGGCAGTGCTTGGTAGCCCTCTGGAAAGATGCTGGCTTTTCTAGTGGCAGGACTGAGTGGCATGTAGGTGAACGGGCAGTAGTACTGTTGGCCCGCCTGAACATGGGGAAGTAGATTTGGGGGAAGAATTAGTGCTGTATGCTTTTATCCTTGAGGATGTGAAGACAGCCTGGAAAAGGTACTCTTGGACCATGCTCTTGCCTTAAGAAGAGAATGTCATGGTGGAGGCAGGAGCACCTGGAGCCTGGCTGCCAAGATCGTTGACTTTTATCTTCCCAGAAAATTGTGCTCCTATAGTTAGCTCTGTAAGTGGAAGCTCCTCTCTCACAGTAGATTCTGTTTTGTGGTGGGCTAATGACTTAGCATAGCTCCTTTCTCTGTCCTGAAATATCTAGGCCTATTGCCCACTTTTTAGGACCTAGCTTCAAAGGAGCAGAGGTGAGGGAAGGGGCTTATCCCTCATTTGAAATAGGAATATGGACAAAAATTGGTTAAATAAAATGTCCAAGGTAGGTGTGGTCAGTAATTATCCCTGGAGAGGTATTTCTGAGATGAGATACCAGAAAGGGATAACAAGAAACTTGAGGGGTATAAAAAGAGACAATGGGTGATGGTGTTCATAGGAGACTTTTAGTTGCATTTTAGGGACCGACAGACAACAGTTCTATTTCAGCTGCTAGCTGATAATTTCCTGATTCCTTCTTTCACTGATATGGTAAGGCTCTCCTTCCCTAGAGTGCTGGTCTTGATGAAACTGTCTTCATTTGCTCCTTTTTAGAGATGTTTCAGTTCTTTCTCACAAAGGGAAAAAAAGATAATTGAATATTAAAATATTCAAATGTATGGTTTATCCCTGGGATAACTAGACTCAAAATCTCCAATTAGTAGGATATTCTGACCAGACCATATTATCCTTTCATCATCTAGCCAGCTACACATAGACACGAGGTCATATTTTCCTGGTCTTTGGTACTTTAGGAGCTTTACTATTTCAGAAGTACTTCAGAAGCAGGGATTCAATGAAATACATGCACATACACAACACACATATGTACACACCAGCCTTTTTCATGATTAGGATTGGTATGGAGGAAAATTAGGTAATGTCTCTCATTCATTTATGAAATATGTTTTGAGCACTTCTATGAACTAGCTTTTCTACTAGGAGCTGGGATACAGCAGGGAGTAAGTCAGAGGCTCTTTATTTGCATGTGGTTCAAAAACCGATAAACATCAGGCAAATAATGCAAATCTCTATTACTCCTACAATACACTATTCCAATTTAATTTTTTTTCCCTCTGTTTTCTGTTGTGGGAGTCCTCAGGGTCTTGGCAACTTTCCAGTTCTAGAACAGATGCATGGAAGGCACAGTCAGGGATGTGTCTTAACATCGATTCATCTCTGCCAGACAACTGGATGAGCCAACGGGTTTCTTGGGAGCGTCTGTCTCCCTGACCACATTATGAAAAAGCCGATACCCACCCTAACCAGGACGCCCATTCTGTTGACTTTCAGCACTGCCCTGGTTTCAGGAAGCATCTGTGGTGCTTTTGCCCATTAGCGTTTCATGCTGTCTGCCCAGTGTCCATAGATATGATGGGAAGACCACCTGGTCAGAGGTGGCTTGCTCTGTCTCACAGTGGAATCCTGGCTTCTCTCTCCATCTTGTTTATAAAGCTGCATCTGCTCAGTCTCAGATGAGAAGAGGACACGAGGCAGCACTGCTGGCAGCTCTTAGTCACTCTGCAGAGAGTTCTGGTAATTTTCCTCTGTGAGAAAGGGGGCTGGTTGCCAGCCTCAGTCTGTGATTCCTGTGCTGTTCCCTCCAGTGTCAGCTGATGAAATAAGGCCTTTTGATTTCCTTCACTGTTACATTCTCTGGCAAAGAACCACCAGGGAAATGAGACTAGGAACTTTCAGGCTATCCCAGGCAGCTGAGAAGTATTCATAGAAACAAAAATATTAGATTCGTTAAATATTAAGTGCCAAATCACAATGATACACTGGTGCTCATGAATGTATTACGCATATGTAGATTTGAACATAACGTTTGCACTTGTATGTTTTTCTCCCCAGAAGTTTGCATCAGTTAGGAAAGAATAATATTCCCTTTGCATTATCTTGGCTCTTTCTGGATGAAAAGCAAAAACACCATTTAGCTCTTGGCCCAGAGGTGTTTCTCTTCTGTACATTTTTGGGGCAGGGTTTTCTGAGGGAATGTGGGCCTTTCATTTCTTCTTTATAATCCTATATTCCAATTATTGTAGAAGCCTTTCCTCTTGGAAGATGTGGGTTTAGGGTGTCTAGCACTGCACACCCTGGTTGAAGTATTAAATCTCTCATACTTTAGATTTGTGATTCTGGTGGGACAATTAATTATAGGATCCTCCTCCTTTCCTATAAGCTGCACAGTATAGGCCTGGTTAATTACAAATTCCCATTTTCTTGACCACTCTGATGATACAGGTAAGAGCCTGGTACCTGAGACGGACCAATCTTTCTTTAGGGTTCTTCTGTTTGGAGCTGGAGCTCTGAGAAGAAATCTTGCACTGGGCTTGAGAACAGGAAGCACACTAATTAAAAATCTACTTCACCACTGATACGTTTGGCTCTGTGTACCAACCCAAATCTCATCTTGAATTGTAGTCCCCACAATCCCCACGTGTCAAGGCTGGGACCAGGTAGAGGTAATTGAATCATGGGGGCAGTTTCCCCATGCTGTTCTCGTGATAATGAGTGAGTCCCATGGGATCTGATGGTTTTATAAGTGCCTGGCATTTCCCCTGCTTGCACTCATTCTCTCTCCTGCCACCCTGTGAAGAGGTGCCTTCCACCATGATTGTAAGTCTCCTGAGGCCTCCCAAGCCATGCAGAACTATGAGTCAATTAAACCTCTTTTCTTTATAATTACCCAGCCTCGGGTATTTCTTCATAGCAGCTTGAGAATGGACTAATACAACCACCATACAGAGAAAGTCTGTCTATGCCACTGAAGAGTACTTCCAAATAGAGAAAATCAGAGAGTGGGCTGGACTGGGAGGCAGAGGTTTCCTCATTTATGTTCCTAGACACAGTCAGCAACGGAACTAAAAATGTCCTACCTAATTGATAAGGTGAAGCAATGTGTTCCTTATAACATCTCTCTGTTTTAATATAACTTTGCTGATCAGAAAGGAAAAGGCAAAAAATTGAATCACCACTAAAGGACTTATCCATGTGACCAAAAACCAACTGTTCCCTCAAAATGATTGAAATAAAAAAAGTCAAATACTATATAACATTAGCAGAATAAAACATTGTTGCTATTATGAGTTAATTTTTTAAACTAGTTATTATAAATACATATAAAAGTTGTTAAGTTTTGAATATTTTATTTTATTTTATTTTATTTTTTTAGATGGAGTCTTGCTCTGTCACCCAGGTTGGAGTGTGATGGTGTGATCTCGGCTCACTGCAGCCTCCGCCTCCTGGGTTCAAGCGATTCTCCTGCCTCAGCCTCCTGAGTAGCTGGGATTATTAGCATGTGCCACCATACCCTGCTAATTTTTGTATTTTTAGTAGAGACAGGGTTTCACCATGTTGGCCAGGCTGGTCTCAAACTCCTGACTGCAAGTGATACACCCACCTCAACCTCCCAAAGTGCTGGGATTACAGGTATGAGCCACCATGCCTGGCTGAATATTTATTTTATAAGCAGCCACTTTACTGAGTGCTATAATTTGGCCACAGTATTTTTTAGTTGATTTTCTTGGGTTTCACCAATAGATAAATATATTACCTACAAATAATGATAATTTTGTGTTTTCTTGTTAGTTATATCCCATTTGTTTTTGTGTATATCTTTTTCCATCTCTCTCTACTTTTAACCCACCTATATTATTTTATTTAAAGAGAGATTTTTAATAGCATATAGTTGGCTCTTCAAAAAATTTATTTTGGCAATCTATCTCCTTTAACTGCTGTGTTCGGACAATTTTCATTTTATGTAATTATTGCTGTCTTGATTTGTTTTCTGTTTATTCCTCCATTAAAAAAATTTCTTGTTATCCTTTTTACTCTTGTTCTTTAGATTCATTGAATTTTTTTAGTGTTCTATTTTGATTATTATACTGAGTTTTTGACTATTTCTGCTTGTATACTTTTTAATGTTTGCTCTAGGGATTGCAATATATATTCTTAACTTTTCATAGTCTATTTAGAATTAGTATCCTATTACTTTCTGGAGGATGTAGGAATCTACTACTATATAAAATCCCTTTATCCTCCCCTCTTTGTGGTCTGTTTTTCATATGTATTATATTTGTATACATTTTAAATCTTATTATACAATGCTATACATTTTCCTTTCAACTTTCATGCATATTTTAAATAAATTAAGAAGACAAAAACAGTCATCTTCCGGACCATTATCAATTCTGTTGCTTTTCCTTTATTCCTGAAGTTTCAAATTGCCCTCTGGTAACATTTTCATTCCATTTGAAGTACTTTCTTTAGCAATTCTTTTAGACCAGGTCTACTTGCTGCAAGTTGTCTTGGCTCTTCATCTGATAGTATCTTTGTATATTACTCTCATTCCTGAAGGATATTTTGATGGATATAGAATTCTTTTTTTCTTTTTTCTTTTTTTTTTTTTTGAGACAGTGTTTGCTCTTATTACCCAGGCTGGAGTGCAGTGGCGTGATCTCGGCTCTCTGCAACCTCCGCCTCCCAGGTTCAAGTGATTCTCCTGCCTCAGCCTTCTGAGTGGCTGGGATTACAGGTGCACACCACCACACCCAGCTAATTTTTTGTAATTTTAGTAGAAACAGGGTTTCATCACGTTGGCCATGCTGGTCTCGAACTCTTGATCTCAGGTGATCCACCCGCCTTGGCCTCCCATAGTGCAGGGATTACAGGTGTGAGCCACCGTGCCTGGCCATGGATATAGAATTCTATGTTGTCTAATTCTCTTATTTTAGCACTTAAAAAATGTTATTCCATTGCCTTCTGACCTCCATGAATTCTGGTGAGAAATCCATAGTCACTGGAATCGCTGATCCCCTAAATTTAACACCTATTTTTTTTTTCTGGCTGCTTAAAATATTTTTTCTTTTTGTTTAGTTTTGGTAAGTTTATGTTTTATCTGCACATGGATTTCTTTTAGCATAGTCTCTTTGGAGTTTAATGAACTTGATCTGTAAGTGTATGTCTTTTATCAAATTTGGAAAAATGTGAAGTATTATTTTCTCAAATATTTGTTCTGCACTATATGCTGCTTCCTGTCTTTCTGGGACTAGAATGACATGAATATTAATTTTTTTGGTATTATTTCACAGGATCCTAAGGCTTTGCCCATTTTTAAAAACACTGTTTCTCTCTGTTGTTCAGGATGAATATTTTTATTACTCTTTCTTTAGGTTCATCAAATCTCTCATCTGTTCTCTATTAGATCAATTCAGTGAATATTTTACTTCAATCATTGTGTTTTTAAATTTTTTCCATTTAGCTCTTTGTTATATCTTCTATCTCTCTGTTGAGATTTTCTGTCTTTCCATTGGCTTCAAGAGTTGTTATCCTACTTCTTAGAGTATGCTTAAAATAACTGCTTTAAAGTCTTTGAAAATTACAACATTTGTGTCATTTTGGGATTGGCATTTATTTTCTTTTCCCTTCTGAGATGTTGAGATTATTCTCGCTCTTTTTATATTGAGTGCTTTTAGATTGTATCGTGGAGCCTTTTGAATATCATATTATGGGACACTGGGTTTTGTTTAAATCTGATGGAGAATATTGATTTTGTTTTCTTTTCTTGTTTTTAGTTCATCAACCTGCTTGAGTTGAGGCTGCAAGTTCCTATCCATTTCTGTAGGCTGTGCTTTTGAGGCAGTTCATTTTTCAGTCTTTGTAGCGCTATTTATACCTGTCTTGTATATTCACTACCCAACCTTGAATCTGGAAGTGGTCCACCCTGTGGTTCAGTTCTCAAAACTTTTGAGAAGTGAAAGCCTTTGAGAATTACTTTAAGGTATGATGTTCTTGAGCTCCTACTCTCTCTGATTACCTGCAACTAGGGATGCCTCCCTGCCTTGGACATCTGACTAGACAGCTGGGACTTATTTTCCCCACTCTGCTGCCCAATTCCTATAATTGCCCATCCCTTGGTGGCCAAGTGGTTAGATAACGGAAAGGAAAAAAGCAATGAGGATACCTCCCTCTTGCCACTCTTGGAGCCATGCTTCTCTGGTCAGAGACTAGAGTTCCCTTCTCACAGAGTGTTAGGAGCCTGCATGCTGGGCTTAGAGTTTTTATGTGTGTACTGAGTGCACACTTCTAGGTTTTAGAATGCTTTTGAGTCCAGGCTGGGAAAAACTGGAGGACAAATGTGATACTTATCACCACTTCAGTGATACTTTGAGATCTCTTTTTTCCCCCTGTAATCCTCCTGATTCCATTTACTTTCCAAAGTCTTCAGAAAGGAGTTCTATGTACCTTTTCTCCTGTTTTAAATTGTATCCAGTGGATACACGTATCTGTCTTAATAGGAACTGTAATCTTCTGTTACTTCTTTTAATCAGAAATAAAGTGTGATCTTAAGGTAATTATTTGTTTCAATTGAAGGAGAATTGGAGAATCTGAAATTAAAAGTCTTTTCATATTGTCAAAGGTTCCTTTGAAACCTTCAAGCCTTATAATTTTAATTTTTCTAGAAGTGCAAATTAGTCAACATTTATTCATTTATTTGTTCAACAATTATTTGTCTGGCTATGCTATAGATGTTGAAAATATAGCACTTATGGAATTTATGATCTAGGTTAATTTACCCAAAGTAAAATTGTGTAGAGTTTACACACACACACACACACACACACACAATTTGTTATTAAATAATATTACCATTTACATTGATCCCTGAAATGGCAAATGCTGCTTTGTTCCCACCTGGTACTAAAACATATTGGAGTGACAACTGTGGTACTTTCAAGGAATAAAGAAAGCCTGTTGTTGCAAAAGATAACTAGAGAAAGAAGACTAGGGGATGAAAAAAAGAAGCCCCAGACAAACTCAAAAATTATAAGAAGAAACAAAGTTAATAAAAGGAAACCTGTGTAATAATGACAGAGAAGATATTGTGGGAGAAGAGAAAAGGATGGTTCACAAGAACAAGGAAATCTTCTTTTCATCTAGAAATTTAAGATTTAACTCTCCAATTTATATCAGTAACTTTCCCTATTTTCATATAGTGAATGAGAGAAATGAGAGGTCAATGGAGAAAATGAGGGCTCTAAGATGTCCCATTTTATACCTTTTATAATGGTTTTCTTTTAGCTGAGATTTAGCACAAAGTTTTCTTTTTATTATATCTTTGTATGTAGGTGTAACCTGTCCCTGTTCACGCACCCTTCTTGCTGTTTTATTAAGGGTGAGACAAGGAAGAAATGAAGGGAATGGGTTTTGTTCTATCACATGCTTGGGGAGAGGTGCCTGGCTACTCTGTGGATGTTTCTGCCTAATCACCTACATGAGGTGGAACCATCTTAGCCAAAGCCCTTCAGGCAGAATGGAGCACCATACCTCCATGCCGTCTTTTCTAGATGGAATATATCCTTAAAAATGATAAAATTTTAAGCATCTCTTTGACACAGGGGTTGGGTAAATATCTAAAAATACTACAGATGAGGGAAACGGGAAGTTTGTTTTTTCTCTATCTAGATCTTTTATACCCTCCAAGAGTTGGGAAAGGTCTTTGAGAAGAGGCTTCCTCATGTAGAATGCTCTTACTATTCAATTTCTTAGTCCTTCAAGCTCCCTTCAAATCCCACTGTGCACAGCCCTCAAACTTCTTTCTCAGGAAAATCTACTCTTCCCTGTGTGAAACTTCTCGGGCCTGTCTCTATTTTGTGAATTCTAGTGAAAGTTTACGATGGATGCTAGAGGTTGATTTCCTCATGCCCTTGTCAGCCCCAAGTCAGGAAGGGAGGTACAAGTCCAGTGAATTGATGGGAAGATGGTGGATGTTCCAATTCTAGTTTAATCTCTGCCATCAGGAGCTCTGGTTGCCTTTTAAGTATATCTCACCAAAGAAGTTAAGTTTATGTGTGTGCATTTCTTTTTAACAGTACAGTCTAGTCTTACATAAGGAGAGCATTGTTTCTCTTAGCATTAAAACTTTAACTCTTCCCCTTGCTAAAGAATGAAGTTAACACTATTTCTCTATAGCGATTTGGCTCTTGTGCCTATTTACCTTAAAGAACCTCCAAGGAGCTGAGAATGGCTCTCTGTGAGCCATCTGAAACAAGTGGAGTCAACCTTAAATACATTATTTCTGATTCTCAACTTTCTCCTTTGATAGAAAGGGGCAAGGGGCTCAGTAAATGCTGACAAGGATTTTTAAGTTGCAGACACATCTACATGGATAAATAGTTTAAACAAGTTGATCAGTGCATTCGTTTAAGATAGTAAAATATATACTTAGTAAAAGGTACATTTCAGATTGATTCCTTCTTCAACTATTTTGCTCTAAACCAGTCATTTAAATGAAAAGATCAATTTGGTTGGTTGCTGTCATATAGATAGGACACCTTTCTTCTTAACTATGCTTTTCCCTCTTTGGTAGTGGTCATAGCGGGTATTACGTAATCTAAAGTGATTCAATTGGTCAATTACTACGATATTGCGCATTCCTAAACTTTTCAAAAAGGAACATTTGCTTTTTAGAGTTATCAAGGGATCATTTTATCAGTCTGTTGTGATCTAGGAGAGAAAACGCTGTCTCTCAGAGGACACTTCACTTGATTATTAGCTTCACCTGAAGGAACACAGCATCCCTCTCTAATAATCAGCCAAGGTACCACGTGGGATCATTTAGCTAAGTGATATGCAGTCATCCTCCATTCCGTGACACTTTAATTTCTGGAGCTGCAGTTGTTGTCATACCTTACAGGTAACTATGGCAACGGACACTGTGCTCACAAGCTCTGTGTCTACCATTATTAGAGATGCGACAGTCTTGTCAACTATAATTAATTGGGATTTGTTTTTTTTAGGTGGGTGGATTTGTAAGGCAATTGACGTCAGCCTTTCCAGGGTGCAAATAAAAATATTTTGGAGATGGAAAAAAACCAGACTTGATTTTAAAATTGTGGCATTTACTCAGAGTGTCAGCTAAGCGAGAGAAATTCAAATGAAGAAGTGTCAGTTCGGTCTGCCTCAGTCCTTTCAAAGACAGGGAGCTTGTCATGTTTCTGTGTGAAATTTGAGCCTATGGCCTTAGACATATCTGTGGGCAAAACTGCTATTTTTTTCTTGCATTGTCTAGAGAGAAAGCATCCCAGAGAAAATTTTAAATAGTTATATCATGATTCGAACAACCCTCAAGATGGCTTTTTATCAGCCTTTCTAATGAGTTGTTTGCAGTTTTATTTCTCTAGAGTTTGTGGTGAAAAGTAGTCTGATTATTTACCTTTGAAACCCTATTTAATGGTATTTTGATGTGTCAGAAACCTTAGGCAAGGGAATAGGGCTTCAAAAGAACTCTTCTGGGCATATTTAGCACTGTGGTAGGGTTAGGAGAAAAGTTTGTCTTGGTGTCTGTTGTAAAAAGCTAAAAGGTGCCCAGGAAGAAATTTCAGGAGATTCAAAGTTTGTAAGCATTTATTGAGTACCCATGAGTACCTTAAATAGTGCTAGGAATTTTCACATTTATTTCTGCACTTAAGAATTTAGTATCTTTATTAAGGTAAAAAAAAAAACTCTTAAAATTACAATTGCATGTGTGTATGTGTGTGTGTGTGTGTGTGTGCATGCATGTATGTATAAAATATATGTACTTTTTGACCCAAGGAATTAAAAAAGGATTAAAAAAGACCCTGATTCATTGAATATAAATAGCACTTGATACAGAAAGAAATATAAAAACAGAGTCCTGCCAACATTAGAGTGATTTTTTTTTTTTTTTAATTTAAAGATGGAGTCTTGCGCTATTGCCCAGGCTGGAGTGCAGTGGCGCGATCTTGGGATCTCGGCTCACTGCAAGCTCCGCCTCCCTGGTTCACGCCATTCTCCTGCCTCAGCTTCCGGAGTAGCTGGGACTAAAGGCGCCCACCACCACGCCTGGCTAATTTTTTGTATTTTTAGTAGAGATGGGGGTTTCACCGTGTTAGCCAGAGTGGTCTCGATCTCCTGACAACGTGATCCTCCCGCCTGGACCTCCTGAAGTGTTGGCATTACAGGCATGAGCCACTGCGCCCAGCCTAGAGTGATTTGTATCTGGTCAAATTAGGGGCCTGTTACCTCTAGTACTTTACTTTCTTCCCAGAGTGGCATCCTCTCTATTAATGTGGTAGGCCATTTCTCCACTTCCTCAAGGTAGGAGTTTTTTTCAGTGATGCTTGTTTCCTGGCAATTGAATTTTTCTCACCTGAGGTGTTGCTCCAGGAAATTTGCACCAGGTCAGTGATTAATTAAAATCTTCAGTCCCAGGCTGTGCTTATTTAACTGTAAAATCTGAGGCTACTTGATTTTTTCTGGAGTTTAAACCTGGGGTCAGAAGAAATCAGGCAATGGGCCTCATCGGATTCAGACCGACAGACACACAGAAAAGTGTCATTTATGCTTTAGGATCCTGCTGTAGAAATTTCTAGGAAGCTACTTCAAGCTAAAAGAATGTTAGGTTTGGAGCTGCAAGACTTGGATTGGAATCCTAGTTCTGCCTCTTACTCTCTTTGTGGCTTGGGGAAGATTCTATTTTTTTTTCTCATTTTCTAATCTCATACTGAAAAATGTGGTCAATCTAAACATAAAGTGAGATGGAGTAGGTGCAAGATTTCTGTAACGCTAAAACAGTTTTGCAAAATTCACTATGGGAAAGAATTAGAAAATACTATCTTGGAATCAGAAAAGGAAAAGGAAGACAAAATGATTGATATTGGAATAGTTTTTTGTTTGTTTGTTTTTTTGTTTTTAAGACGCAGTCTTGTTCCTGTTACCCAGGCTGGAGTGCAACGGTGCGATTTTGGCTCACTGCAACCTCCACCTTCTGGGTTCAAGCGATTCTCCTGCCTCAGCCTCCCGAATAGCTGGGATTACAGGGACCAGCTGCCACGCCCAATTAATTTTTGTATTTTTAGTAGAGATGGGGTTTCACCGTGTTGGCCAGGCTGGTCTCGAACTCCTGAGCTCAGGTGATCCACCCACCTTGGGCTCCCAAAGGAGTAGTTTTTTTGCAATGCATTTTTGGACAAAATATGTACAATGGAGACAAAATGTACTGAACCTTATTCCACACTCTGCCAGTTGGGGGGTTGGAAGAAGAGATTGAGAAGTACCTACAAAGTCGGGCTTCAGTGTATGATGCACTTTGATATTTTTGACACAACATTATCTTTGGTGGGGTGATGTTCCTCTATAAGTTGGGCAAAGGAGACAATAATGACAGCACCGTTTTTTTGAGCATTTACTATGTGATAGGCACAGGATAGAATGCTTTCCAAAAATTCCCTTGCTTATTGCTCACAACAAATCTATGCAGATGGACTCTTACTGCCCTGTGCTACATGCAGGAGAGCAGAGTGTAAAGAGGTTAACTAATTTGCTCAGGGGTATGTCTGTAGGAGGTTGCAAACAGAACTCAAGCCCACAGAGGAGCCCCCAGTCACCAGCGCCTCACATAAACATACTCTGAATTGAGTTGAACAGAGCAAAATTACAACTTTACTTATATAAAATAAATCTTGTATTTATTTTTTCCTTACTTATTAATAATGAATAATTTTGCAAGTTTCTGTACGAGGGTCTGGAGATACAAAAATGAGCACCTGAACCCCCTGCAGCTTCTAGTCTACTAGAGAGGACTGACACATATAAAATAAATTCTTAAATAATCAATAAATTTATTATTAAATACAAATGTGATAACTGCAGCACAAGGGAGTATGGGCGCCCTGATTTTGGGTACAGAGGGTCGGAATGTAGCTAAAGGGTTAGTTAGGTCAGGCTTGTTGGAGACAGTGACACTGAAGATAATTCTTGAAGGATTGGAGTAGCAAGGTGAGTATACATAGATATAATCTAATTTCCCTCCATCTCCTCATATACAAATGTTTTTTGTTTGTTTGTTTGTTTGATACAGGGTCTTGCTCTGTTGCTCAGATTGGAATGCAGTGGTGCAACCATGGCTCACTGCAGCCTTGACCTCCCTGGCTCAAGTGATCCTCCCACGTCAACCTCCCTAGTAGCTAGGACCAGTGTGTGCCACAATGCCCAGCTAATTATTTTATTTTATTTTTTTTGTAGAGATGGGGTCTCCTTATGTGGCCCAGGCTGGTCTCAAACTCCTGGGCTCAAGTGATCCTCCTGTCTTGGCCTCCCAAAGTGCTGGGATTACAGGTGTGAGCCACTGCCCGTATCCATGTCTTATAAACAGTTCTTCAAAACTCAGCTCAAATTTGGCTTCTTCGAGGCTCTCCCAACTGGACATAACCTCCTCTTCTGAAGTCCAGGAACTCTATTATTAGTGAGCATTGACTGTGTGCCTACTCTGGGCTAAAGTTTCTAAATGCCTTAAATGGATAATTCCATTGACCCTTACAGCACCCCTCAGGTAGTTATGACTGCCACCATTTTGCAGATGAGAAAACTGAGGGAGCTACAATAACTTGCCCATAGGTCCACAGACCCAGGATTCAAAGCCAGGCAATGCTGCACAACCCAAGAGAAGAGGATCTTAGCCACTTGGCCATGAAGGCTTTAGCCTCTGTGCCTCTCTCACATGACTTAGGCTTTCTCATTGGTATTAAACTGCTTTTGGGAGGCATCCTCTTCCTTACTGAACTGTAAGCTCTTTAATGAAATATAATTTATGTGCAACAAAACGCACAGATTTTAAGCCACTGTCCTTAAGTCATGAAACATTTTTATCACTCTGGGAAGTTTCCTCAATCCCCTTTCCAATTAAGACCTCACTCCCCCATTCCACCCCAGGCAACTACTCTGCTGAGTTACATGCTCATTGTATTAGTCTGTTTTCCTACTGCTATAAATAACTGCCTGAAACTGGGAGGTTTAATTGACTCACAGTTCAGCATGGCTGGGAGGCCTCAGGAAACTTACACTCATGGTGGAAGGTGAAGGGGAAGGAGACACCTTCTTCACAAGATGGTGGGAAGGAGGAGTACAAGCAGGGGAAATGCCAGATGCTTATAAAACCATCAAATCTCGTGAGACTTAGGCATTATTACAAGAACAGCATGGGAGAAGCTGCCCCCATGATTCAATTACCTCCATCTGGTCCCACCCTTGACACATGGGGGTTATGAGGATTACAATTCAAGATGAGATTTAGCTGGGGACACAGGGCCAAACTATATTACATATAGTTGGTTTTTTCTGATCTAGAGCATTGTATAAATGGAAGTACACAGTATGTATTATTTTGTGTCTGGCTTCTTTTGCTCAACATATGTTTTTGAGATTCATCTACTTTGTTCCTTTTTATTGCTGAGTAGTACTCCATCTTTAAGCTCCTTACAGACAAGGCCTGCCTAATTTTGTGTCCACCACTGTACTTGGAACCAGGATGATATTAAATATATTTATCAACAGAGATGACATGGGCACACATCAGAACAGATATTGGCCTGGGTGCTGCAGCAGGATCTTGTGCCAGAAATTAACCTTTAGTCATTGGATTATGAGGAGATGAGGGACCTGAGGGAGGGGTCATAGGAACAGAGATGGCCAGGGCTATTGAGGGTGGTGATGGGATGCTTGGAGGCTTGGGGCAGTGACTACCAACCAGCATGAGAACTTTCACTATTTTAACAGTTGTTGGTACAGTCGTGCTAGTGTATGCTGCTGAATATCAGCTCTGCTTAGCAAAGTATGTCTGTATTTACACAAAAAAGACATTCAATATATGTTTTTATTGAATGGGTGAATAACTACAGATTAAATGTAAATTGAGGATACCTGCTTGATATCATTTAAAATTAGAATTGATCTGCCTTGCAAGTATTTCTGAGTACTTTGTCTTTATCAGTAGTTGCATGATATAGGTTGTTAAATCAATTTCAGAGCCTTTAGCTAGGTAGTAGCATTTGGTTCAAAGTTGACACCTACTCATGGGATCAAAGACTGACGAGTGACCAATAAATGCTGCAAAGTTTTAATTGAGTTCCCAAATATGAGAATCTTATGCCTGGGAAATCATAGAGAAAAGAATCAGGACATTCAGAAGAAGAATGGGTACCTAGGAGAGTACTTGGCACATAGTGAAGGCTTGAAACTATTAGTTGAACAAATGATGATGTGACTGACTACTTGTGTTGTATGCATTCTGAAGAGAAAGAGGTCAGTAGGACTTGGAGTATCCAGAGGACCCTTCTTGGAGAAAGTGGGTTGAAGGTAGGGACATAAGAATGGATGGGCTTTAGATCAGAGGATCAGAGAGCAAGAAGAGTGGATGGCATGAACAAAGGAAGGGCATGAGGCCTGCAGAGGATGCCTGATTCTTTTGCCTGCCCAGCACCCTTCTGCCTCCTTTTGGTGGACTCATATACAC
The DNA here is from genome assembly GCF_000001405.40 of Homo sapiens. NCBI lineage: Eukaryota > Metazoa > Chordata > Mammalia > Primates > Hominidae > Homo > Homo sapiens. The sequence continues at coordinate 223,007,259 of NC_000002.12, forward strand.
TTTACTACTTTCAGGCTTGGTGGGACTCTCAATCAAGGAATCCTGTCTTATCTGGAAAAGAAGTGGATGGGTGATTCCAGCTACACTGGTAAGAAGCTCCATCCCTAACATGTGGATCTCACATGGAGTTATCCAGAGGATTATGGTCAAACCAATGAATCCTGATGGCTATGCCCTGAATTGACAGTCCTTTGGTTCCTGCCACCTGGATCTCCAGAGCTGATTTCTGGGTTTTCTGAGTTTTGACCTCTCTGCTTTTCCTTCATTTCTGTGAGTTATAACCTTTCAATATTTTTTATTTTCTCTTTTTTTCACGTAATATAGCCAGAGTCCATTTCTGCTGCTTGCAATAAACAAACTCCAACTGATTTAGGCAGTTTCCAGCTTCCCAGCCCCTACCAGCTTTTCAGGATGTGCTGACTGGTCACTAGCTGATACAGAATACTTTTGAATGTGTACTTTAGAGAACAGAATTCCCTGCTCTTTCCTTACGAGCAGAACATGTTGTCTTACTACTTGAGTCATAGCCTGAGATGTCTGGAAACTGAATGTTTCTCTTTATGACTCAGTTTCACCTTTTGCTAGGCATAACTCCCCAAAAGGTTGTACTTTGAAGGCTTCCATGAAGATTGAAAGATAATACTGTAGACTCTTAACAACAAAGACACAATCATATTTTTTTAATGTGAATATTCTTAATTTTATAGCTGTGGCCAGTGGCTGTCTTGTGATTTTCATCTGGTTTCATCTACGTGTTTCTGTCCCAACCCAACAAAAGTAAATATTTTCCTTTCTTTCTCAAGCCCCCTTTATTGGGTGAAACTATTATTGGGGTGTTGCTCTCCATTCTTCTTTTTTTATCCTCTGCTAACTTTTCCACTAGCTTCATCTCTTGCTTCTTACTCGAAACACTTCAAAGTTTTCTTCTGATGAGTGCTAATTGGACTATACTCCTCATTTTTTCTCATGCATCCTGGGGAGAGTAACATTTTTCTCCCCAAGGGAAAATGAAAACACGACAGAAGACTGAAGTAGCTATTATGTAAACAAGAGAGGAATCACAGAACAGACTTCAGTGGCCTTTGTGCAAAAGGAAAGCGGAAGGGAGATGAGCAATTCAAGTCCAGGGCCTGGCCACGTGGACTACCCTTTTTCAAGGATAGCACGGCATGAGAAAAAAGGAGGGCCTGTCTCAGAGGAAGTGCATGTGGGATGGCTGTGCATGTCCTTGTTGTTACAGTCTTCAGGAGACTCGAGGATGAATGAGAAAAGCCCTAAAGAATCTGTACCTAAGAATTTGTGTAAATTCAAGAGAATTTACACAAATTGAAATGAAATTTATTTTTTGAAATAAATAAATGGGATTCTCAACAATTTTATTATGGTTCATTGGTTGATAATAAGCACATTTAGCAGGTAGAATATAAGCATTTGCTTGGGGAAGGGAAACCTGCCCTTCTGACTTCAGTGTAAACACCATATTCGTTAGCGCCTTGACAAGTATCTGCCATGTCCTTCACTCTTGTTTCCTCTCCTTGTAATTGATCTAATTCAAGCTCTCGTCATTTCCTGGCACAGTTTTCTAGTGGTCTCCTTTTTCCTTTTCCCTGTTTCCTCATCCCTCCAGCCTCTTCTCTCTTCTTCCAGAATAAGCAAGACCTGATCATGTCAATCCCCTGAGTAAAAACCTTTGATGATGCCCCTTTGTCCACAGGACCTAGTCAGACTCTTTACTGTGACAATCAAGACTCCTCCATGTGGGTCCACATGCCTCTCCGACCCCATTTCTTGTTACTTGCCTCCCTTCTTCCTGCACACCAGTCTATGTGCTGTTCTGCAAACATGCCAAACACTGTAAGGCCTCTGTGACTTTGCTCATCTGTTTTTCATTGTGGTCTCATCAAATTTTCTCCAGAGAAGTCTCTAAATGACAGACATTCAATGGGATTCTTCTCTACCCAGAAGAATCATGTCTTCCTCTGTGCATAACTAGCTTTCTGTTCATACTAGGCAAATGGCACATATACTATATCAGTGTAGTCCAGTAGACATATAACATGAACTGCAATATTTAAAATTTTTTGGTAGCCACATTAAAAAGAAAAAAGAAACATGTGAAGTCAATTTTAAGAATGTACTCAGCACAATGTATAGAACACATCATTTCAATGTTTGTATTAGTCAGGGTTCGCCAGAGAAAGAGGACCAAGGGTGTGTCCATGTGTGTGTATAATATAGTTTTATTTATTGTAAGGGATTGGCTCACATGATTGTGCATATTAAGTCCCAAGAGATGCAGGGTAAATTGACTTAGGACAGCCAATGGTGTAGTTCCAGTCTGAATACTGGCAGGGTCGAGACTCAAGAATAGCTAATGTTTCAGTTCTAGTCTAAAGGCAGGAAAAAGCTCATGTTCCAGTTCAAAGGCTGCTGTAGACTGAATGGTTGTGTCCCTACCAAAATTTGTAATGTTGAAATCCTTACTGCCAATGTGATGGTATTAAGAGGTAGGGTCTTTGGTAGGTAATTAGTGCCCTTAGAAAAGAGATGCTGGAGAGCTCTCTAGCCCCTTCCACTATGTTAGGGCACAGCAAGAAGACAGTAATCCATGAACCAGGAATCAGGTCCTCACCAGAAACCAAATCTGCCAGTCTGTCCAAATCTGTCCAAATCTTGGACTTGTCAGTCTCCAGAACCTTGAGAATTAAATTTCTGTTGTTTATAAGCTATCCAGTTCATGACATTCTGCAGCAGCTCAAATGGACTAAGACAAAGGCCATCAGGCAGGAAGAATTCTCTCTTACTTGGTGGAGGGTCAGCCTTTTTGTTCCATTCGGGCCTTCAACTGATTGGATGAGGCCCACTCCCATTATGAAGGACAAGCTGCTATCCTCAGTCTACCCCTTAAATGTTAATCTCACCTGACATTCTCACAGAAACACCAAGAATAATGTTTGACCAAATGTCTAGTTACCACATGGCCCAGTCAGTTGACATGTAAATTTAACCATCACAAACATGTAGTTAATGTAAAACTTATTAATGAGATATATTATGTTCTTTTTTGAATGAATTCTTTGAAATCTGGTGTGTGTTACATACAGCACATCTCAGTTCACTCTGGCTACGTTGAAAGTGCTCAGTAGTAACGTATGGCTAGTGGTTACTATTACATATTGGGCAAATAGCACTATATATAAGTCACTGTATACTGTCTCTCCTGTTCAGCTGTGAATTTCTTGAGAGATATCCCTTATTCATCTTTTGATGTCTGATATATAGTCCCATGTGGGGAATATAGCGGCTCAGTAAATGTGTGCTGAGTGGAAGAATTATTTCTAAAAGTCTTGGAAATCTATGAGTGTTGGGCCTACAAATGAACCATTATATTTCCTTTTTTGTCAAATTCCCTTGGTGATCTCAGGGAAGGCTATAAAATGATGTTCAACAATTCCCTTAAATCAGTTGCCAAATGGTCAATGGGGTGGTGCCTAATAGAAATGGCCTGAAAGGAAGACTAGTTGCACTGTTCAAATTCCATTAGGCTGTCGTAAAATTACTATAATTGTTTGAATACATTATGACTACTATGATTGGATTGTAATTGCATATCTTTTGGGTATTTTTGGTCATGACTTGGACCAGATGAATCAACCATGCGTATGTGATCTAAGCTATTATGGAAGGCTTTCCTAAATGTGTTCAGGAAAAGTGGAAGTGGGAGGGAAAAAGCGATTGGTTAAATTCAATTATATTTGATTGTTGTCTTTGAATTTGTAACCCGTATTGCATAATAGGTATACAAAATGATCCTGTGGTACAGGGTCATGAGGGAATCCAGTCTCTAAGAGCCATGGAAGCACACTATTGGTAAAAAGCTTGTTCTTTAATCTTTCACTGATACAACCTTCAATACCACATGGACAACATCTATGGGGAAACTTGGGATTTGGGGATGAAATCACAGAATACAAAGTACTGTAACATACATCTAATGTACTGTAAATATTGTCTCTTCTTGTCAATATAAAGTCCTTGAAAATCATTTAATGAGTCAAAATACAAATAATTATTACATTTAAAAGAATTATCCCAAACACATGGTTTTGAATACCTTAACCAAAAGAAAGTCCCTAGTTTTTATCCCCTAGAAGATGATATTAAGATGAGATTCTAGTCATGTCTGTTGCCATATTTAGCTTTCCAGGTCATTTTGCCTTTCCAGTATTTACACATGGTTTAATCTATCATTCCCATCCATTCATGGAAAAATATGTGTCAAACCATTACCATAATCACTTGCAGTATGATTTATATTGGCCATGGAAACTATTTTACCTGTTATTTTGCAACATGGAGATAGGATCATAACTAATTTCTCTCATGCTGTAGTAAAAGGAAAATCATTTAAAAAGAGGCAACAACACTAAGACTTGAGCCCTCTTCTTGCCTCTGTCTGTGGAAGAAACTCCTGGTTGCTGAGAGCAGGAACAGATGGGGCCTTGTTGGAAAATGCCTAGCAATGTGGAGCATTATTGCCTCAGTTTGTGCAAAAATAGAATTACCTTGGTATTTCTCAAAAGGCTCAGCACAGCCAACTCTTGTGTGCTGAAGAGGGGAAGAGACAATCAGGAAATAATGTCAATTTCCAGCCCATTTAAAATCTAACCATTAAAGTCATAATGTATTTGACATTTTAAATATTCAAAGTTAGGCCAGATGTGGTGTCTCACACCTGTAATCCCAGTGCTTTGGGAGGCCAAGGTGGGAGCCTCACTTGAGGTCAGGAGTTCAAGACCGGCCTGGACAACAAAGCAAGACCCCATCTCTACAAAAAAATAAAAAAAATTATCTGGGCATGGTGGTACACATCTGTATTCCCAGTTACTCAGGAGGCTAAGGCAAAAGGATCCCTTGAGCCCGGGAGTTTGAGGCTACAGTGTGCTATGATCACACTATTGCACTCCATCCTGGGTGACAGAGCAACACTCTTTCTTTAAAAAACAAGATATAACACATGTTCAAAGTTTAATCAAATATGTTTTAGACGTTTTCCCCCTGGACTTAGACATTGATAATATGAGTGAAATTTTAGCCTTGTTCAAAGATTAATCAAATTCTAAAGTTGATGGAGTATGAAGTGCTCTAAGGAACCATCCCACCTGCTCCTCTTGCTAAGAAGGATCTCGTGGTTTGTTGGAGAAATGCTTCATGTCCCACAGCATTTGCCTGCTTTGTTTTTGGCCTTCTCCTGGACATCTCGTCCTTGTGGACTGAGTGGTGGTGGAGGGCAGGGCTCTGGTGTCAGATGGTGAGTATGTCAGATGGTGCCTAACTGGGAGGCACTCCTCAGTAGGGGCAGACTGACACCTCACACGGCCGGGTACCCCTCTGAGACGAAACTTCCAGAGGAATGATCAGGCAGCAACATTTGTTGTTCAGCAATATTCGCTTTTCTGCAGACTCTGCTGCTGATACCCAGGCAAACAGGGTCTGGAGTGGACCTCCAGCAAATTCCAACAGACCTGCAGCTGAGGGTCCTGACTGTTAGAAGGAAAATAACAAACAGAAAGGACATCCACACAAAAACCCCATCTGTACGTCACCATCACCAAAGACCAAAGGCAGATAAACCACAAAGATGGGGAAAAAACAGAGCAGAAAAGCTGAAGATTCTAAAAATCAGAGCTCCTCTCCCACTCGAAAGGAACACAGCTCCTCACCAGCAATGGAACAAAGCTGGACGGAGAATGACTTTGACGAGTTAAGAGAAGAAGGTTTCAGATGATCAAACTTCTCCGAGCTAAAGGAGGAAGTTCGAACCCATTGCAAAGAAGCTAAAAGCCTTGAAAAAAGATTGGACGAATGGCTAATTAGAATAACCAGTGTAGAGAAGTCCTTAAATGACCTGATGGAGCCGAAAACCATGGCACAAGAACTACATGATGCATGCACAAGCTTCAGAGCTGATTCGATCAACTGGAAGAAAGGGTATCAGTGATTGAAGATCAAATGAATGAAATGAAGCCAGAAGAGAAGTTTAGAGAAAAAAGAGTAAAAAGAAATGAACAAACCCTCCAAGAAATATGGGACTATGTGAAAAGACCAAATCTATGTCTGATTGGTGTACCTGAAAGTGACCGGGAGAATGGAACTAAGTCGGAAAACACTCTGCAGGATATTATCCAGGAGAACTTCCCCAATCTAGCAAGGCAGGCCAACATTCAAATTCAGGAAATACAGAGAACACCGCAAAGGTACTCCTTGAGAAGAGCAACTCCAAGACACATAATTGTCAGATTCACCAAAGTCGAAATGAAGGAAAAAATGTTAAGGGCAGCCAGAGAGAAAGGTCGGGTTACCCACAAAGGGAAGCCCATCAGACTAACAGCAGATCTCTTGGCAGAAAGTCTACAAGCCAGAAGAGAGTGGGGGCCCATATTCAACATTCTTAAAGAAAAGAATTTTCAACCTAGAATTTCATATCCAGCCAAACTACACTTCATAAGTGAAGGAAAAATAAAATCCTTTACAGACAAGCAAATGCTGAGAGATTTTGTCACCACCAGGCCTGCCCTAAAAGAGCTCCTGAAGGAAGCACTAAACTTGGAAAGGAACAACCAGTACCAGCCACTGCAAAAACATGCCAAACTGTAAAGACCATCAAGGCTAAGAAGAAACGGCATCAACTAACGAGCAAAATAACCAGCTAACATCATAATGACAGGACAAAATTCACACATAACAATATTAACCTTAAATGTAAATGGGCTAAATGCTCCAATTAAAAGACACAGACTGGCAAATTGGATAAAAAGTCAAGACCCATCAGTGTGCTGTATTCAGGAGAACCATCTCATGTGCAGAGACACACATAGGCTCAAAATAAAGGGATGGAGGAAGATCTACCAAGCAAATGGAAAACAAAAAAAGGCAGGGGTTGCAATCCTAGTCTCTGATAAAACAGACTTTCAACCAACAAAGATCAAAAGAGACAAAGAAGGCCAATACATAATGGTAAAGGGATCAGTTCAACAAGAAGAGCTAACTATCCTAAATATATATGTACCCAATACAGGAGCACCCAGATTCATAAAGCAAGTCCTTAGAGACCTACAAAGAAGCTTAGACTCCCATACAATAATAATGGGAGACTTTAATACCCCACTGTCAACATTAGACAGATCAATGAGACAGAAAGTTAACAAGGATATCCAGGAATTGAACTCAGCTCTGCACCAAGCAGACCTAATAGACATCTACAGAACTCTCCACCCCAAATCAACAGAATATACATTCTTCTCAGCACCACATCGCACTTATTCCAAAATTAACCACATAGTTGGAAGTAAAGCACTCCTCAGCAAATGTAAAAGAAAAGAAATTATAACAAACTATCTCTCAGACCACAGTGCAATCAAACTAGAACTCAGGATTAAGAAACTCACTCAAAACTGCTCAACTATATGGAAACTGAACAACCTGCTCCTGAATGACTACTGGGTACATAACGAAATGAAGGCAGAAATAAAGATGTTCTTTGAAACCAATGAGAACAAAGACACAACATACCAGAATCTCTGGGACACATTTAAAGCAGTGTGTAGAGGGAAATTTATAGCACTAAATGCCCACAAGAGAAAGCAGGAAAGATCTAAAATTGACACCCTAACGTCACAATTAAAAGAACTAGAGAAGCAAGAGCAAACACATTCAAAAGCTAACAGAAGGCAAGAAATAACTAAGATCAGAGCAGAACTGAAGGAGATAGAGACACAAAAAACCCTTCAAAAAAATCAATGAATCCAGGAGATAGCTTTTTGAAAAGATCAACAAAATTGATAGACCACTAGCAAGACTAATAAAGAAAAAAAGAGAGAAGAATCAAATAGAAGCAATAAAAAATGATAAAGGGGATATTGCCACTGATCCCACAGAAATACAAACTACCATCAGAGAATATTATAAACACTTCTACACAAATAAACTAGAAAATCTAGAAGAAATGGATAAATTCCTGGACATATACATCACCCCAAGACTAAACCAGGAAGAAGTTGAATCTCTGAATAGACCAATAACAGGCTCTGAAATTGAGGGAATAATTAATAGTTTACCAACCAAAAAAAGTCCAGGACCAGACGGATTCATAGCCGAATTCTAGCAGAGGTACAAGGAGGAGCTGGTACTATTCTGTCTGAAACTATTCCAATCAATAGAAAAAGAGGGAATCCTCCCTAACTCATTTTATGAGGCCAGCATCATCCTGATTCCAAAGCCTGGCAGAGACACAACAAAAAAAGAGAATTTTAGACGAATATCCCTGATGAACATTGATGCAAAAATCCTCAATAAAATACTGGCAAACCAAATCCAGCAGCACATCAAAAAGCTTATCCACCATGATCAAGTGGGCTTCATCCCTAGGATGCAAGGCTGGTTCAACATACGCAAATCAATAAACGTAATCCAGCATGTAAACAGAACCAAAGACAAAAACCACATGATTATCTCAATAGATGCAGAAAAGGCCTTTGACAAATTTCAACAGCCCTTCATGCTAAAAACTCTCAATAAATTAGGTATTGATGGGACGTATCTCAAAATAATAAAAGCTATCTATGACAAACCCACAGCCAATATCATACTGAATGGGCAAAAACTGGAAGCATTCCCTTTGAAAACTGGCACAAGAAAGGGATGCCCTCTCTCACCACTCCTATTCAACATACTGTTGGAAGTTCTGGCCAGGGCAATCAGGCAGGAGAAGGAAATAAAGGGTATTCAATTAGGAAAAGAGGAAGTCAAATTGTCCCTGTTTGCAGATGACATGATTGTATATCTAGAAAACCCCATTGTCTCAGCCCAAAATCTCCTTAAGCTGATAAGCAACTGCAGCAAAGTCTCAGGATACAAAATTAATATGCAAAAATCACAAGCATTCTTATACATCAATGACAGACAGAGAGCCAAATCATGAGTGAACTCCCATTCACAATTGCTTCAAAGAGAATAAAATACCTAAGAATTCAACTTACAAGGGATGTGAAGGACCTCTTCAAGGAGAACTACAAACCACTGCTCAACGAAATAAAAGAGGACAGAAACAAATGGAAGAACATTCCATGCTCATGGATAGGAAGAATCAATATCTTGAAAATGGCCATACTGCCCAAGGTAATTTATAGATTCAATGCCATCCCCATCAAGCTACCAATGACTTTCTTCACAGAATTGGAAAAAACTACTTTAAAGTTCATATGGAATGAAAAAAGAGCCCACATTGCCAAGTCAATCCTAAGCCAAAAGAACAAAGCTGGAGGCATCACGCTACCTGACTTCAAACTATACTACAAGGCTACAGTAACCAAAACAGCATGGTAGTGGTACCAAAACAGAGATATAGACCAATGGAACAGAACAGAGCCCTCAGAAATAATACCACACATCTACAACTATCTGATCTTTGACAAACCTGAGAAAAACAAGCCATGGGGAAAGGATTCCCTATTTAATAAATGGTGCTGGGAAAACTGGCTAGCCATATGTAGAAAGCTGAAACTGGATCCCTTCCTTACACCTTATACAAAAATCAATTCAAGATGGATTAAAGACTTAAATTTTAGACATAAAACCATAAAAACCCTAGAAGAACACCTAGGCAATACCATTCAGGATATAGGCATGGGCAAGGACTTCATGTCTAAAACACCAAAAGCAATGGCAACAAAAGCTAAAATTGACCAATGGGATCTAATTAAACTAAAGAGCTTCTGCACAGCAAAAGAAACTACTATCAGAGTGAACAGGCAATGTACAGAATGGGAAAAAATTTTTGCAATCTACTCATCTGACAAAGGGCTAACATCCAGAATCTACAAAGAACCCGAAAAAATTTACAAGAAAAAAACAACCCCATCAAAAAGTGGGCGAAGGATATGAAGAGACACTTCTCAAAAGAAGACATTTATGCAGCCAACAGATACATGAAAAAATGCTCATCATCACTGGCCATCAGAGAAGTGCAAATCAAAACCACAATGAGATACCATCTCACACCTGTTAGAATGGCGATCATTAAAAAGTCAGGAAACAATGGGTGCTGCAGAGGATGTGGAGAAATAGGAACACTTTTACACTGTCAGTGGGACTCTAAACTAGTTCAACCATTGTGGAAGACAGTGTGGTGATTCCTCAAGGATCTAGAACTAGAAATACCATGTGACCCAGACATCCCATTACTGGGTATATACCCAGAGGATTATAAATCATGCTACTATAAAGACACATGTACATGTATGTTTATTGTGGCACTATTCACAATAGCAAAGACTTGGAACCAACCCAAATGTCCATCAATGATAGATTGGATTAAGAAAATGTGGCATATGTACGCCATGGAATACTATGCAGCCATAAGAAAGGATGAGTTCATGTCCTTTGTAGGGACATGGATGAAGCTGGAAACCATCATTCTCAGCAAACTATCTCAAGGACAGAAAACCAAACACCGCATGTTCTCACTCATAGGTGGGAATTGAACAATGAGAACACTTGGACACAGGAAGGGGAACACCACACACTGGGGCCTGTTGTGGGGTGGGGGGAAGGGAGAGAGATAGCATTAGGAGATATACCTAATGTAAATGACAAGTTAATGGGTGCAGCACACCAACATGGCACATGTATACATATGTAACAAACCTGCACAGTGTGCACATGTACCCTAGAACTTAAATTATAATAATAAAAAAAATTACTTGTAAAAAGAAAAGAAATCCCTCTAATATCTAAACAGTGGTTTTAAAACATGTTGTTAAGAAATTGATGTCTGGGTTCCACTTTGAGAAATTCTACTTTAGTTGGGGCATGACTTGGGCATCAGGATGTGTAAGAGTTCCTCAGGTGACTGATGCATAGGCTGGGTTGAAAACCGCTCTGGTGAGTTGAAAACACGACTGCAAATTATTTGATACTTCTTCCATCAAAAGGTGGATCTAATTCCCCTTGAATTAGGATATTAAGTTTGGCTTAATGACTCCTTTCTAATCAATAGAATGCAGTTGAATTGTCCCTTTGAGACTTTCAAGGCTGGATTGTAAAAGGCAGGCAATAGAGCATTCACTCTTCCTGTCTTGCTTTGTGTTTCTGTATCTCTGACTCTTTCCCCATGCCTTTGAAGCTCTGAGCAACCACATAAGAACAACCTATGCAAAAGCCGCCATGTGAAGGGATTGCATAGAGAGACAGCCTAGAGGTAGAGAGAGATGTCCAAAGACTGCCAGGTATTCCACCCACCAATGTTTCATTCTTCCCAGGCACCAGAGGTGTGAATGGACAAAGCTGCAAGATAATCTCTGAACTGCAACTATAGAAAGACCCCAAATGAGAGCTGCCTAGTGGAGCCCAGTCAACTCTGCAAGCATGAGGGAGAATATGTGATAGTTATTGTAGTAAGCCACTGCCAGGGGAGATTTAGCAATAGAAAACTCAAGCCCTGTTGTAAAGTAAGACACGTTGATATTTGCAAAGCCATTTATTTGATGAAATTAAAGAGTTGCTCTGTACCTTCACCCTCTTCTCTGGAGCCCATTAGAATGGGAGTCATCCTCTCTTCATTCTGGCAGGACACATGAATTCGCTGGACTCTTGTCTTCCTTTGAATCTCTTCATCAGGCCTCACTTATTTCTAACCTGCTAATGGGAGAAGAGGCAATTGTCAGTCCAGTAGAGAAAAGCTCTGTGTTAGTCCATTTTCATGCTGCTATGAAGAAATACTCGAGTTTGAGTAATTTATAAAGAAAAACAGGTTTAATGGACTCACAGTTCCACATGGTTGGGGAGGCCTCACAATCATGGCAGAAGGTGAAGGAGGAGCAAAGGCACATCTTACATGGCAGCAGGCAAGACAGTGTGTTTGGGGAACTGCCCTTTATAAAACCATCAAATCTTGTGAGACTTACTCACTATCATGAGAACAGTACGGGAAAACCCACCCCCCTGATTCAATTACTTCCCACTGGGTCCCTCCCATGACATGTGGGGATTATGGGAGGTACACTTCAAGATGAGATTGGTTGGGGACACAGCCAAACCATATCACTGACCAAACCTAAGGTAATGGACAGCACTGTAAGAGTACATTGATTAAAAAGACACAGAGGTAGAGAAACTTGTAATTGTTTTGCCTCCTGATTCATTCATATCTTACACTCTGTGCTTCCAAAAGTTCCTTTATGATCTTTCCCTTTTCCCACAGATTTCTGGCACATCTGAATGAGTTCCCGTTAGTCCAAGTGTAAGCAGATAAGGACTGGGATTTTATTTCCTCCAGTGATCTCACTGCAAGCTGCTCAGCTTTGACACAGCAAAGGGTAACAGACAGGCTATCTCTCTCCAGTAAAGCCAGAGTGACAGGGAAGTGCAGTCCTGGTTCACAAGGTGGCCCTGAGAGCTCTGCCTGAGTCCTGTGAGAAGAAGCTGGGCAATGTTGCAAATGTCACAGAAGCTTTGTGTAGCTTTCTCTTGAAGGGCCAACGTAGAAGACAGAACGCACAAATAATGAAACAGTGGATGAATCTTGTCTTTTTTGAGACCACTTTCCTGTGCCAACTTCCATTTATTTCCTTTCCAAATGGTGGCCCTGTGCAATGATCTGTTCCTCACCAAGAGTGTGGTTCAAACCAAGGTGAGATTAGGTGGTCATGGAAATTTGGGAGTTGTGGTCTTCTAAAAAAATTGATCAATCCTTCTGATAAAATCTTTGGGAGTCTAGGATTTAGATATCCTTACACTGTTCCTGGTGTGTTTGGGGAGGGCCTAACACTAAGCTGACTAGTGTTCTCCCCCGAAGCACGTCTTCTGAGGAACCTATCTATAGAAAAGAACCTGGGTTATTCAGTCTATGAGACTGCTGGTACCCATCTTCTGAGGAGGCGTTTTTAGAGGGTAGTGGAGACAGGGGGCACTATTTGCAAGGAACTGAAATGGTTTTCTCCAGGCTGAGGGTGAAGCAGGATATCTGGAGAATAAAAACTATGCATAGGTGAAGGAAAGTAATGCTGCATGAATTTTGCAAGCTGCAGAGAGGTAGGAATATTTTCATGGGGCTTTCCAAAAGGAAAGGAACAGGGCCGCCGATAACCTTTGGTTGAGACTCTCAGTTACTGAAGTCTCTCAGCTTAGACAGCAGATGTGGCTGCGATCAGTGGCCTCATCTTGAGAGTAGAAAGTAGAAAGAGTAGAAAGTTCTACTCATCTTGAGAGTAGAAAGAGACATGACCAAGTCAGATGGTGGAAGCACTGGGTACAAAGAGAGCAAGCAGGCCCTGGGATGACTGCATGTGGTGAATTAGAGCACTTACCCCAGGAGCCGAGAGGGAGAACTGGGTGTTGAATTTCCTGCTAATGTGTATATGTGCCAGCTAGGCTATAATTTGTTCTTTTTTGGGGGGACAGTGTCTTACTCTGTCACCCAGACTAAAGTGCAGTGGCACAAAGATGGCTCACTGCAGCCTCAATCTCTTGGGCTCAAGCGATCCTCCCATTTCAGCCTCCCGAGTAGCTAGGACTACAGGCACAAACCATCACGCTTGGCTAATTTTTTTAAAACTTTTTGTAGAGATGGGGCCTTGATATTTTCCCAGGCTGATCTCAAACTCCTGGGCTCAAGCTGTCCTCCCACCTCAGCCTCCTAAAGTGCTGGGATTACAGGCACGAGCCACCTCACCCTGCCTAGGCATCCCCCACAGAGAATCAGGCCACTAATATTAATGTCTTTAGGTTTGAATACATGTACGAATTGATTTTGAATTAATTTTTTCACTTACGTCTCATAACAATTTATTGATGTTGGTGGAGAAGGTATTATGTGTGTGTTGTTCCCATTTTACTGATCAGAAAACTAGTCAAGGTCACCCAGGGAGAAAGCAGTTGTCTACCAGTAATAGTGGCTGACACTTACTGAGCCCTTTCCATGTGGCAAGCACAGCAGCAAGCATCTTAATTATATATTAATTCATGTAACCCTCCCTATACTGCTACTGGCATTATTATTTCCCTTGTTTTACAGAGGAGGAAATGTCAGCAGCATGAGGCAAGTGACACACTGGACGGTCCCATTTGAAGCCCTCGTACATGAAATAAGAGGACTCTGTTCTGAGGAGCGGACTCTGCTCATTGCCTTTGAAAATCCTGCATTCACAGCTGTTATTTACATTTAAATGTGGCCTCTGTGTGATGTCAGGGACACGGTGCCCTAGGCTACTGAGGGGAAATTAGGGTGACCTGGTGACAATTTACAGCAGATTGCACCATTTCTCATACACTTTATAACAAGAGTTTGAATGAGGAAGGAATGCATCAGGCTAAAAGCCTGGGAATCATTCCTCCAGTTTCCAGTTTTCATGACATGCTATGTGAAGAGCCTGGTAATTTCACAGGAGAGGATCCTGATTCCATTTAGTCCCAATCCCTTTTGCCAGACAGAACATGCTGGAAACAGCGTGACAAAGAAGGTTATAATACACATTTTCAGAGTTTCTAGACTGAACAGTGGGAGCTTCAGGAGGTGGTCCCTGGGATAAAATGAGTTATGGAGAGAGGGGACATTTGTTCTGGGGTTCAATCCACTGACCTGCTGGGATATCCGTGTGGGATAGGCTTCAAACAAAGTCTCTGAGTCAAAACACCAGGGTTCATGACAGCAAGTTAATTAACCTCTCATCATGCCAGCATCAGTTTTGTAATCAGCAAACTAGGGATAATAATATCATCTATAGAATTTAGGGAGGATTAAATGAGTTAATGCTTGCAAAGCCCGAATGCCTGGCACGTGGAACATGACTTTATGGTACTCATCTATATTAGGGTTTCCCAACTCAGCATCATTGACACCTGGGCCTGGATAATTCCCTGTTGTGGGAGCCATCCTGTGCATTGCAGGATGTCAGGCAGCATCCTTAGGCGCCACTGATTAATCCCTACCTCCCGGGTGTGACAACCAAACATGTCTCCAGGCCGGGCATGGTGGCTCACACCTTGTCACCTCATCCCTTTGGGAGGCTGAGGTGGGCAGATCACCTGAGGTCAGGAGTTCAAGACCAGCCTGGCTAACATGATGAAACCTTGTCTCTACTAAAAATACACAAATTAGCCAGGCGAGGTGGCAGGCACCTGTAATCCCAGCTGCTTGGGAGGCTGAGGCAGGAGAATCACTTGAACCCAGGAGGCAGAGGTTGCAGTGAGCTGAGATGGCTCCACTGCACTCCAGCCTGGGTGACAAGAGTGAAACTCTGTCTCAACAAACAAACAAACAAACAAACAAAAATATATCTCCAGACATGGCCAAATGTCCCATTTGGGCAAGGTTGCTCCTGACTGAGAATCACAGATTTATATAAAATTATATAAATGTATATGTAAAATTATATAAAGGCATTATAAAATTATATACATGTATATAATTTATAGTTACATAAATTGTATAAATGTGTTAGGGCTGCCATAATAGTTTCACAGACTAGGTGCCTTAAACAACAGAATGTATTTTCTCACAGTTTTGAAGGCTAGAGTTTGAGCTTAAGGTGTTGACAGGATTGGTTCCTTCTGAGGCTGAGGGAGACTCTCATGCCTCTCCCTGGCTTCTGGTGGTTTGCTGGCAATCCTTGGTGAATTCTTGGCTTGTAGATGCAGCATCCCGTCTTTGCCTTCAAGTTCATGGCATTTTTCTATGTGTGTATCTCTGTGTCCAGATTTCCCCTTTTTATAAGGATCCATCATATTGGATCGGGGCACATCTTAATTAACTCATCTTAACTAATGGCATCTGCAAGGACCCTAATTCCAAATCAGGCCACATCTTGAGGTATTGGGGTCAGGACTTCAGCATGCAAATTTTAGAGTGACACAATTCAACTCGTAGCATGAATACATTTATATAAATGTGGGGACTACAAACTCACATGCCCACAGCAGCAGGTAATATAGTAACAAGACGTGATAAATTACAGCAGGTAGATAATATAAAAACAATACCTGATCTGGGAGAAGGCTGGGTTGGCCTGGAAGCTTGGGCCTAGGCAATTGCTGTCAGGAGGAATTGTAGCTTCATTGACGGCAGACCTGATCTTTCAAGAGAACCCTCCTAATCCAGGCTTTCAGGGGAAACTTCTCAAATTAAAAATGCCAAAGAACTCAACCATTTTTAACTCAAGTTAATTTAAAAACAGTTCAAAGACCCCTCCCACCCCAACCTACACATCTACAAGTAGTATCTGGCCTGTGGACAGCCAGCATGAAAGCATAAGAATCATTAAATTAATGAAGAACAGAGTTCAGGAACATATTAATTTTTACCACTGAGGAAGAATGGGGATTAGTTAAATCCCCAAGCTTTGAGTGACCATGTAATGTAGTGTTCAAGGTGGAACATTACTGATAATGAAAGGAAATGCTATGAATAATTACATGTAGACTAGACTCATACCATGCAACTGGGATATATAATCATGCTATCTACATTGCATCTTAATAGAGATAAACTTATTTCAACCTGGATGATCTCAGTGGTTGAGGAGGGGCAATGGGGTGGTATGGAGGGGCCTCAAGGGCTGTGGGGCAGCCACTCCATACCACCACGCTCTACCAATTACTCTCTAGTAAATGGGGTACCAACTACTCTCTAGTAAATGCAGTATCACTGTGTTGCCCAGGCTGGTCTTGAACTCCTGGTCTCAAGTGATCTACCCACCTCGGCCTCCCAAAGAGCTGGGATTACATGTGTTAGCTACTACACCTGGCCTTGTTCCTTTCAAGTAGGGCCTCTTCACTGGTGTTGGTCCCAAAGTCAAGTCTTTGTTGATACTGGCCTCATTGCCCTTTTCTACTCCTCTGCAGACCACATCTCACTGATCACAGGAGTCCTTCCCTAACCTATAGCATCTTTGGATAATTATCTATCTTGCCTGTGGCACTGATGATCAATCTCAACACTTTCAACAGGGACCCCTGCACCACCTTCCATCTTACATTCTGTCTTGAGTGTGGTTCCTTTTTCTCTAGCTGAGCTGTAACCACTCCGATAACTCCTTCATGGATGATAGTAATAAAACTAGCAATTTACACTTCTCTAGCACTTTACTATTTACAGGCATACTTTACTGTTTAAAAAACATTAGGAGTCAGAAGAAAGAAGACGGTAAAATGGACGGTAGAGAAGAGATTTCATTTTGTCATTCCAGCCTCAAGGGAGATGAAGCCAAGGCAGGGCCATTAGAAGCTTGGAGCTGTCCCCTGGACTTCTGGAAGGAAGCTGACATGTGATTGATAGGGGAGGCAGGTCAGTGTGCTATGAAGGGATTTGCTTTGCTATAGTAGGGAGTTCTCCCAGAAGCCAGAACCAACTGACCCAGTGCATCTGGAAAGGAGCCAGAGAACCCCTTGGCAGGCATGGGAGCTTCTTTCTCTGGTTCAGGATTTTACCAGAAGTTTGTCTACCACCTCTCCCTGAACATCACAGCTATGCATGCGAGACATGGAGAGGTTAAGCGGTTTGGTCCAACATTCCACACTTTGAAGGTGGAAGAGCTGGGTTTTGAACACATCTTCTTGCCATTAATGGCTATGTACTTTCCACTATGCCAGTGGCATATGTAGAAGATAGTTGGTTAAGGATGGTTGGTTAAAATGCAGATTCATGCTCAATCCAGGAATCCACATTTTTACTAAATACCCCTAGTAATTCCAAAATAGGTGGTCCATGTGTCACACTCACATTGAGAAGCCCCTTTCTAGTCCAAGCTGCCTCTCAGACATGGCTGTTTACAGCTCTAAAGTACTCATCAGTTTATAAAGTGCCAGGACAAATACATTCTCATTTGGAAAATGAGTTGTTTTACAAATGCCTCAGAAAGTAGATGATCTTTGGGAGCCTTCCCATCTCCAAGAACCGATGCATCTTTGCTCACAGGACTAGCGTGAGAACTTGGGTCGATGGTGGAACATGCAGACCCTGCTCTCTGTTACCTCGTTTGGCAGGCTTCCACTCCAAGGACGTGCTGGTCATCCTTTCATGAGATTTCTGTACATCAGGGTTCTGCATGTTTACAGCAGAAGCAGCTGTATATTTGACCTCAGAACCAGAAGATAAGTGTCAATGGAAATGCTCCCAATACAGGCAGGAAACTCACAGGCCCAGAGATTATGTGAACACATCTAGAGAAGTAGCCTGTTGTCTTTCAAGTAGCGAATTGGGAGTCTGGAGACTTGGTTTCTATTCTGGCCCAGTCACTAGCTTGCTAAGTGAATATGAGCACGTCACTGTGCTCATATGTTTCTGGGCAACATAAAGCAAGAAGACTGAACTAGATTGGTGGTTTTCATAATATGGTCTTTGGAGCCCAAGGGTTTGGAAGAGGAGCCCTAGGGGACACCAAAGAGAAAGGGGTCAGTGGGTATAGGGACTTTGGAACCTCCAACCCTGTTTTATTAAATAATTACAGCAACTCAGAATTTACTTACTGTGTTTATTTGGCTTCTGTGTGAGTTATCTTTAATAATATGGGCTCCAGGCCGGGCGTGGTGGCTCATGTCTGTAATCTCAGCACTTTGGGAGGCCAAGGTGGGTGGATCACGAGGTCAGGAAATGGAGACCATCCTGGCTAACATGGTGAAACCCCGTCTCTACTAAAAAATACAAAAAATTAGCCGGGTGTGGTGGCAGGCGCCTGTAGTCCCAGCTACTTCGGAGGCTGAGGCAAGAGAATGGCGTGAACCCAGGAGGCAGAGCTTGCAGTGAGCCGAGATTGCACCATTGCACTCCAGCCTGGGCACAGAATGAGACTCCACCTAAATAAATAAATAAATAATAATAATATGAGCTCCAGTGCTAAAAAGTCGTTAGAAAGATCATCCAACTAGATAATCTTTAAATACTCTCTCCCTTAACAGTCCCTGTGATTGATCTTTGCAGTTCCATTTCAGCATTACCAGACTTAAAATTAAAAACAATTTTTTTTGTTAGATCTGTGATATATTTCATGTCCTTGCTTCAAGGAAAGCTGAGTCTTCAAGTCACTGAAGTTAGTGTCTCTGGAACCCCAAACTTTGAGTGACTCCCCTGAATTCAGATGCAAATCAGCACATCAGAAACATTTAATTCATTGACCCTACTTCCATGCAACTAAGAACCCCAAGTTCAGGTGAGCAGGAGGGGGTTGAATAGTAAATATTGGACCTAGTTAAGGCCAATATGTAATTTAAATAAACACAGCTGAGCAAACAGAAGACTTAAGCAAAGGCTGGATTTACGTAGCCATTTCCTTAGTGTGTTATGTGCCAAATGAATTCAATGGCTTTTTGACGTTTTTCCTTCTGATCTTAATTGCAACCTGTTTGACTGAGTTGATGAAACTGATTGAAAAGTCAAGACATTAAAAAAACTGGAAAACCTTTTTTGTTAAGAGCATGTTTAGCTACATGTTTCGTAATTTAGTGGGGGCAAAACAGGGCTTAAAGAACTTCTTGAAATTTAAAACAGAATTATTTGTGTGTCTTAATATTTTCTACATTCTTTATTGCACTTAAGAAATGGTAGAAAGCATTTTTGGGACCGTTACATTCATGCAATCTGGATGCTATGTCCTGGGTGACTCAGCAAAATCTTCCAAAGTAGCTATTGGGGGTTTTCCTGGGGCTGGTCTGAGATGGAGCGTTGCTATTTCTTAGGTGAGGGTGCTGATGTTATAGCTTGAGATTCTCTAGCAGTTTACACTTCTCTAGCACTTCACTATTTGCAGGCATACCTCACTAGTTTTTTTTTTTTTTTTTTTCTTTTGAGACAGGGTCTCACTCTGTCGCCCAGGCTGGAGTGCAGTGGCGCAATCTCGGCTCACTGCAACCTTCGCTTCCTGGGTTCAAGCAATTCTCCTGCCTCAACCTCCCTAGTAGCTGAGACTACAGGTGCCCACCACCGCGCCCAGCTAATTTTTATATTTTTAGTAGAGACAGGGTTTCACCACGTTGGCCAGTTTGGTCTCGAACTCCTGACCTCAAGTGATCTGCCCACCTTGGCCTCAGAAAGTGCTAGGATTACAGGCATGAGCCACCATGCCTGGCCACCTTACTGTTTAAAAAACACTAGGAGTGAGAAGAAAGAAGGGGATAAAATGGATGGTAGAGAAGAGATGTCATTTTGTCAGTCCAGCCTCAAAGGAGATGAAGCCAAAGCAAGGCCATTAGAAGCTTGGAGCTGTCCCCTGGACTTCTGGGAGTAAGCTGACATGTGATTGATAGGGGAGGCAGGTAGGTCAGTGTGGTATGAAGGGATTTGCTTTGCTACAGCAGGGAGTTCTCCCAGAAGCCAGAACCAACTGACTCAGTGCATCTGGAAAGGAGCCAGAGAACTCCTTGGCAGGCATAGGAGCTTCTTTCTCTGGTTCAGGATTTTACCAGAAGTTTGCCCACCACCACTCCCTGAACATCACAGCCATGCATGGGAGATACGGAGAGGTTAAGCGGTTTTGTCCAACATTCCACACTTTGTAGATGGAAGAGCTGGGTTTTGAACACATCTTCTTGCCATTAATGACTATGCATTTTCCACTATGCCAGTGACATATGTAGAGATTCTCAAGCTATAGCATCAGCACCCTCACCTAAGAAATAGGTCTCATCACTTAATTAACACACAGAGCATGCAGACAGGGTCTCCATGTAATTTATGGCTTGGGATACATTTTTATGTTTTGAGGTGCTTTTCATTTGATGCATGCATTAGTAATAATGCAAGCTTCTATAACAGCTGAACTCCCAAACCTCAGTGGTGATACAGTAGAAGCTGTTGCTCACTCATATTGAGTCCAAAGTAGGTTTAGGCCTTTTGCCTTCCATGCAGTGATTCAGGGACCCAGCCTTCTTCCACCTTGTAGACAAGGCACACTGGCTTCTTACCTGTTTTAGCCCAGATGTGACATTCATCACTTTTGCTCATGTTCCATTGATGAAAACTAGTCACATGACCTTACCAGTAGAAAAGAGATAGAATACAGTCCTGGCCTGGCAGCCATTTTTCAACAAAAACTCTGTATAATAGAAAGGAAAGCACAAGTCTTTGATGGGCAATTAGTTACCTTTGCCACAACTAACAACAATATACTTTTGGTTGTTAGATAATCATTAACTAAGCATGCAATTTTGGCTGCTTCAGTCCCAGAGTTTGATGGCATTGTCAACGTTAATCAAAGCAACTCATGAGAAATGCTTAAGAAAGTGACACATTTTCAGGCTTGGAGAAATGTTCATTCATCTAACTTGGTATTATTTAGGGCAAAACCTTGTCTTTATGAGCACTGTACTAGCAAAGGGTAGCTTCCTTCATGCAGGTCTAAGAGAATTATTTCCTTTCTTTGTGTCTCAGCTTTCTTTTCTGCAAAATGAAATTGTTGGAGTAGATAGTCTCTAATACCTATGTTCTAGCAATATGCATTTCATTTCTCATGTTATTGAAATCACTGAAACAAACATATCTGTCTTTGGTGTGATTAAAGGTTGTTCTTCAGGAAAGGCATACACAAACGTGTTCTAAAAACTAGCCAGAGGAAATGGGGAGCTAAATGTTTCCTTTTCTCAATGGGTCTTGGCCATCTTTCCACTTATTTAAATGTAAAACATGTATTATTTAACCACAACTTCAATGCTAGGAGCAAACACATAAAAGCAGATGGTTAAACAGCATGTATTTTGGAGTTTTAATCCCAAACCACCTATACATGCAATTTTCAAATAAGAATAAGCCTATGTTTCAACAAATGTGAACTTTAAGAGTTATTATTTGAACTTTAGTCTTAGATCAAATTTTCACATAATAAATTTTGTGTCCAACTACTTCATGCCATTGTTGGTTTTTGAAAAAGACAAAGAGTTGCAAAGTGGTGAGGTTTCCCACTGAATCACTGCCCATAATAGGACTCGATCTTGAACCTTTGGGGCAATGCAGTCAATCACTCATTCTGCCACTGAGAAGGTGGCTTTTCCTCAAAAAAGTCCCCCCAGTTTGCTCCATCACTGTTCACAGGGCTTTGGGTTGGTAAATGCAGGGAGGCGTTAATGTTTTAGTGCAGAAGCACCACTGATGCAAGTTAAAACAGGAAAAAGACTTGTAATGCACAACTGCTGACAAATACATTACTCTCTGGAGTTGCTATGTGGGAAGAGGCTTTGTCTCTTCCATGGGACAGATCCCTCACTCAGCTGCAGGCAGAAGGCAGAATGACAGTGGATGCTTCCTGGGGGACAGTTTTCGTGTCTGCTCAACAAACAGCTTCTTTTGTCCACATTATTTATTTTTATTTACTTATTCTTTTTCTTCTATAGCTCCTTTGTCCCTCGGATTCCTAAAGGAAGAATTTTAACCTTTAAATGCTCTCTAGCTCCTTTATGTCAAGCAGCATCAGGGTGCAAGAAATTAGCATAGTGCTAGAGTCAAAGTCACCTGGGCTTCATTTTGGGGTCTGCCACCTGACAGCTTTGTGATCTTAGGCTGTGTCTCAGTTATCCCATTTCTAAGGTGGGTCATTGTAAAGTTTGAATAAGATAGTTCATGCAAAACACTTGGCACATAATAATGACTTCACCCATCTGTAATAGGTCATTCTTGCATTGCTATAAAGAAATACCTGGGACTGGGTAATTTATAAAGAAAAGAGGTTTACTTGGCTCATGGTTCTGCAAGCTGTACAAGCATGGTGCCAGCATCTGTTTGGTTTCTGGGGAGGCTTCAGGGAGCTTTTATTCATGGCAGAAAATGAAGCAGGAGCAGGCACGTCATACAGAGAAAGCAGGAGGTAGGGGGAGGTGCCACACATTTACACAATCAATACTCAAGAGAATTCACTCCCTATCAAGAGGATTGTGCCAAGACATGAGGAATCTACCCCCACAATCCAATCACCTCCCATTAGGCCTACCTCCAACATTGGGAATTACATTTCAACATAGGATTTGGAGGCGACATATATCTAAACTATATCACTATCCATCCATCCATCCATTCATCCATCCATCCACCCATCCACCCATCCACCCATCCATACAACTTATCTACCTATTTATCCTGTCTTCTCTCTCTATATATTTGTAAAACGTGTATTGGTTAAAATGTGTATAGGTTAATAGGTAGAAAGAGAGAGGAGAGATGGAGAGGGCTGAAAATGGTAGTGGGAGAGGTGCTTCAGTTCTTTTGGGGTAACTTCCACTTAGACATTTGGTGATGAAATATTTCAGACATACAAAAAAGTGAATCTTCATACATATTTAAATGAATCTGTGAAGTAACCACCAGCTTGATTAGATGATTGCTGCTCCTCTGCAAGATTATATACTTTTATGTCTGTATCCACCAACAACTGGCAATATAAACTTTATTTTATCATTACCTTTTTGGAGGCAGAGTCTCACTCTCACCCAGGCTGGAGTTCAGTGGCTCCATCCCAGCTCACTGCAACCTCCGCCTCCTGGGTTCAAGTGATTCTCCTGCCTCAGCCTCCTGAGTAGCTGGGATTACAGGTGCATGCTACCATGCCTGGCTAATTTTTAGTATTCTTAGTAGAGATGGGGTCTCACCATGTTGCCCAGCCTGGCCTTGAACTCCTGAGCTCAGGCAATCGACCCACCTAGGCCTCCCAAAGTGTTGGGATTGCAGGTGTGAGCCACCATGCCTGGCCTGACAATATAAACTTTAGGTAAATGATAAAATACCATATACCTTTTTCTGCTATTTACTTTCAGTGTCTAATATTATATTTTGAGATGTCTGTGTTGACATAGTATGTCTAGTGTAACCACCTTAACTTCTGTGTAATATTCCATGTTTTCTTTCTTTTTTCTTTTTCCTTGGGGCGTTTCTTTCTTCAACCTTCCTGCCTCGTGCCCTGCTTTACTTGTTCTCCTATCAGATTTCCCTCCCCACATCCCTCCCAATAAGAAGGTGCATCAGTGAAAGAGGACAAGAAAAGCCACCCCTTGGTTTATGGTTGACCCATGAGAGTGAGCTGTGTTCTGCTTACTATGATGGAGACACAGCGTTTTTGGTGTGACTTAAAAATCACATCACCCACATGTCAGGCATAAAAACATTTTACTAAATAACAGATGTCCCTGCTCCTGGATTAGGGGTCTGGAATGTGTGTTCTGCATATTTTATGGCAGGAAAAGGCCCTGTTTAAGGCGCCTTTCCAGAATTCCCCTCTATGCTAGAACAAACCATTATCAACATTATCAGGGTACTTTTGTTCTCCTGTCTGCCTCTCTCCTCTTTAAGGAAATGATGTAGATAAAAGTCCCTCACCTGTCCTGTCCTTTACCCTCTTTGAAAAATATTACATTTGATACATATTAAAATATATAATGTATGTATATGTATGTTACAAATCAAAATAGCATAATTGACATTCATGAAGCCATCTGTTCACCTGAGAACTAGAACATCCCAACCCCAGGGCTTCACTGTTTGACTTCCTGGAGGTGAAGACATCATTTAAGGCATTTCTTGGCTCTAGTTTTGTGCATCTGTTCTGTGGTGGAAGGTGCGATGTATCAGGGAGCAGGTGAAGGATGAGCCATTCTGTTTTTGCCTGACATATAGCTGCAGGAGGCTAGGTGTGAGCCTGGTTAGTGACACTGGAAATTTAGATCTGTGAAGATACCTGTAGGTAACTGCTTAATTCATTTCCTCTCTTTGGGCCTCCGTTTTCTTACCTGTACATGGAAAGGGCTAGATTAAATAATCTCTGAGTTTGCTTTTGTCTGTTGAGTAAAACATGCTTCTTTATGTTGCATCTCTGTATCTTCATTGTAAGCACCACTAAGGTAGCACCAGTCTGTGGAAAATGACACTCAACTGCATCATCTGACTGCTCTGTCCAGTTACAGAATGTCCTTCCTTGGGTGCTGATACGGTTTGGCTCTGTGTCGCCACTCAAATCTCGAATTGTAGTTAACATCATTTCCACATGTCGTAGGAGGGACCCTGTGAGAAGTAATTGCATCATGAGGGTGGGTCTTTCGCGTGCTGTTCTCATGATAGTGAATAAATCTCATGAGATCTGATGGTTTTATAAAGGGGAGTTTCCCTGCACATGCTCTCTCTCTTGCCTGCTGCCATGTAGGATGTGACTTTGCTTCTCCTTTGCCTTCCACCATGATTATGAGGCCTCCCCAGTCATATGGAGCTGTGAGTCAATTAAAGCTCTTTCCTTTATGAATTACCCAGTCTCAGGTATGTCTTTATTGGCAGCGTAAGAACAGACTAATACAGGTTCCATTCACAGGGGTGAAAGAATTCCACTGCTTTCCCTGAGTATTCCAGGGGTTTGTATCTTTCTTCCCTGAAAGTGACTCATGGGATCAGGGAGCTGAATCCTATCCAAACCTCAAACCAATCCTAGTCATTTGTTGTCTTTGAACTCAGTTTTTCCTTTTTTTTTTTTTTAAATTTCCTTTTCCCTAGTGTCTAGTTACTGAGTCAAGATAATGGTCTCTTTTAGGGTATGAATATTTTTAAGAAGAGGAAAAAAGTGATTTGGAGGTGGGTGAAGCAGAGGATGGATCCTCACTTCAACTATTTGTGGGCTGATCAGGTTGAGGACAAAGGAAAATATTCTAAGATAGCCACATAGGGGAGAGCAATGACTCATCAAAAGAGGTTCCAGGGATGCAGCTTTGGCTGATACAATAACTTTCTTACAATTCTAGCCATCTTGTGAGGAAGCTCTTTGTCCAAGAAGGCGTTTGAATGTTGAGTAATTGATTAGATCAATAAATATATAGTTTAAATATAATCAGGCCCTGGCTAGGTTCCATGAGGGAGGCAAACATGAATAAGACATTGTCCCCACAGAGAGGGGCTTATAACCTGATAGACACATACCATATTCTACTTTTCAAAATAATTATATGCTCATCTTCAGAGCCAAAAATCAACCACTGGCAAAGCACTTCAAAGAGCAGAGGAGGACGACAGGCCAAGGAAAGAGGAGCCATGATTGTGAGGGGTGACACAAGGTCCTCCTGGCCCTTGAATTAGGTCTTGCAGGTAGAAAAAAGGTGGAGGTGTGGCAGGGGCTGGGGGCAGAGACAGTGTTCCTGGGTGAACAGTTTGGGGACCAGGAAAATTGCAGCTCAGAGGAACATCATCATTTAAGAGCTTTCTGGGCCATGTGGGGTGAGTTACCACAGCATGCTGCTGGGCCCTTGTACCCAAGGAAACACACCACTGGGATATCTCAGCATCCTTCCAGCTTCTCTGTTCAATCAGGCTGTGAACCTCAGTGTTTCCTTTGACATTCTTCCTTTCTTTTTCTGCTACTTTCAGGGTGCCCCAGTGCGGCCTCAAGGTGAGTTCATGGACATTTTCTTTGAACCCTAAGCCAAACCACCCAGCTCCAGGATACACTGAGGAATGGGGTAGTTTGTAGAGTCATCTGGAGAACACATTCTTTTTTGAAAAATATAATTTCAACTTTTACTTTGGATTCAGAAGGTACATGTGTAGGTTTGTTACCTGAGTATATTGCATGATGCTGAGGTTTGGAATACAAATGATCCTGTCACCCAGGTAGAGAGCGTAGTACCCAATAGTTTGTTTTAAACCCTTGCCTCCCTCCCTCTCTCTTCTTGTAGTCCCCAGTGTCTTTCATTGCCATCTTTACGTTCACTAGGACTCAGTGTTTAGCTCCCACTTATAAGTGAGAATATGTGGCATTTGATTTTCTGTTCCTGCATTAATTCACTTAGGAAAACGGCCTCCAGTTGTAACCATGTTGCTGCAAAGGACATGATTTTATTCTTTTTTGTGTCTACATAGTATTTAATGGTGTAGATGTGCCACATTTTCTTTATCCAATCCACCATCGATAGGCATCTGGGTTGACTCCATGTCTTTGCCATTGTGAACAGTGCTGCGATGAACATATGAGTGCATGTGTGTTCTTGGTAGAATGATTTATTTTCCTTTGGATATATATCCAGTAATGGTATTGCTGGGTTGAATGGTAGTTCTAAGTTCTTTGAGAAATCACCAAACTGCTTTCTGCAGTGGCTGAACTATTTTACATTCCTACCAGCTGTGCATAAGTGTTTCCTTTTCTCCATAGCCATGTCTGCATCTGTTGTTTTTTGACTTTTTAATGCTAGCCATTCTGACTGGTGTGAGATGGTATCTCATTATGGTTTTGGTTTGCATTTTTCTGATGATTAGTGATGTTGAGCAGTTTTTCATGTTTGTTGACTGCATATATTCTTTTGAGAAGTACCTGTTATATCTTTTGCCCACTTTTTAATGTTTGTCTTTTTTCTTTGCTTGTTGAATTGTTTGTTCCTTACAGATTCTGGATATTAGACCTTTGTCAGATGCATAGTTTGTGAATATTTTCTCATATTCTGTGGTTGTCTGTTTACTCTGTTGATAGTTTCTTTTGGTATGCAGAAGCTCTTTAGTTTAGTTAGGTCCCACTTGTCAATTTTTGTTTTTGCTGCAATTGCATTTGAGGACTTAGTCATAAATTCTTTCCCAAGGCTAATGTCCAGAATGGTGTTTCCTAGATTTTCTTCTAGGACCCTTACAGTTTGTGGTTTTACATATAAGTTTTTAATCTAATTTGAGTTAATTTTTGTATAGAGTGAAAGGCAGGGGTCCAGTTTCATTCTTCTACATATAGCTAGCAAGCTATCCCAGCACAGTTTGTTGAATAGAAGGTCCTTTCCATATTGCTCATTTTTGTCAACTTTATCAAAGATCAGATGGCTGTAGGTGTGTGGCCTTATTTCTGGGTTCTCAATTCTGTTCCATTGGTCTATGTGTCTGTGAACAAGTTCTTGAGGTGCAAGTGGCAATTACCCTTCCCACTAGATGATCTGTGAGGTGCCAGCAAGTCTGGAAGCATAGGCTGAGCCATGGTCCACTTCAAGCAAAGGGCAGCCTGCCCCTGAGCCATGATGGTGGTGCCCTCCAGCAACTTGAGTTGGCACTCACATTGCATGCCACTCTTCCCTGCTTGTCACAGAAGGCTTTTTCTCTACCCAGAAACTTTTCTGAGACTTTGGCAATGGTCCCAGTGTGGGACAGGAGACCTGGAACCCAGGCATCCAGACCCTAGTTCCCTAGGGCACCCTCCTGAGTTTACCTTTTCTCCCTAAGCCGGAACACTGCAGGATGCATTAGTGCTCTCATCTTTGGAGATGGCTACTTTCCATGCCCTAGAGAGGACGCTGTCATACTACACACACAGACACTTAAGGGGGCAGAGTGGAGTGGGTGGCGGTTAGGAAGTGACCCTTAGTGCCCTAAAGATGATTTCAGAGAAAGAGAGAAAGAAAGAGCAGTCTGATCTGTCTGTGGATTCCCACAGCATTATTAGCCCCCATCTCCTCCTCTCTGTTCCCACTGATTCCACTCCAGTTTTCTTCCCAGGAGCAGAGCATTAGCCTTCTAGCCTTTTCTCTCTTCCATTCCTTGCTGGTCTGGGCCACACTTCCCTAAGACTGAATATCAGCAATATCCCTGGCTTTGTCAGCTCCAGAATGACCCCTGGCTATTCCCAAGAGTTTTCCTACCTGTCCATGGCCCAAGGGCATTTTGACCAAAATGAATGAGGAGCTCGGAATGTTGGAGTGTGGTGACCCCACCAATCTTGCCTCTGTTGGGAAGGGTGTCTGGCCTCCACCACCAACGTGACTCTGGGGTAGAAACCACCCTCCAGCTTCTCCTCCAAATATTGTCCCATTAGTTGACCTAGGTCTCACATGTGAACATGGGGTGCTCTGTTTCCAAGTTCTGCAGAGTATCCCCTTGCCCACATTTGTATTGTGTCCACATTATTTGGTCCAGGATAAAGGCCTTACATGCTGTGGGTCGCACTCTCCTAGTACTCACTGACATGTACCTAGCTCATCTCTGAACATACCCTGTATCCTCTTCTTCCCTGAGGCTGTTCCAGCCTCCTGGATTGCACACGTATCACCTCCCCACATGCTCATTTCAACTCCTAGCAATACCTAGCACCGTATCAGTCAGTGCTGTCTGATCCATCTAGGCTGAAGGACTGTTTCCTTCAGAACCTCCTGGACTT
Source organism: Homo sapiens (assembly GCF_000001405.40). Classification (NCBI taxonomy): domain Eukaryota; kingdom Metazoa; phylum Chordata; class Mammalia; order Primates; family Hominidae; genus Homo; species Homo sapiens. Next base: position 223,036,382 of record NC_000002.12, read on the forward strand.
GTGGTTTCTACCTCATTGATGGTCCTTGGAGTTAATGGCCCTCTACTGGCTTGAGCCCTTTTCTCATTTCCATACTTGGTTTTTACATTCTTGAGGCTGGAGACTGCTTCTTATCTTTGGACTCCCTTCTATCAATGAAGAATCCTTTTAGGGGTGCAGTGTCCTTTGCCCAGAGAGAATGTTCAATATTTGTTTGTTAAATGGAACTGTGTAGGGCAAAGGGAGGGAGGGGCAGAGGTTGGGAGTTGCCTGCAAGGGTTTTGCACTCCCTGCTGGGGCTCTTCATTGAGGCAAGGCAAGTTTGGAGTGGTGGGCCATGTCACTTGGATGCCCCAGACTCTAGAAAGCAGGCAACATAAATACGAATTACAAGTATAATATAAATTGGAACTGATGAGGGAGTCTTTTTCCTCCCAGGGGAAAGTGAGGTGAAAATCAATACGGAGAAAAACATATTTTCCCCTCACTGATTGGTACTCTTTGGAGCCCTTTCTTCATTTGCACTTTTCCCTTTATTGGCTCTCCCTAGGATTTCCTTTGTACCATATGCACATATTGTAGCCACCCAGTGGGTTCACCTTGCCCACTGCCTAAACAGAGCCAATTTATCAAGACAGGGGAATTGCAATGAAGAAAGAGTAATTCATGCAGAGTTGGCTGTGCGGGAGACCAGAGTTTTATTATTACTCAAATCAGTCTTCCTGATTATTCAGGGATTAGGGTTTTTAAAGATAATTTGGAGGGTAGGGGCTTGGGAAGTGGGGAGTGCTGATTGGTCAGCTTGGAGATGGAATCACAGGGGGTCGAAGTGAGTTTTTCTTGCTGCCTTCTGTTCCTGGGTGGGATGGCAGAACTGGTTGAGCCAGATTTCAGGTCTGGGTGGTGTCAGCTGATCCATCCAGTGCAGGGTCTGCACAATATCCCAAGCACTGATCTTAGGTTTTACAATAGTGATGTAGAATCCCTAGGAGCAATCTGGGGAGGTTCAGACTCTTGAGACCAGAGACTGCCCAACCCCTAAACTGTAATTTCTAATCTTGTAGCTAATTTGTTAGTCCTGCAAAGGCAGACTGGTCCCCAGGAAGAAGGGGATCTTTTAAGAATAAGGCTGTTATCAGTTTTGTTTCAGAGCAAAATCACGAACTGAATTCCTTCCCAAAGTTAGTTTGGCCTATGCCCAGGAATGAACAGGACAGCCTAAAGGTTAGAAGCAAGATGGAGTCAGTTAGGTCTGATTTCTTTCACTGTCATAATTTCCTCAATTATAGTTTTGCAAAGGTTGTTTCAACACAGCCTTTTGCTCTTCCTTCTCTGCTGAGTATAGAGAAAAAAGGGAGGTGTGATGGGAGTCTCTGGCTCTTGGAATCACAATTTGTTATTTTTGCGTTTAGGCCCTGACTTCCTTTATGGCTGGCCAGTGGCATATGTGGGCATAAACTTGGAGTCACCTTGCATCTTGCTTTATAGCAGCACAGTCAGGACTTCCAGCTATGTGATCCCTGGCAAGTTTCTTAGCCTCTTTCTGCCCCCCTTTATTGTTTTGTCAAATGGCTAGGATAATAACCCCTCCCCCAGCCATGTTTACGGAAATGAAATGATAACAATAATAGCAGCAGTAATCAGAATTTATTGAGTAGTTACTATAAGCCAGGCCTTGTACTACGGTTTTACATGTATTAAGTATTTTAATCCTCGTGGCAATCTTACGCAGTATATATAGGAGTATTACCATCTCTACTTCATAGAGAAGGAGACTGGGGCACAGAGATGATGAGAAACTTGATTATGGTGACACAGCCAGTAACCGGTAGAACTAGGATTTGAACCCAGGCAGTCTAGCTGCCAGAGTTCAAGCTCTGACCACCATGCAATGGTCTATAGCAAATGCCAGGTGGAAATGATGTCAAAGAACATGGCAGAGCAAGGACTTCTGAAAATTATCTCCTTCATAAAAGCAACAAGAAAACAGACATAAAATATCAGAACCAACAATTTTTGGAACTTTAAATTAAAGGTTTGTAGAAACTTGGGGGTGTTTATTTTTAAAAAAAGGCTAAATCTCAGAACAATAAGCTTTATGGTGTTTTACGCTGCTCTGTTCCCATCTCTGCCTCCAGCTCTGCAGTAGCTTTGAAAATTCACAGCCTGAACCTAAATGCAACTTGCTCATGAAGTCCTTGCTAATCCATCCCCTGGACATGCAGTTCTTTAGAGGGTGGCTTATGACCTGACTTTAATATTTATTTTAATTTCCTTTGTATTACAGCTAGCCAATTATTTAGCTATATCCTCATCTCAGTTGAAGGACTTTGAGGCTAGGGACTATTTCTTATTCTTCCTTCATAGTATATACCAAAGTGCTTTGTATCTAGAAAATGCTCAATAAATATCTTTTCATCAATTAAAAAAAAGAAAATTCACAGCCTGAAAATGAGATTACACTGAAATCTAGCAGTCTGGCAGCCACCCGTGGGAGAGGAGAGTGGGCCTGGAATTCCTTCAAAGCCTCATTCCCACAGAATTGTCACTATTTTACCTTTATGGTAGTTTCCTGGAGGATGCTGCTTACAAGGCTGTCTTTGTTTGCTTGACTTGAGCTTGTCCAGTGAGAAAAGCATTTTACCCAGGGACCCCTGTTGAAAACAATTAGGGGTAATTGATAAACTCTGTGAGGCAATGGATAGCTGCTGGGACAAACAATAAACTTACAAGGAAAACAAAAACCAAAGCTTAAAAAAGAATAAAACTGAGGAATGAGATGTTCACTGGGACTTTGAAGAGCTTTGACATATTCCAGGGAATCCAGAAAGGCACACACATTTAGAAAGGTGTGTGCATACTCAGGAAAGACCTCAATAGGACCTATTCTCTCACCCCTGGCTGACCTTAAGGCTCTGTGCAAGGGGGAAGTGAAGGCTAACATAGAGTTGTAAACTAGCTATCGGAGTGTTGAAAGTATGGCTGAATAAAAAATGATGAGTTCATGTCCTTTGTAGGGACATGGATGAAATTGGAAACCATCATTCTCAGTAAACTATCGCAAGAACAAAAAACCAAACACCGCATATTCTCACTCATAGGTGGGAATTGAACAATGAGATCACATGGACACAGGAAGGGGAATATCACACTCTGGGGACTGTGGTGGGGTCGGGGGAGGGGGGAGGGATAGCATTGGGAGATATACCTAATGCTAGATGACACGTTAGTGGGTGCAGCGCACCAGCATGGCACATGTATACATATGTAACTAACCTGCACAATGTGCACATGTACCCTAAAACTTAGAGTATAATAAAAAAAAATAAAAATAAAAAATAAAAAAAAAAAAAAAAAGAAAGTATGGCTGAACATGTAAATTGAGCTCCATGGTAAAGACTAGGAGATTTATTGGTTCCAGAAGTTTAAGAGAAATAAATTTCTGTCTAGTCATCATCTGGTCGTTAAACTGAGTAGAGACTTCAGTGGCCACACATGAGAAAGAATGTAGACAATACAGAATTAGTTCAGAAAAGTAATTAAACAAATAAACAACATTTAGCAAGAAAAGGAAAGAAAATCATCTAGATTGAAAAGTAAAAGTAAAACTGTTTCTACTAGATCTTATATAGATGACATGATCTTATATAGAGGGCATGATCTTATATAGAGAAAAATTTAAAGAATCCACTAAAATATTATTAACACTAATAAACAAGTTCAACATGGTTGCAGGATATAAGAATAATGTACAAAATCAATTGTATTTCCATATACTAGCAATGAACAATCTGGAAGTAAAATTAAGAAAGCAATTGCATTTATCATAGCATCAAAAAAATTAAAATGCTTAGGGATTGTGAAAGGAAAATAAAAAGTTGGGACCCCAATTCACTATGCCAAAAGAAAAAAAATTAAGCTGAAATCTGAGTCATGCAAGAAGCTGCCTTTCCTTTTGTTCCTAAGCAGATAGCTGCAGATAAAAGTTAAATATCTCCACAGGTAGCAACGCTATGTTCACCTTATCATGAGTGCAAGACAAATACATAATTGACTATTCTCCTACCTGCTCCTTGTCTCTTGCAACATGTGGTTTCAGTAATATGACCGTACTCTCCTTCTTTCATCTTTAGCCTGCTTTTCCCCTCTAAATATTGAAGCCCTAAAAATAATTTTTAAAGAACGACACAGACCTGTCTCCCAGGCATGTGTACGTTACCTTGGCAAAATAAACCTCTAAATTGATTGAGATCTGTCTCAGATACTTTTTGGTTTACAGGATGTATTTACCAAATGAGGTACAAGGCTTGTACACTAAAAACTACAAAAATGCTCCTGAAAGAAACTAAGGAAGATAAGGCAAATGCAAAGTCATTCTGTGTTCATGGATTGGGAGACTCGATATTGTTAAGATGGCAACACTCCTAGATTTGATCTACAGACTCAATGCAATTGGTATCAAACTTCCAACTGCCCTTTTTAAAAAAATAGCCAAGACAATCTTGAAAAGGAGAAATAAAGTTGGATGACTTATGCTTTCTGATTTCAAAGCTTAGTGCAAGGTGCAGTATTCAAAACAGTGTGGTACTGAAATAAGGCTAGACATATAGATCAATGGAATAGAATTGAGAGTCCAGAAATAAACCCATATATCTATGGTCAATTGATTTTCCACAAGAATACCAAGGCCATTCAATAGGGAAAGAATAATCTTTTCAACAAATGGTGTGGGGACAATTGGATACCCACATGTAGAAAATAAATTTGGACCTCTACCTCACATCACACATGAAACTTTAGCTCAAAATGGATCAAGAAACTAAATGGAAGAGCTACAACTTTAGAAGGAAACATAGGTATAAATTATGGGCAACAATTTCTTAGTTATGACACCAAAAGCACAGCAACAAAAGAAAAAAGAGATAAACTGGCCTTCATCAAAATTAGAAACTTTTATGCATCAAAGGACACTATCAAGAACATGAAAAGACAACTCAGAACGGGAAAAAATGTTGCCAATCATCCAGAATGATTTAGTATCCAGCATATATAGAGAATTTAGTATCCAGAATAAATAGGGAATTCTTATAACACAACAATAAAATGACAAACAAACCAACTGAAAAATAGGCAAAGGACTTGAATAGATGTTTCTTCAAAGAAGAAATACAAATGGCCAGAGATAAGAGCAAAGGTATAGAGTATGCACAGTTTCAAATGAGCCCCAGAGTTTTTTTTTTTTCTTATTTAAAAATCCTCAGAAGTTCCTTTCCCAGGAGACTTGCATGAAGGGGCCAGGATTTCTGTGGGTTGGGCCTGTGTTATGAGTCATGCAGTCAGAGCAGGCTGAACATGACGGCTCTCACGCCACGGTGATCCAGTGCTGGGAGGAGGTGGCAGTCCTGGGTCTCACTGCCAGGGGCTTGGTGTGTGATTTGTTGTAGACAAATATTTGGTCCTTTTCAAAGAGGAGCCCAGTATCATTCAGCCAAGAAGCTAGGATCTGACAAAGCCCCAACATCAGCCTCTGCTGTGCAATGCTAATTTTTATTTTATTTGACTTATTTTCTTTCTTTCTCCCTTCCTTCCTTCCTTCCTTCCTTCCTTCCTTCCTTCTTCCCTCCCTCCCTCCCTCCCGTCTGTCTTTCTTTTTCTTTCTTTCTTTGTTTTTCTCTTTCTTTCTTTCTTTCTTTTTCTTTCTTTCCTTCCTTCCTTCCTTCCTCCCTCCCTCCCTCCCTCCCTCCCTCTCTCTCTCTCTTTCTTTCTTTCTTTCTTTCTTTCTTTCTTTCTTTCTTTCTTTCTTTCTTTCTTTCTTTCTTTCTTCCTCTCTCTCTTTCTTTCTTTCTTTTCTTCTTTCTTTCTTCTTTTTCTTTCTCTCTCTCTGTCTCTCTCTCTCTTTCTCTCTTCCTGTCTTCCTTTCTTCCTTATGGAGTCTCTCTGTCACCCAGGCTGGAGTGCAGTGATGTGATCTCTGCTAATTGCAACTTCCACCTCCCAGATCCAAGTGATTCTCCTGCCTCAGCCACCCTAGTAGCTGGGATTACAGGCACACACCACTGCACCCAGCTAAGTTTTGTATTTTTAGTAGCGAGAGGGTTTTGCCATGTTGGCCAAGCTGGTCTCGAATGCCTGGCCTCAAGTAATCCACCCCACTCAGCCTCCCAAAGTGCTGGGATTACAGGTGGGAGCCACCACACCTGGCTTGACATACTTTCTTTGCAATCATCTTTTTGTTGTTTTGATCCTTTAGCTTTATAAAATATCTATTGGTTTAGGTTGCAGGACAGGTGTGTTTATTTGAATAAATGAATCAACAAATGAATAAATAAACCAGTATAGGCCAAATGAATATGTCATTAATTAGGTTAAACATGGCAGAGCATGAGGTCAGTACCCTGATGGGTTTGGCTGAAATTCTTTGAAATATTAATCTGAGACACATAGGTATGAGTCTACCTGACTAATGACCAATGATCAGCTTACCATGTGGCTTCCTCACTCCACAGGAACCCCCCAGGCAGAAGCAGGGACCATTCACTTCTCCTTATGCTCACTACTCAGCATGAATCAGCATTTCTGACATTAGTATTTCTGTGCAAGTCTCAATTATTTATTGAGCACAGAAGGAACACTTGCTTTCTCAGCATAGCCTTGGGTATCAGCCTCAGCCTCCCTGTGTCCAGGCCTCCTTTGTTTCTCGTTCACTGTGGGCAGCTGTGTGCCACTTTTCACAATTGCCTCCCTGGTATGTGAAGAACCAGCTTTGATTTATTCATTCAGTACCTGTCAGGCAAATTTTGCCTGCATGCTGTTGATAGAGTGAGCTTTCTTGATGAGTTGCCCATTCTTTTTGCCTAGCTAGGATGATCCTGAGAACTCTAGTTGTGGCAAAATAGAGATTCCTCATAGTCTTGGGCTACACTGTGCTATAGACCTCAGCTCTGTCTCTAGAGGGAGACCAAATGGAGAAACACGATGGGAAATTGCTGCAACAGGAAGCCAGTCACTAGAGAAAAGGAGACCCCCACTTCCTGCCCCACTTCCTGCCATCCATAATTTAGTCTGTATTTGTGCAAGGGCAACTCAAGCTATGAAATGCTCTTGAAATCCCTAAGTCCTTCTTTAGAACCAACTGCCTTTGGAAAGTGCAGAAGTCAGAGCTAAGTGGACATTCCTTTTGATTGGGTCCTGCCTTATCATCTGGTACTTAAAAGGTTTTGGAAGACCTTTTCAAGGCTTCGAAACACTGTTTTTAAATAAGAGTGTCGGTTCTGCCCTCCTGAGCTGGAACCCCTGAAGCACTTCCTCAACATCTTCTTTCTGTCCTGACCTCTCGATTAGTTGGGGCCAGAGGAAGTGGCTAGCAGCTGAGCATCGTGCATCTAGAAATGGAGTATGTGTCTGGCATGATTTCAACAGGAGGTGGGACGGTCTATTCCAGTTTTGCTTCGTCCTGCTGTGTGACCAGGACAAGATGGACAAGTTACTTTTCTGGCCTCATTCTCCACACTCACAAAATTCTGTTCATAATCACCCACATTGGGCTTTTGTGAAATTAAAAGTTAAATTAAAAAGTCTATAATGAATGTTTAGCACATTCTCTCTGTTATTCAGTCAACGGATCTTTTTTGGAAGGTCTGCTATAGGCCAAGTACCATTCCAGTTGCTGGGAATAAAATAGCAAATAGTCACTTTTGGTCCTAAACCTAAATTTAAGCTAGATCATCCCTCTTTAAGGCGGGGACTTATCTTCTGCCTCCTTGGTCTCCTGTCCTCCTGAATATTGTGTTTTTGCATTTTTTAAACATTGTTTAATACTGGTGAAAACTGAACACTGGCTGTGTGCTTGGCACAGTTCCAAGCTTTTACATACGCATTTGTTACAATAAACAAGCAGGGCTTATAGGGTGTCATCCTAAAGCCACCTTATCTCTGAGTCCCAGTACTTCCTCAGACTCATTCTCTAGGGCCAGCTAGTCCCCTGCCCTGTGATGAAAATCTGGGGCAGACTCACAACTTTTCTAGTTACTCTTAAGTAAGAAACCCCCCCTGGTTTCTCTAGTCTCCCTGAATAGTCTCAGTACAGTAATTTGTATGTCCAGGCCTATGGGAGGGTCGTAACTTCTCAAGTTTATTTAGAGTGAAGCCTGCTTCTCTTCTTTCTCCCACTGCTTGGGCCTTGGGTAGGCTGGAAGTCATTGGTGGGCAGGGCCATGACTTCCCACCCCGCTCCTGGCTGCCTTGGGCAGGAACCAACCAACATGTAGCCCAGGTCTGTGTCTCCCTCCTGCATTCCTGCATCGCCTGCCACTGGCCTATAGGAAACACTCTCCTGTCTTTTCCTTTAAAAGCCCTGGGAACGGCTGGGCGCAGTGGCTCACGCGTGTAATCCCAGCACTTTGGGAGGCCAAGGCGGGCAGGAGTTCGAGACCAGCCTGACCAACATGGTGAAACTCCGTCTCTACTAAAAATACAAAAATTAGCCGGGTGTGGTGGCAGGTGCCTGTAATCCCAGTCACTCTGAAGGCTGAGGCAGGAGAATCGCTTGAACCCAGGAGGTGGAGGTTGCAGTGAGCCGAGATTGTGCCATTGCACTCCAGCCTGGACAACGAGAGCAAAACTCCATCTCAAAAAAAACAAAAAACAAAAAACAAAAAACACCCACCCTCCCTACCCCGCCCCAAAGGAAAAAAAAATCCTGGGAGCATGGGCATTCCTAACTCAGCAAGCTCTCCCCAGAGTTCTGGCCAGACATGGTTTCTTGCCCTTCAAATTTTTCTAGGTGTGGTTCTGATCCCAGTCCTCTGTGTCCAGCAGGTTACAGGCCACAGAGACCACTGAGACTCTCAAGTGATCTCTGTGAAGCACCCCCTCACTTCCCTTAACTTGAGAAGAAAGCAGCCCATTCCCCACATCTTCCCCAGGAAGGGGAAGAGAAAACATCAATGACTCTTTCTTAAAAATCCTCTACTTTTAATTTTTAAAAAACACTCTTCATGTGGGAAAGGGGCTCAAACCTTTTGTATTTTTGTCTTGGCGCTCAGTCTAAACAGAAGGTGCAATAGTGGATAATTCTATTTCTTCCTCACAACAACCTTATGAGATAGATACTCTTATGCCTCTTTAAGAGAGGCACAGAGAGGTTAAGAAATGTGCCCATGGTCACACAGCTAGTAGGAAGAACCAAGACAGGCCTAGGCAGCCTGACCACAGAGCCTGTGCCCTTAAACTATATGCTGTACCATCATCTGATCTGAGTTCCTGACACTTGGATTTGCCATCTGCGTACTTTTAAGCCCATCTTTTAAAACTACACTCACTGACATGTTGATTTGTCTTATTGCTTCTGGGAGTTCTGTGTCACCTTGTCAAAGTTTCAGGAATTACTCTAAGCACACCACTGATAGCTCTTGAGAAATGTGGTTGAGATACATTCAAGAGCTTTAGTTTAATTGTCTGGAACTCTTTTTTTTTATTTTTTATTTTTTATTTTTTTTTGAGACCGAATCTCACTCTGTGGCCCAGGCTGGAGTGCAGTGGTGCGATCTCCGCTCACTGCAAGCTCCGCCTCCCAGGTTCACGCCATTCTCCTGCCTCAGCCTCCCGAGTAGCTGGGACTACAGGCACCTGCCACTACACCTGGCTAATTTTTTTGCATTTTTTAAGTAGAGACGGGGTTTCACCGTATTAGTCGGGATGGTCTCGATCTCCTGACCTCGTGATCCGCCCACCTCGGACTCCCAAAGTGCTGGGATTATAGGCGTGGGCCACCGCGCCTGGCCTGTCTGGAACTCTTGATAAGAATCTTGGAAGCAAAGTCTGTGTTCCCACGGTTATTCACAAACACACTCATTAAGTCAGTCAACTCCTCACTCTGGTTTCCTTGGTGCTAACTGTGCACAGGCATGTATGCTCTTAGTTTGTTCTTTGCATGTGCTCAGCGATCATGCATTCAGTCAGTCCTGAATGATCACACACTCGCCCCAGGCCTTGGGGTTGTCTCCCCAGTTGGTACTTGAGCTCTTCAAAGCAGGAATCTATCTTTTACTTCCTTGGTCTCCTGTCCTCATGCTCCCAGGTGGCACATTTCTGGCCCATGCTGGCCTCTCCTGCTGCATCTTCTACCAGGTTCCTTTTTGTTCCTTGACAGAGTCCCCATAGACTTTTTAGTTCCTCATTCTTGCCATCTCTCTTCCCTCCCCACTTTCTTCCTCCGAAGGATCTTTCCACAGATTACCGTTGGCCAGAATTCTCTTACCTTCTCACTTCATCTGGGCTAATTCCTGCTCAATCTTCAGATCCCAACTCAAGGATCACTTCCTCTAGGGGGTCCTCCCTGATTTCTCTAAGGAATTCAATCCCCTTAATATTAACTTTCCTAGCATCCTTTCTCTTTTGCAATATTTGTCATTCTTGCAACTTTAAACACACAATTTTGGGATTCTTGTCTGCCTCCCTCACCAATGGTAAGGTCTATAGAGGCAGAGGCAATGTTTTTCTTCTCTCTTTTTTTTCTTTCCCTTCTCTTTTTTCAGCTCTGGGTTCCAATGCCAGCTCTGCCATGTACTAGCTGTGTGATCTGGGGCAGGCTGCTCCAGCATTCTCTGCTTCAGTTTCCTTATTGTATAATGGGGATAATAACAGAGCCTATCTCAAGGGCTTTTTATGAGAATTAAATAAGATAAACTTTGCAAAGTACTTACAGCAATTCCTGAGGCACTTTTAGGTACTATGCAAGTATTTGTTAAATAAATATCAGGTTAAAAATGCTTGAATAATACATAACAAAGGTGAATTAATACCAACTTCACTGTTAATTTTAGGAGTTCTGGTTCTTCCCTCTTAACCCCCTTTGGGTGATATCTAAGCAGGACCTGCTGATAGCCACATCCTCCACAGCATAGCTGGTGTTACAGGGAGGGCCTGGGGACCTTACTAAGGACCTGTCAGATATCCAGCCCTGTTTTATTTCTAGTGATAGGAATGCTAAAAAGTATGTGTCCAGGGAGGGTGACTCAGGGCATTAGAAGGGATGATCCACTGCTCGAGTTCCCAGACAGAACTTTTCAGACAGAATTTCTGGGAAAAGCAAAACCAGTGGTGGGCACTGAGGATTTCATTTTGCAATATTCTGCCAGACCCAAAGCCTGGTCTGCTCAGGAGGGGGACAGCCCAGTGGATTATGGGAGATTTCTCAGGATCCTGAGACAATTAATGATGCTACTTTTGACATGCCTGAGGGTGGCTAAAACTGAAACACAGAGCAATTATGCAACCCAGCCAGTCACGTAGCATCAGCAAGGCTGAGCTGGGTCAGATTTCTGGACTCCAGACTTACGTTTAATCCGATGAGATTCACAGCCATGCTGTTATCCCAGCATAGACTTTGTTTAGTCACAGAAGCTGTTAACATAATTTCAGAGATGTGTGGCCAGGGACTCCTGGGTCATCTGGTAAAAATGACGTTACCAGGAAATGAAAGTACTCAAAGCTCTAGAGAAAGTGTGTGTCAGGATCAAATAGGAAAAAACAAACAAACAAACAAACAAAAAAACCCACATTAAAACAAGAAGACCAGAACAGGCTTATGTTAGTCTGTTCTCACATCGCTAATAAAGACATACCTGAGACTGGGTAATTCATAAAGGAAAGAGGTTTCACTGACTCACAGTTCTGTATTGCTGGGAAGGCCTCAGGAAACTTACAGTCATGGCGGAAGGCAAAGGAGAAGCAGGTACCTTCTTTACAGGGTGGCAGGATGGAGTGCGTGCAAGCAAAGGAAATGCCAGACGCTTATAAAACCATCAGGTCTCGTGAGACTCAGTCACTATCATGAGAGCAGCATGGGGGAAACAGCCCCCATGATTCAATTACCTCCACCTGGTCCCACCTTTGACACGTGAGGATTACAATTCGAGGTGAGATTTGGGTGGGGACACAGAGCCAAACCATATCAGGCTGTATATGTAGGCAGAGAAACTACTGTACTATGGACAACATAGGTATACGGTAAGAGTATTACTGCTTCACTGATAACTTCTAGAACATGCTGAGGTTGGTGCAGCCTCCAGTACTTAAAATAATATGAATTCAGAAAAAGACAACTTGTAGTTCCACGTGTGTATTTATGTGTGAGTATCTAGTTATGTCAGAATTCACATTTTTTTTAAAAAAAAAGTTTTATGAAGACTCAAAAGAAGTTGGAAAAATGTCCATCTTTCACTTCCTACTCTTTCTCAGTTTCTTTTTGTTTTCCATTCAGTGAGACAAAAGGTAGTGGAAAAAGAATGGGTTTTGGAGTTGCATAGATCTGGGGTCAAGTACTGACTGTACTGCTAGTGATTTGACCTGGAGCAACTTTGCCTCTTTGACTCTTTGACTTTCAGTTTCCTTATCTATGAAATGGTTGTAATAATACCTGACCTCACAGGACTTATGTGTACTTGGTATATGATAGACACTAAGCTAGATTTGAACTGCAGTGTATCTTAGACTCATTTAAAATACAAGTTTAAAATGGATTTATCAAAACAGAATAATATCGATGCAAAGATAGACAGATAGATCAAAGGAACAGAATGAAGAGTTAAGAAATAGACCTGCTTATATAAGGTTAATTGATTTTCAACAAAGTTTCCAAGATAATTTTAAATAGGAAAAGGAGTCTTTTCAACAAATGATGCTGGAGCAATTGGACATCCATAAGCAAAACAAAAACAAACAACCCCTCCCCAAAATCCTTGACCTATATCTTACATTTTAGACTAAAATTAACTTGAAATGTATCATAGACCTAAATGTAAGGCTGAAACCATAAAACTTCTAGAAGCAAAACAGGAGAAAATCCTCATGACTGGGTTAAGCAAATATTTCTTTGATAGGATTCAAACAGCACAACCAAAAACATTTAAAATAAATTGGACTTCATCAGAATTAGATATGTTTGCTCCTGAAAAGACACTGTTCAGGAAATGGAAATGCTAGCCGAAATTGATTTATTTCTTTAACATTGCTGTCTCCTAAAACTGAGGCCCGGGGTAGATATAATTAATAATTCTTGTGCAGTCCCATCCTCTCCCGACAGAGTGCACTTTCTAGATGTACCCTCTCTCCCTCATTCTTTATGCCATTATTCAGTGCCATCATTCTCGCAATCCCTGTCATGAGTGAGGGCTGGGAAGAAGATTGAGCTATGCATTTTGAAGTTGGAATTCCCTTCTCTTAAATTCCATTCCTGGGAGTGACAGACAGGGGAAGGAGCAGTGATAAAAAGTCTGGAGTTAAAAGTCTGGAGATGGGCACACACATGACAGGAGGCAACCTGAAGCCCTTGGGAGCAACAGCGTACTCCTAACAATGACAACTAAACACAGGCACTGAGCATGTGCATTTGGCCAGACATGGTGCTTTCTTTGCATCATTTCATTGAACTATTTTATTCTGTTCTGTTCTATTCTATTCTATTCTATTCTATTCTATTCTATTTATTTAGAGATCTCGCTCTGTCACCCAGGCTGGAGTGTAGTGGCATGTTCAGACCTCATTGCAGCCTTGAACTCCTGGTCTCGAGTGATCCTCCCACCCCAGCCTCCCAAGTAGCTGGGACTACAGGCACTCGCCACCAGGCCTAGTTAATTTTTGTATTTTTTTGTAGAGATGGGGTCTCACTGTGTTGCCCACGCTGGTCTCAAACACCTGGGTTCAAGTGATTCATCCACCTCAGCCTCTTCAAGCATTGGGATTACTGAACTAAGACACTGCAGTTGGCCTCGTTTAACTCTAGTAGAAATATCCATGCAGGAAGTATGTGGGAATCGGGGCAGCAGGGACTCCAAGCAGGCACCCCAGAATTTCTTCTGGGCTGTTCCTTCCCTGACTCCTGCAATTAGTCCTGCTTTTCCTTTGGCTCTGACTTGCTTCGTCCTTTGGAATTCATTCTCGATGTTTCCCCACACTCATCTCTTTTCTTGGTTGTATTCCCTTGGGACTGTTGGCTCAGGTTTGGGGATTTATTATGTTTAAAACTTCAGCCTCTGTTTGGCTTCCTGGCACCAGGCTTTGTACTTCCTGCTCCTTGAATCTGGTAACTCCTATCCCCACCTCCTTTCTGCCTACTCAAAGCTTCCAGTCTTTGGTGTTGGACAATCCCTGGATGATGACCAATCTCGTATGTCCTAAGGTATACAATAAAAAATACCAGGGTCAACAATCAACAGGCATCTCTTTCTTGGGCCCATCTTGTTCTAGTGTCCCAGACATTCCAGTGTAGGCTTAGATATAGATGGAAGTGTTCTAGTGTTTATGATGGACACCTGTTGAAAAGACCAAGTCTACCATGGCTGAGGTAGCTATGGAGGGTTTTACGTATTAACACAATGGTGAGGGTATCTTTACTGGTGTGAGCACAGTTCCACTGTATGGATGATCGTGATGCTGGAGTGGTCGATGGTTGGTACCTCCAGTGCCAGCTGGGGATTTATGGATGAACACAGGTGAGTAGTCAAGTGGGAAAAATGGCAGCATTCAGTTCATCTTCCTATTCTTCCTCCAGGTGTCTTCTTAGAATCAGGATCAGGTGCAAACCCAGGGGGGTTCCTGTAGCAGCAGTGAAAATTCCAGTGCCTAAGCTATATATGTTCAAGCAGGTCAGGTGGATGTCGCATGCGTCAGTTTGACTACAGCAGAACCATGAGAGATGTTTCCTTTAGAGTTGGCCCACAAGACAGTCTGGCTGCAATCCACAGGCCACAGACAACTGGAGGGAGTGGATCTCTCCCAGTTTCCTTCCACTTAGCATGAAAGCCTCAGAATAAGCAGCCCAGGGAGCAGAGAGACTGACATTAAAGCCTGCAATTCCTCTTCCAATTTTGATCACAGCAGCCATTTAAACACAGGGTCTACCGAGGTTTAAAAAACTTGAACTGTGCTTAGTTGCACTCTGAAATAGTCCTGCTCCTCCCCTGACCTACGAGAGACAGCAAAGAGACGTGTCAATAGCCTCCGCATGAGGCTTCAGAGGAGCAGCTGTGTATGGCAGGACGGAACAAAACCTGCCCATAGTATCTTTTACGACAACATGTTTCCACTTAATGCAGACCACTGAAAAGAATGTGGGAGCTTTTAAAAAAAAATTATTATAAACATAGGTTTGTGACCTTGATGTGGAAGGCAGCTAGAATCTCTGCTTTTAGAGGGCTAAGCAACACCAGGCAGCCTTCAATCTTAGAAGGGTTAAGCTGAAAGGGTCTCAAAAGGTCACGTGGTTTATATAATCCTACCTGCAGAAGACCCCCCCCCCCGCCAGGCACAACGATTTTACAGACGAGGAATGTGAGGTGCGGAGAGGTTAAGGAAGGATTTATCTTATTTGCATAAGGAGTGGAAGAACTGAAACCGAAGCCCCAGTTCCTTGACTGTAAATCCCGCACTTGCTTCCAACTGTCTTTCATCCAGATTATGGGATTCAGCTGCCTCTGAAAACCTGTAGCCCAATAATGGTTATTCCCCAGGAGCCGCGCGAAGCATGAGCTAATTTTCAGTGAGCGCGGACTTTGGGGTAACGGTTCCAGCACAGCACATCCCTTTCTCCTCTTTTCACTCATCGTCACCGCTACCTGAAAACCCTGGCCGGGTGCTGGGGCTTGAGGAGCAGTTCCCACTTCCCAGTCTTTTTCACTTTTCACAGCTGCAAAGTTCAGGGAGTTGAACTGCAGTGCTTTCAGTTCACTGCTCACTCTGCCACGATCAATCTCTGTTGTAAATTTTCCTCCCAGAGCACGTGACGATGCACTTCTTGACTATATATCCCAACTGCAGCAGCGGAGTTGTCAGAGCGCAGAGCCGGACAGAGCAGAAGAACCCTCTTGGACTGGACGATTTGGGAATTCAAAACTTGGGACAAACTGTCAGCCTTGGTAAGTCAGCAAGGCTACACTTTGCTTTCAGAAACATTTGAAAGAGGGACATTTTTGCCAATTAATAGATGAATTTTTTTCCTTTATTTTCTTCCTGCTTTTCTTTGTTCTAAGGAAACATTGTTTTGAATTTAAAATAGTTTGGTTTTGGAAACACAATGTAAACTTTGTTTCTGCTCAGTTAAAATACGTTTCCCAGTTTTAAAGATACTATTTACTGTATGCTCCTGTCTTACATTGATTTTTTTTTTAATCAAAGTAATACTGCTCACTACAAACAGGACAAATGTGTACACTAAAAAAAAAAAAAAAAGTCCTTCTTACTTTTCCCAGTGAACCTTCCCGGGCTTCTCTCCCGTGCACTCCAAGCCCTCATAGCTCACTCTTGTCAGCTGTTTGGCGAACCCTCTTATGCTATTTCTTTCATGCACTTTTAAGCTTTTTTGGTATTGCAGTTCCACAAACCTCGTGCTCCCCCACCTCCCTGTGCCCAGGACCTGGGGGAGAGTTCTAACCTGCGGCTTTTTCCCCAGCCCCTGCTGTGGAGGCAGCCTCAATGCTGAAAATGGAGCCTCTGAACAGCACGCACCCCGGCACCGCCGCCTCCAGCAGCCCCCTGGAGTCCCGTGCGGCCGGCGGCGGCAGCGGCAATGGCAACGAGTACTTCTACATTCTGGTTGTCATGTCCTTCTACGGCATTTTCTTGATCGGAATCATGCTGGGCTACATGAAATCCAAGAGGCGGGAGAAGAAGTCCAGCCTCCTGCTGCTGTACAAAGACGAGGAGCGGCTCTGGGGGGAGGCCATGAAGCCGCTGCCTGTGGTGTCGGGCCTGAGGTCGGTGCAGGTGCCCCTGATGCTGAACATGCTGCAGGAGAGCGTGGCGCCCGCGCTGTCCTGCACCCTCTGTTCCATGGAAGGGGACAGCGTGAGCTCCGAGTCCTCCTCCCCGGACGTGCACCTCACCATTCAGGAGGAGGGGGCAGACGATGAGCTGGAGGAGACCTCGGAGACGCCCCTCAACGAGAGCAGCGAAGGGTCCTCGGAGAACATCCATCAGAATTCCTAGCACCCCCGGGACCCCTGCCGGTGGCTCCATCAGCCAGCAACCTTAGAGAGAGGAAAGACAGTTTTCAAGTGTCTGGTTTCACTTTCACAGTGCGGCTGCCACTTTGAAGAGACCCTTGGTAAACCCCTGATTCGGGGTGGGGTGGGGGACTAGGCTCAGCCGGAACCAGCACCTCCAAGGAGTCCGGGAGGTGCCTGTGGTTTGCACCCACCACTGAAAAAGCCGCGGAGATGCGCAGCGCGTACACTGACTTTGGGGCCTGGGTGTTGGGGTTCTGATCAGAATTTGGCGGGATGATATGTTTGCCATTTTCTCACTGGATGCCCTGGGTAGCTCCTGCAGGGTCTGCCTGTTCCCAGGGCTGCCGAATGCTTAGGACACGCTGAGAGACTAGTTGTGATTTGCTATTTTGCCTAGAGCTTTGTCCTTCTAGATCTGATTGGCTGTAAGTATCTCTACTGTGTACCTGTGGCATTCCTTCACAGTGGGTTACAAGCTTCTTTTGGATTAGAGGGGGATTTTTGATGGGAGAAAGCTGGAGATCTGAACCCAGCCCATTTGCACACTATAAGAAAAAAAAGTAACTTTTAAACCTGTTAACATTGGCCGGGGTTATAAGAGATGATCTTCTATTTTGACCTTTTGTCTAACTTATGACCTTGAACTCTGACCTGTGACCATGCAGCATCACATGATGGCATGACGTTCTTTGGATCAGAAGAGCTTCCCCAGAATCTAACCTGCACTCCCGATGGTGGTTCAGGAGACTCTTCCTGATCTTTCTAGAAGGGGTAAAGTGGGGTTGAACAAGGCCAAGCCGTTAGCTCTGCTGCTGCTCAGTTTCCCAGCCTAGTTTTCTGAGCTGGGAGAGGACATAATGTGGTATTTCGTCACGTAGCTGAGACCTAGAAGGGCATACTCAGGCGGAGATTGCACAAAGCTGGGCTCCAAGTTCTGTGCTTCCTGATCCCGAGCCCTGACACTCATTTGCTGTGTGGTCCCGGGCATGTCATCAAGAAGCTCGCTGTCTGCATGAGGCTCCCGACGATCTCCATCCCCAGGGGGTTGGGAGGATGTCTTTAGATTTTAGGACTCTGTGATAAATATTCCACAGCCTGGTGTGAGGAAGCTTGGACCAAATGCTTCCCCTTTGGCCGGTTAGTCTGAACAAGGATCTGCTGATTTAAAGGAGCAGTTGGAGATTCAGAACACATATAACTGGGGAATTCAGGGCAAGCTACCAACCCAGCCCTGCTGTAGTTTTCCCAGGACTGAAGGAAAGAGGCAGACACCACATTCTCCTCTGCAAAGTTCTCTGGAGAATGTGTGATGTTAACACTCCCAGCTAAGGGAAAGCAAAGTCTAAAGGAAAACACACAGGAATGCTTCCAATGTCTCCAAGTATTCCTGTGGTCAACAGTTTCGCAGATCCGTTAGGCCCTTAAAGACAAGGAGGAAGTAAAAGGTCAAATTTAAATCTATTTAAAAAAACTTTTAAAAAAATTATTTATTTATTATTATTTTTTATTTTTAAGACAGAATCTCGCTCTGTTGCCCAGGCTGGAGTGCAGTGGTGCAATCTTGGCTCACTGCAACCTCCACCTCCTGGGTTTCAGCGATTCTCCTGCCTCAGCCTCCTGAGTAGCTGGGATTACAGGCGCCTGCCACCACGCCCAGCTAATTTTTTGATTTTTAGTAGAGATGGGGTTTCGCCATTTTGGCCAGGCTGGTCTCAAACTCCTGGCCTTAAATGATCCTCCCACCTCGGCCTCCCAAAGTGCTGGGATTACAGGCATGAGCCACTGCACCCGGCCACTTTTTTTTTTTTTAAAGAAAAATGCTCTGCATGGATTGGAGACACAGCAATAACTACTGTTGCCATGGAAGGGTTAACAGTGTAGGAGCTGGTTTATCAGTCCGCTTTGACATACAGCTAAAGGAAATTTATGTTTGGGGGAAAAAGGCCCTCTGTTCACTTTAAAATTCAGTGTGGACTTATGCCAAAGGGGGCTGTTTAAGTTGAAAGAAGCCAAGTTAAGTTTGGCCTCTTGCCTGGAATCACTTGAATTCTGAAATTTCACTGCGACGGACATGTGCCTTGTCACATTTTCCATTGCTTAATCCTGAAGTTTGGTGCAAGTCTCTCTGCACCTATTAAAAAGTGATGTATATACTTCCTTCTTATTCTGTTGAGTTGTATAGAATTGTCTTTTGTATTTAACACTTTGTAATTTTCACAATATTTTTTAATTTAAATAAATAAACACATTTTTTCCCTCCTGGGAAGTCATGAATTCTTTGTTTGATTTTTCAATATAATTGTTAGTTTCGAAGACATCACAGATACGTTTCCCAAGACATCTCTGGATTTTGCTCCTCTCCCAAGTCAGTATCTCCTGAGGGCGTATCTTATTTCTGTCTGAACCATGGGGTGAATGAGGCTTGGCTTTTCATCCTTTGAAATGCTTTGTAATGAATGGAAAACAAGCTGCAGATGGTCTTACATGGACTTCTCTGTTTAAATATGGCAGCCCTGGAGTCTTTGGACTTTGAACATGCAGTGACAGGTCAACTGCTGCTAAGATGTTGCTCCAAGCTTGGTTGCAAGAAAACGTTTGACCTGTATGTTGGCTTGGCAAATATTATCCACACATGTGGCCCAGCAGCACCTGCTAATGGGCAAAGAGCTGCTGTATGAACAGCAACACAAACTTACCAACACAGTGAAGCACGACGTGTGGGGCTGGGGTTGACTCTCCTCCCTCTCCTGGTCTCCTTCAGACTGGGACTGATTCCAGCCCCTCCCACTTGGTCTGTCTGTATCTCTTGCCCACAGGCTGAGGCCGTGGCCAGCCTGCGGCAGCCTCTTCTTCATAATTTTATTTGCATGACCTGTTTTTGAATCAAGCAAATGGTAGGAAGCATCCTTACTTTTATGTTTCTCTGTTTCCTGTGAGATTGGCTTTTCTGTTTCAAGTAAGTGTTTCCCTTCAGTTCACTAGTAACTGTCTACCTAAAAAATTTACCTGGCAACAGTACAGTGGAGCCTGGATCCTTCCCAAACAATATCGAGGGCCCTGATCCATCAGTTGGTACTTTGATGATGTAAGATGAGAAGATTGCTGTAAAAGGCAAGAGAGCCTTTCCATTTGTCCCAGTTTAATGTCGTTCTTCGTAAGGAAATGGTTAAGAATTTTTCTATTTTTTTAAGCCATGGGTGGAAGGAGAGGGAATTCTAAACTCTAATTGTCCTAAAAATATGCAGAGTACACTTTGTCGTTTTAATGGGATATTTGTTTTCTTTAAAAAAAAAAAAGAATTTCTAAGCAGAACCTAAGGCCCAAGGGGTTTAGTCTGTGTGGATTTACTCATGCATGTGAAAAACTGAGAGGATAATTTGGCCCTGTGCACCTAAGATATTAAAAACATATTTTGAAAGCACTTAAATGTTAGGGATGAGGTAAATGGATCATCCTGCCTGCTCCACACTGTTCTAATTACACCTTTGTACGTCAGAGTCAGGCAGGGATGTTACACAGTAGAAGATTTCTTTCACTGGTAGAATCATGGGATCAAATCTACTGGGAAAGGCTGAAGTCAGGCCAAGGAATGAATGCTCTTGGCTCATGATTCTGGTTGGAAAGTGGACCCCCTGGTGCCTTTCAGAGCTGCAACTGGAGGGTTTCATGGTCAGACATGCACTTCTAGGATTCAGCTAAACGAGGGTAATTTATCATCCTGTAAAATGCTGCTCTGACCGTAGACATTGTGGAACAAACAGAACATTGAGCTTAAAATGTAACTTAAACTCCAGCTTCAGGCAGAGCATACTTTTGCCTCATGCCCTTTCCTTAAAGTCTGTGTACTGTGCTGAAGAAAATCACAGGACATATCATCGGTCATGGGACTAGAGGCAGAGTCTAGCGCTGGAGGGAGACCTGTCAGCCAGTTGGTCAGGATGGTGGCTCAGGCTACGCCTGAAACGCGGGGAGGTAGGGTGTAAATAGTGGCCAGTGGAGCCTCAGCCTTGTTATGTCTGGCTTTCTAGCCTAACTCTGCTACCATGTTGCTTGTAGCTCTGGGGAAGCTACCTAACCTTTCTGAGCTCTCTCTTTCAACAAGAAGACAGCATGCTGGCTTTTCTCTTTGGGGAGTTGTTCAAAGAACGGTGGAACGCCCTGAGAAATACTCAAAGAAAAGCAGATTCAGGCTTCTACTTTAAAAATGTGTCCTGGGCATGCATCTGCAAATAAAGTCACAAAACATCCTCTTCTATGGACGCTTTCCTCAGGAGACTGCTGTGTGCTCAGAAAAAGTGCACGCTTTGCCAAAGGAGAAGGGTCACAAGAGGGAAAAACCACTGTTAAATTCAGCCTTCCCCCATTTCTGAAATGTTTCCTCCCACACAGGAAGGAACAGTTTGGGATGTGTGCTGTTACCATGGAGATAACCAGCTAAGGTCACTTGATGGAAGGAGTCTGTGGCCCACTAGCATGGATCATTAGGGCCAATCTCGGGAGCTAAGGTTTTGTCCTTGGCTCAGAAAATGAGCTTTGAGCCCATGGCAGCCTCTATTCACAGGTATGGGAGGGGGTGCAGGGACAACACCGTTCTCCTTTTGTCTTGCACAAGCCTGTCCTCTCTTCGTACATCCCCCTTGCATCCTTTGCAATCCCTTCCTTGCACTTGCCCTGTCACATTCGACGTAGGGCTAAGCTCTTGTTCTGCTGTTCCTATGAATTTATTTTCCTGCCTTGAATTCTCTTGCTAAGAAACATGATTGAAAAATCCTTCACATCAATAACTGTACCTCTTTCCTGTCTTTAATAGTTTTCCTTTGCTTGTCCTCTCTTTATCTAGCCTCCCTCCCTTTCTTCCTCTCTCTCATCCTTCCATTACCCAAAAGGAACAAAAAGACTAGTAGCCACAGTGCATGATACTTATTCAGCAATTTTTACAAGCCACACACCTTTGCAACCCTGCATTTTGAGCTTTTCCTCTGTTCTAGGCACTTCTCTAGGTGCTAGGAAAAAATGTAACACCTCTCTGGGGATGTTATATTTTTCCCAGCTCTTTATGGAGTAGCATTTTACATATATATATATAAAATGTATATATATAGGTGTACTGGCATATATATATATACACATATATATGTATATATGTGTATATATGTATATGTATGTATATGTATATATGTATATATATGTGTATATATGTATATATGTGTATATATGTATATGTATATATGTATATATGTGTGTATATATATATGTATGTGTGTGTATATATATATATTTTTCTCCATGACAGACACTTTCCCTTTGATTACCTCATTTAGTCTTTCCAAGGAAACTGTGAGATAGGTCTATAATACTTTTAATCCAGGTAAGAAAGTTGAGGCTCCTTTAGGACTTGAGGGGAAGATGGGAGGAGGGCGAGGGATAAAAGACTACAAATAAGGTGCAGTGTCTACTGTTCAGGTGATGGGTGCACCAAAATCTCACAAATCACCACTAAAGAACTTACTCATGTAACCAAACACCACCTGTTCCCCAATAACCTATGGAAAAAATAAGAAAATAATAAATAATAAAATAAAATAAAATAAAATAGTAATAAAAAAAGAAAATTGAGGCTCAAGGAAGTAAATTGCTGGCCAATGAAATAAAAGATCAGGATTCAAATGCAGGTCTTCTGAGATAAAATCTGGTATTCTTTTAATCACTAGGAAGCTGACAGCACGAGACACAGAATATAGTCCCATCTCAGACTTTAGGGAGCTCTGTGACATTGCATATGTTGCTCAACCTTTCTGAGTACATTTCCTCAAATGGAGGTAGTAATATCTTCTCTACTGTCTTCAAAACATTGTCAGAACTGCTTATAAAGCAGCTGGAAAAATTATAAGGGTCTGTGTTTGATAGAGGCTGTGTCTAGACATTACCAGTATTCACCAATATTCAGTTCTCTTCCTCTTCTGAGAACATGAAAGGTTCCACTTCTCAACCCCTCTCCCACTCCTCCTCTCCTATCAGCAGGGGCTAGGCAGGGCCATGTGATTCATTCTCTGTAAACAGACTACAAGTGATATATGTCACCTCTGAGCTGAGTCAGTGAAAAGTCCACATAGGATTCCCGAGTCACTCACTTCACCTGCATGTCACCAAAAAGAACATATGTTCCAGAAGATATAGGTAATGGGTGGAGCCTGTGTCAGCCTGGAATGGTGAGTTACTACATGAAAAGCAATGGCTCTGGATGGGTGCCCAAATCTGCAGCTGGCTTTGCATGAAACAATAATAAATCTAGGTTACAGTGAAAGATGGAAAAGTTGGTTTTTTTGTTACTTCACCATAATCTCACCCACCAGATTGATACAGGATATGACCGCATTTAAGAGATGCTAAATGTTGGAAGACACCTTCTGGATCATCTAAGCTGACCTCTCCATTTAGTGACAGGGAAATTAAAACTCATGGCAGTTAAGTGATTTGTTCAAAGTCATAGAGGGAGGCCAGGCGTGATGGCTTACTCCTGTAATCCCAGCACTTTGGGAGGCCAAGGTGGGTGGATCACCTGAGGTCAGAAGTTCGAGACCAGCCTGGCCAATGTGGTGAAACCCCGTCTCTACTAAAACTACAAAAATTAGCCAAGCGTGGTGGTGGGCGCCTGTAATACCAGCTACTCAGGAGGCTGAGGCAGGAGAATCACTTGAACCTGGGAGGCAGAGGTTGCAGTGAGCCAAGATCGTGCCATTGTACTCCAGCCTGGACAACAAGAGCAAAACTCAGGTCTCCTCCGTGGTCATGCCCACCATGGGGATTTACACCCTGTGGTGGACGTGGCCATGGAGGCCTCTTCCAAGGCTCGGTGAAGACAAAAGACCCAGATGGTCTTTTCCCTTGAGCCTCTCTCCTTGAGCTGTCCAGAGTAGCATTAAGTCATTGGTGCTGCCTCTATTTACCAGTCCTGTGAGCCTTGCTGGCAATTGGCTTCTTTTTTTCCTGGTCAAACCCTGGCACTTATTGCACTTTGTGGTAGGTTGGATCTGAGCGGGCAAGAGTAAACACATTTGCCCAAAGCTGTGCAAGGTGACATCACTGGAAACTTTAACAAAGGGGAAGAAGTCATAAATAGGAGGAGGGAAATTGTCAAACAGGTTTGAATGCAATTGCTCTGTATGAGGTGTACTGGCTTTTGGATTTTGGGTTTGTTTTTGATTTTTGCATATTTTTCTGCTCAGCTCCAGCGCCAGAGTGGTTCACATTCAACCCTCCTCCCCCAGTGCAGAGAGCTCCCACGACTGATGACTCCTGAAGGAAAACCCTGGAGGTTCAGCTTTAGCTTGAGGTTTCAGGTAATGCAGAAACCAACAGGCACATCACCAATCATCATTTTTATAAGCTTAGCCCTGATATGGAAGGAATAATTTCTCCCTCATTTCTATCTTCCTTTTCCATTCAGTACTTCTGCCAGGATGTGTTGCCTGAATAGAGATTCTGTTTCTTTCTCAAAATCTTCTCCTTTTTAATTCTCCTCTCCCATTGTCCTCAAGCATCGATTACAGAAGAAGTTATGCTGTCTTTGCCATAGGATTATAAACTTCTTGAGACTGAGAACCCTATAGTATTATTTTTATGTCTAAATGTCTAGTTTGAGCTGGCATTCTGCAGAAGTCTCTCTCATTATGTTCTTTTCTTCTTATTTTACATTTTCTCTTTGGGTGATCTCATCTGCCCTCAAACCTTCAACTATTAAGTAAATAATTATAGCAAATGACTATCTAGTGTTTACTATGTGCCAGGCACTGTTCTCATGACATTTAATTCTCACGACAAGCTAAGAGATAGGATTTTTTATTTATTTTTTTTCTTTTCTGAGATGGAGTCTTACTCTGTCGCCTAGGCTGGAGTGCAGTGGCATGATCTCGGCTCACTGCAACCTCTGCCTCCTGGGTTCAAACAATTCTCCTGCCCAAGCCTCCCGAGTTACAGGCACATGCCACCATGCCTGGCTAATTTTTGTATTTTTAGTAGAGATGGGGTTTCATCATGTTGGCCAGGCTGGTCTCGAACTCCTGACCTCAACTGATCCTCCCGCCTCAGCCTCCCAAAGTGCTGGGATTACAGGCATGTGCTACTGTGCCTGGCCGTGATAGGGATTTTAAAGCCAGTTTTAGAGGTAAAAAAATGGAAGTACAGAGAGGTTAAGAACATTGACCTGGTTATACAGCTATTTAGCAGAAGAATTGGGATTTGAACCTGGCAATTTGGCTCCAGAGTTAATACACCTACCTGCCTGCTGTGCTGCCTCTCCGTCTCCAGATCTTAGTCACTCAGCTGTAGCCTGGACTTCTCTCACAAGCATCAATGCCTCTGGCTGTATCCACCTATGTCCAATAAACACCTCACATTCCTGATGTCAAAACTCAAACTCACCATCTTCCCACCAAAAACCTGTCCCTCAACTTACATTTCCCATAATCCATTAGTCACAGAACATGGGTGCAAACATGGGTCAAACTCAAGCTTCTGTCCCCTACCTTAGGTCACCAGGACCTCCCTGAAATCTCTTTCCATTCTCATGGTCATTGTTTACCCAAAAAAGTACTTCTTTAAAAAAAACAAGGCCAGAAAGTTTTTATTCTTGAAGTGAGAAAAAAAGCCATCCCTCAAAGTATGTTTATTTAAATTGATTTTGATATTTCTCAAATTTAGCAGGGTGGTCCACACTGACATCAGGATACCACCTGAAAAATAACTTATAAAACAAATCAATGAAGGATTCTCTACCCATTTGGATTTTACCTTGACAATGAGATAGAGCTATGGAGAGCATAAAACAGGGATCTGTGTGGAGAAGAGGAAGGAGTAAAAATTCATCACAGTTTTCACAGATGCCCAGCACAGAGGATAGTCTTTTAACAGGCAGAAATATTCCTGGTGTGAAGGAAAGCAATCCATCTTGTTGGTCCAGATTGACGTAAATATTCCTCTGATCATTTGATCCCCTTGGTTTAGAATCATTCATTGGTTCATCCAACAGTTCTCTATTAAGTGCTGATTTTGTGACGGGCACTTCAGTACATAAGGGAGATACCAGGAATAAAAGGCTCAAAGAGAGTTCAGTCTAGTAAAAGAAGTAGCCTAGCACACAGACAACTACTAATGAGGTTGATAACTATTCACTGAGTCACTTAATATATATATCCTGTCTCCTGGGGGCCCACCAATGTGATCTTGGTTCTTAAATCAGCCATAATTTCTATAAGAAATTCACAAAGCCATAGTCTGGCTTACCAGTTAGTCTCTTGTGAATTTATTAGCATGAGTCAGGCTCCCTGTAGGCACCAAAAAATTATTTCTTTAATCAGAAAAATACCGAGGACCAGAGGAATGTTGAAACAGGAAAAGACATGATCAGAGCTGTGTTTATATAAATTAAAAAATAATTTAATCTTTGGAATGGAGCATGCAAGGCACTAGATGGACAGTGACAAAAACCCAGTCTCTATCATCACGTTGCTTGTAATTTTTTTCCATTCTGTAAGATGGATTGAGGAAGAGAGTTAAATAAAAGCAGGGTTCTACGTGAGACAAGTGCCTGAAGTGGGGCAATGGCAGGTGAAATGAAGACATAGAAGCTAGAAATACTGAGGAGTTGAAATTGACAGGATTTTGCAACCAGTCAAATATTAGAGCTTGAAGGGGAGAGTTGAGTCTGTAATTGAGAGAGTGGAAGTGCAAATAATAAAAATCCTTTCCAGGACTTACTGTGTTGGGCATTTTGAGTTGGAGGTGCTGACATGATATCCAGAAAGCATTTGGAAAATCAGTATGGAAATTTTTTGATAAGCTGGCACCACAGACAGTGATTTGGGAGCCTCTCACATAGACACAGGTCCTAAAAATCTTGAGCACAACTGAAATAGCCAAAGGTGAGAAGGACTGGAGAGGAAGGCAAAGAACAGCCCCTCAGGGAGCAGTGAATTATTGGGGGCTGGGAGAGGAAAGGGAGAAAGAGGAGGAGCAGTTCAAGAAGTAAAATCAGCATGGCAGAATGCTCAGGAACTGAGCAAGCAGAGATTTTCTAGAAAGTGGAGGTGGTCAGCCATAGAGAAATGAGGTTGCGGGAGGGGAAGAATCTTCCTTTTGATGACTTGCAGGTGATTAGTACCTAAGATGCAGGTTTTGTGTGTGTGTGTGTGTGTGTGTGTGATAGCTTTATTTTTTTTTCCAACTTTTATATTTTAGAACAGCGGGTACATGTGCAGGTTTGTTACATGGGTATATTGCATGATGCTGAGGTTTGGAACACATTACCCAGCTAGTGAGCATAGCACCCTCTAGGTAGTTATTTTCCATCTTTACCCCTCATCCTCCCTCCTCACTCTTGACTTCCCAGTGACTACTGTTTTCATTTTTATGACCCGTGTACCCAACTTATAAATGAGAACATGTGGTATTTGGTTTTCTGTTTCAAGAGGCAGAATTTGTAGAGTAGCTGGATAGAGATATCATAGGTATAAAAGACTGATGCCTGTTGAGGGATAGGTCATTGTCATTATAAACTAACTCACGAAGTTTGGTTGTGAAAAGCAAAGTACTGTATCCTCTGTCTAATTCAAGGAGTCAGAATTACAGCCCTCTTTCTTTTTTACTTGCCATTGACTGCCACTTGGTTTAGGTTGCAGATAAACTTTCCCTCCTTTTGGTGGTATGGGATGACTGTTCCTTTCTGTATTTCTGTAGGGACTGACGTTTTCCCAGGTTCATAGTGGATTTCTTTGAAAGTTATCCAGGGAGAATGTTAAGCCAGCCTGGAGAAGTTGCCTGGCGTTGTGTTATAGGGCTGCTTTGGAAAGCAGGGAATAAAAGTGACATAACATTCTCTCTCTCTCTCTGCAAACATCAGAGTGCATATACTTTGCTGCCAAATCTCTGCCTTTCCATGATTTTCTCTTCAGGTTATATAAAAAAGCACCAAAGACAACAGAGTGACCTTGTATTTAGGATTGCCCTGAATTTTTATATTTCTCTAAGGTGATTTTTATTCAGGAACACAATTTTTCTAGGTGCTTGAAAATTGATTGGGTGTATGATTGTATGTAATGGTGCTTTTTAATCTGGAACATGTCATAATGAAGTCAAGATGTTATTTTAGCTGATTATGTTTAATTTCTGGGTGTTGAGAAACTGATTACAGTACCTTTTGTGTATATTGGTTGTAATTCAAATTGCCTTAATAAAAGCAGGTTTCTGAAGAAGTGAGTGGATGAAAATATTCTTGTAGAGAGTAGATAATATTAAAATCATAGTCACTTTGTGGGCTTCCACCATTATAAAAATGTAGCATTAAAAACTGCTGTCTGGTTTAAAACCCTCCTTGCATTTCCTAATAGGGGTCCATAAAGAGATAGAGATCGGTCCTACAAAATCACACACAAACAAGATGGCCATCTCCAACTTGTAAAGGAAAGTGGCTTTAGGTGGCCCAGGGACTGATATTATAGACCAGAGAAGCAATGGTGCACCAAGAACCAGAGCAGATGAATTGAAGCTATTTGTAATAATTTCATAGTTTAATAAATAGGTAATAAAAAATTTATTTTGTGGCACTAATAATTAACTATTAGGACTTTGACAGCTTAAAATCATCTGAAAAGGAGAAGGCTAAAGGAATATTATTATATTTCAATTTAAAAAATGTAATTTTGGTCTTCAAATAAAGTAAACTATACTTTTAAAACAAAGACCAAATTAGGAAAAAAACTAGAACTGCCATGTGAATTTAAAATGTTGGTACTTTACTACTGGAAATCATATTTTTAGTAGAAAATGGGGCCTGATTTTACTTCAGGGATTAGGTTCTAAAATCAGAGTGTAAGGCAAAATTTATCCTTGAAAGCCCTTTCTTTAAGTGCTCTTAAAATTCCGGGACTTGGTTACTTTCAAGGTTGAAAGTTAAGAATAAACTTATGTGGTTTCTTACACGGCTTCAGTCATAGCCTCCCTTTTTCTGGGCCAGTAGAGTTTGAGGGAGATGTCGAATAGGCGAAAAGTCTCTGTTTCTCTTACACACACACATACACACACACACAGCCGTAAATGTAGTGTCCCTATTCTAGACTTTGCTGTAAAAGAGATGAATTATTTCTCAGTATTATAGTTGTTTTCTGTCCTAAAATCAATCCATGTTGCACTTCTATGCTGTCCTTCCATGTCACCCAACTAAGAGGCACTGCAAAGTAGCCATGGTCTTGACTACAGATGTGACAGGAGCATAGTCCCAAGGAAAACAATATGGTTTTCTCAGACATCTTTCCAAAACGCCGCAAGAGGTGTCCAAAGTGTTTAAGATCTACAGTTTCAGTGGTCACTGCCTTTGCATCCTGAGTTATACGTGTGGTGCGTTAACATTTAGTGAATGTCCATTAAGTGTCCCTTTTAATATTTAATCTCATTTGATCCTCACAATGGCCCTATACTGTTCATCTTACACGCAAGAAATTGGGGCTTTGGGAAGCATCCAAGGTCACATTATTACTAAGGGGCATAGTTAGGATTTGTTCTAACTATGCATCTAACTGATACAAACACATGTATTTTTTTTCTACTCTGCATTATAGTCTTTCCTCTTTTTCCACAAAATGATAGTAAAATTATGTAATTATTGTTCCCCCTGATGTGAGGTTTCACTTAAATTCATTTATATGAGGTTTCACTTAAATTCTGCATTTCTTCATGAGTTTGAAAACTTATAACCAATTGGGAAAGTCATGAACTTTTAAAAATTCTAAACTCCCAGCAAAATTAACTCAGTTGTCTTCTCAGCGTCATTCAGAGAAAGGGCAAGTCTGTTGTACTACAAAATGGAAATGAAATTATCCTCTGAACTGAGATGGCGGTTCTCCAGGATAGTTGTGCTAGAAATAAAGACCACATTCAAGAGAAGTAACCGGGGCTCTGAGGGGTGAAGGACTGGGTGGGTCCTGGAGGGAGAAGAAAAGGAGACTCTGAGGCACTTACCCGTGACTAGGAGTGGTCTGAACAGAGCCTTAGTGACTTAGGGTGAGAAATTTGGTAGCTGTTGATTTGCATAGAATAGGCATTTCAGTACTTACTGTAGATGCAGAAAAGTGACTTCAAAAAAGAGCAAGGCCATTTAGATTCATTTATTCATCAATTCAGCATTCATTTTTGAATCTTTATTGTGTGCAAGATCATTTTGTTCTAGTGCCCTGAAAGATTCACAGAAAAACAAGACAATTTTTCTTTTAGGGCTGAAAATACTTAGCTAGCGAAGATAGCTAGATGGTACTTTCAAGTGCTTGAAACCCTTTCTTTTTAAATAAAAAAAAGAAATAAACTATTTATTTTGTTTGTCAAAGGAGTTATGAGTGAACACATGCAATTGAATTTAAGGCTTTCACGGAAAAAAAAAAATCAACCGATTTCTTTTTCTTCTTTTTCGTTTTATGAAAATTTCCAGTCCAGTCTTCCTCATTGGTGTTTATCGTGTCAGGTTCATACCCTGACTTATCTACTGAATCTTCTTTAGCTCCATGGTGACAGACAACACAAAAATGGAAAATATTCTTCTAGATTTTAAAGTGCATGTTTTCACTGAAAGAAATGTAATCTTCATGCTTTTAGCTCCTTAAACTTTTGATCAACATGTCACTACAGAAGAACAATTTGACGTCTAAAGAGTATTTTCAGTTTTTAAAGCAGATCTGATTTTTAAAAATGGAAAGTCATGATAGGCTATGGGCAAGAAATTTGAAAATAAAGATTGTTAGGGAAAGTTTGACAACTGCCGTTTAAAAATTTTGTTTGGTTTTCTATTTAGTCACAGCTGGAGAGGACACGGAGATCAGCCACAAAATGTTAAATCAAGTTGTATTTAGTTTTAAGGATAAGCATAAAGATGCTTTTCAATTATGTTAAAAGAGTTAAATACATATAATTCTTAGAAGAGGGTCTCACATATAGTAAGCACTCAAATATTACTATTATGTTTATATTGATACTAATATAGCAAAAATTTGTCATTGTATTTTTATTTCCTTATATTACAATGTTCCTTTTACATGCCAGAAACTGTGCTGTCTTATTACTAATCACATTATTACTGTTCTCTTTGTCCAAAGAACATGAAACCTTAAGATTCTTAGTTTTTAGTGTGGAGTACTAATTGTGAATAAGTCAAGAATCTCTTTTGAATTTCATTATCACCATTTCAACATGGATATGGAGATAGAATGTATTTGGAGTGTAAATGTATTCAGATACTCAGCTCAAGTCTATCCAAAAATCACTCTTTGAGTATCCTCTATGTGCTAGAAGTTGGGTGTGTAGAGCTCATGGTCCTGTACTTAGGTAGTTTACAGCATTAGAGGAGGAGACAGATGTACAAACAAATACATTTCATATGAAGGGGTAAGTATTAGAATAGGTTGTTGGTTGTCTGCTATGAGAGCCAGAGTAGAGAATAAGCTGGAGAGGTGGAGAAAGCCTCCTCATAGGTAATGGCATTCGATCTAGGTTCTAAAGAATGAATAGGAGTTACCTCAATTTCTTTATCTGTAAACAAAGAGAGTTGGGCAGGATTCCTTTGTGCTTTAAACTTCTGTGATTTTAATGCTCTGAATTTTACTTGGTCACTAATGAGGGACACTGGGCCTTTGCATTTTGATTTTTGCAGAAGATCCTATCTACACAATCCTAAAGCTCCTCCATCCACAGTAAAAATATGTTGACTGTTCAGTTGTTCTGCTATCCTGCCAAATAGCTGAGCTTTTAGATTTCGGGACAAAGAATTCACACAACTGGCTGAATGTTTCACTTTTCATCAGGACATTTTGGCATCAGGTAGACAATAACTGTGGATGAATTTCAGGAATCTCAGGATTTGGACTAAGTATAGAGAAAATAATAGCTTAGATTCTGATTTGAAGTGAAGTTCAATTATCCAGAGCCAAAAAAATATCCTTTCTTCTTCCAAGTGGTCTAAGATGCTTATTAGCTCTGGCTTTGGTCCTAGGGTATTTTCATAATGAAGTCGGCTGAAAGTTTGCAGGACAGATAGGGTTGCCATTCTTCATGGGGCTGTAGAGGAGAGCAGAGCTAACTTAGAGACTGGAGGAAATAAAAATAGTTGAATGAGGAGAAAGGTCCAAAATGTTACCTGAATGATTATATGATGGGACACAGGTCTGCCTCAACAATTCCTTGGTAATTGGAATAATACATATTTTTAAACCAACCTTATTAGAGTTAAAATGCACACTTTTATGTATACAGTTCTTTGAGTTTTGACAAACTCCGACACCCAAATAGCCATCACTACAATCAAGATACATAATACCATCATCACCTGAAAACACTGTACCGCTTCACGGTCCTTCCTCTTCCCACACCCCCAGCCTTAGAAAACCACTGATCTGCTTTCAACACTGTAGACTAGATTTGCCTTTTCTAGAGTTTCATATATGTGGACTCATGCCGTATGTACTCTTTTGTGTCTGACTTTTATCAATCAGAGTAACATTCTTGAGATTCATCAATGTAGTTGGGCATATCAGTCATTCTTTCCTTTTAACTGCTGATTAGTATTTCATTGGATGGAATACCACAATTTGTTTATCCTTTCATGTTCATGGACATTTGGGCTGTTTCTAATTTTAAAGCTGCGGAAAACATACACGTACAAGACTTGATGTATACATATTTTTATTTCTTTTGGGCAAAAATACTTAGGAGTGAAATTGCCGGGTCATATTGCAATGATATGTTTTAATTTTATAAGAAAATGTCAAACTGTTTTCCAAGGTGATCATACCATTTTGCACTCCCATTAGCCATATGTAAGAGTTTCAGTTGTTCAACATCCTTGTTTACCTCGTATCTTTAATTTTAGCTACTCAAGTCAGAATGTAGTGGTATTACATTGGTGTTTTAGTATGCATTTCCCTAATGAATAATGATTTTAAGCAACCTTTCTTATGCTTGCTGGCCATTTGTATATTCTTATTTGTGGAATGCTTGTTCACATCTTTTCTGCAGTCATTTTGAGACTTTTACACGGCTCCCATATGGTTCGTGAATGTGCTTTGGGCCTTCCATGGTGGGTGGATTGAGTTTGTGCTTAAGGTTATTTTGAAGACAAGTTTCCATGGTTAAAAGCAAAATTTGAATACCATCGGTTTAAAGCAAAATTGTGAAAGAGGCAAATTTGGCTCTTGGTGTTTCCATTCCTCTTTTCCTCAAGGGTTTTCACTTGTAAGTGGTAAAATGCTGTGCTGGACTCTCTGGGAGCGCAGAGCTTATAAGGCCTCTGGATTCAAGAAAGCATTGGAGTAGAGAGGAACATGGCCAGGCTCTGGAGTCATGGAGATATGGGTTGGTACCCAGATTCTACCATTTATTAGCTCTGCAATCTTTAACAAATTTGTTATCCCCTTCAAGTCTATGGTTTCACCAGCGAGAAATGGGATTAATAATATCTAACCAGTAGGCTCTTCTGGGGATAAAGTGAGTAAATAAATGTAAAGTTTCTAGAAGCATGCCCAGCACATAGTGGATACCTGTCAAATAGTTGTTTCCTTCTCTTTCTCTCTACTCCTAAACTTGTCTTTTTTCTTCCCTTTATTTTAGAATCTTAGGGTCCCCACTGTGGCACTGCATTCTTCCCACCCTTTAAAGGTTCTAGACTTAGACAAATTCTGCCCCATTTCATCATTTATCTGTTTCTATTCTCTCACAGAGTCTTGCTGAATGTGGGAGTAGCTAATCTGACAAACCTAATTTATGAATTTATGTTAAGGTGGCAATGGTTGATAATATTTCAAAGTTTCACTAAGTACCTAATCCAAAAAAGATGCAGAGAAGAATAAGACCTGGGGGAATTTGAGGCCTGTGGAAGGCTGATTAGAGTAGGTAGTGGTTTTGGTATCGTTGACCTTTCCCAGAACCTTATAAAAATTCCATAAGTGGCTCTCTCCAGGGAGTTTGTCTGAACTTAGACATTTTTAATTAGTTGATTCTTCTCAAATCCCCCTCCCCAACTTTTTTATGAGGTCTTTCCCACCATCTTCTAGCAAACCAGTACCATATAAATGGCTTTACAAGGCAAGTAATGGTTTTTCAATAAATGTCTTGTTTTTTGCCAAATTTATAGTTTAACTATGATCCCATACTTGTTGATTGCTTGTGATTTAGTGGCACATTTAATACAAAATTTAAGACTTTTGATAAAACTAATTATCTGTAGTTGTTGTAGCGAAACCCTGCCTGAGTAGGGAGACCCAGTATCAGTCCTCCGGATTGTAGTTTTGGGAACCCATCTAGCATCTTACTAAGCCAACAAATCTTCAAGGGAAGTTTGCAGCTGTACCTCAAAGATGTCACGAAATCACAGAATAATAGACTCTTATAGCTGGGAGGGCCTTAGAGAATAGCAAGTTTAATCCCATGTCCAGTTTTTAGATGAGAATATTATAAATATTAAAAAGTAATTTCTTGATGAATATTGGTGTGTTACACTGGTCACAATATTGACTTGGACATCTCCACTTCTGAGAATATTCTGAGACAGCTGATTCATTCATTTCTTGAATTTTACTTTTCATAATTAAATTCACAATTCTTGATTCTGGTTACTGTTAGTTTGTTTATTTTGTTAACATATCTTATTTTCTATTGCTTTGAGAGCCAGGTAGTTTTGTAGAATATTAACATTATGCAAAAAAAACCACACTAAACCTGAGGTCTTAAAGTGAGCTAGGTTCTTCTTTGCCAAATTTTCTTTAGGGTCATGTTAACAAACAACTGAAAAAAATGTTTATAGCTTTCATGAGATAGCTGTCCACAAATGGGTTCTTATTCTGAAATTTTATCCATGCTACGATCAAAAAATGTTTCCCCTGATGACAGAAAAAAGATCGGCTCCAAACAGAGTGACTAGGCTGATATATGTCCAAGCGATCCCAATTGAATATTCCTGGAAAACCCAATTCTATTCTGAGAATGAAAAGTTTTAAGAGAAAGTGCATCGAGAACTTGGCACTATCTGCTTTTATCTGTTTTGTTGAGTAACTCCTTGTGGACTTCTCTAAATAATCTTTGAAATAGTAAAATATCCTTCTGTATTAGTCTGTTCTCATGCTGCTAATAAAGATACACCCAAGACTGGGTGGTTTATAAAGGAAAGAGGTTTAAGGGACTCACAGTTCCACATGGCTAGGGATGCCTCACAAGCATGGTGGAAGGAAAAGGAGAAGCAAACATATGTCTTACATGGTGGCAGGTAAGACAGCTTGTGCAGGGGAACTCCCATTTATAAAACCATCAGATCTCATATGGGGGAAACCGCCCCCATGATTCAATTATCTCCACCTGGCCCTACCCTTGACATGTGGGGATTATTACAATTCAAGGTGAAATTTGTCTGGGGACACAGCCAAACCATATCACCTTCCTACAACAGTGCACACTTCCACCCATTGAATGGAATTTGTCAATATCAAATATTCACTGGAAAAGCAGAAGGCAACTTTGCTGAGAACAGCAATAGGCCAGACATGGAGTTGTGATGACTTGGAACAAGATAGTAGGAAGAGTGTTGAGAAGAAGGAATATTCAATATCCATGTACCGAGTGTACTGAGAGTACGCAAAAGTGTCTGGAGTGTGGAAAGGAAATAGAATGTCAGTTTTCAATACTCAGAAACAGTAAAGGAAGATTTGCAACTTCACATGCATGTCCTGTTTGAATTCCCCTAAACATTCTGGCTTAAGGGTCTCCCAGGAGTCCCTCTCATTCCTGTTGCTCCTCATTTGGTCGTGTGTGGTGGTGGTTTCATTGTCCTGTTGAGTTATGCTTGTGTCATGTTTTAAAGGCCACTGCATTTCCCCATGGTGTGTGTGTGTGTGTGTGTGTGTGTGTGTGTGAGAGAGAGAGAGAGAGTGCATTTGTTTCGCTTTGTGTGAAAAGCTAGAACACACTGGTAGAAAGGAGACTGTGTGAAGGCAGACATTGTTAACATGGAGCCAACCACAAAAAGAAGATAAATACTTAGGATATGAGGAAATTTATAGGAAGAGGCTGGGAATGACCATCACTAATTAGCTTATGAAGAGTCATCAGGCATACTTAACATTCAGGCCAAAGACAGCATCAGAAGAGAAGAGCGCAAAAATTTTTTAAAAACCCAAAGCTTGAAAAGACCACAAATTGTAATACATATTTTTGGAATTATACAGTGATTATGTTGAGTATTGAACAAAAGTTCAGGAGGAGGTCTGGCTGAAAGGATAAGAAAATTTAAATTTCTTTTAGGATTTGTGCTGACATTGTTTTTTAAAAAAAGAGAATTCCAAGCTTATCTTTATTTCAAATATGTTCAAACTGGGTGTCCTCCCAGGCTCAACCTATTCTTTTACCCTTCAAAGGATCCATGGTTTAAAGAGATTTGTTTGAGGGGTCTTTAATATTTTCTGGCAAGACATAGATAACAGTTGAGTCTGGACTGAAGTATTCAGGATCATGATATCCCAGATGGACTGGTGAAGGTAACTCTAATATTTTCTGGAAAAGACGAAGACAGAAATAGATACCTGTGTCCAAGATAAATAGATGTTGCATAGTTTGCTTTGACCTTTATGGTTTTACAGTCAGGGAACTACCGCTGTGGGCACACAGAAGTTAGCATGCTGGTTCATCTTGACTCATTGAGTTGAATTTTGAGGATAGGATAGAAAAGGATGTCCTCTCTCTCCCTCAGCATGTTGGGAATTCAGAGTCACCTGAAGGGCTTGTTAAAACTCACATCTGGGTTCTACTGTCGGAGTTTGTGCTTCACATGGTTCTGAGGTGGGGTCTGAGAACCTGTACTTCTAGCAAATTCCTAGGTAATGCTCATGCTCCTTGCTGAGTGAGGGGAGAGAGGGATCACACTTTGAGAACCAGTGGTCAGCCAACTCTATTATTTTATACAAGTGAAACTCAGAGGGCAAAATTTTATTATTTTAATGATATGGTTGGGTTTGGTCAGGCAGGACTAGAATTTAAATCTCTTGACTCTAAACTCCATAGCATTTAGCATATAAGGTAGCTCTACAGAAAAAAAAATTAGAATATTTAAAAGAAATCTCTGACTTATTTCATCTTTAAGCCTCAAAACGTATGGCGACCAATGACAACAATACATTTTAGGACAGTTACTGTGTTCAGTAGAAGAGAAGAGTGAATCTAGTCTGAGGCAGAAGTCAACTCAGAATAATGAGAGGGCACTAGGGCCTGTCGTTCTCTCTGAGCTACATTGTGAAAGGTGCTTTGGCTTATTTAATTTATTGTATGTCTTCCCTAACTAGAGTGTAAATTCCTAGATGGCAAAAATTTGTATTTCTTCTAATTGCTCCATGTGCAAGTCTTATACTGTGCTTAGTACACAGTGAGAACTCAATCAGTATTTATTGAATGCATCAATGAATGGTACACTTACTGAGGAATCAACATTGGAATAGAAACACTTTCCCCTGTGGCCAGGAAATAAGAAAACATTTTCCTTCTTTTCATGGCCAAGAGGGAGCCCTACAGCTGTTCCAGGCTGGATGTGCCTTTGCCAAAAGGCTATTAAGTTTCCCAGGGCTATCAAACCAACACATAGTTTGGTTGCACCAATTGTGACCAACCTGTCAGCTCTCTCTTGAGGATGCCAAAGCCACCTTTAATAATGATGAACACTCATTGAGCCCTTACAACTTGTAAAGTCCTCTTCTAGGGGCTCTGTATGTATTACCTCACTTAATCTTTAGAATATCCCTAGAGGAGAGATGCTACTATTGCCCCATTTGCTAGATGAGGAAACTAAAGCCTAAAGAGGTTGAGTAATCCCTCAAGGCACACAGCTGATAAATGTAGGAACTGGGATTTCACCCCTGGCAGTCTGATCCATACACTAGGCTCTTCACCTCCAGACCATTTGATCTTTTTATGGCCTCAAGAGCTGAATAGAACTACATCCATCCTTCAGTAGAATGGGGAGTCTCAAAATACACCAAAACTGGGCCTGGGTTTTACCCTCCTTAAGTCAGACTCAAATTGCCTAAAATCAGCCTTGACTTAGAGGAAAGGTTCTTGAGAATTGAAGTAATTGGAGAGCTATGGCAGGAATAATTGTGAAATGCCAGAAAACAAATCCAAGGTGGAGAGAAGTACATACATAGATATTTTATATACGTATATTAGATAACATATATTTACGTATATAAAATCACAGGCTTGAGAAACATGTAATGGATTTGAGATGTTTTCTTTGAAGTCCAGTGGTTAAGAGTTCAGAGCAGAATTTTCTGTAGTATGTTACTCATCTAGAGAAGAAAAATTTTAAAAAGACTCTTTTCCTATATTTGAAAGGGAAAAACCAGTCCAAAAGATAATATAGTGTTGAGTAAGAAATTTTTCTTTTCTTTTTTTTTTTTTCTGAGATGGAATTTCACTCTTGTTGCCCAAGCTGGAGTGCAATGGCACGATCTTGGCTCACTGCAACCTCCGCCTCCCAGGTTCAAATGATTCTCCTGCCTCAGCTTCCCGAGTAGCTGGGATTACAAGCATGTGCCACCATGCCCAGCTAATTTTTGTATTTTTAGTAGAGATGGGGTTTTGCCATGTTGGCCAGGCTGGTCTCGAACTCCTGACATCAGGTGATCCATCTGCCTCGGCCTCCCAAACTGCTGAGATTACAGGTGTGAGCCACCGTTCCTGGCCAGAAAGTTTTTCTTAAACTTTTCCCATTTATAGGCATGTAGACATTGAAGTTAACACTTGAATTATTATACATACATATATATGTGTATATATATTTACATTGTCTCAGTTGTTACATTAAATAAAACCAAGAGCAGGATATTCTTTGCTCTGGACACCATTTATTATGTGCTCTTTCCTGCTTATAAGAACATCTTAGAACACCATAATTATGTGAATGGATTGCTCCGTAGAAACCCCATTGGTTTTGAACCTAAGAGATGGAAAGGGCAAGCTGATTACCTAAGTAATGCGGTTGAATCTGTGTCCCCACTGAAATCTCATGTTGAATTGTAATCCTCATTGTTGGAGGAGGGGCTAAGTGGGAGGTAATTGGATCATGGGTGCCGTTGGAGGGGGGGCTTCCTCCTTGCTGTTCTCAAGACAAGTGAGTGAGTTCTCATGAGATCTAGTTGTTTACAAGTACTTCTGCCTTCTCTCTCCTCCTTCTGCTTGTAGTACTTGTCATGGCAGCTTAAGCAAAGTCATATACCCTTCCTATTGAAGAGACAGAGGATCAAGATGCCTATCAAACCACAAATCACATTGAAAGCATCTTTTTAAACATGGTGTCTGGCATGTCTGCTCACATTCTGGTCAATGTGACGTGCCTGCTTCCCCTTTGCCTTCCACTATGATTGTAAGTTTCCTGAGGCCTCCCCAGCCATGCTTTCTGTAGAGCCTGCAGAACTGTGAGCCAATTAAACCTATTTTCTTTATAAATTACCCAGTCCCAGGTAGTTCTTCACAGAAGTGCAAGAATGAACTAATACACCAAGCTCACTTCTCATCCCACCATGAGTTCTTTTCTGGAGTGTTCGCCTCATCTCCATGCTTTATGCCCCCTGAGCCACTCAGATTTGCTGATATCATGAAACTGCTCACTGAAAATGAAAGAGTTTCTTTTCTTACAGAGTGAGGCATTGTGGTTTTCAAATAATTTGCTCATTGTTAGTGAATTTGCTACTAACTTGGTATATCTGTCAGATTTCGGTGAATCATGCTGTCTAATAAACAACTTCTGAAGCTCAATGGCTTACCATATACATTTATAATTGCTCATGTAGCATAAGGGCTGAAGGTCCCCACCATATCCCTTCCAGTTGGCCTTCTACTTCCAGACTCAGACGGAAACAGCGGCCCCTTTCTGGGATATGGTCTTGATGAGTTGAATTATGTGCCCCCTGCCAAATGCATCTGTTGAAATCTTAACCTCCAGTATCTCAGAATGTGACTTTTTCTGGAGATAGGGTCTTTTCAAAGGTAATCAAGTTAAAATGAGGTTATTAGGGTGGACCCTAATCTGATATGCCTGCTGTTCTTATAACAAGGGGAAATTTGGAGGCACGCACCTGGAAGAATGGCATGTGAATAGACACAGGGAGAAGGTGACCGTCTGCAAGCCAAGGAGAGAGGCCTCAGGAGAAACCAACTCTGCCAACACCTTGATCTTGGACTTCCAGCCTCGAGACTGTGAGATAATAAATGTCTGTTGTTTACGACACTCAGCTTGTGGTACTTGTCATGGCAGCTTTAGCAAAGTCACATACCCTTCCTATGGTGGAGGCTCAAGATGCCTGCCAAACCACAAGTCACACCGAAAGAGTCATTTTTAACACAGTGTCTGGCATGTCTGCTCACATTCCGGTCAATGCAAGTCACACGACCAAAGCTGGGAATTAGATTCCTTCCTGTGGGGGTAGGACGCACAAGAGAGTGAATATTTGCAAAATTTGATTCAATCTACTCCAATCACACATTCCCATCTTGTTCATGTCAGAGGATTGGAAGAAACCTTGGATTTTCTCTTGCCTCTTGTATTAGTCCTTTCTCATGCTGCTAATAAAGACATACTGGAGACTGAGTAATTTGTGTGGGAAAGAGGTTTAATGGACTCACAGTTCCACATGGCTGGGGATGCCTCCCAATTATGGCAGAAGATGAAGGAAGAGCAAAGGGACATCTTACATGGCAGCAGGCAAAAAGGCTTGTGAACGGGGACTCCCATTTGTAAAACCATCAGACCTTGTGAAACTTATTCACTACCATGAGAACAGAATGGGGAAAACTTCCCCCATGATTCAGTTGTCTCCACTTGGCCCTGCCCTTGACACATGGGGATTATAACAATTCAAGGTGAGATTTAGGTGAGAACACAGCCAAACTGTATCACCTCCTCAGTTCAAATCTACATGTCAGTTGAAAGAGATGTCCTTCCTCCCTACTTTCCTTGCTAACTTCAATGTGGCCATTTCAGTTTATATTTCTTTGATTTATAGGGTTGTGAGTTGAGAGAAAAAGCCCTATTTAAAACAATCTAGGTCACCCCTTTCACGTATATATTTTCACTACCCCACCACTGCAGAGAAGTCTCCAGCCTTGCTCGGGTTTTTCGAGAAGGAGAGGGCTTACTCCTTCCTAAGGCTGCCATTCCGCCACTGGCTAGACCAACAGAAACTTCCTTCAAATGCAGAGCTGAACATACTCATGTTTGGGGACTGCCAGGGTTTTACACATTCCCCGAATCAGGTGAGTCAACAAAAGTCATCTTGGGCATTGTATCAGGCACATAAATACATCAAATCCACATCTACAAAAGCACTCTGCTGGCCAGGCGCAGTGGCTCACACCTGTAATCCCAGCACTTTGGGAGGCTGAGGCTGGTGGATCACGAGGTCAGGAGTTCGAGACCAGCCTGGCCAACATAGTGAAAACCCTGTCTCTACTAAAAATACAAAAAATTAGCCGGGTGTGGTGGCGGGCGCCTGTAATCCCAGCTACTTGGGAGGCTGAGGCAGGAGAATGGCTTGAACCCGGGAGGTGGAGCTTGCAGTGAGTCAAGATTGCACCACTGCACTCCAGCTTGGGCGACAGAGTGAGACTCTGTCTCAAAGAAAAAAAAAAGCACTCTGCTTCCTGTTGTCATTTTTCCTCCTCTTATCTCCAGGCAGAGAAGATAGTGTCCTAAGGGGTCCCTCAGGACCACCCTGCCTAGCCTCAGTGAAAATGAAAACAGCAGGTTGAATTGCATAGGAAGTTTTTGTTTGGGTTTCACTAAGAAAAATTCTCAGTTTGAAGACATGATATCTGAAGCTATTGTGTTATGTGCATAAAGGTTCTTGAACTTGGTGTTATACTTTCTCAGTGTATGATGTTTTAAAAACTAAATATGAGATTAAGCTCACCTTTTCCTCTTTTAAAGTTTTTTTACTTGCGTTTCATCTTGTTTCATATTAAGGTTGCCATATTTGCTTCTTTTTTGATATAATTTTTTCATTTTTCAACTTTTGCTCAGGATCATGTGTGTGTGCATATTTATTGTTTATTTTTTGTAAATGGCAAATAAATATTTCTAACCTCAACAGGATGGTCTTTGTCTTTTTATAGGAAAATTTTACCTGCTCACTCTATTGTGATTGCTGACAAATATTTGCTATGCTTTGAATTTTTTATTACCCGTATACACAAGTTACTGCCTGTTTCATTGCATGTACAAGGAACTGGGGCAAAGTACAGATGATATAAGTACATATCTTCTAAATTCAGTTCTTCATTTAATTACCCTGGTGATGTCTGGGCTTCCTCCTACTCTTTACAGCTGTTGATTGAATAAAGGGTGCTCACAGAACCAATCTGTGGATGTCCAGAGAAGTCTTCTCTTATACATGTTTTGGCTTTGATTTTCTTTCATTTTATTTATCCTTAGTCTAATACCACCTAGGTTCCTTCTTTAACAAATTTCTCATTATAAAAATTTTATAATGATATTTATTGTTTACTACTGCTATTATAATTTTCCTTTTTTAAAAATATATTTTCTTGCCTCTTATGAGACTCTGAGCAGGAGGAAAGGAAGATGCAGGTATTCAGTCTACTATGATGATCCAATTCCCCAAGATCTTATTTTTAAACACTTTTGTTTTTGAGAGGTGGGGTCAGTTGAGTGTGTGTGAGTATGTGTGTGTGTGTGTGTGTGTGTGTGTGTTTGATGTTTCATCTGCTGCAAAAGTCCTGGGTTCTATCTATTCTTTCTCTTTTTAAATTTTTGCCCTGAAGGGAATGTCTTGTCCTCTTTTCTTTTTACTTTCACTGAATTCTACCTGAAAGGTCAAGTAAAGTCAGACAAGAAGAGATTATAATGAATATCATGCTCTCTTGCCTAGTCTGTTCAGTGAGTGGGAGTTGGGGATGTGCCTACAGCATGATTAATTTTCATCATTATGCCTTAAAAAATAAAATGTCCCTAACTATCATTAATCATGTTCTTATTGTAATTAGGTATAATCAAAATGGACAGTCAGTCATCTACTGTGTCATTAACAGATGCAGTTTTGGGGAATGCTGAAAAATCTTCAAGGCTTATGTCCATTATCACACGTAAAGTCTGCATACTGGGCATTCTGAGATTGCACATACTAAGGAGGGTATTGTTAGTCTGCTGAGATATTCAAAAGATCATTTTCATTTGCCTTATTTATTCCTGGAGTTAAAAGGCGTAGCTGTTTAAAACTGGTTCTTAAACTTACATACATTATTAGAATCATCTAAAGAGATTAAAAAAATGCTGATTGCTGGGTCTGTTCCCAGGGATTTTTGATTTAACTGGTCTGGAGTGAAGCCTGGACATCAAGAGCCTTAAAAGCTCCCTAGGTACTGCTAATGTGCAGGACATTTTTGAGAATCCCTTCTCTAAAACATCAAATAGGTAAAAGGCAGAATGTCAGGGTCATGCCTCCAAATAGGTGACTAATCACAGCAGGGGAAAGTCTCATCAAAAAATCCTTAGCTTGACTTTCAGACTGTTACTAGTTCGTTGTTCATATCTCCTTATATAAAATTTCTGGTCTTCTTATACCAGTCCTCTCACTTCGTCTCTGTCTCATACATTGACTTTTTCACCTGGGACAGAATCCTCACAAAAAAGGAGAAAAGGGGAGGAAATTTTCTTAGGGGATTAAGATTTTCTATGATGTGCCTCTCTGACTTCTAAGGAATGGCATATGTCTTCTTATTTACCTTCCTTCCTTCCTTCCTTCCTCCCTCCCTCCCTCCCTCCCTCCCTCCCTCCCTCCCTCCCTCCCTCCCTCCCTCCCTTCCTTCCTTCCTCCCTTCCTTCCTCCCTTCCTTCCTTCTCTCTTTTCTTTTTACTTCCTTGCTAGGTAACCTTAAATGATCTCCATTTTCAGAAGAGAAATGAGAGAATGTGCTACAGTAACCAAAACAGTATGATGCTGGTACAAAAACAGACACATAGACCAATGGAACAGAATAGAGAGCCCAGAAATAATGTCCCGTATCTATGACCATCTGATCTTTGACAAACCTGACAAAAACAAGCAATGGGGAAAGGACTCCATATTCAGTAATGGTTCTGGGATAACTGGGTAGCCACTTGAAGAAGATTGAAACTGGAACCCTTCCTTACACCATTATATATAAAATTTAACTCAGGATAGACTAAAGACTTATATCTATAACAAAAAACCATAAAAACCCTGGAAGATAACCTAGGGAATACCATTCTGGACACAGGAACCAGCAAAGACTTTATGACAAAGACACAAAAAGCAATTGCAACAAAAGCAAAAAATTGACAAATGGGACCTAATTAAACTAAAGAGCTTTTGCACAGCAAAAGAAACTATCAACAGAGTAAACACATAACCTACAGAATGGGAGAAAATATTTGCAAACTATGCATCTGGCAAAGGTCTAATATTGAGAATCTATAAGAAACTTAAATTTACAAGAAAAACACACAACCCCATTAAAAAGTGAGACAAGAACATGAACAGACACTTTTCAAAAGAAGGCATACGCGTGGCCAACCAGCATATAAAAAAATGCCCAACATCACTAGTCATTAGAGAAATGCAAATCAAAACCACAATGAGATACCATCTCACACCAGTCAGAATGTCTATTATTAAAAAGTCAAAAAATTACAGATGCTGGCAAGGTTTTGGA
The DNA here is from genome assembly GCF_000001405.40 of Homo sapiens. Classification (NCBI taxonomy): domain Eukaryota; kingdom Metazoa; phylum Chordata; class Mammalia; order Primates; family Hominidae; genus Homo; species Homo sapiens. The sequence continues at coordinate 223,081,123 of NC_000002.12, forward strand.
GGAAAGGGAACACTTATACACTGTTAATGGGAATGTAAATTAGTTTAGCCACTGTGGAAAGCAGTTTGGAGATTCCTCAAGGAATTTAAAACAGAATTGCCATTTGACACAGCAGTCCCATTATTGGGTATATACCCAAAGGAATGTAACTTGTACTGCCCTAAAGACACATGCACGCATATGTTCATCATAGCATGATTCACCATAGCAAAGACACAGAAACAACCTAAATGCCCATCAATAATAGACTGGATAAAGAAAACCTGATACATATACACCATGAAATACTATGTAGCCATAAAAAAGAATGAGATTATGTCCTTTGCAGGTACATGGATAGAGCTGGAGGTAATTATCCTGAGCAAATTAACGCAGGAAGAAAAAACCAAACACTGCATGTTCTTGCTTATGAGTGGGAGCTAAGCATTGAGTACACATGGTTACAAAGAAAAGAACAACAGGCCCTGGAGCCTACTTGAGGGTGGAGTATGAGAGGAGAGTGAGGATTGAAAAACTACCTATCAGGTACTACGGTTATTACCTGGGTAAGGAACACTAAATCCCTGTGACACGCAATTTACCTATATAACAAACCTGCACATGTACCCCGGAACCTAAAATAAAATTTTTTAAAAATACAAAAATAAAAATAAATAAAAATATACTTATCTCAAAAAAAAAAAAAGAAAAGAAAAAAGAAAGAAACGAGAGGATGTGCTCATGGAGCTATGCCATCTCTGTGAGTGAGTTGCCGTGGGGATAGGAGGAGTTTGGTACTCCAGCCCCAGTCTGCGGTTAATTGTTCTCAAAACTCAAGGCCTCCTTTATATTTTATCAATTGGGAATGCCAGCACTTGATTGCCACACAGCCTCTTCCTTAAATTGTATTTTGAAGATTAATGGTTTGTGGAAGAACATTTAAGGCTTAGATTTCTATCAAGAGACTCATAAAATAAGTATGTAAAATAGAGCTGTGGAAATAGACCATGGCTCTTGAGAATTTTAAAATATGAATCTGAAGCTGCTTACATTTGGATTCTTATCTGTTTTCCATTGGGAACTGAAATGGTCCAACTGTTGGATCAGCGTCTGCGTGGAGCCTTTGGTCTCAGTGCTATCAGTGCCCTCTAGTCATTTTTTTTTTCTAGACATCATTTTACCTTGTTCTTGGTGGACACCCATGGGTCAAGAATCTTCAACAATAAAGAGGTGCAATAAGAAGTAATACTCACAGCCCTGGCTTATGGTGGATAGCTATCAGAATGTTGAGTTCCAACAGATTTGACTTATGGTACAATTTTGATTGCCTTAATTTTTTTGAGAGATGTTTCGCTTTATCTATAGCTCAGAATTGTTTTCAAACTTTTAAGAAGTCCAGAAGAAAGAAAAGCCACTATGTTATTAGGAGGGAATGTCATTTGAGGTAAATCATTGGTTAGTCCAGAGTGATGGGTCTCCATGGGGACAGTGCTGGCCCCAGGGACGATTGGAAATTTGTGGGCATGATCTTGGGCTGTAATATTTAGTGAGTGGGGACCCAGGATGCCAGAGCCCTGAAACGGAGGGGACATTCCTGCACATCAAAGAACTAGGTTCTCCAGGATATTTAAATTTCCCACTGGACAAATAATGATCAGTGTCTTTTGTTCAAAATGTTAGCAAGGGTTGTTAACTGATATAGTAAATTTCATCACCAATGGCAAAGCTCTATGTGATTTGGAGCCACTATCCCGCACACATGTAGCAGTTTACATTGCAGCTGACTCATTTACAAAGATGCTCATGGTATCACGAGAGAGGCAGGCATCTCCCAGCTTCACTAGTCCTCTAGTACAGTCACATAGGGGATGTTTACATCTTGACTTAATTGCTATTTTATTACATATTACTTTCCTTTAATGTCTGCTTTATATTTCTTTTAGGGTGTTATGTTGAATTTTAAAAAATTGTGTTTATAATTAGATTACATTTTGTATAAATGGAGGGTTTGATTTGATTGAGGACTATCGTGGTTTTTTTTTTTTTTGGAGACACAGTCTTGCTCTGTCACCCAGGCTGGAGTGCAGTGGCATGATCTTGGCTTACTGCAACCTCCACCTGCCGGGTTCAACCAATTCTCGTGCCTCAGCCTCTAAAGTAACTGGGAATACAGGCATGTGACACCAAGCCCGTCTATTTTTTTATATTTTAGTAGAGACAAGTTTTCACCATGTTGCCCAGGTTGGTCTTGAACTCCTGAGCTCAGGCAATCCATCTGCCTCGGCCTCCCCAAGTGCTAGGATTACAGGCCTGAGCCACCGCGCCCGGCCAGGACTATCGTTTTAATGCCTGCTGTGATCCAACGTCTATTTACAAAAGGTTGCAAAGCCAAAATAAATAAGTGAATATACTATCATTTCAACCCCCATATAATTTATTAATTAATTAAAATAACATTTATAGGCATTGGCATTGTGCCAGGCCAACAGAGATGAATAAAATTTATTGTTTCTGAGATTCTCAGTGTAAAGAGAGAGATGAAGCAGAAAGTCAATAATTGAAACTTGGGGAGACAAATACAATGAAGACAGATGAGGAGAGCTGAGGGAGGCAGTCATTGTTCCTGGGGAAAAGGAGGGTTTGCAGAAGGAAATATCAAAATAAGCTTCTTCCTGGGGAGGTGAATCTGAAAGGCTGTGTAACGGTCCTTCAGTCTTGGCAATATCCTAAGGTATTTGGATTTTGGCTTAGTCTAGAAGCCTATGGTTTAAAAGAATTTGCCTCTGTTGGCTTCCATCAAGTCAAAGCTGTGGCTGAGCATTGCCCAAGCATCAGAAATGAGCCTATGTGGTATAACTGACAGGTGTCAATGCACCACCTTATTCAACACCTAATTAAGAGCCTCATCTCTGATTTACATCGGAAGCAGACAGGCTGTAGTTTTAAGCACTTCTCATTACTTTTTACTCATGTAATCTTGGACAAGTCACTTAGCTTCTCAAAGCCCTGGATTCATTGCAATAGAAATGAGAAAACCGGTGACCATTCAGTACCCTGGAGTGTGGGCACAACTTTGGCTTCCAATTCACTGGACCTCAGCTTCTCCTCACCCCACAGGGCCTTAGGGAGGTATTGAGGGAGAGGCATTTGTTTGGCTAAAACATTGGGCTAAGAATTGGGAGGCCTGAATGTCCATCCTGGTCCTGCCACTGTCTTGCTCTGGGCCTTTAATCAAGTCTTTGAACCGCTTATGGCCTCAGTTTTCTCATCTTAAAAACAAGGCAGTCAAACAAGGTTATCTCCAAGGCCCTTCGAAGCTCCGACATACTGAATGTGTCCTCATGGTTTCTGCTCATCAGCAGCCTATTTCTACCACCACCTCCACCATCACTTTCTTTTTAAACATTCTTTTGATAATTCTCTTTGAAATAAGCCCTCATTTTGGGTTTCAGTTAAGCTAAGAAAAAAAAATCTGTGGATTTGTTTTCTTTTCCATCAAAATAATTAAAAACTCTTGGACATAATCCATAAGTAAACAAGGTTTCTAGGTAGGAGAATATGAACTATGATTGTGTTAAAGATAAACTAATCTGTAGCTCATGCCTGTAATCCCAGCACTTTGGGAGGCTGAGGTGGGAGAATTGCTTGAGCCCAGGAGTTCAAGACCAGCCTGGGCAACATGGTGAAACTTTGTCTCTACAAAAAAATACAAAAATTAGCCGGGTGTAGTGCGGTGATGCGACAAGATCTTGCTTCCCCCACATATTGTCCTACCTGGCTCTCTCTCATTATTCAGCTTTCAGCTGGAGCATCATTTTCTCAGAGAGGCCTTCCCTGTCTCCCTGTTGGCAGTTACTGTCTAGCCCATCTGTCCCCTGCTGGCTCCATGGGAGCAGGGATCTGGTCTGCCTTGCTTGCCTATGAGTCACCAGCACCTGAAACAGTGCTTGGCTCTTGGTCAGAGCTCAATTTAGGCCTTGACCCCGCATCCCTGGTCGCTACCCAAGGCTGCTATTTAGAATGAGAAAGGCAGGCAGCTGCTGTAAGAGAGATGAATTAGATAATGATTACAGTGATACATCCTATTCTTTTAAATCCTGACTCTGAAGTTCCTGGCTCCCAAATCAGGCTTACCAAATAGCTACTGGTTTTGAGCTGTGATTTAACTTCCCTGGACCTCATGCGTTTTAAAACGGATGAGTTGGATAATTAAAATTAACACCTCACTTGTGTGCAGCCCCCTTTCTTCTGTGCCAGGCCCAGGCCCCGCCATTGATGGGCTTTATGTCATTCTGTCCTCTCTCCAGCCCTATAGGGCTTCTGATTTTCTCTATTTGCAGAGGAGACCTGAGACTTAGATTGAAAAACCTGCCTGTAACAGTTTGCTAGGACTGCCATAACAAAATACCACAAACAGGGGAACTTAAACAAAGAAATTTATTTTCTCACAATTCTGGAGGCTGGTAGTTTGACGTATCATGAGTTTGGTTTCTTCTGAGGCCTCTCTCTTTGACTTCTAGATGGTGGCCTTTGTCCTGTGCCCCGACGTGGCCTTTTTTTCTGTGCATGGATATCCCTAGTGTCTCTTCTTTTTCTTAGGCCACCAGACCTATTGGATTAAACCCACATCCATCCTTTTTTTTTTTTGAGATAGAGTCTCCCTCTGACACTCAGACTGGAGTGCAGTGGGTTGATCTCAGCTCACTGCAAACTCTGCCTCCTGGGTTCAAGGGAGAATTGCTTGAATAGCTGGGATTATAGGCATCCACCACCATGCCCGGGTAATTTTTTTTTTTTCTCGAGACAGAGTCTTGCTCTGTCGCCCAGGCTGGAGTGTAGTGGTATAATCTCAGCTCACTGAAACCTCTGCCTCCCGGATTCAAGCAATTCTCCTGCCTCAGCCTCCTAAGTAGCAGGGATTACAGGCACCAACCACCCCGGCTGGCTAATTTTTTTTGTATTTTTAGTAGAGGTGGGGTTTCACCATGTTGGCCAGGCTGGTCTCAAACTCCTGACCTCGTGATCTGCCCATCTCGGCCTCCCAGAGTGCTGGGATTACAGGTGTGAGCCACTGTGCCTGGCTAAACCCACATCCTTTTGATCTCATCTTACCTTCCCTTCCTCCCTAACATCCCTATCTCGATATTCACCCACATTGAGGGGTTAGAGCTTCAAGATACAAATTTGGAGGTGACACAACTCAGTCTCCAACACTGACCAAAGCCACTGTGCTAACAAACAATAGAGACATTATTTTAATCTAGGTCACATTCCCAGCTCCCCTAACCACTACTTTATACTGCCACCAGGATTTCCTCCCTACTGACATCCATGAAAGATCAAGCTTGGAAAAGCAGGAGGCCCCAGCTCCATCTCTGCAAAGTGGATATTGGGAAGGGAAAGGCAGATGGCTGATGACTGAGCGACTGCCTGGCGTTCCTCCGTGGATGTGCTCAGAATGCATAATTCGATGAATGCTGCTGTATCTCATTACTCTTGGCATGTCTGACGGGAAGGTCATGGTAACAGGAGTTACTGAGCATTACAATTAGCCAGCAACCTTTCCCAACCTCTTCTAAAATTATTGGAAGACAAATTTCACTTCAGTTCTCTCTTGGATAAGGTGGCAGTTATCCAGGGACTTAAAAAGGCCAGCAAAGTTTATAAAGGCAGAGCTGATATTTGCTGGAGTATCTCATTGGAACCGTTGGTTGACAAGAGCATGTATGGCCGCCAAGGCCCAGGAATGAGATTTTCCAGTAACGCTGGTTAGATGGCTGTGGGTCGCCCGCCAGGCATGACCGAGTGTATCTGAGCTGTCTTTTGCCACCTGTACAAATGTCTTCTGAGCGGCTGCTATGTTCCAGGCACACCACGATATGGTTCTGATTCCTCATGACTCCTGCCCACATTAGTAGACAAGCTCAGAATCTAAGTTGTGACCCACACTCCAGGACAGTGCCTTGTATCAGAAACCCAGATAATAATTTTAGTTCTATCAAATTCTGCTGCTGCTCCCATTCCTCCTGCTCTTCCTTCCACTGCCTCCTTTCTTTCTACTTACTGCGTGGCAGGCACTTGATTGACAGTGTGTCCTTTAATCCTCATAAGATCCATAGAAGCATTTACCACCATCACCACTGTTTTTATAGATAGAACCAGCCTACCCAACAGCCTCAAGTGGTGGGGTTTAAGGTGACATCGTTCCATGTTTCTTCAATCGGCGCCCCACCTGTGCTATGTTGACTGTACCTTCTCTGCTGGGTAGAAGGCTCCTTAATAACATAGAGAGCAGATTTGGTAGCTTCCTATTCACCATCAATTCTTTAAAACCTCAGTGCAATCTCAAGCTCTTCCTCATCCTGCATCCCAGGCACTAATATGTGTAAATCCGTCATTCTGTAATAAAATTTTTCACATTTAATGTTATTTTAGTTTACGGGTATCTCTATGTCATGTGACATGATGTCAATGAGTTTTCTTTTATAAGTATTTCCAAAACACAGTGTTGAAGATTTTCACGCAGGCTGATCGAGTGAGTGATGTGCAACACCATGAGGGATTTTGGCATTTGCTGTTAATTGTGAAACACTGTAATTGGTAGCATCTTGAACTCTCTTTAGCAGTATTAGAACAGATTTCATAAAAAACTTTGCTTCTTGGTTTGCATTTGAAGATATTTAGAAATGTTCAAAACTTCTCTGAGAGTTGGATGTATAATGTAGGTGCTGGGCTTGGTTGGCTTGGCGCTGTTGCTTTCCTTGATAACTTGAACATGCAAATACACTATTTAGATAGCAGAGAAGAGCAATCAGATCCTACACATTCCAATGTGTGATCATCTTTATCATATTGCCTAAAAACAGCCTTAAACATTTTTTGGACTTCTTTGTTTGTTTTGCAAGTCTCATGGCCTTCTGGCTTTAATCAAAGTCTTGTCCATTATGATGAGAAAATAAATGTCAGAAACATTTAAATTTACCTAAATGCAAGACACATAAAAGGATTATAGTCCTTCTTTGGCTTCAGAGAAATTGGCTTTTCAAAAAAAGTTTTTAAGTTGACTGCATTTTTGTGAACATTAAAAACTACATTGCATCAAAAAATTGCAAAATTAAGTATATGTAAGCAAAATAGTACTTAAATATAAAGTTTCATTGAATTTTATGACCAACATTCTAAAATTTCACAAGATATCAATTTTGCTCATGTTCTGTATGTTCAAATATATTTCGAAAATTGATATGCTGAAGCTATAACAGTCTATAATGCCCTTTAAAATCTATTTGTTCAAATCATGTTTAAACACTATTTACTTTTAGAAATGAAGTTTTTGTTTTTAGAAAATACTTATGAAATTCTAGCAATAATTAGACTTAAGCTAATTGTTAACATAAAAAGGCAATGCAAATTATTAATAAAAAATCAAGAAGAAACAATTAAGAAAATAAAGTTAATTATAAGCCATGTAAGAACATTTAATACTAGATAATAACAAAAGCAAAAATCATATATATCTCCACTTTTTTTTGTAGAAGAGATTGTGAAAAATAAGAGAAATAAAAAAGTTTACATGTACTCCCCAAACCAAACTTATCACTGGTGATAAGTGACTAAAATACTAACCAGTTTAACTGGGATGATTCACCAAGGTGGTTGAGGGGAGATGCTACTCTGTGCAACCCCTATATGCCCCCACATAATAGTTACTGGCTTCAAAAATTAAAAAAAAATCATAAAGTTGTTGTTTGAATACAACTTTAATTGCTGGAAATATCTGAATGGTTGTAAATGTGGTTTTTAATTTGTTAACACTCTACAACATTGAACCACAAGGTCTCCTAGCTCATGAGTGAGTGGTGGCTTATCAGTCCACAGGTTTGTGCTGTCGAAGTCCACTGCTAGTTTCCATGGAGGGGAACATCAACCCTTTTCTGGCTTGTTAGGACTTTCAAGACCCTTATGTCTCGGTTGCTAAGCATCTGGCCAGGGTCATTTTATGAACCAGACTGTGAGAGTTTCCTGGAATGTGTGTGAGAGATACAGAGATATGGTAGGTCTTAACATAGCAGCATGATTGCCATTACGGATGTGTGTGTTGGAGACTGGGTTGAAAAATATATTCTCTTTGTATCTGGCACTGAATTCTTCTTAGGGAGAGAACTCTCTTGGTTTATAACAACCCTCTACTAAGACCTTTGGGATAGCAAGGAAGAAAGAGCTTGAGGTCAGTAAAAGAGAGTCGAGATAATATAAGACAGTGAAAATGCTCAGAACAAGAAAATAAGAATTATTCTATTCTCAGAGTGAGGGTGGGCACTACAGGGGTGAATTGGCCAGGGGAGCACTGGAAGGCAGGTAGCCTAGTGTTTAAATAGGTTGAGAATGGAGGTGCCAACTTTTCAAATGAATTGTTTATATTTCTGCACCCCTTTCAAATCTATAATAAAGTCAGCCCCCTTGCCCTTTATTTCCTATAGAAATTAGGGAAATGGAGGAAAGGATTACATTTCACTTCCAGGTCCATAGGGGGCAGATATAAATGTCAAGATGGTCCATCCAGGCAAGGTTGGTGCCAGAAAGTTCTGACGTCAAAAACTCCCCCAGGAATGTGCAGATATCACGAAAGATGGCTTCGGACTTGCACAGGCAGTGGAATTGGGATTTTATCCAATTATATATAGATCTCAGGATCCATGAAAGGATCACCTGACATTTTGGTTATGTACAAAAAGGAATGCAGACCTTAAGTGGATAATGAAACTGCTATGAAAGAGACACCCTTTGGACATTAACTTTCAATACAAGGACACTGGCACGAGAGGAGACTGCTCAGATCACCTGCCCTAATGTCTTCATACTTTGTTAATGGAGAAAGAGGCCCAGAGAAATGAAATCCCTAGCCAGGTACCCTAAGTTAGAAATAAGAAAGAACTGTACTCGCAATAATTTTGTGTCATAAAATGGAAAATATTGCCTTGAGGGGAAAACTGCCAGTATTTTAAAGTGTGTCTGGCTTAGAAAGGAGAGACGTCATTAATTGACAAAATGATTTGTTCTGCTAAGTCAGAGTGATGAAACTTACTTCCTGGCCTCACACATCCTTCTGGCAGATCCAATTCATTTTGCTGAACTGCATGTTCTTGGGACTCTTGCCATCTCATTACAGGTAAGAAAGCTGATAAGAGCAGCACCCATTAGACCAGGTGTTCGTGCTGCCTGGGGATCGGTAGGAACAGCCAGAGCCAGAGGCGAAGTTTGAAGCAACATGAAGCACAAAATGAACCATAGGTTCATGATTAATTTTTTCTAGCTCCCATTTTTATGACTAAATTTTTTTGGAAGAAAAAAATACACAGCTAACTTAAAGGCATCATTACCGTCTGAAGATCAAATTATTCTTTAGAAATACTAAACTAGTGGTTTATTATAGATGTATGAGTCAGGGTTCTCCAGAAAAATGGAACCAAAAGGAAGTGTAGATACACAGAAAAATATTTATAGTAAGGCATTGATCTGAGTGGCTATGGAGGCTGACAAATCCCAAGACCTACAATCGGCCAGTGGTGTAGCTAGTTCCAGTCCAAGTTCAAAGGCCTAGCCAGGAGAGCCAATGGTGCAGTTCCAGTTTGAAGGCTGAGAGGACCAAGACCCAGGAAGAGCAGATGTTTCAGTTTGAGTTTGAAGGCAGGAGAAACCTGATGTCCCAGCTGGGAGGCAGCTGGGCAAAAGGAGTTCTGTCTTTTTGTTTGTTCAGGCCTTCAACTGATTGAATGAGACCCATTCACATTAGAGAGGGTAAATGCTTTACTCAGTCTGCCAAGTCAAAGGTCAAGGGTTAATCTCATCCAGAAACACCCTTGCAGATATCTGGTTACCCTGTAGGACAGTCAGGTTGATACATGAAATTAATAAAATAAAATGCTTTAAAAATAAAAATGCATAAAATAAAATGCATCAAAATACATAAACTACATAAAATTAAAATATATAATATAATATTAGCCATCACAATATTTATGGAAGGTTATATATGAGATCAGTTTTCTCATATGGTTTATGAAAGTTGATCTTATTTAAGCAGAACTTTTCAATACCTAATGATTTTCTTGTCCATGTTTAATTTGAGGCCCTTGTTTTTTCTCCCAGGTGAAATGTCTAGGTCACCATATATTTGTGATTTTTGAAAGGCTAAAATCTGGCAGAGACCCATTCCTTAGAATAATGTTAACATTTTAGATTGCCTATAGTTATCTGAGATTTACTTTTCTGTTCTTTACTCAAGATATTGAAAAGTAAGCCCAGGGTTATACAATTTATTTTTCCACTCCATTTTTTCATTGATCTTTGCCTTTTTTTTTCCCCCTGGGGACTCTTTGCAAGTGGATGGGCCTCATCTTCTCAGCACCCTAGTTTCTTTGCTCCCCCTTTCTACCTTGAACCACCACTTAATTTCTTTGTTCTTTTTGAGCCTCTCATTTACCTTTAGCTGCGCTATCATCCTCAGGAACAACATCATTTCTTAATTTCTGAGAAGGTCAAGGCTACATTACATGAACTTGAACTTCACTTCAAAGGTATCTGTCTTGGTCAGTATTTTCTGCTTCCCTTTCCTTCTCAGAGAAAGAATTTCTCCTTGTTTTCTCAGGTTAGTTCCCGAGTACCGAGTACAGCTCTCCAATTGCACTCTGATCTCTTCTCCTCCTTATTCCTCAGAGTCACTCTTCAGTTAGTGTTCTCACTACATTGGATGGTTTTTATGCAAAAGGTGTTCTCATAGACTCCTCGTCTTCAGCTATCTGGTGACTCCCTGTCTTCCAAGGTGTTCTTGTAGACTTCTTGTCTCCAACTACCTGGTGACTCCCTGTCCTCCTCATAAGCTCTAGATCCCCATCTGGGTTCCCTCCCACCTGGGTAGCCAGCTCTGTATAGGGAGACAGCCAGCGAGTTTAGCCTGCCATAAACCCTAATCACCACTCTTTCCCCTTAACTGTCGATGCCGTCTCCTCTTATAACTTCTATCTTGGTTGGTAACATTGCCATCATCCCTGCACCCAAGTGAGAAAGCCCCTCTCTCCCTACTCTTACTTCCTCCCACCACTTGCAACCCCGACTCCACCACAAACTTCTCTTGATTTTTCGTTCACAATATTTCTCTGTCCAATGCCTTCTTTTCATTCCCACTGCTCTAGTTTTAGCCTACATTTTCTCTTGCCTGGAATATTGCCACAGCCTGCTAACTGCCTTCTCTGACTCCATGGTGTTGCTGAAATCAGGATATGTGGTGACCCAGAACAAGCCTGAGGGAGCCAGGAAGCACTTTGGTTACTAAACACACCGTGAGTGGGAGGGCTCCTGCTCACTGAGTGCCCCTTCAGCTCCAGTTTCTTCAGGCAAAAATAGGTCCGGGGTCCCAAGGCTGCAGACCTTTGAGTTCACAAACACTGGGCCATTCCCTTAAGGAAGGGATGGATAATTCCAAATCCAGACTCAAATGGGGCACTAAAATTATGGTAAGAAGCCGGTCTGAAAGATGTAATATTGCAAAAGGAGCATCCAAATAGGCATCATGGGAAAAGCTAATTCTTACTCTTGGACTTTCTTACCCTTATTTTATGGTTTAGTATAAATATTATTTTGAATGACATTTTGGGCAGGGATGGCGACTGGATGGGAAACGTACTCTTCTCAGGATTAAGGGCCTCTGAACATTTTAAGCTGACCCTGCCTTGAGGACATGATCAGGTTGCCATGGTGACGAGTTTAGGAAGGGTCCCATAACATCATCAGTCATGAGACATTCCCAGTACTGGGCTCTTGTGTGGAGCGCAGGCCACCCATCCAGACTCCACCTTCCTACTTTGGGGCAGTTTTTTTTTTTTAATTTGGTTGTTTTCTTTTCTTGCTATTGACCACAATCTAAATAGACTGAATCTAAAACTTTAAACCTAAAAGGGAGGTATCTGGGGACTGCTTGCTTACCTCATAGCATGTTCCTGACACCCCAAATAAACTTATAGGTTCAAACTAGTTAATTGGGAGAAACACAGCCATTTTTATTGCCAGTAAGATTTGAGTCCAAGGTCACTGCAAAGCCCAACAACACTCTTGAACTTTTCCACCAGAACAGCCGAAAGGCACTTGATTCAAAATTTATTTATAAAGGACCATTTCGGGTGAACTTCCTGGAACAAAGAGGGACTGATCCAAGGTGACCCCGTGTTCCCACCTCTTAGAACAGACCCTGTTGCCCATGTCAGGAGAGGTGAGAAAGGTAGTACATTAGTGCCCCAGCACCTTTTGGATTCCTGAGAAAATGGACATATGTGTCGTGGAGTCTGTGATTTTCCATCTGGCTTTGACTTGCTTCTGCTGACTTCTTTGGCTCCACCCTTGACTGGAAGGATGGCCTCGTGGGACACACAGATCAGAGTTATGCTAACGAGGCTGCCGAGTGCCAGTTTGCCTGCTGGGGACACCACACTCTAAAAATCCTGCCGGGCAAATTGTCAAAATTCGGTTCCCATCCAGTCCCTTGAGAGTTTCCCTTGAAGAAAAACCAAAACCACCTTGGTCAATAGCATTAAACACATTTTCACATGACTCAGAAGCAAGGCTTGGCCAGGAAAACCATTTGGTGTATTTAAAAATTCCATTGTCTTATCATTGTGTGAGGATTTGATACTGGCAGCTGCAGGGATGCCTCAGATGTTTTCAGTATGCCATCGGTACAGGCTCAAAGTGTTCAGGATATGCAAAGTCCTTGAAATTGCCTAACAAAATGTTTTTAAATGTAAATTTTTATGATGATTAATTTTTATATTTGATTACCTTCCCTCAAACCTACTGGATTTGTATAATGGAATGGAAAAAAATAAATATTGCAAAGCAAATCAGTCTGAAATTTTCAGACTTTTTGTAGGCAAGACCGTCAGAGATATTGGCAGAAATTTTGCTTCCATAAAAAATATAGGTTGGGCTACAATGTTTACAGTTATCAGGGGAGCTATTTTTTAGACCAAATTGGAAACATTTCTTTTTTTCAAGAGAGAAATTAAAGTAGCTAACTGTGGCCCAAAATAGCTCAATAGAATAATTTTTCAAATAAATTTATGCTTTCCCAAGGTTTTAACAGAAAAAACATTGTCTAGGTCATCAAGATCTGACCTATGTAACTATATAAAATAAGAATTTTTATTAGTATAAAAAATCTGGTTGAATAAAATATGAATGAGAAATGTGTTTAAAACAATTATGATGTAAACAAGGAGATGCTGGGGTACTTGACATACCTTAATTTCTTATAACAACTCTGATATGAAGTGTTATCTCAGTTTTACAAATGAGGCCGGGTGCAATGGCTCACGCCAGTAATCCCAGCATTTTGGGAGGCCAAAGCTGGACGACTGCTTAAGGCCAGAAGTTTGAGACTAGCCTGGGAGCAGGTTACACATGTGTCTACACACGCGGACAGGGGCTTGCCCAAGGTCATATGACAAGTGCCTGGCAGAACTGGGATTCCATTTTGACTTTGCATCTAAAGAGCTTCAAAGAAGGTGGAGAGTATGACCTCAGAGTAATTCAAAGAGGATCATGGTTAGGTAATGGGCACACTGAAGCAACAAGTTAAAGAAATTCAAAATAAACAAACAAATTTACAAATGAGAAACAGAGGGTCCAAGAACATGAAAGGCTAGTGGGATGTGAATCTAGCTTTGTATCTGTGTCTTACATTACAAAGCTCTGTTCCCCTTTACCACAACCACTTCCCCAATGCCAGCTTTCCCACTCAGGTTCTGATACTAAACTAGCTAAAAATTTACAAACACAACATTTTCTGGGCTTGCTTTCATAAAAAGATAAATAACAGCATGATTAGCACTTAGATTATGCTATTGCTTTAAAAATCTTAGAAGTATTTTGAAGTGAAAACTTTTCCTTTCAAATCTTGTTTATATTGCTAATTTGCTTACAAAGACTTTTTTTTTTTCTTAAATACTGTAAAGGGCACCATAACCTTATTAAGCTCATGTTTTAACAAAGTGTTTATGTATTTGCGAATATATCATTGCATTTTTGAGAGCTCTATAAACTAATTTATTTCCTTTTAAATCTACTTAATTGTTCTCTGAAATTGTTCTACATGGGTAGAATGCAGTGAGACTTTCTTTTCTCTAGCACAGAGAAAATTTTGACAATAAATAGCAAATGGGAAATGAAAATTTGAGCATTCATACTAGTTCCAATAATAGTCTTGTCCTACAATAGTAAATATCTAGTAGAAAGAACTGTTACTTTACAGACCATAAGTGTCAGGATCTCAGTGTGAGTATCATTTCCTTTTTATTGGTGGTTAAAAATGTACAAGATGCGGTTTATAATAGTAGTAGTTACTTTTATTAAGAATTTGCTAGGCTTGAGGGTTTCTGCTTAGGCATTATGAACATATTCTCCTTCAAGCCATAATAGACTCACATTTCAAGGGAGAGATCACTAACCACCAAGCCTGGCTATACATGGGGAGAGGGCTTGTCCAATGCCACATGACAAGTGCTTGGCAGAACTGGGATTCCATCTTGACTTTGCATCCGAAGAACTTCAAAGAAGATGGAGGGTATGGCTGCAGTGTAATTCAAACAGCATCATGGTTAGGTGATGGGGACACTGAGGCAAGAAGTTAAACTGTGTTACCCAGTTTTCTCAGTGTCATTCATTGGTAATGTTTGCCTTTTAGCTAAATGTAATTTTCTTTCGATTGGTGGTTGTCAAACTGCTCTATGAAAGTCTTGAATTCTGTGGGCTGTTTATTTATTTTATTTTCATTTATTTATTTTTTTGAGGCAGTCTCACTCTGTCACCCAGGCTGGAGTGCAATGGCACAATCTCGGCTCACTGCAACCTCTGCCTCCCGGGTTCAAGTGATTCTCCTGCCTCAGTCTCCCAGATAGCTAGGGTTACAGGCACATACCATCACGCCTGGCTAATTTTTTATTTTTAGTAGAGACAGGGCTTCACCACGCTGGCCAGGTTGGTCTCGAACTCCTGACCTCAGGTGATCCGCCCATCTCAGCCTCCCAAAGTGCTGGGATTATAGGTGTGAGCCACCGTGTCTGGCTTGTGGGTCATTTTTAGCTCTCATTTCTAGAAAGAAGTGAAAGCTATGGCTGTCCTGAGGAACTTGTATACACAGTGGCTTAAGTGAACTAAATGGAGAAAGCCCCCACCCCAAAGCCTGACGGCAATTGTTTATTGTAGTTGAATTGATTTGTTTCACCTTTGGTCCTTTCTGCAGCCTATCCAGGGGCTTAGAGTGGTGGGACACAGACAGCCCTCAGAGAGAGCCCGGAGGGTCAGGAATTCATCTCTAGTTTGTAGCATGCCTGACACAGGAGTCTTGGGAAAAATGAAATAGTAGCTGGAACCTTTTGGTTTAATGTCTGTTAGTGATTTATGATGTTCCTATTGTTATCTATTCTAGGCCACTGACGTTCAAGTATAGTATTTGTCTTTTTCCTGTAAGGTTCTGATGAACACTTCAGGGGCAAGTTTATTATTTTTCTCAAGAATTGCCTGTCATGGAAAGCTTTTGGTTTCTTGCCTGGATTCTGCTACCCCAACAAGGCATTTACATAAACACAAGGGGCAGGGCTTATATTTAGCAAGACCTCATCAGCAGGGGCATACCAGTTACATCCTTGAAATACTTCCACACTTGGTGGTAAATAGCTACAGCGGCTCTTCTGAGCCTGCTGGATGTCCCTGGACCACCTCGCCCCCTCTCTCCATGGTCTGGTCACTGGGGCCCCTCCTTTGGGACACACACAACAGGAAACCTCATGATCTGGGCAACTAAAAAAGTAACACCTGGCCAGGGTGGTGCCTGAAGTTTATTTAATTTGGGGACCCAACTTTATTAAGAAGAAAATAATAGTTGGTACAAACTTGAACATAGAAGTAGAATAAGAAATCATAACAAATTATAAATTTTAAACACCTGACAATAACCCAAACATCACCAAGACTAAGACACATAACAATCTCTTTTACTACTTAATCGCTCTTTATAAGGCCATAAAACTTTTCTTTGTATATACTTTTTTGGGTTATATTTTCTTTGATCTCTTTACATAGTAATACTTTTATAATATGATCCATAAAAATAATAGAAAGAGAATTCAGTCTGTCTTCTTTTATGGTTCACCAATTTTTATTTTTATTTTAAATCATATTTACTAATTTTACTATACCTTATGAAAACTACATCTTGTATTCACAATTTTGCACGGCTGATTGTTATAAGAATTTTCTAAAGACTAGCTTCTGAGACCATACATTTCAAAACTCCTTATTCTGGATACGCACTTACCTCCAGTGCGGGTGGCTTGAGACATGTTCATGTTGCCCTATGACCTCTTGCCTTGTACATTCATATCATGCTGGTTGGTGGGGATTCAGATTACCCCTGTAAATGTCGAAGGGTACAGCCACCCTGGTTTTGGCACTAAAAGCATGTTCTACAGAAAGAAAAGCTGATAAATTCTCAACTTCTCAAAATTAAAACCTTTGCCCTGTAAATTCCATGTGAAGAGGATGAAAAGACATAGACAGAGAATATACTTGCAAAGCATGCATCTGATAAGGGATTGGCATCAAGAACATAGAAGTAACTCTCAAAACTCAACAGTAAAAAACTTTAATTTAAAAATCAACAAGAAACATAATAGACATCTCACTGAAGAAAATAGACAGATGGCAAATAAGCACTTAGAAAGATATTCAACATAATTGGCTATTAGGGAAATACAAATTAACACTGCAATGACATATCGCTATATGTCTATAAGAATGGCTGAAATAAAGAATAGTGACAACACCAAAAATGATGGTGAGGATGCAGAGGAACTGGCACACTCACACATTGCTGGTGGGAATGCCAAAGGGTACAGACACTCTGGAAAACAGCTTGGCAGGTTGTTTTTTCTTTTCTGAAAAAAACCAGAACATGTGGCTACCGTACAACCCAACAATTGCAGCCTTTTATATTTATCCCAGAGAAATGAAAACATGTGTTCACACAAAAGCCAGCACGTGAATGTTTGTAGCAGCTGGAACGAGCTCAGATGCCCCTCAATAGGTCTATGACTAAATAAACGGTGCTACATCCACACCATGGAACTCTACTCAGCTATGAAAAAGAATAAACTATTGATACGCACAACTTGAGTGAATGTCATGGGAATTATGCTGAAAAAAAGCCAATACCCAAAGATTACATACTGTATGGTTTCATTTATATAACATTTTTGAAGTGACAAAATTTTAGAGATGAAGAGCATATTAATGGTTGCCTGGGGTTAAGGAGAGGGGAAGCTAGGGGGAGGGAATCCGGTGTTGTTCTAGAGGGTGGCGTGGTGTTAGATTGTGCAGCAAGTTGGCTGTGGTAATAGGTACACCTCTCTACACGGGTGACAAAAATTGATGGCACTCAACACACACGCACACACACACACACACACAAAGTAAAACTGGAAAATCTCAATGTAAATGAATTTGGTCAAAATTAATATCTGGTTGTGATATTGAGCGATTGTTTTGCAACATGTTATCACTAGGGAAGCTGGAAAAGTGCACAAGGAATCTCTGTATATTTCTTACAACTACTATTATCTCAATAAAAATTCCAATTAAAAAGAACTTAAAAATACTTCTGAAAGTTATTTCTACTCTACAGCAGTTAACAATAACAACTACATACAAAAGTGACTATAAAGTACATGCATATATTATTGCTAAACCGAAACCAGTGTATTACTAAATCTATTTTTCCTTAGCCAAATCCCAAAATTTCTTTGGCTACTCCAGTGCTATCCAATGTGAAGGGAAGTGTGACAGAGGAAACATTGGAGTGGAGAGGAAATAATCAATGGTATTAACACATTGGGGTTAAATTAGCTTACCTCTGCAAATGTTACAACAATCTACCA
Source organism: Homo sapiens (assembly GCF_000001405.40). Lineage (NCBI taxonomy): Eukaryota > Metazoa > Chordata > Mammalia > Primates > Hominidae > Homo > Homo sapiens. Next base: position 223,099,086 of record NC_000002.12, read on the forward strand.
CCATGTGAATACATTGCTAGATCCTCCCTGCATGAGTGGGTGAGGGGCTCCGAAGCTTAATTAAGCCCCATAGTTTCCCTGAGTCTGTGCCTGAACTAGGCCCAACAGGGGTCTCAATGACTGAGTTCATCGGCCTCTCCTGTGATTCTTGGTGTCTGGGTTGGGCTGGCCATTGGGTAGTTTGAAACAAGGCTGCTAATCTTTAAGTTTTTCAAATTAAGTTTTTTGTTTGTTTATTTTGAACTCACAAAAATTAAAGAATGTGGCAGAGGCATATGAAATGGTATGAGAGGTTTGCTGTAAAACCCTTTGCTTTCATTTGGACTTTGGAATAAGGGGGTTTCATTAGAGAGCCCTTTTTAGGGAGCTTATCTTCAGAAGAAACTAGGACACTGATGAGGAGGCAGTTTTACCTGTAAGGTGGTTCAGCTTTTTGAACTCCAAGGACAATGCCATTCAAGAGCTTGACAAAGCAGTGGGCAAACTCCTTGTGCACTTCTCCCGTGACTCTCTTCTTCCTTCCCTGGGATAAGGCATGGTTTATCTGGCTGCTGGGATGGGAAAAGGCGATCATGCCATCCATCATGCTCAGACCTTTGGATTCTTTCCTTCAGAGCCACCTGCCCACTTGCCTCCTCTTATCCCTTCTCCTTACAGAAAGTTCACCAAGGCAGATCTGTGCCTTACAGGGTGAGAGCAAGGGCAGCCAAGTCCCCAGCTGTCCCGCCCCTCCCTGGGTCAGGAGGCTTAGCTAGGTGGAGGATGAGGAGAAGGGACTTTCTTTTGCCTTTGGGCTTAAGCTATGACATCAAATCCTGCTTTATCAATGATAAAGCCAAAACTTGGACTATGATCTTATTCTTCTTTCTACCTCTCAATTGGTTCAGATCTTGTAGGGTTGAGAAATGTGGTGAAATGAAAGCTTAAACACACGAAACTTACATTTATCTACATGTGTAATGTTCCAGACACATCGTCTTGTGAAATGCCCTCGAGAGCCTTCTAGGCACATTTAGGTGCATCACCGGCATAAGCACCCGCTCTGGCTCTGGACACACAGTGACCACAGCACTAGTCTACAGAGAGGAACATTTTTTTTCATTTCAGTACTGTACATTCCTCCAAGAGTTTTTGAAGCAGCTGGCCTCACGCCCAGTAGTTCTGGGGGAATCATTTGGCCACTCAGTCCCAGTCTCCCTCCCAAACATGTGGCAGTCAAGGAGAATATTCCTTTTATGATCTCAAGTCAGCTTAGAGTAAAACCAGTCCAGTTTGTAACAGAGGAGGCTGTGGACATAGCAAATAAATCACCAGTAGAGCAGAGAGGTGGCTCCACCTCCCCATGCCCTGGTAAGCTCCTGGCTATGCTTCCTAACTGGGAAGGAGATAGCAGACCAGCTAAGCACTGGAGCATCTGCCTCAGGTGACTTCCCCACCCCCACTCCCAATCCAGCTTGGTGTAGGATTTTCACATTCTCTCCTCTTTATTTCTTTTTCCTCCCCCTAGTCTCATTTGCTTTGGGAAAGACATTTATAAATACAGCTGGGAGCCTCATTTTGCCAATGAATTTTACTTGCCTGAGAAGAAAGCAAAGTCTAAAGTTAGCTTCTGAATCTTGCAATGACAAATTGGTTATTGATACCAACACCATGTTGGTATTGGTGGAATACCATGAGGACACTGGACCGATGCCAGTGACACAGATCGGGCAGGCGAGCTCTTGTTGCTCTGGTCAAGCTGCTGGCTCTGCCCCAGATGTGCCACTATCATCACATTTGAGTGGCATCTCCTTGGCTTGTGAAAGATTCATCCTCTGTGCATCAACAGACTGGTATTCCCAGAAGAGGAAACCAGATTTCGGTTCATGATGTGGTAGAAAGAGCACTAGTCCAAACTCAGCGGGCCTGTTTCTAGTTCTGACCTTGTCACTTGCTGAAAAGCTTCAGTTAAGTCACTTTTCAACAGTGCCTCAGTTTCCCTTATCTATATAATGAGCAATCAGAGCAAGTGCATCTCTATTTCCTTTCCAGCCCTCACTGTCTAGAGTTTATCAGTGCTCTAGCTTATAAAGTGGAAGGAAACAGAACTTACTGGGCAGTTTCTTCATGCTGGGCCTTGAAGCAGAGACTTGATACTGTTCTCATTTAATCTTCAGAAAGTATTATTCCAGTTTTACAGAGGCAGTAACTGAGGCTCAGCGAGATTAAGAGACTTGTGCAATATCACACAACTGATCTACTGGTGAGCACACATTTTGTTACAAGTGTCAGGAAATCCAGCTTAACCTGGGTTAAGCAAAAAAGAGAACAAGGAGTTTGAAGATGTGACCAGGAACTGGCTTCTTCTCTCCACCTATCAGCTCTGTTTCCTTTGTGCTGGTTTCATTGTCAGATTTCCAGTGCTAACCATGTGGCTGCAGCAACTCCAGCCCTCACATCACCTGGGGCTGACCAACTGCTCTAGTTTGCCCAGGAGTTAGGGGGTTCCCCAGACATGGGACTTTCAGTTTTAAAGCCAACAAAGTCCCAGTCAAACTGTGACAAGTTGGTCTCCAGCATCAGCTACAGATTCAAATCCAGCAGGAAATAGCATGCTTTTTCGAGTAGCTCTTGCAAAATATTCTGACTTGCTCAGACCTGACTGCTTTATACCAGGATCTCTCCCAGAAACAGTCCCTGTGGCCGGTTCGATGCAGGTGTGCTGATTGGCTTAGGCTTGGGGAGAGCCCTGCCCAGACCATATGCTTGGTGGGGGAGGGGAAGAGCCCTAAAAGAAAGCAGAGGCTGTGGTCAATAAGGAGTGTAGGATCCTGTGGAGGTGAGTGGGAATGACACCCTCTGCTGGTAAGTGGCAGGATCAAGTTTCAAACCCCAGTCTCCTTACTGTGAACCACAGGGAGATGAATTTCCAAAAGATGCTGCGATTCCTTGCCAGGTATGGTCAAGACAGAATGCCCAGCTGAGTTAGAGACTGGTGATTCTGATGCAAGAACTTTAGGAGTTCTTGGCTTTGTGGCCTTTGAATAGAGAACAGATACATTCCCTGGCCCCTACTGCACTGCAGGATTTAGGAAGGTGGTGGACACCATGTGCATGGCGGTGCCTGGCTGATTCTCACCATGTGAGCCTGTCAGCTACATCCTGCAGCACCCTGTTTGATGCCAGTGGCAGAGCCACGCCTACTCCCTGTGGAAATACAGTTTCCGCACAGGCTGAAGGACATCTGTCTGAGAGATTGACATTAAAAAAACATTAAAAGGTGCCTTCTGTGTGGTACCAGTTTAGAGTGACCTGGCTGCTAATACTGTCTTTTATTAAAGCTTCCAACAACAGTTACTGGAGAGCTACTAGGCTAAAAGGAAAGATTATTTTTGGCTCTCATACTTCCTGTTTGAGGAGAAAATGGTGTTCCAGAAAGACTTACAAAGACTGAGAAACTGCTAACATAATGACATTGAAGACGGGAGAGAAATTTCACACTGAAATTTTTATTTCAAGTGAGAGAAAAAGTGTGAAAATTATTTTGAGGGTGATGATAGAAACATGTTGCAATCAGGAAACAGAAATATGTTCTACTTAAAAAGGCCTAATGTTAGAGGTGTATCGGATGGTTTTCGTGCCAAGTTTATCTTCCTGCATATGAAAAATTTTAGAAGTGTTACTAACAGGAATGACTCTACAGCAGAATGATTATTCAAAAATTGCCTTGTATTTAAACCTCCACAAAGATAGATTAAGATGAACTTCAGTTGACATCTGTTGTTTTTTCCTGCACAGCATCAGTCTCTCTTTCTCTGCTAATGGCACTTTGATTTCATCTTAAGGAATTAACCTTAGCTTTACCTTTTCTCAATCTGTGTAGTTTTGGTTGGCTTGAACTCCAAGGTTGAGTGCATGGTCAAAGCTTGGCCATTGTCAAAAGGCAAAATTACAACATGTTTACTTTAAAAATCTTAATTGGTTTTTATTTGTGATTCTAGCACTGGGGGCAACACATCATCTTATAAAATAGAATTAGTGTTCTGATGAGCTGAGCAGAGGAGGTTGGCTTTACAGACAGAAAAGGGGTGAAGAAAAGCAGAAACAGGTATCAAAAAGAGGACTGGTTGTTTCAAAGTTACTTCCCTTGTAGGGTTAAAGCAGAGCGAACTTCCTTATTACACTGACTCAGGTTGACTAGAATCTCCAATTGTTTTTTTTTTTAGTTGAAAACCAGCCCATTTCAAAGTTCGTTTTTCTTACGTGGCAGTTAGCACAAGTGACTCCATTCTGGTTTCGTCTGGTCTGCTGGGGCCTAGTGAAGAAGACTAATCCAAAACAATCACCTTCCATAAACTTTAACCCCATTTCGTCACTGTAATTGGTTCATGTTATGTGATCCAACTTAGGCTAATAAAGATCAGTGCCGAGATTTTTGCTTGACTACAGAAGAAAAGATACTCAGTTTTTGTTGTAATTGCTAAGCTGGTAGAATAAAAGGCCGTCGATGCTAGTGACCACCTTTGCCTAGACCAAAGGCAACATGGTAGAGCCCACGATGTTGAGAAATGACACTTTGACAATATTGCTTGAATACCTGGACCTGGCTGTGCCCGAAGTGATGGATTTCTCAACTCTATGAGCTTAAGCCAGTTTGATTTGGTCTTGGGTCACCTGCAAATGCAAATCCTAACTAATAGATGATGAGAGTATTGTAACTAACCACATAATTCATTTGGAACTCAGTTGTCCAACAGCTTCACCTACGTGGAGCAAAGAAAACTGGGAACTGAGTACAAGGGAACTCTGAAGAAACAAAGTGTCACATAATATATGCTGAAGATTCTGAGATGGACTCAGAAGCACGTCTTTTATTTAGAGTTGTGTGTAAAGTAAGAGTCAAATGCCCTCAGTAGTTTTGCTATTTGGTTTTCAAACCCGCAGCAGATAGGGAGTGTTATAAGGCAAGAAGTAGCCACACCAAGCAGGACCCAGAAGTGAGGAGCAATGAGGCAGTCTAACATGGGCAGAATCAGAGAAGCCACAAGGATTCCAAATCTATAACAGTCCAAGTCATTCAGCTTGAGGCCAAAAAGAACCTGTATCATGTGACTGTTGTTGGTAAGCCCTGTATCATCAGGAAAAGACTGCATGCTGGTCCACTGTTTGCTGTTTTAAAAGGTATGGAAGTACATAACACATTCTAGAAAGTGTTCCAAGTGTCTTAATTTACAAAAAACAAGTTTTGGTTGTAAAAGGGGTAAATTTCATTAAATGGAAGAGCTCTCCACCAAGTTCAATTTCCTGAGGGTAATGGAAGTGTAGAAATGCTTTTATATTGATTTAGAAGCAATGGTTTCTGAGGCCTTTTACGGTTTACCACTAAGTGAGGCAGCCTGTGGTTCTTGATTTTTCTCTGCTTCAGTGGAACCACAAATTGGTTTTGCTGCGGGTGGTGAGGGAGAGAGGGACAGACCAACATGATGATGAAACCCGCGGAGGTCAATCTAACTGCATCTCAGAAGGGACGTGACACGGTGCCACCTCTTTGAGCATTTGTTCTAGGTGGAATATTTCTGTGTGATAGATAATCTCTTTCAAATCTAAGAATCTATAATTACATGCTTGGTTTAAGTGGTTATTTTTTTCATTTAGTTTTAAGTAGTCTCCCATGGAATACAACTATTTTCTCAGATTCGCTTTTTCAGAATGCAAGAGTCATCTCAGGTGTAGATAATGACTTATCTTTCCAGAATCCCTGGGTTAGCCTGGGTTGTGGCCAAGAGAGCTGCCTAGTACAATTCCTGCTTCTCCTTCCATGGATTAGGGCTTTCTTAGGAAATGGCAGTCCAGCCAGGGACCACATTCCTTGGCTCCCCTTTTATCCAGCAGTGACCACATGATTAATTCTCACCAAGGGAACATGAGCAGATGTGATGTGTGTGGATTCTAAGTCATATTTTTGAGAAGCGTGTGTGCCTTCTTCATGATTTCTCCTCCAGTTAGATACAGAGGAGTCTGGTGGAGTCACAAGTTGGAAGACATCTTGTTCTGGAGTTGCCACTTAGAGAAAAGACACCCTCTAACCAGTAATGCCTTCTTCAGACTGTTAGGTAGACGGTCAACAGGTGGTTTCGGGTGGTCCACAGATACAGTGTTAACATTTACTTGCACAGATTATTTCCTTTTTAGTTGTTTCACATTCTTTGATAGTGTCATTCCTTCTGCTGCACTAGATTTTAATACCTCTGTAATATAGTCTTTCCTTTAAATAAAAAAAGATAGCAGGTCTCAGAGTCTTCTGGTAGCAACGCTGTCTTGCTAGGATTAAAAAATATTGATTTGTTTTCATTATACTTATTTTAGCATTCATCTTTTATTTATGGCAAGTAAAACTGGTTTTCTAACTATAATAGGAAAATACATTTTTCTTTTAAATATTTGTATTTTTAAGAGGAATGTGAGGTGATTAAAATATTAAGTAATAGGAATGGTGGTAGCTAAGATGAATGCACTACTATAAAATCCATTGATGAACTGGTTAGTATAAGATACTGCCATATTATTCTTCTGCAGGTTTTGGTATTGAGAATGAAGGTGACTAACTTTTCATTGAAAAACTGTTAAAAAATAGCAACAGAGTGAGACCCTGTCTCAAAAAAAAAAAAAAAAAGAACCAAAAAAGTTAAACGAAGTGTGATTCATTCTACTCTCTGAAAAATTCCATTTAGATCATTAGGATGAAATCTCGTGGTATTTTAAAATTTGGGCTATCTTCATTTCTGATAAATGACATTTATAAAAAACAACTTTATTGAGATATAATTGATATATCATATAATCACCTGTTTAAAGTGTACCATTCGGTGCTTTTTAGTATATTTATAGAGTTGTGCACCATCACCATAACTAATCTTAGAATAATTTCATTGCCCTGAAATAGACAACCTGTACCTATTCAGTCCCCTTTCCCTCCAAATCTGCTGCCCCAAGCTCTAGATAACCACTAACTTACTTTATGTCTCTATAGATTGACTTATTCTGGATATTTCACATATATGGAATCCTACAATATGTGTGCTTTTTATGACCAGCTGCTTTGACTTAGCATAATGTTTTCGAGGTTCATCCGTGTTGTAGCATGTATTAATACTTCATTTCCTTTTATTGTCAAATAATATTCCATTACATGTATATGCTACAGTTGTTTATCCATTTACCAATTGATGAACATTTGGGTTGCTTCAATGTTTGGCTATTACAAATATTATTGCTGTGAACATTCATGTGTAAGTTTCTGTGTGGATGTATGTGATCACTTCTCTTGGGTAAGTATTAACGAGTAAAATTGCTGGGTCATGTGGTAACTGTGTTTAACCTTTTAAGGAAGAGCTAAACTGTTTTCCAAAGTGGCTGCACTGTTTTACATTACCATTAGCAATATATGATGGTTTGAATTTTTTTTTACATCCTCACCAACCTTACCCTCTGTCTAATTGATTACAGCCATCCTTGTGGATGTGAAGTGGTACTGATTTTGGTTTCCTTGCTGGCCAAGGATGTTGAGTATCTTTTTATGTGCTGCTAGTCATCTGTATGTCTTCTTTGGAGAAAGGTCTAGTCAGATCATTTGCCTATTTTTAATTGGGTTGTTTATTATTTTATTATTGAGTTTTAGGATGTCTGTGTTTACTTTGAATACAAGTCCTTTATTAGATACGTGATTTGCAAACAATTTCTTTCATTTTGTAAGTTGCCTTTTTACTTTCTTGATGGTGTTATTTGCACTACCCCATGACTTTTTATAGCCTCCATGACCTCAGAATTTTATCCATCAATTGATCCATCCATCCATCCATCCACCCATTTATTCAATGATTCACTGATGAGGAGCCTGTTGATTGACTTTTTCTCCTCCTTCAAGTATGAAAGGTTTTAATGTAAAGAAAAGAGAGGCTTATTCATTGGTTGGGAGGGCAAGGGGAGCAAAGGTCAGGGAAGCTCTTGTCAGCTGTTAGCCTGTGGCACCAAAGTGGGTGATTCTTGAGTTCACCGGGAAACCACTGTGACTCTCGATAACCTCTGGGTAGCTCCCATCAACAGAACTTTTTCTGGATCTGATCGATTTCCTTTCCTGACTTGTGAGTGAGAGGATTTTTCTGTGGTATGAAGTAACCAAGTGAAAAAAACCTTAATGGAAAACACAGTAAGGAACAGGTGTGTATTTCACTGGTTAACTAATGTAATCCCTATTTTGCAGGACCTTTGTGTTGAGCCATGGGGTCATGCTTGACAATTCATTGTAAGAAAAATGGGCTTGGAAAAACATGTCAAGAGGCCGGGCATGGTGGCTCATGCCTGTAATCCCAGCACTTTGGGAGGCCGAGGCGGGTGGATCACCTGAGGTCAGGAGTTCAAGACCAGTCTCAACATGGAGAAACCCTGTCTCTACTAAAAATACAAAATTAGCCGGGTGTGGTGGCCGGCACCTGTAATCTCAGCTACTCAGGAGGCTGAGGCGGGAGAATTGCTTGAACCTGGGAGGCGGAGGTTGCAGTGAGCTGAGATCGTGCCATTGCACTCCAGCCTGGGCAACAAGAGCAAAACTCTGTCTCAAAAGAAAAAAAAAAAAGAAAAAAGAAAAACATGTCAAGAAATCCATATCCAGATTAATATACTTTCAGAAAAGTGTTTTATGTAAAATGTTTATATTCATTTTCCACTCGGCACATACTTCACACCTCCCTCTTAAGAAAATAACAAAACAAAACTCAATACCTTATTTCCTTTGGAAAAGTCTGGATATTTTAGAACACTTCAAGTTAAACTGCATTATATGCTGTTCAACTGGTAACTGCAAACAGTTATCTCAGGTGAGTTTGTGTAGTCATAAAGGGGAGCAAGGTTTGTGGCCAAACTTAATTAGCTTTGCCTTTTTCTTTGAACTGCAATCTGTGTTCCAAATGACAGTTGGCTTCAATTTCCTCATTTGTGTCATATATATAACAACATATACTTCATTATACGATTAACAATGTGTACATGCCTCATTCAGTGCCTGGCTTAGAGTAGGTGATCCATTCATTTATTAACTTTCATCTTTTCTTGATTTTGAATGCAGAAGGTCAAGCCTGGAGAATGTGGTTACATTTACACAATGGAGAAAACAATTTATACAAAATACCTTAGGATCAGGCATCCGCATACGAAGAGAACATTTGCAAGTATACTTCCCTTTAAGGATTGGATGGGGGGTGTGGTATGGTAAGATATCAGGTGTATGGAATGCTTGGAAATGCCAGATTTTCAGTCACAGAGGCCACAGTTTGCCTGACACCCCTTGGGTGGTCAGTGGAGACACATGCAGATCAGAGGGCTGGCTCCGGATCAGGGCTCCCTGTGCAATCTCACTGGGAAACATCTGCTTTACGGAAAGAAGCAGACCAAATGGCCCCAGGAAAGATTCAAGTCAGATGGAAAAAATGAAGTCTCTTAAGCCCTAGGCTTAAGTTCATTTCCTAAAAAAGGCACATGGTGTACTTAGTAGCATTTTTAGAGGAATGTCATTCCTTGACATTGGTTGATGGTCTGGGATGCACTCCACAGTGAAGATAGGGTGTGTGGCTCGAAAGAAGGGCAGAGTCTTCAGATTGGGCCAAGTGAATGAGGAGGTTGTCCCTTTTATTTTATGATTCATGATCTTGCTTCAGCTCTGGGTGATCCTCTTTGATTTGAACTTCCCTTCTCATTCAAAGACATGCAGACATAGCATGTGTCATAACACTGAGGTTAAGTAATGCAATAGCATGGATCTTGGACATCTACTAGCCACAAGGCACTGCGTGAAGCTCTGTAGGGGTTGTAGATAGACAGGTATAGGATACCATCATTTTCCCCAGAAACTGGCAGTGGAGTTGAAAAGATAAGCAAGACATCGATGATGCTTAGTTTGATGTGTCAACTTGGCTAGACTATAGTATCCAGTTATTTAATCAGACACTACTCTAGGGGTTGCTATGAAGGTATCTTGTAGATGTGGATGGCATCTACACTCAGTCGGCTCTAAGTAAAGGAAATCACCCTTGATAATGTAGTGTCATCTAATCAGTTGAAGGCCTTAAAAGCAAAAAGTGAGGTTTCTTGGATAAGAAGACATTCTGCCTTAATACTGCACCATCAACTACTGCTGAGTTTCCAGCCTGCTGGACTGCCCTACAGATTTCAGACTTGCCAGACCTCACAACTATGTGAGCCAATTCCTTAAAATTAACAGGTACCCTCCCCAGCCCTCTATGGGTCTCCTTCTCTGGAAAAACACTGACACAGGATCCAATAGCTTGATGCAAAGCACAACGTATGCTCCATAAGAGCAGGGACTTTGTTTTGTTGACTCGTGTATCTCAGCAGTTAAAACAATGCCTGGCATCTGCTTGACACTCAATAAATACTTCTTGGATGAATGGAGAGATGGTTTGGTGGCTGGATGAATGGATGAAATAATTGTGGTATGAACAACAGGAATAGTACAGAATGTTACTACTCCCCAGACAAAATCATAGCATTCTTAGAATCAACCTTCAATTTCAATTTTTATGCTTTTTTTTCTCCTAAAACTAGAATGTATCACATGTAAAATGATGAGGAGTCTAAACCAAAAGCCGCCTGTTCCACTTGCCGGTGATTAGTTTAAAAATGGGGTGGGGAGGGCCTAGATTCTGGACTGTGGGATGTTAAGAAGTATATTACATGTGGCTGGGAAAGTTTTCTTCTCCTGAAACAAAAATCCTCTTTCTTCTCTGGATATAAAGTTAACTGTATATGATGCTTTAAGTTTCTGTAGCCATTTTTTATAGTGGAACAAGGGCTGAGCCACAAGAATTGCAGAGAAATAGAGCAAGAGTCCTGATACAGCACATCTGAAGCCCATCTTAGCTGAATTCGGGACTGTATGTGTGTTTGTGTGTGTGTGTGTGTGTGTGTGTGAGAGAGAGAGAGAGATAAGAAGAGAGAGAGAATAAATTTGTCTTTTGTTTAAGACGGTTTGAACCATGGTTTTTGTTACCTGAGCTAAAGGCATCTTGATTCATTAAATGAAAATACAGTCATGCTAGAATGGCTAGAAGTGGCTAGTAGTTAAGAAAACTTTAAAAAGCTGAGTGTGTTTGATATCAGCAATGATGAGTTGCTTACCAGGATAATTTAGTTGTTGGTATACATTGGTTTAGGTACTCCTTAATTGGGAAGTTTCTTAAAAACCAAGGAAAAGCTCCTGAAGAATCTGAAAGAACACAGAAGTACCCATGTATTAATAGTGGAAGACATTACACAAAATTGCAACCCTATGTCCTTCACTCAAAAACCAGTGGAGGTAGTTTCAAGGGGCCTACAAGCAAAAAGCTGCCTAATTCTCAACAGCTCTTTGCTTGTTCTTTTTTTTTTTTTTCTTTTTTTTCTTTTTTTTTTTTTTTTTTTGAGATAGAGTCTCACTCTGTCACCTAGGCTGGAGTACAGTGGCGCAATCTCAGCTCACTGCAATGTCTGCCTCCCGAGTTCAGTGATTCTCCCACCTCAGCCTGCCGAATACAGGCATGCGCCACCACACCCAGCTAGTTTTTTTTTTGTTTTTTTTTTTTTTTAGTCAAGACGGGGTTTCGCCATACTGGCCAGGCTTCTTTGTTTTTTCTGAGTGAGTTATCACATTTTACACCCTGGACTATTGCATCCCAATGTTGTTCCTAATAGCCTTCAGGGGATATAGGGTGCCAGGGTGGAGCTGGAAGGATTATATATGTGTCTGTTTTGCTGGTTTGTTCTTGACAGGGTGTTAAGGAATGTGAAGGATCTGAGATTTTACTCCATTTACAAGTTAACAAGTTTGTCTGCCAGCCCTGGGGATGATGGCAGAAGACATGAGACTCCTATGTCAGAGACAAAAGATGTTATTATTCACTCATGGCAGAGCAAGCAGCATAAACATTATGTTTATATTGGTCACCTGCCCCTCCATGTCTTATGGGGTTGATGTGGAGGGACCCAGGTGAATGCTGTGCATTCAGTGGGCTGACCTCACACCTGAGGAACCCTTGGCTTAGGGAACCTGAATCTTAGGGCTGCTAGCAAACCTTCCCTTTTCTCTGGAGAGAGACATCATCTTTTCTATGCTGGGCAGTAGGCAAATCTTCCCTTTACTCTGGAGGCTGTCACTATCTCTATCTTGCAATGCTGCTTACTATACAGACATCCTTCAAAAGATAGTCCAGGGTGAAAACACAGTTAATGCTATGCTCCCAGGACACTCAGAAATGCAAGAGTTACAGGGAAACTGCCTCCCTGGAAGGGGCTAGGGAGGGGCTTAGGGAATTGGGGAGAGTCTAGCTGGGTTTATAGGATACCAAAGTTGTGACCCGCTAGATTACCAGTGTGAATGCATAGTAGTGTTTTGGTGGATGGTTTTGTGACAAGAAGATGTGAAACCCCACAGACAGTTTAGGATGATTACCAAATAGGAAGGGATATTGCTGTAGCTCTTTGTTTGGGGCAATGAAGTATTTCACTGGAGCTGCTTAGAAATAAAGTGTTCTGTTCCATTGAAAATGAGAAAAGCAGCTAACACCTACAAAGTGCATTCTGTGTACCAGTGAGAGAGCTAAATTCTTTGTTTAGACTAACTTATTATCACTACAACATTATGAGATAGGGGCCATAATTTTCCTCAATATGCAGATGAGGAAAATGAGGCACAGAGAAAAATTAGGATTATAAAAGAACAATTTCAGAATATCACACAGCAACTAAAAGAGTGGGAAGATTGAGGGCCTGCCTGAGAAATCCAGGGAAGGCATTTCCTATCAGAGCATTACTTGGTCGACCTGTCAGGATCAGAGTTGGGCTGGAGCTACCTGGAATTAAATTGGAACACTCTTTCCTATCCCTACCTTAAAGACAATGCTTGATAATCAAGATATTGTATGAGCATGAAGAGGAGAAGGAAGTAGAGAAAAAAGAGTCAATGCTATAGACCCTCATAGTTAATATCTACTGACACAAAGATGGATAATCAGGAAGCGGGAAGGGTGGTGACATGATTTGCCTCCATGTCTGTCTTAATGGGCAACTGTAGTCAAAATGCTTATCCCCAGTGTATTAGTCTGTTCAGGCTGCCATAACAAAATGCTGCAGACTGGGTGGTTTACACAACTGAAATTTATTTTCTCACCATTTTGGAGGCTGAAAGTCCAAGACCAAGGTGCCAGCAGGGTCCGTTTCTGGCAAGGCCTCTCTCCTCGGCTTCAGATGATGCCTTCTCTCTGTGTTCTCCCATGGTCTTTTCCCTGTGCACACAAAGAGAGAGCTCTCTGGTGTCTCTTCTTCTTGTAAGGCTATCAGTCCTGTTGGATTAGGGCACAACCTTTATGACCCCTTCAACCTTTATTATCTCCTTATAGGCCCTTTCCACAAATACAGTCACATTGGGGGTTAGGGCTTCAACCTATAAATTTTTTAGGAGGGGGATACAATTCAGTCCATGACACCCAGTTTTCAGATAAGAAAATGAAACATTAGCGAAGTCAGCAATACCTACCTCATAGAATTAAAAGAGATTTTGTATTTTGTCTGGCAGATCATGGGTGCTCAGTCAATATCACCTCCCTTCCTTATGTTTTAATGATCAGCTAAGGCGGGCGTTGATTTATTGCATGTTCAGCATAAGGAGGGGTCATGGAAGGTTAGGGAATGGATGGGGAGGAGATGAATGCTTCACTAGTTTTATCTTGCTGCATAACAAATTACCACAAATTCAGTGGCCTAAGACACCATTCATTTATAATTTGCATTTACCATGAGTTAGGAGTCCAGACATGGCTTACTTGGATTCTGTGCTCAGGAACTCATGAGGCTGAAATGAAGTTGCTGCCTGGGTTGCATTCCTTCCTGGAGCCAGAGTTTTCCTCTGAGCTTTTGAGATTGTTGACCGAGTTCAGTTCCTTGGGGTTGTAGGACTCAGGTCCCCATTTTCCTGCTGGTTGACAGTGGCTGGGGACACTGTCAGCTCCTAGGGGCCACTCCCATTCCTTGCTATGTGGACCTCTGATAGATTCCCTTGCAACATGACAGCTTAGTTCATTAAAGCCAGCAAGAGAATCTTACTCCAGTGTGCTGAAACAGTGTTTCAAGTAATGTCACATAATCATGGGGGTAACATCTCATCACCATTGCCATATTTTATTGGCTAGAAGTAAGTCACAAGTTCTGCCCACATTCACAGGGAGGGATTATACAAGGCTGTGACTCATTGAAGATTACCATAAGGTTTGTCAGCCTTTGGCAGAAAGGATAAAAGGGGTTGGTGCTGATGGCAACTGCCATCTGCTTTGTATGACATCTGTCATACATGCTGTGGGTGACCAAACTTGAAGATGGATTAGCAGCTGAAGAATGGCATCAAGAATGTAGTTGTTGAGTTTTCAGATGGCCTGAAATAATAGGGTGCTGAGAGTCTGAAAGATAGTAATCGAATTCCAGACAGTAGTCTGAAAGATAGGAAAGGAAGAAATTAGAACCTCTAAAAGAGTGTAAAACTCAGTTAGGGCAAATCACTACCACTTACTTGAAGACACAAACTAAACTGTCCTCAAAATCAAAATGAATAGATAAACTATTTTTAAAAAGACTCTATTGTCTTAATTCTACTAAGCTCAATGAGAGTGTAGCATGTGGGTCAGTTATGTAGTAGAAGTAGTGATATTAGATAGAGGTACAAACGGTCTATTTCTCATTCCAGGAAAAGTATTGACTTCTACAGGTGAAGAATACTGAGCTTCTCTCTTTCTGCCCATAGAGTTTGTTCTATACTTTTGAGAGAGTGCAACATTTAGCGAGGTGTAATGGAACTTCAGGAGTTTCAGAAAGGAATACATGATTTGATCATGAGGAAGAAGGACTGGTTGTGATGATGGCCCTTCTCTGAAGGTAGAGCCTGTGGTGGACCTGGGACTTGAACCTGGGGAGTCTGGCTTCAGGCTCTGTTTGAACTCTCTACTTGTTACTGATAGGAGAGTCACCTTGGTTCCAGAGCTGCTTCATTTCATAGTTTTAGTCCTTTTCTGAGGTTCAGGTGTATCCTTGTCCTTATATAGAATGTAATATCCCCTTATAATAAATTCCTTGTGAAGTTTTATTAAACATTTATTAAAGCTGGTTTCTGTTTCTTGCGTACAGAAATAATTTAACTAAGACAGTTGTTGACTCATAAAAGAAAAAGCAGTGAAGGCTTCATGATTGTTATTTCAGACACGAAAAGTCAACACGACTCTCCAGCTGTATAGAATTCAACAGGAAATGGGTTTAAGTTTCAGGAAAGAGCATTTTATTAGACCATTGGAGTCCATAATAAGTCTCTAGCCTAATAAGCAAGAGAAAATTATAGATTAAGTTCTTAGGATCTTCAAAAACCAGAAAAATTACAAACAAGTGTAAAGTAGGAGACTGGAGCTGAAGATTCTTTGAGGTCTTTTACACATACATTTCTAAAAATGAAAGACTGCATAATTCCA